>NC_000003.12:76260000-77510000 GCF_000001405.40 Homo sapiens | reverse complement strand
TGCTGAGCCTTCACATCTGGCCCACTCCCCATACCTCCCACCTCTCTCTCCCTTTAGCCCAACTACTTCTGCTTATGCTGACACGGGATTAATTTAATATCTACTTATACCTCTAGATTTCAATCTCCATAAAAGCATGACCCTGTCACTTTTATTAACAGCTGTATCCTCAGAACTTAGTACAGTTACTTGAACCTAGTAGGCAGCCGTGACAAATTTGTTGATGAGGGAATAAACGAAGGCTGTACACGTGCAGGAAGGGGAAGGTTATAGTCTCTCATCGGCATCAAATATTGCTCATGACAAAATGCCAAGTGTGCACAATGGAGACACTGGGGACATCACACAGTATATTTTGAGCAGAAGAATCACTTTATTTTCTGTTTACTGAACTTTGAACTCTAAGTTTGTTCAAGTTATATCTTCTATTCATCATTTTCCACTTCAAATATTCTCTCTATGTCCAATCCCTCCCAATTCTGAATATTAACACAATTAACACAGTTTTTCACAGGACCCAGGAGCCACCCCTAACCTCTAGTTCGAGGTAGATATAAGTTAAATAGAATATCCTTGCTCACACCTGTCTTTGTTCTATTGTTTAACCTGAAAACCTTATGAAGGAAACCATACCCTAATGTATGCGGGATTGTTAAGCTGGGGAAGACAAGATGCAGGGGAACTTGCTGCTTTTCCTTTGTGTTTGCTGAAGTCAGGACAGAAATTTACAAATACAAAAGGCCTTTCTACCCTCCTTCCTACCTTCCCACCTGAAGACAGGCTGTAATTTCTCCCTTGCAACCTTCATCAGCTCAGAGATGGCACCGGAGGAGCAAACGACTCTTTCCTATTCTCCTGTCTTTGAAGCCTACGACTACTTTGTCTTGTCACTTTTCTAAAATTGATGTTCTTTGTTGAAGATAATATGTAAACCAGACTTGTAAACCACTGCTTTGAGTTACCCCTCTCTCATTTTGACATACACTACACTCATTAATAAACCTGTTTGCTCTTCCTCTTGTTAATCTGTGTTTTGTTGAAGCAGTCTATCCCAACTACAAACTTATGAGAGTTGAGAAAAAAATACATTTTCTCCCCTCACACATGCACCCCTGTTGCCTAGATGAAGAAACCGAAGTTTGATCTTCAGCGGTAAAAAAAGAGCAAGGTCTAAATGTTGTTTTTTAAAAAAATTTTAAGATAAAAATTAAGTTTAAGTTAAAAAGCATATGATAAAAATTATAAACAGATTCCATTATTGATAAACCCTTCATTTATATCAAATATTAACATCAAAGAACTTGCCACAACTTTAGAATTTACTTAGAATATTTTAAATCACTGACATGGTGGTCATTATTGTTTGTCATTACACTATGAATAGCTGCAGATAGTGCACTGACCTATCACTAACAATGACATTATTGTTCCCAAAAATGCAGAGAACTTTAATATCAACTACAGTCATTCTAGTTTTCACTAAATTGAGAACTCCTAAACATTTAGAGATTTAAATATATTTATATATTTAATATGTATATATTTATCTTATACTATCACATATATATAGAAATCTCTAAACCTTTAATATATACATTTATATATAATGCTTTCACTATATAGCTTACAACATTTTATAATAATATATGTTTTATATAAATTTTTGTAATATATAAAACGTTCAAGATTTTACTATATATTTTAAAAATATATATACTATATAAATACATATTTAAAGATTAGAGATTCAAATATAAAGATATCTTTGCAACATTTTGAGAAAGACATATAGAGGTGGCTGGAACTTTCAATTTAGTGAAAATCAGAACAATTATTGAAGCTCCCTGCAGTTCTGAGAACAAGATACATATGTGCTTTGTGAAATCATGTACTTCTTCTTTCTACATTCATATAAGATCAAATCCAAAGCATTATAGAGATTAGATTATAGAGAAAGGGTTTCTTTGGTTTATCATGATCAGAAAGGAGTATTTCATTATTTTCATTATTGTCCTTAATATGCAACACTCTTTTGGCAATTTTTCCAGTAACTTTTCATAGATTATTTAAATAAAATCTGGTGCATCTTCCTGAATTTATTACTTTTAAATACTTTAAAAATATTGCAGGTATTATTTTCAATAAGTTCTTGAATAAGTAGAACTTGGAAATTTACTGTTAAAAATACAAATATATTACAACTAAGAAGAACAACTAAGAAGAACATTTGTTCCTACTGGAACAAATAAAGTTGTGGAAGCAAGTTAAGTTATCCTTTCATTTAGAAATAATTGTTTTACTGGATTAAATACTTTCAAAACTGGTTTTACAATAGGACTAGAAATTGCATTATTAGATTTGGAAAAGTAGATATAGCTCATAGTTGTGCGTTTGGGTAGAAATTAACCCAACTTTAAGTCCTTTCAGGACAGGACTTTAGGGATCACATCCACAAGAATCCACAGAGCTCACAGCTCAGACTGGAAGTTTTTAGATAGGCAGAGCCCATTCTTGCAGTCTTCTGTGTGCAAGAAGAAATGCTGTGATAAGAGACAGCCAATTCACGGTAAAATTGGTAAAATGTATTTCCGAATGTGCCATCTATTTGGCGACCTTGCTGTCTTTGTTGGAAAAATGCTAAGAAGTCTCCTTCATCAGTGTTCAAACTGAGAACTAGCTGGGGAAGTGACTACATTATCAGAGGGATGTTCAGTCCGAGATGCTGTGGAAGATTCAAAAGGCTTTCTTCTTTTTTCTTTTGCCAAGAGAAACTTCCTCTTGAAATGTGTTTATGGAATAATTCATGAATTCCATACAACCTCATAGGAACACTTCTGATCATTAAATGTTTCACATAACTTGTGGGTTTGTAGGTCTATTTGAAAATGAGGTTCAGACACTTCTCTAATTAGGATATTCTTTACTAGTTTCGCCAATTCAGCAACTATCTGATGTGCAAGGAATATGAAGAAAAATTATCTGCCTTATATATTCTAGAAAAGGTGCAAAAATATACATTCATCTCAAATCATTAGAAAACCAACAGGTCCTCTTCTTGTGTTAAATGATGACATGCCTATATCAAACCAAATTATGATATTATTCATTTATCTCATTTTGTATAACCATCATATCTCAGGCAACAAAAAAAGATTATTATCTTCGAAGTGTATTTCAGTGAATTATATTCTATTATTTTTGCCCTAACATTAAAAACAAAAAATAAAAATTACATAAAATAACTACTTGAGCAATGCCCAGATTGATTTTTTCCATGAAATCAGCATTTCTTAACCTCAACACTATCGCCATTTTGGGTCAGATTATTTATTCTTTACTGTGGGAGTTGTCCTGTGCATAGTAAGACGTTTAGCCGCATTCTTGGTGTCTACCCACTAGATGCCAGTAGCACCCAATCTCCCAAATGTGGCAATCAAAAATGTCTCCAGACATTGCCAAATGTATATCAGGAAATGGGGGAAGCAAATTTGCCCCTCGTGAGAATCACTGCACTAAAGGACTAACTCGTGAGCACCATGTGACAGTCATAGGACTGGATATTTAGGATTGTTAGGATTAAACATAAATAAGGCAAAGGGAGTTGGGGAGATAAAGAAATAATTATAATAATGATGATCTGAGCACTACTTTCTCTTAGAAAGTTGTTCCAAGTGTGCACAATGGAGACACTGGGACACCACGCAGTATATTTTGAGCAGAAGAATCACTTTATTTTCTGTTTACTGAACTTTGGACTCTGTATGAGTTTGTTCAAGTTAGAAAGTTATATAGAAATATACAAAACAAAATGTCACCAGCCATTGACTAACACATGGAATGAAGGGCGTCCTGGGTCCAACATAAGCCATGAGCACAAGCTTTTAATATTAGAGAGACCTGAGGTTTGAATCCAGTTTTGTTACCATGTTTCCTGTGACCTTGAGCATGTTTTTCACTGTCTCTAACCTTCAGTTTTCTCCTCTGTTTAAAGAAGGGACTCAAACTTTAAGGCTGCTGGAAGCATTAATTAAAAATATTGTGTAGCCACTAAGCAGAAAGCCAGTGAGCCCTTAAAATAAAATTAGTTTATGCCATTATTTTTAAATATGTTTTACTAGAAATAAATTACTGTATATAGTAGTCAAGAAAGTGGGCTTTGGATTTGGATTTGGATTCAAATCTCTCTCATTTATATTTGCCCCTCAGATTCTTCATTTATCAAATAACAATGATAAGAGTTCCTGTTTCATAAGAAAATTGAGAAGATTAAATGAGTTATTTCTAAGGAAAGCACTTGTAAATATTAGCTATTACTCCCATATTTAATATATTTTAAGATGCACATTTTTATATTTTAACACCTCCAGAATTAGGAATCATCTTATCATAGATGGCATATCATAGTTGATTTGGTCATTTTTCCTCTCCTTAACTCAGAGAAAAAATACTACTAAATCTCACAATCAATTCTACCTTGGATTCAGTGATAGAAAATACTATTACATGATTAAAAATGATGAGACTGAATAATACCTTTTGACTTCTCTATTTATTGAACACACCACCTTTTGACCAGGCACCCAAGTTACAAATCTCAGCATTAATTTTTAATTTCTCTTTTTCCAATAACTCTGACATACAATTATTTGCCAATTGAAAAAAAAAAAGGTTTTCTTGTATGACCACTTGTATTAATGTCCATATTTGTGTAACTCACACAATACACTCAATGTATTCCCTAAACTATATTTCAGCTTCCTACCAGGTGTGCCTACTTCCAAACTTTCTCTGTTCCAAGCTACTCTACATGAAAGAATCAGTTTTCTAAAGGTGGACACAAAGATGCATTTCTATTCAATGTGCTTCAATTAATCCCCATTTTATGGTGTATTCCATATAAACACTTCACTTGAAATTAAAGGGTTTCATAATAGAACCACAACTAACCTTTGTGGCCTTAAGTGCCACTCCTCCATGTTCCAGGCAAACCGAATCACTAATTGTTGGCCCACGCTTTCCAAAGCTTTTTCATCCTGCTTCGTTCTTTTGAAATAGCCATTGCTATTCCACTTATGAAAATTCAATTTTCCCTTTCAGACCTATCTCTAGTTTCATATAGGAATAGACTATCTTTTATTTTCTGAAGCCATAAAGAGCCTCAAATATCATAGTTTGTATATAGTTCACCTTATTTAATAATGTTATGCATATCTCACACTACCTACTAAAATCCTTGAGAACAATCTCATCTTTTTTTATTCCTTGAAATATCAACACAGAATATTCAATGAATGGGATTATTTTTGAAATAATTCTTGATATATAATATTTGACTAGTCTGGCGATTTGGGGTTTACGTTTGAGAAAATCAACTATATATATGTCTTACTATAAATTATGTTCATAATGAAGACAAAAGCATTTTCTTTCTCACTTTTAAATACTCTCTCAAATAAAGATAACAGGTCTCTTTTACTTTTTTGTTTCTGTTATTTGTGGTGGTAAATATTTGGACAAACTGTTAGAAAATGTCAGTTAGTGGGTTAGAATGTTTATGGGTTTAATTGAACATTTTTTTTTTTTTGAGAAGCACTGCACTGAATGTCTTAACTGGTGAGTACCATGTGTCAGAAATAGGACATATTTTTATAACAACTGCCATTTATTTAAAGAATTGCAATGATATAGCATACCCAACCAGATCATCTTTATAAAGGTTTCAAATGTCTATACTGATGAATGAGTTGAATGGTATTACAATACCTTTTGTAATTTTAACATCATGCTCATAAGAATAACTGGCAGAATTTTTATACTGAGATCTTATTATGATGTTATCCCATAGGTCTATATGATGAATCACTTCTCAGAGGGACTTCTAATTTCTCGGCAAGGACTCACTGAGCCCTAGGGCTAACCTCCCACCTCCAAATATGGCCTTTTAAAATGAAGCGCCAGTGAGTTATACTATGTAACAACTAAAACAGAGATCCCCCCAAAAATGACTTCACTGAAGGGGATCAGGGTATACCCTGAAATACTTTGAAACTATTTGTCCTCCCATTCCTTATATTTGGCAATTATATCTCCTTCATACACTAACAAAGATATGTTCCTTGTTCATGTAATTGTAGTACTGGATCTCAGAAATTATTCTTTTTTATCCCTTCTCTTTTAATTCATACCAGTTAATTAAAATAATAGTATCAAATTACAACTTTTCCTGAGGGACCATTACATAGTTTTAAAAAAATGAAAAAAATATTTATTGGGTAGAAAATATATAGCCTAGAACTCAGTCCTACCTGTTAACTCATAACCATCCATGGAACTATTGATATTCAAACATTATCAGGAAATTAGCAAAAATCATACTCTTAGTACCTATTGATTTATTTTTGAAGAAACTTTTTTCCTCCAAATAGCCTTATTATTATTTTATTTATTTATTTATTTATTTATTTATTTATTTATTTAGAGACGGACTCTCTCTCTGTGGCCCAGGCTGGAGTGCAGTGGCGCGATCTTGGCTCACTGCAAGCTCTGCCTCCCGGGTTGACGCCATTCTCCTGCCTCAGCCTCCCGAGTAACTGGGACTACAGGCGCCGCCACCACGCCTGGCTAATTTTTTGTATTTTTAGTAGAGACGGGGTTTCACCGTGTTAGTCAGGATGGTCTCGATCTCCTGACCTCGTGATCTGCCCGCCTCGGCTTCCCAAAGTGCTGGGATTACAGGCGTGAGCCACCGCGCCTGGCCATTTATATTATTATTATTTTTTTAATTTATATTTAAAATTTTTTGTGGGTACATAGTAGGGTACGTGAGATGTTTTGATACAGGCATGCAGTGGGAAATAAGCACATCGTAGAGAATGGGGTATCTATCCATCCCCTCAAGAATTTATCCTTCAAGTTACAAACAATCCAGTTCCATTATTTAAATTATTTTAAAATATAGAATTGTTATTATTGACTATACTTACCATATTTTAGTACACTTAAATTTGGTCTGAGAACTTTGTTAGACAGTGAATGTGAAAGATGAATTAAACTATCAATACCCTAGAAGAGTTCATCATTCTAGATGTATACATAGTCCTCCCTCAGTATCCACTGGGGCTTAGTTCCAGGACTGCCATCCCCACAACCCTGAAAATACCAAAAGCTGAGGACGTCCAAATCCTTTATATAAAATAATGTAGTATTTGCATATAACCTATGTACATCCTCCTGCAACTTTAAATCATCGTAGATTATCATATCTAATCTAAATGCTACGTAAATCATTGTAATACTGTATTTTTATTTCTATTATTTTTATTGTTGCTTTTTAATGTTTTTTATCAGAATTGGTTAAATCCACAGATGTGGCACCCATAGATGGAGAGGGCCAATCACACCCTACTCACACCATTTGACTCTTTCAGCAAGCACTTCTTTAACTTCTAATATGTTTCCAGTGAAATTATTTTTTCTTACCCAATATAGTGTTGAGAAGAAAAGAATACAAGTTAAAACATTCCATGAGAAAAAATAGATTTGTTTTAAATTTTGTGTCAATAAGTAGTATAAAATAATGATTTTAAAGGAAAAGACATAAACTTCTTTATTTGACATAATAAACATATATTATGGGAAATAAGTGTCCTTATAATAAAAATTTTCAAAACTTTAACATGTGCTTTCTATATAGATGTATTCTGTGACTATATGATAAAAATTCTACTTCTAGGCAAGCATATGCTAGGCTGTCTTTTCCTTATCTTCAATCCCAAATAAAAAATGAAGAAAAGTTCTTCCCACTCAGCACCACTATGTAGTAGCCAAAAGTGTGGACTTTGAAGCCAGACATCCTAGGTCCCATAGTCAGTGATGTTGGCATATTTACCCTCTCTGCATATCAGTTTTGATATTTATATTATAGGTATAATAATGTTTACATCATAGCATTTTCTAAAAATAAAATAGCACTATTGTAAAATGCTTAGATTATTTCTGGTATACAGTAAGCACTGTGTAAATATCATTTATTAATATTATATTTATGGGAAAGGAAAATGCAGTCAGAAACAGCTATTTTGAATCAGTACCGGCTTTTTAACAATAAAAGCCTAAGTAAGCATTCAGGGTCAAGAACAATTTTGAATGAAAAATATGTCTAAAATATAAATAAGTTTACAAGATGCCTTCTATACATAAAATGTAGTTGTCACTGGATAATAGATACACAGGTAATATTAATTTTCTTCTTTATGTCCATCTATTTCAATTTTCTGGTTTCTTTTTTTCTTCTATTGAAAAAAAATATTGCCGTGATTCTCTAATTGTTTCGAGAGATTGACATAGAATTATACAATTTTTCAGAATTTGAGGACAGCACCGAAACCATTCAATCCAACATAGTTTGCAGATGTGGACTCTGGTACTCAGACATGTTACATGAATTGCTTAAAATAACATGATGAATTATGGCAGAGCTGGGATAAGAACATTGATCTCTTAAATTCTATTATACCTTTCAGCCTTATGTTACAGTTCAACTTATTAAGAATAATAACAAAAATCAGTTAGAAATATATTTTTAGAATAACCCCTGGGGTGATTAAAACTTATTTGCATGATTCTAACCACAAATTGTCTTGTGCACACAAGTATTTGTGTTAATATAATTAATTAAACAACTTTTTTTTTTTACCTTTTGCTTAGAGTTAATGTAAGAACCTAGGTACAGGGGAGAGTGTCTCCAGTGGTAAATCTCCATCCACTTGTGTGATATGGCGGGATATGAGAGCTACCTTCTGGTAAGCCTCTGGCTTGTCCTATAGTTTGGTTTAAGGTAAAATGTTGCCCTAGTCGCTACCTCAGCCTAACTGAATGCTCTAACAACCACACTTTGATGGAAGAAACACACCTACTGTGGCTCCTGTTTGGACATTACGCACATGGCAATGACAGGTGGCACACAGACAGATCCTTTTGCTCTGCATACTGGCACCTGGTCTTGGCTCTGCCCACACACACAAGAGCTGTCAGTTAACAGACAGCAGAGCATCTCTGACTTCAAGGCATTTCATATTCCATGTGTGTTCCAGCTTGTTAGTTGACCACTGGCCAGAACCCAAATTGGATGCCAGTTCCAGCATTGTTCCTAAGCTGAGATTCTTAACAGATGGGCCAATGTGGTCACAGGACTAGGCAACTTGCACTCCCCACCGTAGGTGGCAATTAGTTTTGTGTTAACAGCAACTATTAGCACCTATTTGATGAAAACACAGGAAAACTACAATTCTGTCATCCCTCTGAAAGTTGTCAATTAATCCTGTTTGTAAAAACAAAATCTATATCTTCAGTTTCCAAGAAGGTAAACTTGAACTGTTCTAAGTTTAAATTTTTATAATGTCAAGACATTTTATGTGTGGCTTACGAAGTTGGTCTAAAAATTACCTTAACTCTATTGCTGTATACTATGTTTATTTAGTTATTCATAATATAGTATTTCTAACCAATTATCTAAGTTTCTATCTAAAATATAAAATTCATAGGTGACTCAAATCCTTAAATAATTAATAATCATATAATTATCATGCCCTCTCATTTAAAATAGAGATTTCATGCTAGACAGATTCTAAGTTCAGTTCTGGCCCTAATGCTTATTAATATGTGGCCTTAAAAACCTAACTTGTTTAAGCTTCTGTTTCTGTAACCCTCAAGTAGGAGTAATATTATGCTGTAATACTATGCTTTAAAAATAATGGAATTAACATATGTAAAAAGCATTTATTGCATTGTAAGGCACATGGTAAGTCCTCCCTAAATACTTGCTTTTAACATTACACATCTTTTTATAATAATGGTTTTATGCTTATTACTCACAGACAAACAAAACAGTATGTGTGAAATGTGAAGGTCTCAACCCAGGTGACTGATTGCACTGGAGGTGGCACACAATACCAGGAGAATGTATAGCTTACTAAAGGTAGAAAATGCAGGCAACTTTCAGACTTGGCAAAGTCACTAGAAACATTTATAAATGAATCTATATAATTTAAAAGCAGGCCAGACACGGTGGCTCACACCTGTAATCCCAGCAGTTTGGGAGGCTGAGGCGGGTGGATCATGAGGTCAGAAGTTCCAGACGAGCCTGGCCAACATGGTGAAATCCCGTTTCTACCAAAAATACAAAAATTAGCTGGGCGTGGTGGTGGGCGCCTATAGTCCCAGCTACTCAGGAGGCTGGGGCAGGAGAATCACTTGAACCCGGGAGGTGGAGGGTGCAGTGAGGCGGGATCGTGCCACTGCACTCCAGCATGGGTGACAGAGTAAGACTCCGTCAAAAAAAAAAAAAAAAAGCGTAAGTGATACTTATTTAAAAATAATATTGTATATGTTTCTATGGAAATCATATGGCCAAAGATAGGAAAATGTGTCATTATATACAAATTATATATTTTATATTTTTTTAGCATTAATTTTTTTCCCTGTAGTTAACTGCATTATTAATAAATGCCACCAATCAGGTGGATTTGTAAAACTGAGGCACCATGTATGTGCATCCATTGTACAATGTTTACAGTGCTTTGAAATGGTTATATCATTTTAATAGCCCTTTGAGTTAGAATGGATGGCATAATTCTTCACCCTATAAGATCAGTAAAAATATAGGTTAATCACCAGTCCTACCACATTGCTGGGCCATATTTTCAGGATGTAAAACATAGAGTTTAAATAGCTTCTTCAAGATCACATTCCTAGTTTGCAGTAGAGAAATTTGTCAACTATCATTTCCAGAAAACGGCAGTGTAAATAAACTAAATGATCAAACAGTAGCAGAACAAGGCCTAAAGTCTAAAACCCCTTGGCAATGGCCTAAATATTTGTATGTTATTGTAATTTGTATTAAAAGGTCCCACAGTCATTGCTCATGAAGTTTCCAATTGTTTTTAGACAGACATGGATAAGACATCTGTATAGCATAAAAAATAAAGATTTTTCATTTACACTTTTTCTTTAAATTTGTGACTTTTAGGAACCAGTCCATTTTTTAGATGTCATTTACAATATTTTGTACACATTGCTTCATTGCTTTTCTCCTGTTCTTAGATTTTCCTTCTTTTGCTAAGACCATTTCACTTGCCCAGTCTTTACCAGCCAACCTAATCAGTGTGGTTATTTATCAGGAGCTCAAATTATCCCATGTCCTTGATGCATACACTGTATGTGAAGAAGGCCCATTGCCTCCTAAGGGTAGCTGAGCACCTGTTCAGCATCTCTGTGTCCCAGAAGCACATGCTCTAAACAATAGAGCTTCCAAACAATTAATCTAAACACATTTTGCAGGGCTAAGAAGAAAGAGCCACTTTGTATAAAAATGCCATCCAAAAAAAAAAAAAGGAATTATAAGTAGTTCCATTCAGTTTCTTTTCTTAAAGAATCATGTGCTTATGCAAATCTCACATTTCATGGAACTAAAAACTCTGAAAATTCTCTCTTAAAATAGACTTGCACTTTAGAAAAGGAAATTTTGTCAGTGGGTTAAGGAAAATTGATAGAATTTTGCTCCATATATCTTGAAACTCTTATTCTCTACTCCCTTTTCTATTTTATGAAATATTCATTAATTATATCCACTATGTGCAAGCCATCAACTGCATTTAGAATTTGCAGGCATACGTAAAAATGTAAATGGCATATTTTATTTCCTTTTTCTTCTGACAAGCTATTATGAACATTCCTTTCTCGGCTGTGGAAGAGAGAAGTTCTTATTGAGGAACTTAGTGTCACTTTAGAGTTAGTTTAGAAAATAAAAATGAAATAAAAAAGATAAAGGAGGTAATGGTAATATGCTGAAAGTTATATGATTGATGAGAGATATTAAATCTCCTGTTTACAGTTCTTTAAAGACTGCTAATAATGAAATGAAATACAAACTCTGCTGACATGCACAGATAAGAATTCACAATTAGATTAATCACACTAACTCTTACCCAAGTTCTGAGAGGGATTTTTTTTAAAATTCTCATTAATATTAAATTGAACAGAATATTGTAGTGTTGTCATATTTCAATTTATTTTTATATCTTTGGTTACAAATGTATTATACTGTTTCTTTATGGCATGTTACTTGTGTTATGTTAATGTTTCTTCATGTGATACTTTTTTACAGAGCTTTAGCACATAAATATATTTATATAACGAAAATATACAATAAACCTATGTTATGAGGGAACATGGCATAAGATGGAAACTCACCTCATTTATTATAAATACTGACAACTTCTATCACATAAAACACTTTGTGAAAAGATGTATTGAAGGCACTCTATCAAGACAGTACTAATAAGCAAAATGTTGGATATTTGCCTGCAAAAGACAGACAGTACCCAAGAAAATAACTAGAGCTGTTCCAATTTACTTCTTTACTGTATTTGGAATGTAAATACTTTCCCACGTCACCCAATCTCACTAATATAAAACAAAAACTAAAGAACTGATAACAGTTAACTTACCTTGTTTAAAACGACTTACTTTTTCAAACTTGCAATGAGCATTACAAATGTAGTAGGCACTCACTAAATGTAGGTAAACCCAAAAGTGCATCTTCTTCTATTTAAATTATGCTTTAAAAATGTGCTTCAAAAATCATAATCATTATAAACTATAAAATGCCTTTCACTTGCTTGTTCCTCCTACTCACTTTATTCTCACGTTAGTGTTATGAAATTTTTGTCCCTAACACATATGTATTGAAATCTTCTAGAAAACAGTATTGGTACTTGGCACAGAATCAGTATGCTTCCTGAAATACTCAATTGTGAAACGGTAATATCTTCAGAAGTCTCTGCAAGGAATTAACAGTTTGGCACTAATATGTATAATGTAGACTCCTTTCCATTTTGTCCCTTGGTCGCATGGAAAATGTCCACATAAATAATTTTCCCTAGTTGAGCATAAGGGTTATTGTTAGACTTGCTATGCTTCCTACCAAACTGAAACATTCATCTTTTCAGAAAATGTTTTAATACAACTCACTAAGAGTCTGTTGTAATTTCATTAAAGGTAGTTACTGAGAAAGGTCAGGAGTTTAAGACTAAATAAAAGAAAGAGGCATATCAGTACTACTTAAAAAATATTTTCAAGGCAAGGGGAAAAAATACTCCCTTAACTCATCTCTGGTTACTGAAAGGTTGGCACAGATATCTTCTTCTGTGTTGAAGGTTTTAATAGCTCTCACAGCATTTCATAAATTTAAACTTGAATTGAAAAGCT
Source organism: Homo sapiens (assembly GCF_000001405.40). Lineage (NCBI taxonomy): Eukaryota > Metazoa > Chordata > Mammalia > Primates > Hominidae > Homo > Homo sapiens. The sequence continues at coordinate 77,496,734 of NC_000003.12, read as the reverse complement.
TTTCTTGTCTCCAAAAGAAAAATAGTCACATATTACTTACATAGTAATTACAGGCTATGCAGCTGCCCTACAAAGCTTTCGTATAAATGTGTTAAGCATGAACCACTACACAAACCTTATTCAAATTTCATTAAATGTTAAGCCAAAGAAATGTCATGCACCACACCAATTGCTTATACAAGAACAATGGCCATCTCCCTAGTCTGAGACCTAAATAATGTAATAGAATCAATGTTGTTGATTTAGTCTACGGTTGGCTAAAAGTTATTACTGTTATTCCTCACCAAGGAAAGAGGTGTCTTTCTCTCTCATTATGCATAAGTGAGGCTTATGCTAATACATACAAATCGAGGAATGAATAAACTCCTCTGAAACATCACTTAAAGACTGGGAATTCAAGAAAAAGTACATGCTTCTTTCATGATGAAATACTGACCTCAGTTTCTACATTGCACTTATCCTTGCTTTAAGCCTTTCTAACAAAAACAATTTAAAGCTTACACAGCACTTCCATTTGTCTAATATTTTTAAAATATTTAACTGGTTACACAAAGTACTACCATAATATGCTGGTAAAAAGAATAAAGAGGCCAAAGCTATGAAAATGTTTTAAAGGAAGTTAGTGAAAATAAGATTTCTCATGCTTTCAACCTTGTTGTTTAGTGGCCTTGATATCATACCTTCTGATAGTGTAGCTTTAATGCTGTTGTTTGATTTATATGTATCATTTGTACTTTGAAGCAAATGAATTTGGCAAGATTTAGAGAACAGTGTAGCAGCTTAAGTTGTCAGGTTTATGACCTAACACCTACATTAAGCTGGAAATAATCAAACTAGGCTCAATTCATTTTTATTTTATCTTAATTCAGGAACATAGACATGTTAAAATGCAATGCACACTTACAATTCTCTATTTTTAATACTTTTGTCAACTAGCTCGTGCTCAGTGTTTGAAAATTAACAGGGTGGCCAGTGCTGTTATATGGATATAATGTGCCCCCTGATACAATGTGCTAAGAAGAGCATGTCATTTCTAAGGTATTCTTTTTAAAAACCTATAAACGCAGTCTAATCCGGCTAATCCAAGTTTGGGGCACATTCGATAGCATACCTGGCCAGCACTTCCCTTCAAGGTTGTTAAGGTCACAAAACTAGAAAAACTAAGGACCTGTAACAGGACGGAGGAGACTGGAGAGATATGAGAACAAATGCAGAAGTCTATGATACCCAACCCAATAATTACCTGAACTGGACTTGGAGTAGAAAGAGGACAATGATGAAAACCTGGGAGAGCCAAATAATGTATACACTTTACTTAATTATTACCTATCAAGCTTTGCTCATTAGTTGTAACAAATGTTTTATTGTCATGTAAGATATTAACAATAAGGAAAACTGGGTGTAGTGTAAATGGGAACTCTCTGTTACTAACTTTTGTAACTTTCCTATAAATCAAAATTATTCTAAAATTAAAGGTTTTTAAAGTTTCAATGCACAAGGGCATATACTCCCAGTTATTTAAAATAAACCTGTGTTTACACTAGGATAAATTTTACTATAGAATTAATCTCTTCACCTTACATTAATATTTTAAAATTATTCACTACATGCTCTCAAATTTGAAGAAAGTTGCTGACTATATATAGAGGATGGACAGTAACAATTCAATAGTGTAAACTCTCCTTGTTTTCTAACCTGCTTCTCCAATGAGAGGGCATGAAAAGCCTCACATTTACAAACCTCTTCTACTAATACCATTCCTTTAAAGACAGATGTCTGGCATTAAAATGATGAAACAAACACAATGATGACTTTCCCCACTACATAGGCTGAAAAACTAACTGAATTAATGTTTTCACTTGTTTTATTCCTGTAGATTGTAAAGAACCTCTCAGTAACTATTATAAATGGTTGATGCATTTGAATCCAGTTTATTCAATCCATGAGTGACATGCCTTTTGAAGTAAAGTATCCAATCATATCTAGGGATTTATAAAATTGAGATTTTGAAATGAATGTTTACATTTAGGAAATTACTGATAGCAGTGAAAGCACATAAAAGGTATACAGCTTCGGAGGAAGCATGGTTAATATCAGTCAGTTGAAAGAAACGAAGTTGTTTTGTTGTTTTGTTTGTTTGTTTTTTGTTTTTTCTTTTTCAGACAGTCTCACTCTGTCGCCCAGGCTGGAGTACAGTGGCACGATCTTGACTCACTGCAACCACTGCCTCCCGGGTTCAAGCAATTCTCCAGACTCAGCCTCCCGAGTAGCTGGGATTACAGGTATGTGCCACCACACTCAGCTAACTTTTTGTATTTTTAGTAGAGACAGGGTTTCACCCTGTTTGTCAGGCTGGTCTTGAACTCCTGACATGAAATGATCCACCTGCCTCGGCCTCCCAAAGTGTTGGGATTACAGGAGTCAGCCATCGTGCCCAGCCAAAAAATTTTTTTTAAAAAAAAGAAAAATTAGAAAAACACAGCCTGTACAATTTTATGCAGGCAGTAATTGGAGAATGCATGATGGTTATAATATCAGCAGGTAGAACTAGCAGGAAGGCATAACAAATCTTAAAGATAAAATTACTTGTGTTAAAACAACAACAACAAAAAACACTTGAATTACTTATTTCATTCTAAATGGCAAGGCCTTAAGGAAATTTCTATAACAACAAGTCAAAATTATTTTTATATATGATGAAAAGCATTTTTGAATACAGGTTAGAGTTTGAGAGATTGGGTTTGGGGGTTTTGTGATAAGAACAATAAGAAGGAGATGGAAGAGAAGGTCTCCATGAAGAGATGGAAAAAAGAAAGTGACAGAAGGTCTCTGTGTTGGAAATCCCCTATGTGAAAAATGATGCCAACTACTTGCTACCATTTCAGTGTTATGCTGACCTTTCCTTTACTCCAGGACTTACAGTCAGCCACATGCAATAGTCTTTTGTTAGTTATGCTTTGGGCCACAGAGGTGACAAAGGGTATCCAGAGGGGATGAAGCATGGGAACGGGCAGTCATTGATGGAGGCCTGCAGGGGGCATTCTGCAGGAACAGAATGGTATACCTCAAAGGGTCCAGGGGAAAGAAGGCACCCAGGAATCCTTGGTATCTGGGGATAAGAGGTGGAATGAAGAATCAAGCATTAATGTAGATACTCATTGAAAGAGTGACATTGAAAGCCTGGAGGACTTTAACATACAAACAGTAAATATGTGGCTTGCATATGTAAAAATCACATGAGTGAAAGTACCCCAAGACATAGGAGTGTTTGGTGGTGGCATTGTAGCTGTCCTTTTATTTTCTAATTATTCATTGGTTATCTAACAATCTTCCATCCATATGTTGGTCTTACCTTCCTCTTGGCAAGTCTGCATCATCCTTTTTCCACCTCACAGTTGGTTGAGGATCTCCTTGGACTTGACAACGAAATTCTACAGCTTCTTCCTCCAGTACCACCTGGTTAATTGGCCTCCTGAGAAATGTGGGTCGTTCTTGAAAAAAAAAATGAAACAATGGTAAAATGAGATAAACTATTATGCATGCTTTAAGTACATTATGAAAAAAGCAAAGGAAACCTAATTTACTTTTGGTACACAGGTACCTAACTCTGTACCTCAGCTGTGTTTTAATAAGGCCTTGTGAATCCAATGTCATTCAATAAAATAAGATATTTTGGAACAAAGGAATAGCTACAGTTTGCACATAAGACCATACAACCTTTGGAAAAAAATATTAAATTGATTTTTCAGTGAATCCCTGAGCTAAATCAGGTGGATCCTATCATAAAAAATCAGAACACTGAATTCTACAGGAAAAAGAGAGATTAAAAATGATTACAATAATCTATTATCAGGGTTCAAAGTGGGAAAACTAAAAGTTGAAAGGGATAAAAACATTTAAAAAACAAATATTAATATTCCTCAAGAATGCTAGAGAAAACCAAAAAATGTGTACTTTCACACATATGTATTACCTAGATTTTCCCACTTAAGCTATGATTTGATAAGGACTCAATATTCCCATGATTATTTTAACTTCATGTATGGAAAGATGTCTACCTGATTTTTTTTCTTAAATACAAAGACTGTCATTATTAATTGTTGCAAACTATTTATTTATCAATTTTTTGAGGTTTTCTCCAATGGTCTTCTCTTAAGTGTTTGAGATATCTACCCATTTTTTTTTACTTAATTTTATGTTTTTTATTTCTTCAGTAATCTGTTTTACTGTTTTCATCCTTTCTTCTTTTATTAATCTGTATTTGGCACTGTTAAATTGTATTCTAGCACTCTTCTACATAAGGCTAGAGAAAAATAAGTCTGTATCCATAAAAATCTTTTCCTATCCATAAGATTCTTAGCCTCTGAGGATACAAATCAAAAAGTAGTTTTATGTATCACCAGACATTGGCATTCCTTGTCCAGTTTCTTCCCTTTTGGATAATGGTCTGAGACTGGAAAAATTGTCATTTAAATTTTATTAGCCCATATCTGCAAATCACAAACAAATTCAATATTGCTACTTACTGAGGTAGAAAGAGAACTAAGCCAAGGAAAAGAAAGATGAGATCTGTAGGAAGCTGACACAATTTTTCTGGCCATCTGGACATATTTAGCCACTTAGAACTTGAGTTTCAAACCTTCTAATTTAAAATTTTGTATACAGTGGCACAAAAACTAAAATGTATTCGGCAGGAAACCTTCAAAGAAAATAAATTACTTCAAATAATAGATGTTAAGAGTATAAATAAGAGTATTTGATTTTATTGACTAAATCAAGATCCATATTTATAAAACAAATGTGTAAGTTGCAAGATAAATATTTTATTGCAATAAAACCAACTACCATTGGCATTTAGAAGGAAGACTATTGTATATCTCCAGAGAATTTGACAGTAGGGATCAAAATTTTCTGCATATGCTAGAGTATCCGTACTCTGGGACTCAAAAATCCCAAGCAATAAAACAAGACAAATAGAATTTCATCATGAAAAATTTTGTAAATGCAGAATTGACAAACGATCCATAAAAACTAAAGAAAAACACGGTTGCATCTAAAGATTTTAGACGCCCTGAATAAATTAGCAGCAAATTGTGCCCTGTAGACAACATGTCGGATAAAATAATTTAGTGTTACTTTTTTCAACTCTGTACACTATGTGCCCAAAACAGCTATTTTGGGGCTGGCATAGTTGGTATTGAGCTATCATTTCTGGTAGTTAAATAGGCAATAGGATTAATATATCCTTATGAGGGTCCCAAATGCTAATAGTAAAAAATAAATCATTCACATAGGAAGCGGGATCGACTTCTTCTGTGCTATCAGGCGCAGCTATTCATCCAAAAACTACATTAACCCAATGTTAAAGAGGTTTGAGACACTATTGATATTACTCCAGATTGAAAAATGATTCATCAAGAGGAGACCTTTCCTGTTCCCTTTGATTTTAGTGGGAGTAGCATACTACATCCTGACACTGGGATGAACAAGCTAGAGAAGTCTTTCTCTCATCCACTGACTCATTCAGCACATGTTAATGCACCCACTCCTAGAGGCTTTCACTAAGTGGTCAAGCTGGTGAATAGTGAGCAGGTTAGTTACATTGGGGAAAGTGGTGAGAGACAAAGCTAGACAGAGAGTGAGTGATAAGACCATGAAGGCCCTGTTCACCACTCAAGGACTGTGAGCTCTGCCCTGAGGTTGATAGAGAGCTATTGAAGGACTTTAAGCAAGTAAGCAACTTGTTGAATAAGCATATGAAAAAGGTCGTGTTGGTATGTCTGTGAAAGATAAATTAGAAGAGAAACATAAAGTCGTGAATTAGGTCAAAGCGTTCTTGTAAGAAATTATTTCAGCTTAAACTGACACAATGGTTCATAGGATGTCGAAAAGGGGACAGACAAGAGAGATCAAAACTGGGTGATCAGTCAGACGCATAGGGTGAAAAGGAAACTCAAGGAAATGTCTCAACTTTTCATTTAGCAAATTGAAACAGACTGGCAGGTAAAACATGGATTGTGTGTGAGTGTGGGCATGTGTGTGTGAGTTTGTGTGTGTAAGCTCCTTTCATCATAGAAATGGTAAGAATGAGAAAAATGAACCTCTTATGCCTAAGCCATTGTTCGGCAGATTTATATTACTTGAAGCCAAATAAATTTTCAATGAGATAAAGGAGGTTACTTATATAATAGGAAGAGAAATGAAGATAAATATGATCAAATCTGTAGATATAGCTATCAAATTACAAATCATCTAAATAAAGAAGGAATCAAACAGACTTTTTAAACGTGATGAAGATATTTTGCAAGAAATTAAATGCCAAAATTCTCTTAAAAGTAAAATACAGGCCGGGCGTGGTGGCTCACGCCTGTAATCCCAGCACTTTCGGAGGCCGAGGTGGGCAGATCACGAGGTCAGGAAATCGAGACCATCCTGGCTAACACGGTGAAACCCCGTCTCTACTAAAAATTAGCTGGGGCGGTGGCGGGCACCTGTAGTCCCAGCTACTCGGGAGGCTGAGGCAGGAGAATGGTGTGAACCCGGGAGGCGGAGCTTGCAGTGAGCCGAGATTGGGCCCCTGCACTCCAGCCTGGGAGACAGAGCGAGACTCCGTCCCAAAAAAAAAAAAAAAAAAAGTAAAATACAAAAGTCATGCCCATTGAAGTCCGGAACAAGACGGGCATGCCGACATTAAAAATCAGTAAGAAAAAGGAAATATGAGCCCTGAAGAAGAACCAAAGCCACCATTACTTGCAGACACTCTGCAAAATATAACAATGCAGAACAGTGGCTTCGATAATTGATAACTGCAACAAAACTAAGAAGTCCATAGGATAATTGCAGCAAAACTGACAATATTGGAAAATGTGAGATTTTAGGATACATTGCAGCAAACTTATACATTGAAAAACTGTTAAGTCATTGCAATATTAAAACTATCTACCTATCTAACATGAAAAGTTTTCATGACATTATGCTGGGTATAAAATAAATTGAAAAACAATATGTGAGACCAGTTCCATTAAAATACTTATATTTTCAGGCAAAGTTTGTGTATGCTTTCCTTAACATGCTAACAGTCACAAAATCACAACATATAATTAATCCAAATGGCAAACGTTACATCAGAGATGTCTCAAAACTAAGCTGTCCCTTCCTCAAGGGGATACCATTAGGATCCCTAAGGGTTTTTTAGTCATGGTACTTGTTCTAAGCCTCATTGTTTTATATGGAGACACGTGGAGGCACTTGATTTATAATTTCAAGAAGAATCAAGATACAGGATCCCTGCTGCTGTTCAAATGAACTCAGCAGGGGTGCAGGACTTCACAATGAACCTTCTCTCTACCCTGCTACCCTCAAGCAGAGTCCAGTTGCTTAGCAACTGGATAACCACAGGAGCATATGTGGTATACAATTTTTGGAAGTCTGACATTGGCTCATGGTGAAAAATGTAATTCAATGGATAGAAAAACAAATCAAAGCAAAACAAAGGCAAAGAATAAATGAGATGAAAGTCGCCTGCACATACATGACACATCAACATGGGTTTTATACCTGGGTATTAGGATGTGCTGTCCAACATGTGACATGGGAAATTCCTGAGATACTGGAGCTTGGTCACATATTTTAAAGTATTATTCTGAGAATTTCCATAGCACCCTTTCTAACAATTATCTCTAAACTGTGTTATTCATTATTCCAATTGTTTTCTGTTAATTATACTAAACTGACCTTCTGCTTTGCAATTTTCATAATTACCCACAGAAAACATTATGTTAAAAACTGTAGGTTTGCCTAACATTTATTTAAATGGAAGAAATTTTTTGTAAGAACTATTTTCCACTTTTCTTAACCAACTTTATTTCCAGAAAATCTGAGAATCAGAAACATAAATATGAAGACTAAAGAAGTTGTACAGGCCAAAAATGTATTTCAAATGCGTTGGATCTGCAGTGGCAACCGTTACAATAAGCCAAACACAAAGCCAAGCCCCTTTCAGACACAAATTTTAAAAATTATAAGGAAGTAACTTGAGTCTCCCCTTTTGACTCAAAATCATCTCCAAAAAAATGAAAAGCTAGGTGGATTAGAAAGTAAGTTGATAATAAAACCATCCAATACATTGATAAGTGATCACACTCAATATCTATTAATGCTCCATAGAGTTTGGACAATTAGAGCTCTGTACAATTAAAATAAGTATGCATGAAAATCTTAAACTATTGAATAACAAGCAAACTTAATTTTAAAACATGTCAAAACAAGGTCACTGATTTTTTCATGTTAATACCTTATGTCTGACCACATATTGAAAAACGGGGAAGAAATCTCAAGGGTCGTTTGCTGACTGCTTATCAATTAGATCAGAGCCTCTCTGAATGGGCTGATCTCTAATTATATAACTGCAGAGTGATCAGAGGCAATGTCTTTGCCAATGCAATTAACATTTTTTTATGTGAGATTAACAGGATTTGAATCACCTGCATAACTTGCTTACAAGGTTAATCTCTCTTGGGACAGTAGTGTTGTTTGCCAGTGTGTTTCTGTAAAGTATGGCTCTCAAGTAGTCAGCCCTGTCAATTTAGTTCCAAAATGGCGTTTTGGAAAAATCCAACTTTATATACAGCTATAATAAAATCAAATGCCAAGTCTCTTGTAGTTATGTCAAAAATATTCAGAAAGCAAATATACAATTTAACACAAAATACCATAAATCTGAAATGTGGTTGCATAGTATCTCTTAAGTTACTTAGTTACATGAAAAAATTAAGTGCCCAGCAAACAAATTTCTCTTTTTAACTGTATTCAGTCATTGAAAATGGCTTTAAAATTGTCAATCACTGTGTGGTAACAGCTATTTCTCAAATGACCATAAAATTTTAAAAATAAACTTCGCTTAACATTATAAAATTAGTGTTATGGCAATAATTACATAGGTAGAGTTCTTTAAGTCCTGTAAGACCAAAGCTATGTAATAAAAGGACATTAGAGTTAACCACTGCTTGTAAACCTTATCTTGACTTCAGCTCACCCAGAAAGACCTGCCACCCTGTAGTGTCAATTAAATTGGAAGTCAGATGGCCCTGGTAGGTCTCCTTTTATTTAACTGGGCATGTATGAGGTAAGGATGGGTTTGATAGTCATTGAATGTGAATTGTCATGCCCTTCCAGAAAAAGACTGAATGATAATGATCAGGCTGTCTGAATGTGATTAAATAAATCCTGACTGCATTAGTTTCTTTTTGGCTAGAACTTTCCTTGCCTGAGAAAATTCATCCTATGAAGTAAAGACAAATATAAATAAATGTTCTCAGAGGAAAATAATGCCTCTCTCACCACATATTAGAGGCAAAATTTCATGTTATTGCTGATAACATGATATAAGAGTCCAGGTGAGAGCAGGGGCTCTGCCTATTCATTCCACCATTAGTATTTAAGCACTTAAACAGGGCATGGGACATAGCAGATGCTCAATAAATATACTCAAGAAAGGATTATATTGCCGACAACAATCTTAATAACACCTCATGTTCTTATACCACATGCTACTAATAAAATACAGATACTTCTTAAGGTGTGGGTCCTAAGGATCTTCTCTCATAGCGTTATCTCTGAATACCTCAACTACTCTCATGGTATCAACTATTATCTCTCATTCAAAGACTGAAAACCAGTATCATCAACCCCAATCTCTGTCCTCATCTTCCCCAAAATGGTTAGTTCTCAATCTGAACATCGTACTGTGAAAATAATCAGTTGGCACAGAGTTTCCAGTAATCTTTTTGGAGAATAACAACTAAATATGAATTAACAACAATAGATCATGTGCCATTTGAAAAAAGCTTCCAGCGAAAAGACAAAGAACAATGTGGTATGGAGCCATGGTGGTGGGGGATGGTGGGGAAGAGAAACTAAGAGGAAATAAAGGCAGAGAAGCATCACAAGATAATTTTACTTAAAAAAAAGTGTTATTAAAATTCTGTGATACAGCAAAAGAAACTATCAGAGTGAACGGACAACCTACACAACGGGAGAAAATATTTGCAATCTAAGCATCTGACAAAGGTCTAATATCCAGATGTACAAGGAACTTAAACAAATTTACAAGAAAAAACAAACAACCCCATTAAAAAGTGGGCAAAGAGCCTGAACAGACACTTCTCAAAAGAAGACATTCCTGTGGCTAACAAACATATGAAAAAAAGTTCAACATCACTGATTATTAGAGAAATGCAAATCAAAACCACAGTGAGATACCATCTCATGCCAGTCAGAATGGCAATTATTAAAAAGTCAAGTAACAACAGATGCTGGTGAGGTCGCAGAGAAATAGGAATGCTTTTACACAGTTGGTGGGAATGTAAATTAGTTCAACTGTTGTGGAAGACAGTGTGGTGATTCCTCAAGGATCTAGAACCAGAAATACCATTACTATTACGGGGTAGATACCCAAAGGAATATAAATCATTCTATTATAGATAGATATGCACACGTATGTTCATTGTAGCACTATTCACAATAGCAAAGACATGGAATCAACCCAAATGCCCATCATGGACTGAATAAAGAAAATGTGGTACAAATACACCATGGAATACTATGCAGTCATAAAAAGGAATCAGATCATGTCCTTTGCAGGGACACAGATGGAGCTGGAAGCCATTATCCTTAGCAAACTACTGCAGAAACAGAAAACCAAACACTGCGTGTTCTTACTTATAAGTGGGAGCTGAACAATGGTAACATATGAACACATCAGGGGAACAACACACACTGGAGCCTGTCAAAAGGGCATGGTGAGGGAGAGCATCAGAAAGAATAGCTAATGGATGTGGGACCTAATACCTAGGTGATAGGTTAATCTGTGCAGCAAACCACCATGGCACAAGTTTACCTAGGTAACAAACCTACACATCCTGCACATGGACCTGGGGCTTAATAAAAGCTGGTAAAAAAATAAAACAAAATTCAAATTACAAAAACAACACTCTCTGCTACAAGAGAAGTCATAATACCCATGAAACAAGAACAGGATGCTATAAGTAAGGAGGAATTAGAGAAAAGAAAAACCAAGGAGGTTTAAAATCTAATTGATGAAAACATGTTTGACAAAGAAAAATTTAAAAAAATTAAACATTTCATTGAATTGTTTTGTTTGAGAGTTTTCAGATTGAGACTGCTCATCAACTTACAGCACAGAAAAGAGAAGAGTGTCAAACTAAGGTAATGTATTGAACCATTTCAGAAAACTGGGGTAAAGAGACCACCAAACATTTGGGAAGAAAAGAAAAAGAAAAAGAAAACTGATCACATACAAAGATACAGGATACAGGAATCAGAATCACAGTAGACTTCTCAAGAGCATCATGAGATGCTAAATGATGTTAGAGTCACAACTGTAATACTCTGAGCAAAAATATTATTTCAGTCAAATTCCCTAACTAAAGTATAATTCTAAACTAGAACTCTAAGGTCTGGAGAGAATGAAGGCATTTTGGTTGAGAATGTGCTCCAAGCTTCAGCCAAGCAGAAAGAAGTTGAGAACCCCTTCTGAAAAGAGGGGTTAACCAAGAAAGAAACAAACATAGGATGCAGAAAACAGCAGATCCAGCATTCCAGACAAGGAAGACAAAAGCAGAATTAGGTTTACGGTGTTGACCTAAGGAATGTCTAACCAAGTCAGATCAGGCAGCCTCAGGGAAGACTGTAGTGAAGGGGACTTAATAGCTAAAGTCTAAAAAAATGATTATAGAAGATTTTATAGTTTCTGTTAGAGATTTCAAGAATTCATGACAGGTATAGAAAGCATAAGTAAATGGGAAAATGGGTTTATTATTAATTCAAAGAAGAACAAAAATAGTACCAGAAAAGAAATATGGTCATAATACTATAACATTCAACTCACAGTCAATAATATTGACATGACTATAATAACTCAAATTCTGAATATTAATATAACCAATGTTTTGAAAGTTCATAGACTAAAAAGAGAAAAAGAAGGAAAAGTGGAGGTGAGAAGGTGGGGAAGGAGCTATAAGTGGGCCAAATCATCATCTTCTATAATAGGAAGTCAAATAATGTATGAAATTGATACATCAATAAATAGCAGATTAAGCACATATTCAGAAATATGGAAACAAATCCCAGAATAATTAGATAAAACAGAACGTAAAATGATGAGAAATATATGTGTGTGTGTGTGTGTGTGTGTGTGTGTGTGTGTTTGTGTTGGGGCAAGAGATTCCTGTATTTCATTCTAAGTTTTGTAATACTTATTATATTTTACAAATGTTACACATAAAATAAGTTTTCGTGTATTGCATTCATAAACACTTAAAAATCATTTTTGAAATCCACATGTCATTTTTAAAACCCAAATTTTGGACAGCAGTTTTCTGAAATCTACTCATAATTAGAAATTGTATTATTTACTTCAACTCTACTTTCTCTGCCATCCAGGATCTTCAGAGCTTAACATATGTAAACTTCTAGGGACTATACTTCAGGAAGGTGTATAGATTGGGCCACAGATTTCAGTGCTACTGTAGACTATGATACCTACTTCTAATTTTTAGATTTGATAATGCCCAGTTAATTAGGATGTTATTTCATGACCAAAAACTATTAGAAGATCAACCACAATATGTGATTCATGGAGTATGGCACAGTAACTTTTTAAAGTTAGGTTACACCGATCATATCTTTGATATGATCAAATGGCACATTTAAAATATATAATGCTGAAATTTTAAACTATACAACTTCAAAGTACAAGCCCACTAGAATCAAAATACTTGAAGAATTCAGAAAATTCTTTTTCCTAGCAATATGTCTCGGAAAGTAGACAGCTATTATACTGGAAAAAACCCTTTATTCCTTTCATTGTTTTTCTTGACATTTACAAGTGACTTATATTTCTTGAACAATTAAATGTAACTTTATTATATATATTTTTATTATATTTATAATAATAATAGGTATCAATAAAATATAATATATTTACATCATATTTATAATAATAATATATATACTTATTTTTTTGAACAACAAAATGTAACTTGTTCTGTAAAACATATCTTAAGATAAAGATTGAACTGCAAAGGACCTTTAAAAACCTTCTGTAGCTACAGAGTGGTTATAGTAGCTAGACCTTTAAAAGTGAAATTGCTGCTCCATGAAAATAAAATTGAGGGAGGTAGAGTATGAAGTACAATCAGTTTTACTTATATAAATATTTGGTCAAAAATGATAATATGTAACAATGCTAAAATATAAAGAGTTGTATTGGAAAATGTGTATTAGATGTAGGAGCACCAGCATAAAATAAAGAAGACCTCCCTATTAATAGTACACTGTTTTTTTTTCTTTTATGTTCTCTAAGAATAGGGAGCCAAGATACAGAAGGGGTTTCTCGGGCAATACTTGTCACATCCTTGATTTGGACCATCACTTTGTTTTTTTTGTTTTTCTTTTGGATTTGGATGTTGTTTTCTTACCAATAATGGAAAGCTAGTTTTTCCTTCAACTTAATCTTGTACTTATAACCCCTCAGGTCAGTTCTGACTAGCTTACACCATCTAATAAACATTCTCCGTTTCCTAAATCAATTCTGCCAGGGGAACTGCCTCTAGACAAATTCAATCTATTTGGATAATAGCTATTTTCAAAATAATTTAGAAGTTCCCACATAACTCTTGACATGTTTAGGAATCCCCAGTAGTTCTCATCATTTCTTTAGGGAAAGTAGAGTAAATATTTCATAAGGATGTCTCATTAGTGGTAAGTCTAATTGCTTCTGTAATGACATTAAACCCTTTCAATTTCCTTCTGAAGGCAGTCTATACTGCAGTAATATAGCTTTTTTTTTTCTTTCTATTCCAGAGTTTGTGGTAGTTACAGAAAAATAGCAATGAGTGTTTCTTTAAATAGAAGAGCTATACTTGTGGGCTTTCAATGCTAACGTTCAGTGACCACTAATATCATTTCTTACCAGGCAAAACTGTGTTTTATTCATTACAGAGTGGAGCACATCTTGAGACTCTTATAGAGGACTGCATGAAATGTAGGGGCAAACTGACACTTGTCTGAGCTCTGCAGGATAGAAATTTACATGCATACTTTGAACAATTCTATTTTTTCTATTCAATTCCTTTAACAAATTATGGGATTTCTCCTAGCTTTGTCATTTGGGACTTCAAGCTGCTTAGTAGCCACAGGGAGTGTTACCAGAGATTACCTGGTGCTCAGAATGATTGAAAGGAGAGGCCTGCATTCTGGTACACATGCACAAAGCACAATCTTAACTCTTGAAATATAGTGGAAGTCATAATACAGCTCTTCTATAGTGGCACTCCCATTACACCTTGGGATGGCGTCTCCCAAGCCAGCAAAATACGTTTCTCTGGGGACCTATGCAGGGCTTTGGTGCCACACTTGGGTGTGTCCTGAAGAAATGACCAGAAATAGGGATTTTAAATCATGCACAGAAGTAGAGGATTATTTTACCGCTACTGAAAAATAATTTGAAAATCACAATGATATTTTTGCTCCTAAAAAATCACATAATATCTGCTATAGTAAAATGTTTAATGAAGATTGTATATATACACATGTACATACACATACATACATATGTGTACATGTATGTGTGTGCATGTGTGGGTCTATAAATGTGTATGTCTATACAGAGATTTAAATAGAATTTAAATAGAATGTATTCTAAAAGAGTGTTTCATTTTTGAGTATCTTTAGCATATCTATTTTTTCCAATTTTTTGTCATTTTCTCTCTCTTTCAACCTTCCACAGCTGCCCTGCAGTATTTTCCTTACATTTGTTTCCTCGGCCATCTTTATTTGTCCCCAGTTTTCTCCTTTCCAATACTTTATCCACCATTTATATGATATGGTTCTAGTCAGTTTTTAACCTATTAATTGCATTTAACCAGCTAAGGAGAGCCTTGGTTCTTAAAGTTGAAGGAACATGAATATCATAACAAAATATCTCATTTTAGGGGTCCATTTTCTGATTTTGAATTTATATGTGTGCATACATAGTATATTTATCAAGAGTTGAAATTATAAATACTTCAGTTTGAATTTCTAAGAACTGGAAAACAAGTTTTTTTATACTATACTCTCTAACTTTTAAAAATCCTTACCCTGTATCTTGCACATAATAGCTACCTGATAAATGCATGAGAGTTGAATGAGTGATAAACTTTAGATAGATGTAATATCTCAAATAGACTTTGAGAAAGAACGTTACATTTTGATGAACTGCAAAATCTTACAAATACATGAACAATGTAAGTTAATTAAAGTTTCAAATAATTTTTTCTTTACATCGAAGCTTTCATTAGAAAGACAGAAAACAAGATAATTCTAATTTGTCACTGCTTACCATGAGTCATGAGTAACTGTCCTTATATGGCCCAGTTTTTAATGTTAGTAATACTTAAAAGCAAAGAAAAATTGATAAAAATAAAAATTTATAATTTAGAAGAAAGTTTTACCAAAGACAGTCAGCTCTGCTGGGTCACTGTCCCTTTCTCCCACCATATTGGTACCAACACAAGTATACATCCCTGCATCACTTTTCCTGGTATTGGAGATCATCAGTTTTCCACCACGGATCTGTTAAAATCAAACAAAAAGAAAAGAGAAGGGAAGAAAAAGGAACAGAATAGAAAATAAAGGTCATTAATAAATAGTTTTGAGTATTTGAGCATATTTGTTTCCCAAAGGAAAAAACTCTCCCATTATTTTGGCATTTGCAGGTATGTTTTCTTTTCTTAAATTCACCCTCAATGTAAGTTTCCATACTTTCTTCATAGAAAATATTTTTTAAGGCAGCTGTCCTCTCTTTCCTGATCGCATTTTGAGTCTTGTGACTGACCTCCCTAAATCCCAGTAGTTAGTCTTCACACTGAAATTCATTTGAATAAATTGCTATTGTCATTTGTCATCAGAAAGAAATACTAGATATTCATTTTAAATAATCTAATAAAATCCTGCTGAATCAGAGGGATTCAGAAAGTATATATATCCATACTTACTAGGCATATTCTGGACACTTAAGAGACAGTGGTAA
Organism: Homo sapiens; assembly: GCF_000001405.40. Lineage (NCBI taxonomy): Eukaryota > Metazoa > Chordata > Mammalia > Primates > Hominidae > Homo > Homo sapiens. The sequence continues at coordinate 77,480,641 of NC_000003.12, read as the reverse complement.
ATCAAACGGTAAAAATCTTTGCCTCCCTAGAATTCACATTTCAACTGTTAATATTAATCATCTTTGTTTCATCTTAATTGTATTTAAGAGATAATTCTTGGAGAAAATGGCAGGTTGGATAAAAACAAACACAGTTTATAAAATGGTAATATGTATTAGTATAAACCATTAGCATCTAATAGGTTCCCCTTCAAGATTTCTTAAATGAGAAGCATTTATTGGCTGATAAAAACAAATGCAATAATATTAAAATATGTATTTGCTAAGGAGGACATTAAAGCAGAGTTAGGCTTTCAGTAAATCTATAACTCATAGTTTCTTTTCCAGTTTTTTTTTTTTGGTACTCATTTAATTCAATATTAGCTTTACAATGATTGAGTGTTCTTGAAGAAATACAAGATAAGAACATGTTGGTTTTCTCCATTATTTTTTAATTTCACAGGCAAACACAACTCATGTACGTTGGCTCTTATCAGAGATGTTTCAAGATTTACAACTTGTCATGTTCTAGAAAGGAATTTTCAACTTTTTTTTACATAGGTGAAAAAGACCATTAACCTGTTCTCAATTCTGTCTGGTAGAATAAAATGAGAGCTTATAAAAATGGCTGTGAAGGCCATTTCTCCTTCCCCTTGAAGCTGAGAGCTAGGTAATATGACTTGATTTGACCAATGGAACTACAGCAAATACTTCACTGGAAGAAAGGTTCTTGTACATTGTGTCTTGCCTTCTCTTGCTGAGTTGGAACTGAGACCAACATGGGAACCGACTGAACTAGCCTGCTGGAAAATTAGAGATCATAAGGAGGGGAACGAAGATACCCAGCTGAGAGTCAACCAATTGCCAGACTTGTGGGTAAGGTCATCCTGGATTATTCAGCTGCCAGCACACCTTTAAATAGGCAAGAGCTAAATGCTATAAACATAAACTACCAATCCATAAACAATGATTTTACTCCATCATCAGGAGTACATTTTCATAAATTTGGTACCCAAGCAAGACCACTGAGAACAAAACTCTCTTTGGTAATGTAGATCTCACAGTGTTAATAGTGAGACTGGTGTTGGGGCTCAGAAAACGATATCCCAAAATGTGGTGCTTTGGCTTTCTGAGCACTTTGAACTAAAGGAAATTGTAAGTCATTAGAAACTTCCTTAACATCAATGTCTCTCTGACATTCCTTTGTTTCTCCCCTCCACTTGCCCCAAGAACAGAGAGGGAAGCTCTCTGAAGTTTCCTTATCTGACTGAGAAAAGTTCTTCCAAAAGAAACACAATTGCCTTAAATCCCCTGTCTGAAATCTCAGTAACCTGCAAAGATTAATCACCAAAGAAGAAACTAAAGGTCATTACCATGCCTACTGGACAGACTGTTCAACTATTCTTCTTGGGGTTGTTATCTGAGACTTTATCTACATAATAAGACAACCTTTGCTTGCAGTGCAGTTCTGCCCCTCACCTTCCCAGAACTTGTCACCACCTCTCCCAGAGGCCAGAGGAACTTTGTCTATTTGTTGGGCCCACTTATCTTCTCTGAAAATCATTTAATCTTCCTCTAAAATCACCTACTATTCCCACTTCCCTCTATCCTATGAAGAGGGTAATTAAGCTTCAACCATCTAGCCTTTCTTTGAGTTTTATACTTTGTGTGATTCCCTTGCACTTACATATAAATACATTTGTATGCTCTTCCTTCCATTAAACTGTCTATTGCCAGTTTATTTCAGCAGACTAAAAGACTTAAACCTTTAGAGGGTGAAGGGAAAAAATATCTTTGCCTCTATACCAGAAACGCATGAATATACATTGTCATCCCTTCCACAGCCTATCTAGTTCTGTTTTATGTTGTAATCTCACTGTGCACAGAGGAAAAATCCTCATTTGTAATAAACATATTTTTAAGATAATAGATACCAATACTTTATAGTTTTTTTATTAAAATGGCACATTTATTCAGTCAAATGAGAAATTATCTTAAATGTATTCACTCTCAGTTGTATTGAATATAAAAATTATACTACTGAATAATATCAGAAAGTTAAGCAATTACATACTATTTCTGTGGGTTGGTTCTCACTTAAAAACTTCACATACAAATGTTGCGTGGATCCTCTGAAGAAATAAAATGATTACATGCCATTTGCCTGTTTCTGTGTGTTTCATTTTGAATTTTAATCAACTGATGAATCTGATTATAAATTTCCTTTGAAAACAGTTATTTTTCTACATGCAGAATCAGTCAGCTGTTTTGATTTCCATTTTATTTTACATCTATTCAATTTCCTTTTAAATCAATTCATGTATAAAATTTTACTGTTATAAATATTATTCAATTGGAAAAACTGGAAAAAGCATTTGAGATATTCATCACCTTAAATTAATTTCTCTTATAATTTTTGAAAATGGTGCAAAATTAGATGTAGTTAATGTGGTTTATGGCTATCATTTATACTTTAACACTCAGGTACTGCATGATCAACAGAAGCTTCTGGAGATTTTATAAAAGAGCTAAAACATCAGCTGGGTGTGGTGGCTCACGCCTGTAATCCAAGCACTTTGGGGGGCTGAGGTGGGTGGATCACGAGGTCAAGAGATGGAGACCATCCTGGCCAACATGGTGAAACCCCATCTCTACAAAAAATACAAAAAATAGCTGGGCGTGGTGGCGCACACCTGTAGTCCCAGCTACTTGGGAAGCTAAGGCAGAAGAATCACTTGAAACCGGGAGGCAGAGGTTGCGGTGAGCAGGATCGCACTCCAGCCTGGGTGACAGAGCAAGACTCTGTCTCAAAAAAAAAAAAAAAAAAAAAAAGAGCTAAAATATCAATATTGCAGTGTAAAGATATAACTCAGATTGGTGCAATTATTAATATTTCATGTACACTTGATTTACATAATTTTTGTCTCTTGTAGTCTCATCCAAATGTTTTTAAATCTTTTCAAGGCAGTATAAATTGTAATTAACATTCAAATACAATTGTATTAATAATGTTAAAGAATAAAATACATCTATTTTGTATTTTGAGACTGAAAATTCAATCTCTCTGGGCCATGATTTTAATTTAACTCACACTTATTCTTTCTTCCTTGTCATCAATTCGAACTTTGTCTTTTTTCCAGTAGATGGTGGGTTCTGGGTGTCCCCGGGGAGGCTGGCACTCCAGGATTGCAGGCTCTCCAGCTGCCACTACAACATCTGTGGGGTTTTGTCGGAAGTCATCTCGTAACACTGAGGAAAAATAATTACAGGAAAAGAAAACTCAACGACAGTAACTTAGGCTTTTTGTTGTACAAGGTAACTTCAAGTCTTGTTTACCTTGTTCTAGTAAAAATTGCCTGGATTTTTACTGAGAACATAGCTACATCCACCTTAAAATATTCTGGAGCCAACATAAATGATCATCAACAGGAGAATGGCTGACTAAATTATCATGCACCTTTGGTCAAAAATTCAACTTTAAAAATGAAATCAGTCAAAAAAATGAGAAATATTCATGTACAGTTCTGCGATTAATTAAAAAAGCAAGGTGCAGAACCCTTCATTAGTATAATTCTATTTTCTATATAGAAACTCATATATGTGTGTGTGTGTGTGCACGCATATATATATGCATGTGGTTTGTGAGCCTGCAAGCCTAATGATCTGTGAGGGAAAGTGGGGTGAGAATTCTTTGACAAAGTCCTTTCTCATGACACAAACATAGACAAGATCCACACTGTTTTCATTACACTTCAGAAGACAGATTCATAGTTCACCCTTGCAGCACACTAGCACCCACATACGCAGGGCTACATTTTCATTCTGCAACTCCACCTGCCGAGTGACATCTGGGCAGTGTGACATTCAGGGCAGAGATATCCCTTATAGCAGTTTTGCCTGTCTGAAATTTCCCTCCTTTCATTAAGGAGAACAGCAGGTTGGACCTTCGCTGTAACCACCGAAAATCTGGCATGCCTGCCTCTCCAAATGTCACCTATCTATCTACTTGTGCTTCTCTGCTCCTGACAAGATGAAAAGCCTGGAGAGATGGCTCAGCCCTATCGGACTGCATTTAGGTGGTAAATCAGAGCTACATTAATTTTAGGGTAAACATTCAAAAAAGTAGTTGAGATCAGCAAATGTACCATATACTGCAACTGCCTCTGCTTTTCCTGACTGGCTTTACTATTTCTGTTCTTGGACATTCCAACACCGACATGTTTGGTTCCAAAGTACCTTGAGGTAAAATGAACCTACACACACACACACACACACACACACACACACACACACATACCCACAGACACATGCACACATCAAGCTGTTTGAAATCAACATTAGGCAGCTTGTGGTAGCCTGTTATGTAAATCATGTGCCGCGACTGGGGATTAGGTCAAACCAACTGCCTTCCGTGTCCTATAATGAGACCCACTTCAGCACTCTGCTTCTTTGTTGTGCCAAGTCTGTAGGTTAATTGTCATTCCCCAAATAAATAAAAAACCCTGTCCTTAAAAGAGCTCCAGAGAGTCAACTCAGTGACTTCAGGGTTTTTCTTTTCTCGTATTTTGCAACACACCCTTTAACATGGTTTTCCATCTTAATGAAGTCATGGCCCTTTATGAGATTAGAGCACCTTGTCTCTTATTGAAGGAGCAGTAAGAAATAATTCAGCACAAATTGCTCACTCTCAGTTTATAAGCTGATTAATTTACTGATTTCACTGCTAAAGAAATGTGTTCCATTTTAGCTCTGTGAACTGCATATTTTTGGCCCCCTTGTCTAACTGGCAAGAAAGGTGTGATTTATATGCATGAGGATTTGCTTCTGAGTGGGCTGAGGAAAGTGTGCATTTAAATGTGACATTCATGCAACTGATGAGAAGGGGTTAACACCGTGGTTCCCTCTTGCAGGTAAATCCTCCAGGGAGAGCAAGCTGGTGACTCATTTATATTCTAAATACAGAACAGCTGCCTATTTATGCAATGTTAAGAAGTGCAAAAATATGGTAACAGGGTGATGAGCACCCCTACAATATCCGGTACTGGCAACAAATGGTGTTTTTGCAGGCCCTCAATCTGTTCCAAAATGGCACAGCTGGCCAGTTGAAGGGCCTTCTCCAGATCTGCTCTCCTAAAAAATGGTATGCCAAAAAGCCTAAGCACAAGTAGTACCTAATACCATTGCAAATCATTCAGAAATACAACGTTACACCAATTTTCCACAATCCATTTTTTTTTAAAGGTCCTTTGACATGTAGGACAAAAAGAAGAAAAACATCATAACAAACTATAAGGACTGGTACTCTTCAACAATAAAACATGTGCTTATGGCATTCAACAAAAAGGGGGAAAATGACTCCAATTTGCAAATGAAGCCAAGAAATCTAACATCAACTGTAATTTTAGGCTTTCAGACTATTCACCCAGAGAGTAGGGTGAGATAATGATATAATTGATACTGTACCCTCTTCAACTTGTAATGTGCTCTTTGGGGTTTGTATAGTACTCAGTAAATCCATTTGTGTTTAGTGATATCATTTATTTAACCCTAAGTCTTCAGGATATTATAATATGTTTCTTCTCTCTCTCTCTCTCAGTTGAAAAACATGCTTTTCAGCAGGTTCCACCATAGGCAGCCTAGAACTTATTTTTAGAAAAAGGAGTAAAATCATTTTTACTCTTCTCAAATTTTGAAGGAAGATATGTATATTCTGATATTTGTTTATATGTTTCTGGGGTCTGTATTTACATTCATAAATGTAAGAAAAGTAAAATAAAATAATATCTATCAGTTCCCATTTTTGTGCTAATTATTCATTTCTGCCTTGGATTTTGCCCTGTGCTCTTTATCGTAGCCGATAAAAACAAGAAAGTGTTAGCCATGGTGAAGTATTCCCATGTGTCGGATTAAGAGAACTAAAATGGTCTGGTAAATGTAGAAAATAGCAAAGCAATTTTAAATTCTAAATTGAGTGTGTGTGTGTGTGTGTGTGTGTGTGTGTGTGTATTCCCCCTAAATCCTCTACCCTAGAAAGAACTGAAAACTATATTTTCAAGTGTGACTTGACACGTATGTCAAAAGAAGAGCACATACCACAGTGTGTGTTACCTAACTCTCCAAAAAGTCTTTAAATATGATGAAGAGAAATAAATTCGATGACAGGGTAGCAGCAGTTGTGTTTTAAAGAAAAAGGATATACTGTTTCCATAATGGCTGTATTAATTTACATTTCTACCAAGTTGTAGGGGCCAAGGGAAAGCGTCCCCTTTGCCTCTGATGTTTCACTGAAAAATCGACTCACAAAAAGCAGATTAATTGGAGAAAAGGTACACAAATTTATTAGCGTACCCTGAGGAGAATCACAGAGTAATTGCCTAACACCGCTATGGTATACCAATGCTTATATACTCCGTTTCTTAGGGGAAAGGGAGATGGGGAAGTATAGATAATTTTTAGGCGGATTCAATAACCTTAAAGAACATACAATAGCCTGGGACTAAGTCTTTTCGGCTCACAAGGGGACGATGGTTTTTGACGAAAGTTTGCCCAGGTTTGTTGTCCAACTTCAGTCTTCCTTTCTGCGATATCATTTGAGCTCATGAAAATTCAGGGAAGGGGCCAGAGGTAATGGTTTTCTTCTTTGGTAGGTCCGGACTTTAGGCAGGTAAGAAACTTTGGAGAACAACTTCATCCTGTGCTTCAAGAGACACAGAGGATTGAGAGATGGGGGTTTGGAGGAAGGAAGGTCAGAGAGATCTTGAGGCTTCCTCTTCAGTTCAGCATGTCCAAGTGCTGCTATAGGAGCTAGAAATTATTTAGGCAGATAGTGAGGGTAAACAAGTCCTCAGCGAGGCTTCCCTTTTAACAAAAAACAGCCCCAAATAATTTCTAACAAAGAGCAGCCTGCAGCCAGGCGCGGTGGCTCACGCCTGTAATCCCACCACTTTGGGAGGCCGAGGTGGGTGGATCACGAGGTCAGGAGACCGAGACCATTCTGGCTAACACGGTGAAACCCCGTCTGTACTAAAAATACCAAAAAAAATTAGCCTGGCGCAGTGGCGGGTGCCTGTAGTCCCAGCTACTCGGGAGGCTGAGGCAGGAGAATGGCAGGAACCCGGGAGGCGGAGCTTGCAGTGAGTCGAGTTCATGCACTCCAGCCTGGGCGACAGAGCGAGACTTTGTCTCAAAAAAAAAAAAAAAAAAAAAAAAAAAAAAAAAAAAAGAGCAGTTTGTAAAATCGAACTGCAGACATAGAGAAGCAAGCCGGAAGCTTGCACGGGTGAATGCCGCAGCTGTGCCGATAGAAAGGGATACCTGGAAGCCAAGTCTATTCAACACGGAGGCTCCATCTTCTTCTTCTTCTTATTATTATTTTTTTCTTCCGCCACAGGTGCAGTAAAAAAGCAGGCAACATCGTGCCGACCAGGTACAGAACTCATCCGCATAATAAAAGGTTGGGATGGGGTGGCCAACTTCTTCACGCTCTGTGTAAATGACACACCTGCCCCAACCAATCCTCTAAACCCTGTGGGAATCAGACACCGCATCCTCAAGCTCATCTATAAAACCAACCGCATCTCGTCGCACCCTGGGAGATACGCTCGGAACCCCTCCCTCTGCACAAGGGAGGGTTTCTCCTTTGCCTATTAAACCTCTGTTCTTAAACTCAGTCCTTGTGTGTCCATGTCCTTGATTTCCTTGGCACGAGGCAACGAACCTTGGGTATTACCCCAGACGAAGGACACTGCTTCAGTGACATATTTCAGGGTATCAGTTTCTGAGCCCCAACAAAATATACAAGGGTTCCCTTCTCTCAACACCCTTACCAATATTTATCTTTCATCTTTCAGATAACAGCTTTTCTAACAGGTGTACATTGTACCCAGTAAATATATAATATATACGATTGCTTGTCAAATAAAAATAGAATTTTTAAAACTTCATTTAAAAAGAAAAGGGATATGGTAGGTACATTCTAATATAGAACTTGCTTTCAGATCTAAGTTAGAATACAGGGTTTCAAATCTCCATGGGGTGAGGTGGGGGGGATATGTAATTGGCTAGAACCCGAATATTCACTTCCATATGTGAGCTGGAAAACACATATAAATAGTTCACTTAGCTAGTCATAATATAACCTGAATTATATTTGCATGTTTTTTTACATTGGGATGCACCATGACTTAGGAAATTATTTTGGAAAATTGGAACATTCTAAATTACTACCTTACGACATAGAGATTTTTGACAAATTAAAATTCTGCAAGTATGTATTGAATGCTGTAATGTGACAAACACTCTCCTATGAACTGGTTAAGAAATAGATTAACAAGAATGACATGACAGTGCCTGTGATAGACCCTTGTTCTGTTCTCCAATGGTCACTCCCTTCTGTTATTTATTCCCTTTGTATATCCCCTCCCCTTGAGCATGAACTAGACCTGGCGATTTACCTTCGATGAACAGAATGTTACAAAGTGGTAGGATGCCACTTCCAAGATCAGTTTATAAAAGATTGTGACCTTCATGTTTTTGCCCTCTCTCTCTCTCTCTCATTGTGGCTTAGAAAATGATACCCCAAAATACGCCACTTCAGACTTTAAACTAAGAGCACCCAGTGAGTAGCAAATGGAAGAAAGAGCTTTCTCTAAAGATCCCCTGTCTACCTAAAGATGCTGTCCTCCAGAAGGTATTCAATTAATTCCTTTCTCAGATATCTCATTAACCAGGGGAAATTGGCGCATCCTGCAGGAGGAAAGACCAGAGTTGACACCGCACCCAGAGCCCAGGGAAATGTTGTCCCAGGCCACCCTTTGTTCTTCAGGCCCATTCATCTCCTCAAAAAAATCACTTATTCTTCTAAAATTGCCTGTGTCTCCCACTTTCCTCTCCTCTATGAGGAGAATAATTAAGCTTCAAGTATTTGACCTTTCTTTCAGTCTCATATTTTGTGTGGCTTCTATGCACATGTGTGCATAGTAAATATGTAGCCTTTTTCTCCTGTTAATATGTCTATTGTCAGTGTATTTCAGCAGACTAAGTTATTGAATCTTTAGAGGGAAAGTCTGAACTCCTCTCTTACTCTCTTTTCATATACTTTCTCTGATCATGCACGGTGCCATGTTGCAGAATGGAGAAGCCCATTTGGCAAGGATCTGAAGTCAGCTTCCAGCCAACAGCTGGCAAGAAACCAAGGCCCTCAGTCCAAAAACCCTTGAGGACTCAAGTCACCACTGAATTTTGTAGTAATTTGTTATGAAGCAATAGGTAACTAACAGAGTGCCTTTAAAAAGTTTTATGTCCAGCTGTGATTTTAGAGCTTATATCTTTGGCTCCTGCTTCCTTATAATCCCATATCCTTTCCCACCCCAAACCCTCTCTGTTTTGTCTTAAATCAATAGTTCTTAGAATTTTTTTTTAACCTCAGTCTAGGCAAATCACTACTTAGTCATTTCCATCTTAGTTTATTAAAACAAATTAGCAATGACAATGAAGTGAGACTGTATAACTAATGGACTTCTGAAAGATACATTTCTAAACCACAATGTGCACATGATCCCAACTAAAGTTATTAGAAGGGTAAAGCCTAAAATGTTACTGATAAAAGAATTGGCACACATCATTGAATAAAGAATACCATCCACAACCAACTAAACATTACGAGAAAGATAATCTAAGAAATAATTGTAATGAAAGGTACGGCCAACAGCAGTTGAAAACCGCAGGAGACCCAAACAACACTGAACACAAGTCTTTCCTGCCGGCAGGTTTTCTCTCTGTGTATGTATCAGAACTGCTGGAGTTATGTGGCACAATGACATCCAAACTTCTCAGTAGAAGACCGACCTCTAGCCCGAAGCAGTTCCTTATATGACATACATTTTAGTTTATGAATACAGTTTCAGTAAATTATGATAAATAGAAGCATACTCAGGAGCCTTTACTTATCCATATATATAATATATGTAATTATGTGCTGATTTTCAGTAAGAATTTTTTAGACTTGCTTTTAAAAATTAATTAACAGGCACATATAATGACACTTTTAATCTATTTTTAAAATAACTTGTTCTATGATAATAGCTAAAATTTAGTGAGTACATACTATGTGCCAAAGATAGCGTCATGGATATAGAATAGGTCATTGGAGCCTCATCTATTGTGTTAGGTAAGCACAGGGTTTCAACCCAGTGTGTCTGACACTAGAATTTATACACAGTCATTATGCTGCACTGATTTGCAATATCATCTGGGTCTATTCATCCTCTCTCCACTGCCCTAGTTCAGAATGTCCTTATATCTTCCTTGAATTACTGTAAGAATATCCTATTTGACCTTTTTCTCTAATTTCTCCTTTAAACTTTCCATTGTAGCTATTATGAGTTAGCTAAAATGCAAATGTGATCATGTCAATTCCCTTTTTAACACTTTTTAATGGCTCTTAAGATAAAATTCTCTCCTTAATATGATTTCAAATGTTGTTTGGAACCAGGTCCCTGCATATATCTCCAGGCTCATCAGGGACATTTCTGTAACCTCCATGCCCTAGGGATATGAAGGAACACCTAATTATCATTGTAAGTTGGCATATGATGGTCTTTCTGCCTGCAAGTAACTCCTAGCTGTCCCTTTGTTCTCTTACTTTTGCCTGTGCCTTTCTGAAGTACATACTGTTCATTCAGTGTCAACTTTGGACTCACTCATCTGAAGTCTTTCCTTATCTACTTAACTGGACTGGGTAACCCTCCAAAGAGCTCTCTAGTTGAAGGGTATCAGAAAAGTTAACCAAATAATGTCGATTGGTTGATTGAATTGATGTGCTCTCCTTCAAGATGTGTGCTGCACCCCTTTTTTATGATATAAAATAGACCACAGTGTTTGAATTTGATTTTAAAATGTCATTTATGAAGAACAATTTGAATTGTTTGGATTTAAGAAATAGAATCCTCTTGGCTTGCCTATCTACATACTCATATATCTGTAAAATAAAAGCCAGACAGTTCAAGAAGGTCAGAAATCAACGACTCAAGGAATAGAACAGATTTATGTCAGCCAAAAAAACTGGTAGCACAAATTATAGGTATATCATATTAAATTATTCCAATGGACTAAGAGAAAAAACAATGATGGTCACTCATAAAACTACCACAGATTATTCCCCTAGCCCTACCAACACCACTGCCACCACCACCACCACCAGTTACCATAGGGAATGACTGAGTGTAACCCCAACCAGCATGCAGCTCAGAACTTCTACTCTGCACATGAAAAAAGCACCCTATCTCTTCCTGGACTACATGGCTATAGGTGGCAGCCACGCTTTGACCCCAGGGGGAGACCGATCCTCAGGATGAAACTGGAGCTATGTACAAAGTGTAAAAAAATCTGGGCTCTTAAGGACATGGCTGGACAAATTAATTCTGAAAACTATGCTAACTCTGGACTTTCTAGGTATGTTTCCTTTTATATTTAAGCCAGTGTAAGTTTCCTTTTTCAACCAGAAGCTCCCCACTGACATCGCATAATAATTCTGTATTTTTCTGAAGTTTTAATGACTAAACAACTGATAAAGATTGTCATTCACAAGAAACTACTTTATTACATTTGGTACAATTGAACAAAATATGGTCAGGATGGGCAGGCTAGCCACCAGTTAAATAGACAATAACATCTGAACATGTGGGCATAAGTCATAAGTGGTTTCTTCTGCACAGAAGGGGAATGGGAAAGAAAGAACTCAGTGGGGAGACATCCGGGGGCCGCTGTGCAAGCTGACACTCTGGCACCCTGTAGCATGCTGACAACTCCAAAATGAGAAGCTCTCACCCCCACCTCCAATGAGATTCTGTGCACAGGCACATTCACTGAGCAAATGATCCAGATAAACCAGCGGTAGGAATTGGAGCATGTTGAATAAACAAGAATGCCCTGTGACTTGTTCATTTTCAAGTCATAGCATTTTGTGAAGTCTAGTATTCTGCAGGGAATAAAACACACAAACACAAACATAATTCACACAGGAGGAATGGCCAGCTTCGAGTTTCTTAGCCAAGTCTTTATTCTTGAATCCTTTTTTTAGCCGTGTTCTGTCCTCACCCACAATATAATTTGAAGTCCTGCTAAGAGTGCCAAGTCTTCCTTAATGTTTTCCACTTATGTTTAAAACTTGCTGAAGGATTCTTAGAAATTGCATGGAAACATCGCGCTCTCTGTAATTTGTATCCATAACCTCTGTAATGCATATGTTCTCCTTGGGGACCAAGTGTTGAGATCATTCATAAACTCTTGGATCACATGTGGCACTGCAAACTGGTGACATCTGACCACGGCAGACTCTAGGCCTGTCTCTGGCAATCATTTGCTTTGGTTTGCAGTTAAAGAGCCAGCAGTTGGCATGCCTTCAACACTTGGAAGTCCTATTTTTGGCAAAGCCTAGCATGTGATATTTGACAGGGATCTGCATAGCCTATCCATTAGCTTATGAGGAAGCTGTGGATTGAAGCTGATTAATGTTTAATCAGTTCCTTTTCTTTCTCCCTTAAAGAGCTATCGCCCACAGAATTGTTCACGTGGCATTGCTGTCTCCGAAATCACAGAAAGCTCAAAGAAACCAGATCAAGTTAGAGATTGTGTCCAAACATAGCATGTGAGGAGGATGGTTTCTAGAAATGCTAGTATTAACCTAAACATGTTCAAGGCAATGTCTTGCTCAGCTGCAGAACAAAAACCCATCTCACCATGCTCCCAACACATTCTGTTCTCCTCCACAGGCAACTGTCTTTCAGCACCTGCCCAGTTCGGACAAAACTGTCTTGGCTTGCTCAAAGCAATGCTTATAACTTTGGGCATTAGAAGATATAATACAGTCAACTTAAAATTAAGAACTACACAGGCTGGCTTTTTTTTTTTTATATTAGTGCTTTTTAAGATGGTAACAAGGGGAAACACCAGATTGTTTTAAGGTTATAATACTGCCTCCTACTTTTCTTAGATCTGGGTTTGGGTATAGATATATAAATAGATAGATAGATGATAGATAGATAGATAGATAGATAGATAGATAGATAGATAGATACAGACAGATAGATGATAAAGCCAGCAAGCCCACCAGTTTTAAAGAATTTACATTTACAGGATGATTACAAATAACCATCTGTCTGCTTCTAGCTTTTCAGTCTGGTTCATGTCCCATGGGCCTCGGGTCTTCAGACAAAGTAGTTAGGCTGCTAGGTACCAGGTAGGTGTGTTACAGGTGCTTTGTAGAATGCCTGCCTGGTTTCCCTACTGCTTCTCATTTTTCTCTAACTCTCTGCATTCCTTCCTCATTTAGCCCTTACCATTAGACCAAAGAAAACAAAAATTAAATTATTAAATCTCTTTTACATATATTTATACAAAATTTGAATTCAATACATTTGTTTACATGCACTTTTAAATTAAAATATATCTAAGTATATATTTAAATCCAAATTTCAGGATTCATTACTGACTTATAGCTATAGTTGTCCATTTGAATAAAGGAAATAAAGAGTGTTATCAAGTACATATTAATGTGCTGCATTATTCTGGATCCCAACAGATCGCCTCTCTCCTCCCACCTTATTAGTCCTTATCTGAAGATATTAGCTTTTACAGCATTCCACTGCACAGTTCACAGAGGTACACAGTTTCAGCAGCATCTCTTGTCATTCTAGCCTCTCCTGGTATCAACGTGTTATTGCTCCGATATTTCTCTACTGTTGTGTATTCTGATGTGCATGATCAACATGAATTACAATGCCAAGTAACTGCCAGATGTCATGAGTTATAAACTCAATAGTCTAAGGATTATTACACATTAGGGCACCCTACAGTGCAAGGGTGTCCTGGAATTTATGTGTTATTTATTACCTATTGGCAGGGTCTCAAAGTAATCTCACCCCTGCTGATGAAATGAGGGTTGAAAGGAAAAGAAGGTCAAGGTCAACCTTCTTTGCCAGTTACTTTAACACTATTGTTGCTTTATCTTTTCTTTCCCCTCTACCCGAAACTCAACAAATCTCCGAATAGAGTAGAAATATAATTATATCTATGGGCTCACAACTTGATTCTGCTAATTTCACCATTTCCATCATTTTAGCTATTTTAACAACACATTTTGTAACCATAACCATTGGAGGTCCTAGATAGGGGGTTCACATGAATCACATCATCATCCATAAACTCAAAAATGAGCAGTTTGAGAGTACACGGTTTATGTTCCTCTTTTGCACCAGAACATAAACCAAAGCCTAACTGAATAGATTATATTCGAATTTTGAATTTTAAAAACATATTCCACATGCTTGTGGATTTTTTAGCCTTAGTCTTCCAATATTAAAATTTGATATGTCCACATCACAAAATATGGGCACTACACTATCATGAATTTTGCTGAATTAGATCCAATTTGACATCCTATATTCTTCAAGAAATGTTCTACTTGATTACTACATGACAAGAGACTTGAAATGTATCCTAATTCAGAACGTATCATATTGATTTTTAAATTCACTGATTAAAAATAGCTCTATCACTTTTCTACTCTATCCCAATCCCAGTAACCTTCTTTTCTTTTGCTACTAAATGAATTCCAAATGCAGTAGTTAACATTCAGCAATCTCATTACCCATCTACCATAAATCTTCAAAAGCATCACCATCTTCTGACAGTTCAGCAGGAGAAGAGGAAGCAAGGAGCATATCCAAGTACTTTTTATACATGCAAATATCCTAAATACCAAATTTAAATTATCTCAGAAAACTCATATTACACCATTGACAGTGATTGGAGAACAATGTGCTTGAAGATGTTTGTTTACTTATGAAAAGCACAGTTTCTTACATTCCTAAAGACAAACTGATATCAAACAACAGATACTGAGTATCTTTTTAAGGTATAAGTAATACTGAGTTCTCATGAAGAGAATTAATTATATGTGTGTTTTACCCAAAAGTATGTAAATATTTTAAAACTCATGGATGCTTTAATCAAACCTTCACATCTTAGCTGAAACTGGAAAGAAGCCTTCTTCAGTAGAGTTTTAATAAAATCCTTCTTTTCCTCTGATACACACTGGAGTCACCTTGACCATCCATAGAGTATGTGCTCAGCAGTAAGAAAACAAATAGTACTGCCTTCTGAGTCTCTAGCTATATATCTATTCCCTGGGCTACCCTGTTTCTCCTAGCCTGAGGACTTACTACACTTTCATTCTCAGAATGCTTGGAGATAAAAAATAATCATAGCCATTTCCTTTCTGTGCAGAGAGGAAGCAAATCTCTACATTGTAGTTACTACTTACTTAGCTGCATGAGATGGTTTGAGTTTCTCTCCCTGGGATGGTACCAAACTTGATAAATAAGATTTACCAGAAAGTCTACGAAACCTCCATTATTTTGACATGATCGAGGCACTTCATTATGCCATATTACTAAAATTCACAAACTGCCTTAATCTCTTTTTGGCTTTTTTCATGCACCATATTAACCTTACTCCCTCTAAAAACTGTCTACAAATAGTAAAATTAGAACCTTGTTTTCTCGGTACTCTTGATGAACAAATTACGGCTGTTGTGAATGTAGGGCAAGTTGTCTAAAGTGTCAGCAACAACAACCAAAAAATCTGAAGTTGGCAAATGGGATAATTTTTGAAATAAATTAGTGGATACTAAATACTCAAATGTTATATACAGATTCAGTAATTTCTAATGCACATGTTTAATACTGCCCTTGACATATTTTCCCCATATTTAGTTAAAGGAAAGACCTTTGCTTTAGAGGGCTAGGGCCTTATGACAAATGTCTTCAATATATCACTGGAGAACCAATCACTGAAGTTGCTCTCAGTTGATAAAAGTGCTGGATATGAAGTATGGACTAACAGACTTTTCATTTTCCTTCTAATATCCCAAGTAGCAAAGGAGGAAATGCATTCATTCATTCTGAAATTAAAAAAAAATCTTCAACATTACCTAAGAATTGGATAACTTTCTATTTTACCTTCCAAACTAACACTTTTGAAATCCTAAGGAAGTACTATTAATAATTATTGCAGGACAGTTCCAGGAAATTCAGGCTGAATAGTCCCCTTCCTCCCCCTGTAACTCTAAGTAGTCTAGCCTCTAAAATTGTCTCTACAGCCTCTTCTTTGTCACTTCAATCATAATATTCAACCCACATTTCCTCAGGCCTTTCTTCAGGTCCTGAAATGTAACACGCTCTTTTCTTTTTTTAGGGCCTAAACACAGTTTGTTCTCTATTTCTGGAATGCACTCGAAATCCCCTCCACCATATGCCAGTTCCTCTTAGGGACTTGGAACTCCCATTTAACAAGTGTTTATGGAGCTACTACTATTTGGCAGGAAGGCAACACAGCACTGTGGTAAAGATAATGGGCTTAGTCAGATGGCCTCGGTTGTCTCTGTTCTGCTACTTTTATTATCCAGATGATTATCTACTTTTATTATTAAATTATTACAGGTCCTTCAGCCATTTTAGCTTCAGCTTTTTCATCTGTAAAATGAAGGTTTAAAAAAAGCCTTTGTCTTTGGTTTGTTATGAAGCCTGAACAAATGATCTTTGTAAAGTACAGTGAAAAGTAAAGGAAGTAGTTCATAAAAGAATCACTGTTATTAGGAATTAGAAGTAGTATAGTAAACAAGAAAGACTTTGAATTTTACTTCTGCATCTGATCTTCAATGAGTTTAATGGCTGTCAATTTTTAATTCCTTTGACTATCAAATAGTTAATGATCTTCAAGAGGACAGGCATGGTGGCTGACGCCTATAATCCCAGCACTTTGACAGGCCACGAGGTCGGGGGATCCCTTGAGCTCAGGAGTTCGAGACCATTTTGGGCAACATGGTGAAACCCCATCCCCACCAAAAATACAAAAATTAGCCAGGCGTAATGGTGTGCGCCTGTAGTCACAGCTACTTTGGAGGCTGAGGTGGGAGGATTGCTTGAGCCCAGGTGGTCAAGGCTGCAGTGAAACATGATTGCACCACTGCACTCCAGTCTGGGCAACAGAGTGATACTCTGTCTCAAGAAAACTAATAATAATAATAACAATAATAATAATAATCTTCAATAACCCTGTCCCATATATAAAATTTTTCAGGCCTTAATGTCTTGGGGTCAATCAATTACTATGCAATTGCTAAAAGCGATCATCGCTATGAATAAGCGAGTAGGGATTTATATATAATATAATTCTAAAAACAAACACATTTAGAGGTACTATTTTATGTTATACAGTACTAATATCCATGGTTCTTCCCAATCTAAAAGTATAAATTTTGCCCAGTGAGTTTTACCTAGTTCATTTTAAAAGTTGATTTTAATATGACCTTTAATTTTGCTCTGTTTAATTGATAACAAACTTAGATATTTGTTTTTCACTTTTCAACCAGCTCTAGTTGTTGAGACTACCTCTGTGAGGTAACAGAAGAGTTTTATTTCTCAATCACCCACTTTTTAAATTCAAGTATGTACTGCACATGTTGTTCCAGTCTCTATATAGCACACTTTAGGAGTACAAGATATTTCAATGAAAGATGGTCCCCTCATGGTGCTAAAGAGATTTAGGAAAGTTACCATACCTAACTCAAAAACCACAAACTGAAAGATGAAAGTATGAATTATTGGGGACAAGTATACTTAAAATGCCGTAAGGTAAAATGGAGGAAACTTTGTTTTCATAAGGAAGGCTTTTTGGAGGAGCGAGTTTCAGAGCTGGGTTTGGAATATGCATTGTATGCTTTAATTAATTAGAAAAGGAAAAGAAACATGCTGGAATGTGCTTGCATGCACATAAAACAATCTCTGAAAGAACACACAAGAAACTAATAATAACAAATGCACTTGCAGGAAAAAAAAAATACTGGAAAGTAAAGAATAAGGGAGGAAGACTTCCCTGCATCTACTTTATACTTCTTTAAAACCCTGTAAATGTATTAACTACTTATTAATACGTATGTTTACCAATGTATAAATTCAATGTATAAAGAAAAAGTATATTGACGGAGTGTTTTCAAATTATACTGTCTTTCCCAACTGGATTCAACACAAAGAGTTGCGAAGAGAGTATAGAAACATGGTTTCTTACAAGAGTCATTCAGTGACACAAATGGCAATTTTCCACAATTAGGTGCTTTGAAATGTAAATGTCAATAAAATATCTGTAGGATGCTAGTAAGCATGGCCTTAACTTGAGCCTGATCAAAGTGTACAATTCAACTAATGAGTTTTTTTCAAAGATAGACTAAAAATTCACAAACTTTGCTATTGAGAAGGACATTTCTTTTCATTTAACATTAACTGAAGGCCTATTGCGAGCTAGGCACAAGAGACATAAAGACGAATTCGATGACAACCTTTTGATTTGAGACTTAGGTCCTTTCAGTGCCTCAACAGAATATTGAGTGAGGAGGTTCTAAAGGAAGGAGCAAGTATTACTAACTGTGTTTTAGTTGAGAGCGGCTTACAGTTATTAATACATCTTCTATAGAACCTAAAATATCAATTATTACCCAAAATTATCAATTTTATAAAAAGTTATTTTTCTCTCTCAAATTATAAGTTGTGAGTGTATAAATCTATTTCATGTAAGTAAATCAGGCCAGGCGTGGTGGCTCACGCCTGTAATCCCAGCACTTTGAGAGGCCGAGGCAGGTGGATCACCTGAGGTCAGAAGATAGACACCATCCTGGCCAACATGGTGAAACCCCGTCTCTACTAAAAATACAAAAATTAGCTGGGTGTGGTGGCACGGGCCTGTAATCCCAGATATGGGAGGCTGCGGCAGGAGAATGGCTTGAACCCAGGAGGAGAGGATTGCAGTGAGCCAAGATAGTGCCACTGCACTCCAGCCTGGCAACAGAGAGAGACTCTGTCTCAAAAAAAAAAAAAGTACATCAAGAAAATTATAAATGATTCCTCCTTTAAAAAATAAAAACTTATAATGATACTTCATAGAGATTTCCTTAAAGAAAATTTTTTTTAAAAATCTAATATTATAAAATATTATTTTCTTTGATATGCTATGTCTTTTATATTTCATATGGATTGAATATACAAAAACAAAAATATCATTAATGTTTTTAAAGTGTGATGAAGAATATATCTATGTATAGCATAAATATAATGTTATTCAACCATTAGCACAATTTTTCATACAGGATACTTGATGGTTTATCATAAAATGTATTATATTCCATCTTTAAACAATATAACTCTTGGTGAACTTTTCTCAATACCAGTAAATTCAATTTTGTCTAATCCTTGGATCTATAATAATGTTGGCTCATTAAAATGTTAGTTAAAATTCATTAAAATGCATACTGAGAGGTAACAGCTTCATTACTGTAATATGATGTAAAGAAAAAAGAATGTTTTATTATCATTTAGTTATTTTTAGAACTGAATAAATTTGCATAATAAAAAGTTCACTCTATATTTTCAATAGATCTCAAATATTAAGCAGCCCAATAATTAAATTGCAGGTTCTAAAAACATATTATTTTTTACCACAGAGTCCCAGTTGTTGTTGTTTTTTTCAATTATAAAAAATAGTCATATGAAAGATGGTGTTTATTAGTAATTGAAAATCATTTAAAATGGTACAAAAGTATACTAATATAGCCATTATTTCCTTTTCAATATTTAAAATATTTGGTCGAATAAGACTTCCATACAACAGCGGATGGCTCAATAAAATATAGTGATTAATTTCCTTCATTTCATAATACATCAGTACCTTATAAGACTGAAGAATCAGATGGCCATGGAAAAAAATATGGGAAATTAGCTATCAGCTATTATCTCCAATGCAGATATAATAACTCCATGTTTCTCTCCCATTGCACCTTATCTATAATAAGTGCTAGATATATATTTGCTAAGAGTTAATATGTGGAAAATTCCTACAGTTTTTTTTTATTCTCCCCTGAATTCCTACATAATGAAATCATTACCACGAAAGCATTGCATTAAAATGCATCTAATTTAAATGTGTGTTTTTTACCTTGTCTTCTGGAATACTTTTCTTAATTTCCTTCCAACTAGCCATTACTCATCCATCTACTTTGCCAAAAGCTTCCTGCCCTTAAAAAATCGTCAGTACTTAAAACGGAGTGTTCCAGCCACACATTCTTCTGAGTGAACCCCTGCTGGTTCTGCCTCCATGCTGATGATCCCAAAATGCATGCCTCCAGCCTGAGCTACTCTGGAACTTCAGTCTTGTGTCCACCTGCCTGCTTGACAGTGTCTTGAATGTCTAAGAGTAACTCAACATTACCAAAATGGAATTCATGGTTTTCGCCATACAAGTCTTTATTTCCGCAATCTTCCCTGTCTTTGTACATGGTATCATCTTCTATGAATCGCTCAAGGAATTATTATTACTCCTCCATTTCTGTCACCCATGAACACACTCACACCATCCTGACCATTCGTAAGCTCCAATGACTGTGAAACTTATTCAGAATCCACCCGATTTTCCTGACTTCCGCCCCTGTCATTTTGTCTGAGTCACCAACATCTCTCAGAGTACACAGCAGCCAACTCAACAATCTTACTCTTACTCCTGTCCACACTACAGTCAATTCTTCCTGCAGCAGACAGAGGAACCTCTTCAAAATTATAAAAATAAATGTTAACATCTTTTTACATAAAATTCTCCGAAGGACCCCCCCACCCACTCCACCACCCCCATCACATTTAGAAAAAAGTGAAAATCCTTATCCTGGCCTACAAGGTTCAAGAGATATGACCTCTCATCTCGTAGTATCTACCCCTTCTGCTCCCTTCCTTCCCAACCATGCTGGCCTTTTTCTTCTTCTAGCAAGGCCAGTTACTTCCTTGGGTCTTGTTTCTACATTATTTAGTTGGCCTGTGAATTGTTATTCTCCCCATGACTTCCTACACCTCTCCTGTTCTTTTAGTCAAATCTCAGTTTACTTATCACTTCTTCAGTTTCCCCTGTTAGGACTACCCAAACTAAAGAAGCAGCAAGATCACACATATCATATTCCTCTGTTTTCTCCCCTGAATATCACATATTACTGTGTAAAAGTATTCTTGTTTGTGTTCGTTATCTATCTGCTTTTAATAAAATGTAAGCTAGCTCCACAAAGGCAGGAACCAAGTTCATTTTGCTTGCTGTTGTATTTCCAGAGTCTAGAATGGTATCCTTAGCACACAGTAGGTGCGCAATAAATGTTCATTGAATAAACAGATGAATAACGAATTTCAATTCTTGTCATTACTAAACCGGATATAGTTAATTATTACATATGCAACTTTAGTAGAAAGTTCCTTATATTGGTCTAATTGTTGAGTTTACTCAATATATGGGTAGTTGCTTATCTCTTGCTTTAGTAAGGAATGTAATATGCATTGAAGGTATCACTGTGGAATGATCTTGAAATGCTAGTAGTTTCTTATTTTCAAAGGTAAAAACTAACTTCTAAATTTCATGTATTCAAATGATCAGAAAAAAGCCAGTAGCTTGTATCACTTCTTATCACATCCATAACCTTTTAAAGATCATGTTCTGAATGTTTATTTTAAAATATTGCAGTTGTCTAGTGGGGTGGAATAAAACAGTGTCTACTAAATGGTCAAGATTTCTTGTCTATAAGGTCAATTGAATACTCACAATGACCCTGTGAGGTGGGCAGGTTTATAAATGAAAAGACAGAAGTTCCAAGATGTCAAGTTCATCTAGTTAATAAAAGTGGCCAGGATTTGAAAATAGACAATTTTTTATTCTAGATCTTATACTTTAAAAATATTGTGATGAAATAAGATATAACAGGCATATTTTACAATTCCTTAACCTAATAATCAAAGTATACTAAAAATAATTTAGCTTTGTAACTAAGGTCTTCATTATAATCAGTTATTATGCCATGCTGTGAGATGGTGATTTTGAACATTAAGCTAAATCTATTTTTAATTCAAAATTCATGATGACACTTGCTTCTTTGAATAAATCCCTAATATGAGCTTGATTCTGTACAATTGCCTTTTTTTCATAAAAAAAAAAAAGAAAAACAAAAACTGGAGAACAAAAGCTGATGGTGAGTGAATTGCTGATCAGTGTTACATTCTTCTTCTGTATAACCAACTATGGCACCTTTTCCTAATAGGTATGCGGAAACCCTCAGGACTGGTCTTCACTTTTTAAGAAAAATTTAAGCCAGCTTCTTCTTCCAACAAACCCAAACCTTCTAGCCAGCCTCAATCTTTTCTGTCTCCTCATTCACCGTTATTAAAACATTCAAAACTGTATGTTACCATCTTGGAGACAGTTAACTTCTCAGAGTCACATAATTCTTATAGGTTATATTTTCTGCAATTGCAAGTACAAACAGAATCTTGCGTCTTCAGCTATTCTTTGCCCTCTGGAGGTTATGCCCACATGTTTTGGTGATTGAAAGCCTTTTGTTTGAGTCCTGGTATTGTTGCTTAACAGCTATGCCATTTGGAGCAAGTTATTTACCCTCTCTAATTTTTTGTTTCTTCATCTGTGAAATGGGGATAATGGCGCCTCTTATCTAAGGCGGCGATGAGGATTAAGTGAAATAGTTTTTTGGCATTTAGCACATACCTGGCAAAGAGCAAGGTTCATTCATTATCATGGTTTTGCATAATCAAATAGAGATATTTAAAGTTATATATAGTCTCTTATAAAGTATTTATTTGCCCACAGTGATAATTGTCCTGATTAGTATATAAACATATAACTAGGTTGTAGCTCAAACAATAAAATGTCTATTTCTCTATTATTACTTTAATTTAACAAATATTAAATTAATATAATATTTAACAAATACTATTTTGACCGAACAAAATAATACTTAGGAGGACAGAATAATCTGGTTTAAACACTTAAATTCATTAGCTTAGATAAATAGTTGTGACACTTTGCTTCATATTAATTTAGAATAAAATCTAGTCATTTACTTCTTTGGATAGTCTTTCTCAGTGAAAGCACATAAAATAAAAGGGTCGAGATTTGTAGCAAAAGAAAGTGATCCCTGTTGTATGGGAAGCAAGGGCAGAGAATCACTCTAATATAATACCGATCAAGTTTTATGACCAATTCTTAGTGAATAACCATTTAACTTGTATTTATATATAGGCATTTTAACACAAAAAGTAACTCCTTAATAGAAATTTTCGCTACGCTCAAATTTCTAAGACTTTATCTCTCTTTATATTTTAAACTTACACTAAGCAAATGTTATTGTCATTTATTACACTAGGTGCTTTGTCCTCCCTATTATATAGCTATTGCTGGTTAAAAACTAAAAGAGCTCACAGAAAGAAAAAAAGTTGAAATAATGAGGGGAAAAGACAAAACAAATCAGGAGCCTTAGTTTCTTGACAACCCAAAATCACCTGTTTCTGACAGTTCCATCTTCCACTCTCTGAATGCCTGTTAGTAAAAGAAAAGCAGTCCAGCCCACCTCCTGACATCTTTAATTGACTTCCTAGAGAATGTTATCAAGAGCTACTCAAGCGGGGCTAATAGTGCCTGTAGATTGCTCACATATGGCAAAGCTTGGTGTGCTGGACTTTTAAAGGGCTGGAGGGGACTGTAATCTCTATTCAGTGTGGAAGCAAATAGCAAGGTTTATCTGAAAAGCAACAAATAATCCTTTGGTACCCTTGAGACAGAAAGAAGATGTGTAAATGGGGAGAGAGGGAAATTGGTGCTCAGATGCAGACCCTCCAAATATGCCTCACATTGCCATATCTACACTGTGACCCTGAGTTGTGTTCCATGATGGGAACTGCATGACATGAAAGGACACTGGCCATGATATGCCTCCTTTTTCAGTAAGTGTGGATTCTTCTAAGAATATATTCTACTGAGAAGAGCCATCCCATGTTGAGATGAAGTGAAAAGAATCCAGCAGAATTCAAATAAGCCCAGTCATTTCAGTTAAGTTTAAAATGTCATCCCCATAGGAAGAACAGCACATATGGCACCTAAGATCTTCTACCACTTGGATGGCTGCCTTGGCACTTCAGAATGAAGAGAAGTCTGTTTGTTTTCTTTTCTTTTCTTTTTGGATTCGCCACTGAATTTCTCACTTCTGTACATTAGAACTCAGTATTTAACTGGAACAAAATGAAAGTTTTGCACACAAAATCCAGCACACTGTATATCCTTTAGCTTTTATTAAAACATCATTAAGTGTTTTTTCACATAAATGTTTCCTTAACAGTTCCAAGACTACCCCCTACCTCTTTCCTACCTAACCAATATTCTTTCCTTTGAAGCAGGGCCAAGCTTTGAGATTTCTTATATCTCCAACAAAACATAAATAATTACAGACAGCAACTCCTGTTCACACTTAGTTTGGGATCTTCGATGGCTAATTTTATTGGCTTGTTGTTTCAACTTATAAAAAAGTTCACTTTGTAAGTACAAAATAATATAGCTTTCAACATTATTGCTTTTTACTAGTTCTATTTATGTGTGGTTTTCTATAGAATGTGCTATGATATTATGGCATATTTTCATACTACAGTATTAAATAGGATGCTAAGAATTCAAGGTTACATATGAGCACTGACAATACTTTCTGAATAATTCCTCTATCACTCTACTACAAGAAGACATGCTGGGCCTTGATAATTCATTTTTAATAAGAGAAAGGGAAATAAACATTTGCATTTACTTTGCAGATTCCTTCCACATTTAGGAATATTTAACTGGCAAAGCTCCTTAGTTGCCATCAATCCTCAAAGGACATTACTATAAAGAGAAACACATGTGAAAATTGCTTTGCAAATGAGATGATATATAGGATGATGGCATTTGATATTTATTAATGAATGAATAAAAATGCATATTAGTCATTGCCTCAAACATCTAAAAAAAAAAAAAAGAGTATAAGGCCGGGCGCGGTGGCTCACGCCTGTAATCCCAGCAGTTTGGGAGCCCGAGGCGGGCGGATCACGAGGTCAGGAGATCGAGACCATCCTGGCCAACATGGTGAAACCCCATCTCTACTAAAAATACAAAAATTAGCTGGGCGTGGTGGTGTGTGCCTGTAATCCCAGCTACTCAGGAGGGTGTGGTGGGTGAATAGCTTGAACCAGGGAGTTGGATGTTGCGGTGAGCTGAGACTGTGCCACTGCATTCCAGCCTAGTGACAGAGCAAGACTCAAAAAGAAAAAGAGTATAACGATTTTTGCTTTTCCTTAATTTCGGACTTCTGTTTTGCCCTAATTAAGTATATTCACATGTCAGCGATTATATTTTTAGTGTCATAATTTTTCCATATTTGTTTCCATACATTCTTTTCATTAGCGTAACTTAAAAGTTTTTCGTAAATGATTGTAACTGCTGAAACACTTTTTTCAAGTTTCCGTCAATGATTCAGTATTTCCTTCTCAAAGGTATGAAAAAATGTTCTCTCATTAATCAAACAACATGCAAGATTTGCTATTTATACTAGTAATTCTATTTATTGTAAAGCCAGTTAAATGTACTGTTTTGGGGTCAGCATTAGAGTTTCATTGTTCTATTTGTTCTCCCATAATAATTTTACCTTTTGAAATTACAAGCTAGTGACTATTAACATCTACTTTATATCAGCAACAACAAACTACTAATCCATTTTTTCTCGCCATCTCCTAGTTTAAGCCACTTTTATACACCCAGGAGATGGTAGACTAAATTACAGTCTCAGCCTGGCTGTAGGAATGTGTTCACTATAAGAAAAAGCTAACTCAACCATGATCTTCAAACTATGATAATTCATATGGTATCCTAACAAATGATCTTAGCATTATGTCAACCTCTACCACAAATGAATGGATATAAACAAATAACATAAATAAATTGAAAAAGAGAAGACACAATTAAGTAAAATTGGTTAGAATGAAAAATAATCATCATCCTAGAAATTTTTAAGAGTGCATGATGGCTTCTTATGAACTAGATGTGAAAAAAATATTCAAAGGAAACACCTTTCAAAATGCCAAACTGTGAAGTATTATAAGTCAGATGCACTATGGATTAAAAATAATTTTCTGTACAAATGATGCCAGTAGAGAGTTAGAGTGATGTCACAGCATAAACATCATTCTGCAGGAGATTAATACAAATATTTCCAACTTTCTGCCTCAAATGTATAAGAATGACTAAATGAAAGGGTGTCTTAATATAACACCTAGGGTGCAATCAAGAGAGTTTTGATTGCAAATGAGTCAGGGATTTAGCATAAGGGCATGACCTATATGACTACGACAGTGGAAATGTGTAGAAATTGACGAGGCCAACTGAAGACTCTGCAAATTTACCAAGGCAGGACACCAGAAAATGCAAAAACCCAATAACCAAATTGAACGCTTATCTTTTTCTCAAACACAATCTTGTTTATATTGGTAAACAACAGTAACCATTAAAATATCAGTGTCCCAGACAAGATTTAAAAAGAAGAGAAATAAGCTAGCAAATATTTGTACCATAAACCGGCAAGTATTAAAAAAAAAAAAAAGCCCAGAGTAAGAAGACTTTGAGGAAGATGCTAATCTTGAAGAAGGCTACATACAAGTTCTATTTTTTAAAATGTCTAATGAGGGTGTCTGGTCCAATCATTAACGGGAAATGAGGATTGAAAATAGATGTGCTGATTGAACGGGGGAGCAAAAAAACATGTATTTGCAAGACACTTAAAACACATCAGAAATGTTTCAATCTTCTAATGATCTTTCTTCACTGTTCTTCCTGGAAGCTCATATTATAAAAAGGTCAATATGTTATTTGGTTTTGATTTTGGCAGTCAATTGATAAAAATTAATCCCATAATTGCTAAATTACTACTCCAAGCCATGCACTCAAACATAACCTGGAAAATAACAGTAATAAGGTAGAGTTTCTGTCTTCAAGAATCTAAGAATCTAACAAAAACTAGGACTAAACAAGAGAAAACATTTAATACTTCTCAGAGATAATCAGGAATATTAACTAAATTTTACATACTTTTTTCCTATCAAACAGATTCTAACAGAGGATTTATTATAGCTGCTTGACAAAGGAAAAAGTCTCAAGTTATATGAAGCTCCATTAGCATCTGTAAATTGAGGAAATCAGAGTAGATTATCTACAATTCCTTTTAACCCTTATATCCTATAACATAAATAAAACAATAATGGAAACAAGCAGGAATAGTAAGTGAATGTGAAATTAAATTCCAGTTAGTGGATATGACTAGCCATTGAGATTGAAGTGAAAAAAAAAAAGGCTTTAAAATTGTGACTAATAGGAATCAATCCAAGTAGATGGGCATTTGGAGAGATACCATGTTCTCTTTAACTCTGTGCCTCAAAGCCAACTGCAGTGATGAGAAAGTTGCTCAATAAATGTTGAATGAAAAATGACACAGAAGACAATTGATGGAGAAGATATCCTATTTTTATTTTGTTTTATGAGTATTTCTTCCAAAATTTCATAGTAGTTTAATAGAGAAGGCAGTAAAATGGTTTAGATAAATAAGAAAATAGAATAAGATGTTGGTAAGATTTTTAAATGGCAATGTTGAGTAGACTTGGCTATACGGAAGTGTGATACCTAGGCCATAGACATACTTTGGGGAAATGTCAGCCATGTAGTAGCTGAAGACATGAGATTAGAAGACACTACTTGAGGAGATGGATGAATTCCTGACAAGAACCCTGAGAAATACCCATTTTAAGGATCAACAGGAAAAGTGAAAACTGCAAAAAACATTACAATTCAATTCACATTGGCTTGTATGTGTGCTTTTGATATTCAAACCTGTTTCTGCAACTGGGATTAATTTTCCCATTGATTTCTATAATTAAATTCTGCTTTTTATTTAAAAAAAACATGTTTTGGTTTTAGGACACAAAATATCACATTCAAGAAATGAATCCATTTAATGCTAATCTTGTCACTTGTAAGCTGGATCTAGTAATAAGAACAGCTACTATTTATTGAGCACTTGCTGTAAACTGAGTACTGTTTAAAGACTTTGTAGGCATTTTCTTTTTTAACCTTAAAAGAACCGCAAAATTACGTATTATTATATTGCCATTTTGTGAATGAGAATATCGAATGTATAATTGGTGTCCACTTCCAGTGATAGCAAAGGGGTACCTGGGGGATTGGAATGAGTGTCTGCTGCACTTATAAGCATGCTTTTCGTATTCACTATAAAGGTTGACACAAACATGGTTAGTTTATCTGATTTTAACTATATATATGCTCAGAAGGAGAGAGCGGGAGAAAAAGATAATATTTCCACAATTCAGTCAATTCCAAACAATATTCCTATGAAATAAAGTTTGGAAATCTTTGCAGTCCTGTTTCCCACATGAAATGTGAACATCTCACTCTTCTGCTCACGATGAATGAGTATGATACTTTGCAAATGATTTGAAGGACTTTCAAGGATCATTTTTACATTATTTTGCCTATGAATCAACTTTCAAAATTATTCCTTGTTTAAAATATAATTCAATGAGATATTCATTTTTGTCTAGGGGGAAAGATGGAAGCTAGGAAGAAGAATGAAGGGAAGAAAGAAGCTGGAAACCATCACTCTCAGTAAACTATCCCAAGGACAAAAAACCAAACACCGCATGTTCTCACTCATAGGTAGGAATTGAACAATGAAAACACTTGGACACAGGAAGGGGAACATCACACACTGGGGCCTGTTGTGGGATGGTTGGGGGAGGGATAGCATTAGGAGATATACCTAATGTAAATGACGAGTTAATGGGTGCAGCACACCAACATGGCACATGTATACACACCTAACAGACCAGCACATTGTGCACATGTACCCGAGAACTTAAAGTATAATAAAAAAATTAAAAAAAAAGGATTTGCTTTTTAGAGTCAGAATGATTGAAAAGAATCACACACAAAAAAAAGAAAGAGTAGAAGGGAGAATCAAAGGGCAGGAGAGGGGAGAGATAAAGAGGAAATGAACTAGACTTTGCACATTTTGGCTGGTAATGGTGGAATAGTCAAAGAGTGAGATCTTGCAATTATCTTCTCATTTATTCACTTAATATATATTAAATAAAACTGCACTTTGGGCAAGCACTGAGCTAGCTAGCATTGGGATGCAATGTGGAGCCAAAACATACCTGTACCCTATGGACCTTCGTTAAAATAGCATTACTTTCTTCTCATGAGGACATTAAGCCAAAGGTAGTGATCTAAATAGTGAAAAGCATATGAATTCAAAGAAAAATACTATAAAATCATAATAATTTTAGAATGGGAGGAGGAATTTTATTTCTTTTAAGTTTGGAGGATCCTTTCAGCATAAATAAATTAAAAATGTGGTTTTTATATGGATAGGGATCATTTTTCAAACTTTAAAATTCAAACAAATTAAATAGAAAGAATTGGAAATTATAAATGCTGCTTAGTGAAACTTGCTTACACTGGATTTTAAGCTATTGAAGAAAATTTTGATGTAACTGGGAAATAAAAATTTGTAGGAATCCACTTACATAGCGTATGTTCTGATTCCCTTTGAGAATTAAGGCCATTCTCAAATGCATTTAGACTTTTGAAAAGTGGTATCAGGAAAGCTTAATGAATATAGCTGCTGAAACTGACGGATGAATATAACAAAATGTACAAGAAAACTAGGGTGTTTGGAACATGCTTTTTGACTTTGTAGAATTTCAAATATGCCTTCAATGAAATGTGCAATTCTTTCATAAATTTCACTATACTCCGAATTTTAATTAATAAAGGCCAAAATTTCGTTCTCTAATTATCCAGCTTGAATACCGTCAATTATCTCAAAGTACGATTCTGCATATACAATACCTAACAAAGACATTTTCCTTCCACTATCTTTACCTTTAACTTGCCTCGACTTATGAATAACACAAGAAAATCGTTAGTCTTTCTAAAAACTAAAGCCTTTAGGCTTGCTGTACTTATTCTGCCATTTTGATATTGACAAAGTAGAAATCTCACGTATAAGTATCCACAAATAATATTTAAAACTTTTTCATATTAATTGATGGGATCCAAGTAAGACAAATAGAAATTTATTAAATATACCAGTACTAATAGTAATAATTACCATTCTTGGGTATCTATTATACAGCAGGCACCACATTGGCCAATAATCTGTAAAACTCACATCACTTATCAAGGGATTATTATCTCTAGTTCACTTTTCAAGGGATTATTATCTCTAGATGTACATTTCTGAGTTTCAGAAAGTGATATTCCAAAGGTCATTAAGCTTAGAGATGGAAATCCAGGGCCCTTTTTCTCTAAAATATGCATTCTTTTCACTTCCCTTACTAGAAAACATTAGTTGAAGCTGCGTGATCAACATGTCATGTTAAGAACAAGTAGTGTAGTGTCTCATTTAACATCAAAGTAAAAAAAGTAAGTTTGAATATTCTAACAACTGGATTCTCAATTTTAAATAAAACCAGCTGACTCAAATATGCAATTATTCTAAAATATGCCCAGAGAAAACTGTCTAGAGAGTATCTAAAAATTAGCAACGAGCTATTTCTCATATGGACAAACAAAAGCTTCTGGCACACATGTTATTACTTTACAAATTTTTTTTTTTCTGTGTTTACAGGAGACACAGATTTTTATTTTGCTAGAGCTGAAATGGAAAATTATTTTATTTTCTATTGACAGGCAGATGGCAGATTTATTATTTTTACTCTGTGGTCAGTTAAAAATAAAAAGCCCATTGTGCATCGCAAGAAGGTCTGTGGCTTGTTTTTAACAGAGCTGGACTCACTTGGTGATAAAATGCTAGCCAATCCCTTATGGCCCCTTTTGAGATCTGACTTTGCTCACTGTGAGAGACACTATTTTTTTCACTTGAATAATTTTATATAAATAAACTCAGATTTTGCTAGCTAAGCACGTGGAAGTCATATAAAGCACACCTAATCACACAGCTTAAGCATTCAAAATGTAGCATATCGCAAAAACTGCAGTGCTGTTTCTGTCAAAACCTGTCACCTGATGCATAAAATTGTTGGTTTTATGAGTCATTTTTCAGTGAACTCTAATGGAAACACAGCTAGATGGAGATTTTAATGAAAGATGCAGATTTCTTTCTTCCCTTTTTTGAATGAAACTCAACCAAAAGTGTCCTCTCTGTGATTAAAATGAACGCATATTTTGTTCAAGATGTATGGACTTACAGCACATTTATTATCCCTTCTCATCCCTAAATATATATTTGCCAATCTGACTGCATATTTAACAACCTAAAATTCACTTACCCCATACGCATATTTAAAAATTTAAAAATGGAAATTAAAAATACAGACCTTTTCATTCTTCTCATTACTATCTTGTTTTCATGACCCGAATGACCATTTGCTTTAGTCACTAAAGTGCTTATTTCATTCTATGAACTTCAAGCTCAAGTTTTCTTTGGAAAATTTTAATTAATATTGCATTATAGAATAGAATATTTAATAATGTTAATTTTAAAGAACAAACTAATTCCATGTTTTATGATTTTTACACCTTTTCATGTAAGCAATTAGCATATCTAATTGAATACTCAGTATGCTTAGAAATGTTTACCTTTCTTTTCAAAGTAGTTCTACAAAACTTAAAGAGCTAAAACTTTTATAAACAATTTTTACATACCTATAAATATCTGTAATTTTCTACTTCAAATAAACCAACACAATCACACCAAATGAAATAGATAATAAATTTATTCACACTTTCTCATGTGATTTTTTTTCACATAGAGTTGTGCATAAATGTTTTTAACTTGGCTCTTATATGTGATTTTTTGAGGAAAAGCTTAATGTTGGTCTCAAGCCCAGAGCTCAGCAAGAGACTGGAGGTGACTCTTACAGGCAAAAGTTCAATAAGGGATGTGGTTCCTTTGCCCAGTTCCCCCGAGAAGCTGCCAGTCTCTTGAAATAAAGTTTTCTACTTACTTCATTTCGATTCAATAATTTTTCCTTAATATATACTCTGTGCCAGGCAGTGAAATGTACGCAGACTAATACCTGTCCTTACGCATAATAAAAGGTGTATCCATTAGTTAACTCTAGCTGCCTTGCTAACCTCAAAACTCAGTGGCTTAACAAAGCCAGCTTAAGGGCTTACAAAAATTATTTCATTGGCTCACACTTGTGTGTGTCAGAGATTAGGGCCGACTTTGCCGAATGGTTCTTCTCTTGATCTTACCTGGGGACACTGATTCATCTACAGTCATCAAGGGATCTTTACTGAAGCTGAATGGCCAAAGGTGGCCTTGTTTACATTTGTAGGTAGTTGGTGCTGTTTGTGGTCACTGGGGCAGCTATATAGCTGGGCAGCTGGGCTACTCTCCCCTCATAGTAATTTCAACTTCAAAAGTCATAGGCCAGACTACTTCACATGGGGACATCAGTGATCCTGGAAGTCAAATGTGGAATCAGCAAGGCCCCATGAGGTGTTAGCTCAGCCCATCAATGCCACTGCATTATTTTTCTCAAAGCAAGTCACAAGACCAGCCCGGATTCAAGCAATAAAGAAAAGGGCTCCTCCTCTCAGTAGGAAAATGAGCAATGTCACATCGCAAAAACTGTAGGTATAGGGACAGAAGAAATTATTGTCACTCATCTTTATAAATGCTCTGCCTACCATAGCTTGAAAAATTTACTGCGACACTTTATAATCTTTATGTACAATGAGCAAGAGTTTATATTCAACAGTTTTTCTCACACATATGACCTTGAGTAGCTCAATATTGCACCACTTTTCACCATCTCTTACAATCTTTCAAGGATAGAAACAAACTATAATTAAAACAAGACAACCAAACATGAAGGTTTAACATATATGGATTCTTTCTATCTTGATTGTGTTGTGCACTAGAACTTTTTAATTAGTCAACGTTGATTTGGGAACCAGCAGATGAGATTTCCTACTCTGAATTTAAAAGAAGACACTAATTAGTTCAAAAGGATACTATCGCTGATGCTCCTGCAGAACTTATATAAATATAAAAAATGAATTCCGTCTCAAGCAAAGTGTGATGTCAAATTTATTCTATAATTTTGGTGGTCCGTCTTGTGAACCTATTTCCAGAGATATTACTCAAGCACATTAGCATCTTATGGCAGAGTAGTACTAACCAAAAGCCTATTACATTAAGCCTTAGTATATAAAAAGTTAAATTTTTAACAGTCTATTTTAATTTAGTGTTCTCAGAATTTAACAGGAATTAATAATCCAACAGCATTACTGAAGAAGAACCTCATCAATATTAATAAACAGCAAAAAAGGCCAAAGTATTGAATATTCCAACACTTGACATTCAGAATACTATGTTTCTTACTATAGTAAGTTGTATCCAAAATATTAGTGATGACTGTTCCTGTGTATACAGAACAGATATTTATGGACTATCAAGCAATAGTGCTAAGTAACTTATTAGCATTGGCTGTTGCTATGAAACATTTCAAGGTGTAGTATCAATTAAAATCTCAATATACTTGAGAAAACTTCCCTCAGCTAGCAATGGGTTATAAGTAGGTTTTCCTTTTATCAAACTCTGATCTCATTTTTCCTTGAGAAAACTTCTGGCTATCCAGGAAATTAAACAGCATCTGATTGGCCTGTTTACATTTTCTCATTTCCCCAAACTATTTTGCTTCATTTACTGCATTCTTTCACAGTGAAAGTGATTTGGGAATTTAAGATGGATTCATTCTGCTCAAACAGATGTCAAAGATGAGGTACATTGATTTTAACAACTATTTAGGGGCCATGAGAGAAATAGCTTTTCCCATGTAAAATTCTACTGTGAGCACCCAAAGGATTTTTTTTCTGTTCTTTCCACCACTATATTTCACTAAATTTAGTCAAATTTATTGAGCAATAGTTTTGTGTATTGGTGTGGAGAACGGACATTCATATTTAATTTTAAAAACTCTGCTAATATATTGTAGAAATTATAATATGTGGGAATAGTTTCATTGTAGTAGAAACCATATACAGTGTTTAAGCACTATAAGAAAAATACAGTGTCTATTTTTACAGATATAAAGTGATTTTAATAGGAAAACAAAAGATATGCTGCTTATATCCTTAAGGGATATGACAACATGATGAAAACAATATGGATATATACTTATTTTGATGTACTTTTTTTCTGTTAGCTGCACTTGGGTGCAATGAGAAATTAATACTTGCCCAGCAGTTAAATCAAGCATGGAGCTGAGTGGTATAGTAGTCTTAATATCCTTTCAAATTGTTATTGGTTTCAAATTATGAAATACATATTGCAAAACATTATCATATGAGAAAGAGAAGTAAGAAAGAGCATATAAACTGCCTGTGTCATCATTTTCTTTGTGTTTATGTGTGTGTGTGTGTATAGCTTTGATGTCTACAATTTTGTCTTAGTAAGTGAATCTTTGACAATTAGATGGTGCTGAAAAGTATTTAGTAACCTGAAGTATGATGCTATTAACATCGACTAGAGAGACAGAGAAAAATCAATACAAATTTTGCTCACAATTAGCAAATAATTCAATGATTTCTTGCTGGTCCTCTGGAGAGGAGAGTTGTAGACTCCTGGAATTCTAGGAAAGATACTCTGAATTTATTTCTACAGAAAAGCTTATCTCACAAACCCGAAGAATAAAGGCATAAGTCTAAATGAGTCAATGCCTCAGGGTAATTGGAGTTACAGACCCAATTACTACGTGTCATCCTAGTAATTATTTCACCTGTACAGTATACTAGACACAGTTTCAAAATGGAATTCCTGTGGTTTATATTACAGAAAGCTATCCTTGCTATACTAAAATTAGCAAAAAAAAAAAAAAAAACAAAAAAAAACCTTTTAATTGTTTAAAAGCAACTGGTACCTTTATATGCTACTACAATTAATTAGACAAAAATACATGCATATTTTTATCAGGAAACTATCATGAAAATTCTAGCTTCCATAGTTATCAAGTTAAGGCTATATCTATATTTAAATTGTTCACTTATTTTCTTTACTTTGTGGAAAACCTTGAAATCTCTAACCTTGTTTTACAATATTATTTATAATTTCAAGAGTCAACTTTTTTATTTTTCCTATTAGAAGTTTGGTCGAAAGTCACTATTAGTTGCGATATATAATTATTTTTGTATGGATATTTAAGGATGAGAGTATAAATAAGTATATATAATCACTGGGAGAGGGAAGTAGGGAAGTATTTTATGAGGAGTGACATACCCATATTACACCAAATAAGCTTTCTGTTTAATATATATCCTATTGATTTTGAGGTAAGTGACAATTATTGAATGTTACACTCATTTGACTGGTTTTAAGAAGTCCTGAGATAGTCTTAATTTTAATTTCATATTTTTCCTTAAATTAAAAAAGCATTAATTTTTAAATGTATCTTTCCACTAGTAGCGTAGAGTGGCTAATGATGCTGTGGGCCAGGTGCCCATCTTTCTGCTCTCCTGTCTTCATCTTCTTAAGACACTGAACTATCTAAGTCCCTAAAAAGGCTCTATCTGCAGAAGACAAAAAATGTATCAGCAACATGGCAGTTGACGTCACCAAACGGATGTGGCACATCAATCACTTGCTGATTTTATTTGCCGAAAAAGAGCCATACGCCATTTCAAGAATGAGAACACCAAATCAGCTTGGGTACTGGAACTGGAATGCATTGTAGACACGTATCCCATCCAGACCTTGTCATAGCAATTGGTAAGGATGCCTCCGCACATTCCAAACATAGGTGACAATTCTGCATGTCTGCTGACAACTCCTAACTGGAGACACTAACTATTCAAATATGAAATCCCTGCCCTTTTCTATACATTATATAGCTTAAATAAAGGTCTTTCCAAACTCCCAAAGCCTGGGATAAACAGATGTGTTCTTTTCGGTATTTTCTGCCTTTTTTCCCACATAGGATTTTATACGTCATCCACTGAGAGCCTTCAGTATCAAGCAGCAATGTGCTTTATGTAGAGATGTCAATGCTGCTAAATCAATAATTCCAATGTGTATTTTAACCTCTTTTTCCTCTTTAAAACTTTTCATGGTGGCAAAATATTAGTTTCAATTAACTGAACTTAGAAAAAATTATCTGTCAAAGGGCAAACTAAAAAACACCAACAGACAGAAACTGGTATGTCATTGAACAGAGTTATTGAGGCTGTTTACATGGAGACATAAGTTAATGTATTCAGAGACACAAGTTAATGTATACAAAAGTTAATGTTTCCATTAAAATTTGAAGGTTTTATACACACATATCTACCTAATCAGAGTAAGCATATAATTATATACTCAAATATATCAGGCACGATAAAAAGTTTATATTCCCTTAAAGCTTCATCCTCTGTATTAAATAGGAGGTTATTCTTTCTAATAAAATACATAAAGACGTGAACCTACATTTATTTATGCAAATACATGTTTAGTAAGAGAAAATCTTAATATTAAAATGCTATTCCATAGTATTCTTGAATTTACTTCATATGGAATCTTAGAGGGAAATGTTGAATAAATAGAAAAGAAGATCTAAGATCAAAAATGAAGGCATGGACAAAGATAATAAGAAACAAATGGGGAGGTAATCAGGAAGAGAAGAAGTAAGGCTAATTAGAGACATTATCTGCTTAATTTGTAAAGTGTGAAGCCTAAGATGCTTTATGCAGATTGTTTTAGAAGATTGAGAAGTTGGAAAGAATGACATGAGAATCAAGAAAAAAAGTTCAGATTTGGTAGGAGGGAGGGGCTCTGGGCTGGGTAACTCTGACATTCCCTTTATGTCTCCTTTCGTCCAAGTTGGCTGTCTTAATGCTATGTCTGCCTGCTGGCTACATAGCTACAACTTGCATGGGGAAGAGACAAGAACTCTCCAAATGAAGTTAGAGGATTTAATGTCTTTTTACTCATATGAGAAATGATTAAGATGTTAAATTAGAAATTATTTATGTTAATATATAGGTAAAAATGTTAAAGGGAAAAAAAATTATAGTATTTTTCTCAATTTCTTCTATTATTTTATAAAATGCAATTTTAGTAGAATTGTCTACCTCTAAAACAAGAACTCCAAAAGCACATACATTTATTCTTCAATATTATTTTGACATACTGTTTCATGGTACTACTAACAATAGCTGAGTAGTTATAAAATATACTAGAACTGCACTACTTAAATTGGGCAATGAGTGGCACTTAGACTATTTTATTGAGCACTATATGTAAATGATGTTGCCACACTGGAAATTTAAGATTTTAAGTGAGAAAAAAATCCATGTTAAGCTGAATTTATTTTTTTCTCAGTCTATTTCCTCTTCTGAAAAAAAAAAGATAATAATAACCATCCTATCCTCATTGTATGAGAATTATTTGAAGATTATTGAGCATAATGTGTAAAATGGTTCTATAAACAGTTCAGGGCTATACAAGTATTATTAAAAGCAATTATTTATAAGCAAAATTATAATAAGACTTTGATTTTACATTCATTGTTCTTTCCATTGTATCCAATGAAATCCTAGTATTTCGCTAAAGTCTCTAAGAATGGCAACAATATTTGATTTGAATTTCATTTAAATTTGGTTTTCAACTATTTTTATAACAAAAACTAACAATGCACTCAGACACATTATATTCCAATCCCATCATATGAGAACCACCATATGTGCAAGCAATCTAACTGACTTCATGCAGAGGTTGGAGTCCACTCTTTCTGAGCACTGATGTAAAATTCAGGTGTTTATTATTACTAATATCTGTATAGCACTGTAAGGCTTGCAAAACCATTTCAGAAACTTTATATGGGAAAGTCACACACTACATCACAATAGATCTTGGAAGAGAAGATTCTGATTTAGCGTTTCAAATTTGCCCCGGCTCATTTGGAACATGGTACAAATGAGAATGCTACACATGTGAACCCTGGTACTCAATACTTAGGGTCATATGTGGGGTAAGTGCACATCATCACGCTATAGTCATTTCACTGCTACTAACTGATACAACACGTCACAGCACCATGATATTGTGCCATGTATTGGAGACTGTTTTGATATGTATAAGTTTTAAATGCTTATCCTTAGACATTTACATTCATAGTATCTCTTTAAATACTATTTAATTATGTTTTATATGATACAGCTCTGCCATGAAGAAAAGGTTTTCATTGGGTGAAAAAAGTTTGAAAATTACAGTCCTATTTCCTACACAACAGGATAGTTTTACAGAATGACCATACTCTCTCTTTGAATGAAAATAGCATCATGCAACAAACACATGACTCATGAATGTAATTTTTTTTTTTTTCTTTTTTGAGCCGGAGTCTCGCTCTGTCGCCCAGGCTGGAGTTCAGTGGCGCGATCTCAGCTCACTGCAAACTCTGCCTCCCGGGTTCACGCCATTCTCCTGCCTCAGCCTCCCGAGTAGCTGGGACTACAGGCGCCCGCCATGACGCCCAGCTAATTTTCTGTATTTTTAGTAGAGATGGGGCTTCACCGTGTTAGCCAGGATGGTCTCGATTTCCTGACCTCGTGATCCGCCTGCCTAGGCCTCCCAAAGTGCTGGGATTATAGGCGTGAGCCACCGCGCCCGGCCGTAAATCTGATATTATTGTTCCATTTTAACTAATACTTAGGAAGCAAGTCTAAAATGTGTTGTGGGTAAACCTAACACATTTAAGATAAAAAATTATCTTAAATGTAAAATGTTTTAAAACTTTCATTCCTCCATAATCAAAACGTTGATAAGCATCAGCAAAAAATGACCATTGTAAATTTGTGTTTTCTTTGATTTTCTGAAGAGAATCGCTGACAGTCACATTCTTCTAATATTTTAAGCTAATTCACCAAAATGGAATTTTAAAGTTTAGAAACTAGCAGGTTTTTTTCTAGGAGAGGTAAAATGTCACTTTGAAAACCTTGACTAAAGACATTTATCTTCTAACTGTTACTCTGTGTGATCATTTTTCTTCAGTCTGATCCCAAAGGCCTCTGTCCCAGCTGTCCTTCAGAACACTGATTTCTTATGCAGTACAGCTCATTTTATAATTTTGTATGTTTAAATTTAGACATGAAGACATATGTCCTTCATATCTCGTATTTTCAATCCTTGCAAAAGGATTTTTAAGTAACGTTTTATAACAAAGTTAAAGCGTTGGGTTTTTTTACATGACACTGTTATCATTTTTCTTGTGTATTATTTTATGAATATTTTAATATACAGCATAGGTATATGTGTGTGTATAGATATACATATATACAGTTGCACACTTACATTTTAAATGAAACAATAATATTTCAACCCACCCTGATCTAGTATCAGCACATATACATTCCCGTCTCTGTTTTGGAAACATCCAATGCTTTACACAGCAATCTTCAAACATGTTTCTTGGATTAAATTAAGGCACACCATGATAAAACTAAGCAAAAATGAAAAGGGGCTGCCCTGTTGTAAAGCCAGTTGGGCAACGAATGGCACAAGGGGACAAGCCCCAGTGAAAGAGGAAAGGTCCAGAGGGAGAAAATGACGTGTAGAACTACACTCTACTCATTTGTATGTCAGTCTTCCCTTGGACATTGTCTTTCCACAATCAGCAGGAAATCTTCGACAGAAAGAATAGAATATGGGAATTGTAAACAGAATTAGGGCAAGAAAAGAGAAAATGGGGAGGCATGGGAGAAAAGAACGCAGAGAATGGGGAGTTTTCTAAATCTGGGTGCATAGTGACATATCCTCTCCTCCCGTCCTCACCACCCGCAACCCTCAAATATTCCTGGAGACTGAGCTTCCACAACCAGGTCAATTCTCAATGGTGTAAATGGAAAAAGAATGTAGCAAAAATTGAACAATTTCAAAGATTTTACACTCGGCTGAGACTTTCCTTCTTTCCCAGTAAGAATGAATAAAGAGGAATAAAATTGAGCTTTCACATAGGTCTTGCAATTGAGAATAATTTCAAAACATTTTGTTCAAAAAGAACATGAAAACCTATCAAATGTTTACTATAAACACAGTGAACTTACATTTTTATTCTTCATATTATTTCTAATAGAATAATTCCATCTATCATGTCATGACCCATATATATGGGCTAAGATATTTACTCAGTGCATATTTTAACTACTAAAGCCATATGCACAGCTCATTATAAAAGTACATTTTAACTTTTTAACTACCATAAATGCAAAATCTTTACATTTATTTGGAAAAAAGCCGGTATGTGATACTGGTGATTTAACTTTTATTTAGATCAAAAGACTCTCAAGTTAATAATGAGTTTTGCCACTCAATACTAAAAACAAGGATGTAAAATAGCATAAGAAAGTAATTAGAGGGACAAAGCCTGGATTCAATAAGTACGTGATAGCAATCAATATGGAAAGCTAGGCTTTTTATTGACCAAAACAGTGTAAAAATGTGTCATATGTAAAGACAAAGTAAAAATGGGAATAGTAATGGTCATCTTACTAAACCATCTTTTATTGTTACTCTAAGCACATGGTAGACTGACATAAATGAAAACAACTTCTGTGTTTTAGCTACATTTATATCCTGTTTCTCACACTGAGCATATATATAATAACTATCTTCTGTATTTAAAACTACATATTACGTAAAAACTATTTTTTGTTTGCATATTATGTTGCTACATCATTCATTCAATAAATATTTTTGGACTGCCTCCTGGACAAGTAACAGGCCAAAATGTGTTTAACTTAATTAAAAACCACTTAAGAGATGAGGTATGATATGTATGAGGTGTCTGGAAGAGAGCTAAAACACGTTAGAATGTAAAATGTTCAGATAAAATGTTTATCTAGAAAAGAAGAACACAGGAGAAAGGAAGCAAGGAAAATGAGAGGAAAATTGGGGAGGGTAGGAAAAAACAGGAAATGTTGAAGGACATGGGACTGTCAAAGTTGATTGACATTCTTGCCTTAGTAGGTTGCCTTGTACTCCTTAATACTAATGGTTAGCATGCGTCTTCTCTTGAAATGCATTAATACAAGGAACCCTTCATACTTAATAAGGTATTCTTTTGGTGGATCTTGGTCTGTTCTGCCCTGAACAACGTAAGTATTTATTTCAGCAAATGCCAGAGAATAAGAGAAGAGAAAAATGCAGTCCATCTTTTTCAGAACTAATTTGTATATCATAATTTCTAATTCATATCATAAGAGGCCACAAAGCCATGTAGCTTCATAAAATACAGATACACTGCAATGGAAAAATCATCAGATATCTTCATTTTAGAAATGACATAGTCCTCCTTTTTAAATATATTTCCTTGATCATCATGTTCAAATCCTGAGCAAAGTTGATAAAGCAGATGACTGTTTCAATGAAGTGATTAGTCCAGGTTCTGTATTAAGATACTAATTGCTTCTTAATAACTTACAAGATATTACTCACTTTTTGCTATTAATTTAAGGGACAATGGATAATAGTAAATAGAATGTTCTAGTCTATTTAATTAACATTTAGAAAATTAGCTGCTAAAGCTGATGATAATTGTAAGAATTTAAAAATGGTTTGAATGCAAAAGGACAATATATATTGTCCTTTTGTATTTTGCAATTTTTGTTCTCCCCCATCATGGTTATTATTTTGACTTTCCCTTGAACTAGTGAGATTTCTTTTAGTTTAAATGACTTTGACCACATAGAACACTACAGATTTAATAGCTCTGTATGTAAAACTAACTCAAAAAAACTACTTCACTTTTTCTTACAAAGCCAATATGAGTTATTTAGTATTATATGATAGTTATTTAGTAACACATCATCCACAAAAGAAAGCTTTCTTCTTCTGCATATACTTTAAAAGTACAGTTTAGCACAGGGATCTGGAAGCAACACCCTGTGGGTCAAATCTGCCTGTTGCCTGTTTTTGTAGAGCTGGTGAGCCAAGAATGCTATTTACATTTTTAAATGGTTACAATTTAAATGACTAGTAAGCACATATATAATATGCTTGATTTACATGTAATAAACATAACTATTGATATTAATATAATCTAATATGTAATATACACAATATATATACACATATATGCGTGTGTGTGTGTGTGTGTGTGTGTGTGTATCCCCTTCTCTTCAATACACACTCTTTTTCAGATACTCACTTTTCACCCTAAACAGTCTGAAGTGTTCTGGCAAACCTGCTCTCTCTCGTAGGTTGGGTATGCTCACTCTCTTTCCATATATATATAAAATATATACAGATTTATTTCCTGGTAAAACTCAGTTTCAGGCTTGAAATGCTCAGAAATCAGTCTAAGTGGGTAGTCATTTGGACAATTGCTAGTCCTCTTTGGATGTCTTGTTGCTGTTGCCATTTGCTCATCCCTCTCAGAGGTCAACTCTGTCATCTATCTATCTATCAATCTATCAATCAATCTATCTATCTATGTATCTATCTATCATCTATCTACCTATCTATCTATCTAGAGGCCGAGAGAGACAGAGAGAGAGCGTGCAAGCACATTTTCCAATCCAATCAAGGCTGTGTAGGTTGAAAAGTTTGTATCTGAAACTAAGCATATGCCAAAGAGAAGGGGAAAGTATTATTATAAGACAGTAAAAACCTCCTATTAATCATGTATATGGTATTATAGTTATTATCGTTATTAAAAATGTTTTAAATTGCTTTAAGGCATAGATTTTTAATAAACATACTGCTACACTTTATTTATTATCCTAGCTTTGCACACTGTAGTGTGTGGCATACCGACTGATATAAGTTCTTGCATCTGGATATTAAGGAATTGACTGGTCAGAGGACAGGGTGTATTCACAGAAGGCTGTCATATTTTATTGGGGACATTTTTGATGGAAGGCTTCTTTTGATTTTAAAAAAAGAGTTTTGAGTAAGTAGGTAATCATCAATTCAAAAACCTAAGCCATTTTATAGGCTAGATTGTGAAAACAATGTCAAATTCTCTCACTTATCTGTAAGCTTACGATGAATAATGTAATAAAGGAGCTTTTCTAGTCCCATTTTACTTAGAAAGGTTAAACATGTTACAGTTCTATGCAAATGTTTTTTAATATAACTATAAGAAAAATAAACTAAAATTAGATGCTTTAATAGGCAGTAAAGTTTGCTATCATAAAAATAAATTGTTAATTAATACTATGTATTATCTATAATGTAATAATAATCACTATTTCTATTTAAATCCACAGTTTAAATCTTAGAACATAATTTAAAATCCTAAATAGGTAACCCTAGACACATTAAATTTCAGTACTTGAGCACAAGGTTTATAAGATGAAAGACAATATAATACAGTAACATTTTGAGCTTATTTAAAATAGTGTAAGAACTATATCCTCATATCATAAACAAACTTTTAGAAATCACAAATTTGAAAATTAAAAATTTCTCAAATATTCAAAGAATTTTCATGCTGGCAGGCCAAGTGAATGGTGAACTGGCTTTATGCTATTGCCACAGGGTGGTTCCACTTTAGTGGTTAAAAGCAAAAATCTGTCATCCTTTGTCAGGGATTATGAATAACAGAAGATGTGGACTATGCAAGGTATTCAGAAACACATTTTCTTGCATGAATTCCATTTGTCATATTTTAATGCAGAATTGAATCAGAAGAAATGCAAAAGTAGAAAATCATGTGTATACAATTGTCCAAAGATTGCTATTACAGAATATTCACACTTCTTAATAATAAAATAAGTTGCATAAGCAAAGCCTGAATACACATTATGGTTTATTGCATAGCTGCTAAACTTTTGGGTTGACAGATATTTCCTCTGCATACAGGCTATAATAGTTTCTTTCCTTATTCCTATTTGAATAGACTTCAAATTGGTTTTAAAAACATAAATAGCATCTAGATAAGGAAATCCCAAATATACATTTTTGGAACTAGTTCTGACTTTCTAATATGTGATTTCCAAATATTATTATTATTATTCTGAAATCCAGTATCTCTACACATAAATTAGTTTCTATGTTCTTTTTACATCAACTCAGAAGGTCACATCTGACCATATTCGAATCTTCAAAAATCCCCACAGACATGCTAACTTGAACAATTCATAAAACAGAGTATTTTTATTCTTAAAGTAGCAATGTTGATACAGGCTGACACCTACTTTTGCTCTTAAAATGTAACAAGCCCAAGAAAATAAAATGTGTAGAGGAATAAAAAAGAAAAAAAGAAATTTGTGGTAGGCTATTTTTCCATAGCTATACTATCAACATTACCCACCTCTGGTTCTAGAACATATTTGTGATTCTTTAATACAGTGATGAAGAGAACAAACAGATAATGTATTGTATATGCATATATTTCACTACAGTATATTAAATTTTATTCGACAGGGAGGAAATCTCACAGTCTGATTAATTACTACTTTGTGATTATGCCAGAAAACATTTCTTCCATCTCTCAATCTCTCATCAGCCCAATATATCTGATTTTCAAAATCTGAAATGTAAAAAAAACTGCAGGAATATAAAACATGCA
Organism: Homo sapiens; assembly: GCF_000001405.40. Classification (NCBI taxonomy): domain Eukaryota; kingdom Metazoa; phylum Chordata; class Mammalia; order Primates; family Hominidae; genus Homo; species Homo sapiens. The sequence continues at coordinate 77,436,131 of NC_000003.12, read as the reverse complement.
TTAGAGAACCTAAGAATCAGATGTATTATATATCATACACAGTCATCTCTTTATGACCAAGCATAGCAGGACTGAATCCATATCATGTCTTTTTTTTTCTCTAAGACTCACTTCTTAATCAAGAATGACAAAGTCATTCTTAATCAAGACAAAGTCATTCTTGATTAAGAAGTGAGTCTCAATTTCTTCAGAGACTCCCAGGACCAAGATATGGCATTGTCATCATAAAACATTTACATTATGATTTTTTTGCACAGTAAACCTACAGAATTCCTTTATAAGTGAACAACTATCAGATATACTTTAAGATATGTTCATTTCATGATCTCCAATAATCTTGGATACCCTGTTTCTTTCACGACCTTTGTCCACCCTGTTTCATTTTTAACTGGTCTATGCTGCACATACACATTGATCTGTAGACAAAGCATTGTCAGATGGAATCAATATATCATTCCTTTGGTATTGAGACTGGCTCTTGCTTAGTTTGCTTTCATTTTTTAGCGGATCAATAGTGCTAAACTGATGCATTACAAATTGGGGTACAATTAGTATCTGTCTTCAGGCTAGTTAACATGGGAATACAGTTTGAAAGGTAGAATTTAGATGGAAAAAAAATTTGAAATTGTTAAACCTGTATTCAAAACTTCTTCCAGAAAATGAATGTTTTTAAAAGAAATTTAAATTTTTTAAAACAATGCTACTTTTCACATTTCTTAGTACTTATTTGGCTTAAAAAGTGTTTTTCATAATAGATCAGTTTCTTAATAAAATATGATATGAAATAAAATACTTTCCATCAATGTACTGCAAAAAGGAGGTGTTTTTTCTTTTTTCGTCTACAATCTCTGATATGGAAAGAAAATAAACAGATTCATGGAGTCAGTATAAGATACTTAAAATAATTATATTAGTGTTATGTAAATTTCAAGAGAAAATTAGCCTTATGTTATCTATATCAACAAATTTATTTTATTAATAAAAAATGTTTAGAATGAACTTTTATGCTTATGCAATGTCTTTAATGCCTTCTTTTTTACCTACTTCTTAGTTTGTGTGATAGGGTTCATCTCACTGATGGCAAAAGACTGTTGAGCCCATTTTCCTTCAATTACATCAATATATTCATTAACAGGACTTCATCAATCTCATTGCCCTAAGAAAATATTAAATCTTCTAAGCATATTAAAATTGATTTCATGATTTGGGGATCAAGTACTCATTATCTGGCTGTTTCTTCATTTTATATGCGAGTGCATTAAAATAAAAATACAATAAGTGATCTTAAAATAAAAGGGTATCCAGTGAAGCCATTTTCTAAATGTAAGGGTAATATGGTACACAATTTATTCAATTTGACCCTTAACACCAAAAACACTGTTACATATTGATTTGCTCTTCCTTACCTAGGATCCAGTAGCTGGAACTCATCAACTTTTCATTATGCATGGTAATGGGGAACCAGGAGAGCAAATAAGCACTAAACCTTCTTTGCAGTGTATCGCAGTACATGGTCTGAGGGTCTGATAGCCTAGATTGGAAACTTAGTTCTACCTAGTTCTCATAAATGGTGACAACAATAAATATCTAACAAGTATGCAAGTGTTAAATGAGCTCATTCATTCATTCAGTCGGCACATTAATTCTTTCAGTAATGATAAAGTTGTGTTAGGAGATGGAAACACAGTCCTAAACAGAACTATACAGCTCTTGTCTTTCTAGAGATTCCATTCTGGTGAGGCTGACACATTTTACACAATTACATACTTGTTTACTTAATTACAGTTGTGAATACAGTTGCAAATGGGAAATTTGGGGGTCCTCACCTAGTCTGATCATTCTTAAAAAAATCATATTAAGGATATGAGGTAAGTTCTGCTGAGAAAGATATTCAGGGGTTATCTAGGCTAAGGATAAGGAAGCAATGTATTCAAAGGCAAGAAGGAGAACACACAGGAGGAAGTAGAAAAAGGCCAAGAAGAGAGCTGTGAAGAGATAATGCAGGGTCTTGTAGGTAGCATTAATGCTATTGGACTTTTTCCAAAAAGTAAAAGGAGGTCAGGGAAAAGTTTCAAATAGAAGAGCAACATGATTGGTGCGAAGAGTAGCTTTAGGTGCACTAGCTAACAAGCTGTTTCCTACTCCGAGGGAGAAATGCGGCTGCTTTGACGAGAGTGATGGCAGTATGAATAAAAAGAAGTAGATGGATTCCCAATTATATTTAGAGGAAAATACATACTAGACTGGGTGATTTGATCCAGGGGATAAGGGAAAGGGAAGGGACAAAACTGACACAAGAATTACTGGGTTTAGAAGTTTCATGGATGGTGGATGTATTTACTGAGACAGTCTCTGACTGAAGAGTCAGATAGAAAGACCATGAGTGAGCCAAGAGGAAATGTTTCCAAGTAGGTAGTTGGGTATCCTGATCTGAAGCTCAGAAATTAGGTCCAGGACAGAGTTATACATTTGAGAGTTATCTGTTTAGGGAAGGCACTTGAAGCTGTGATGTTCATGTGATTGTCTAGGGAGAAAATATAGAATAAGAGATTAAGAGAACTCACAAGTAAGTCTAGAGAAACTCAGTTGTTTAAAGATTAGATGAAGGAGAAATATATATATATATATATATATATATATATATACAAGTTGCCAGAGAAGAAGGAAAATCCTTAGCGTGCAGGGCATCTAGCACCCTGCATGGTCCCTAATAAACATTATATAGATGTCATCTAGGAGTGATACTGACAGCATAACATAGAATAATAGAACACAATACAGAACAGTTTAGGACGGATGGGAAACAGCTACTTTATGGTTAACTCTCCTAGCTAATAAATTATCTGAAATGCAGGAGGAGTCTGGGAACCCCTGCTCACCTTGCCTCACTGTCTTTATTTCTGTTTATCTTGCTCTATTGGCTCCTGACCAAGACTAAACCTTTGAAAAATCAACTCATGTCTGCAAGGTGTCTCATCGCAAGACCCATCCTGATCAGGGGCTGAGATGCAGAGAGACTAGTTATGGGGACAGTGTAGCAAGAAGAAAGGAAGCAAGCAATTGACTTCATCACTAGTCCGACAATTGTCATCCGACAATAAGGCATTGTCGCCAAATAAAGCCATGTCCTCACCTCTGCGGTGAACTTGAGACACCAAAAGAAACAATCCAATCCCATTCTTTTATGTCTCTTAGACTATGTCCTGTGAGAGTCCTCTCTTCAGACCTTGAGAATTAATTCCTGCCACATGAAGTTGTACCACTGTCTGGAGGGACGGGAAAATACAAGAGGGTGCTGTGAGACACAATAAACCAGCATACGGGTCGACTAGGGTAGCATGAATTCCTGATTGATCTCTACAGTCAAAACTGAATAAACTTCACAGGTCACCCTTCCTTGTGGTCATTAAAGACCATTCAGTGATAGGCAAACACTCCCACTGAAAAGTTGGGTTTGTGGACCAAAAGGTCTTTGTGGCAACTACTCAGTCTTGTCATTGTGGCCCCAAAGCAGCCATAGACAATATGCTAATAAATAAGCACAGCTGTGCACCAATAAAAACATTACTTATTAAATCAGGGGGTGAACCAGAGTTGGCCCAGGGACAATAGCTTCCCCACACCCTGGTCTATAATATCGTTAGTCCCTTCAGAGACTTCAGATGCTTTGCTAAATCAGATTTTGTAGACTGGTGTGGAGGTAACTAAAAACTATATTTAATATTGCTTCCATGCACCGCTATATGCCCCATTGCGAACAATAGTTTAGAAATGAATTTTGTAAACACAGTCAACTCACAGAGGGTATCCTGTATTACCCATACAGAATTCACTTTATTAATATAGGATTAAAGGAAAAATAAGCCCGTATATAAAATGTCATTCCTTACATTTCCTATAAACTTCTGTAAATGCCACTGTTTTAGCTTGACCATACAAATGACTTTTATAATCCTCTCTTTGTCCTTATTCTTACTATGTTTATTAACAAGGCAAAAGTGTCAGAACAAATCCCAAAGATTTTATTCCAAATTGCTAAAAAAGCTAGAGGCATAGAGTATGCACATTCATTATATGCTGCAGAGAAAATTGCTCAGCCTGGTTTTGCTAAATATTTAGAGTTACATCAATATCCAACCTAAGTCACAAATCTTTAGCTTAATTCCAGGATTTGGAATTCAAGGATGTCCCTGTAAACAATGATTCCTAGAATTTTCACCCTGAAGACAGAGAAACATCAGTGTCAAGCAACATACTTACGTTATTGAATCTTTCTTGTAGACTTCCTTATAGACTGATAGACTTTCCTGGGATTTGAAAAGAATAAAAAATAGCCTCCCTAGATTTAACACTGTCAACACTTTCTCTAGAAAGTGGTTGAAGTCAACCAGTCTGCCCCTTTTCATCACTGACTAGCTCTTTTAGGGAGCCAAGTATAGATTCTTTGTTCCTTAACTCAACCCACATTTATTGAATAGTATAAGCCAAACATTGAGCTGGATGCTGGGAACACAGGACGAAAGTAAGACAGATTCTGCTTTGGGAGGGCTCAGGGTCCAGCGACTATGTCATTTCAGGCATAATGTGCAAGTAGGGTCATCACTAAAAGCTGAAAAGAGAGGCTTAATTTAATAGAAATCAATAATTATTTATATCTATTTTTGAACTGTGGTTGACTTGAACAATTAATTAGAAAACTATCCTGTAGAGCATATAAAATGTTTAGCTTTTCCTCATTAGTATTTGCTTCTTCATAAATATTTGTTGAATGAATGGATTCCTATATTATTTCTCCATTGTGGATGATCATAACCCCTTTATCAAAGGACACATTCCTGAAATCTTCTTTGTCTTCACCATACTCCCATATCTAATCAAATCCCATTGATTGTTTTGAGGATTGTAACATTGTAATTGAGGGTATCATCACCTCTCAGACATTAAGAGTTACTCACTGAAACCAGCTCCGGCTGAAACTCAGGAGCCAATTGCTAAATGCTCAGTTACTTTGTGAGTCTGTTGTTGCACTATATACATTTCTAATTGATTCTAACGCTGAAAAGTTTCCAGTTTAAAGAATGTAATTAATATCAGGATGAGAAATAGTTACAGCAGATCACATATAAAATTTAATGACAATAAACTTACTGGGAAAAGAATAAGCAGATTGGGATGCAACTTGATTTGGGAAACCATGGCTAGACTGCAGATGCAGATGAGATACAGGCACAAAAGTTTAGCAAAAATCACTGACAGAATCTTGAGATCATCAACTAGCCATATGAAATGTACAACAAAGGGTGTTACACATATCTTAGTTTGCTCTGGTTGCTATAACTAAAATACCTTACACTGGGCAATTTATTAATAACAGAAATTTATTTCTTAGAGTTCTGGAGGTTAGGAAGTCCAAGGTTGAGTTGGCAGCAGTGTCTGGTGAGGGCATGGTTCCCCTGAGATGGTGCCCTCCTGTAGTGGAAGGAGCAAGGCAGCTCTCTGGGGCCTCCTTTATAAGGTCACTAACCATCTAAAAAGCCCCACTTCATAATCTAGTATCATCCTTTTGTGGTTTAGGATTCCAATATAAGAATTTTGAGGGAAAACAAACATTCAGACTTAGCCACATATTTTATTATTTGTAAATTGTGTGTCCATATCCTATCAATAAAATTTTTAATACATTAATATGTACATACACATTTTTATTTTGGAGAGCTGGTTGTTAAACATTCACCAGCACACCTCTGACCAATGGCCACTCCTTGCTAAAACACACAAACACACACAAAAGCCATATCAACAACAAAACTTCAAAGGATGCCAAAGTAAAAATTTTATTATCTAAGGCTTTCTACAAAGCCTTCCTTTCCAAGCTTCCACAACTTCTTCATGTAGACCTTTAGCTCCCCTCACCCTTCTAGTCACCATTTAGAAAGGATCCAATCTTTAGCCTTTACTCATACCACTCCCTGTCAGAATTGCCCTCATCCTCCAAAAATCAGTAGAAGTCCTCCCTTCTCCACAGAATGGATTGCAAGCTGGTAATCACTCCAGGCTTGGGTTTCTAGCTATCATTCAGTGCCTGTGCCATGTTTCTAGGGATAGGATTATATGAAACATATCGATCACTGTCCATTGCACAGAAGCCTCACCTGATCTAACCTCATGGTCACAGCAGAGTGGGCCAGGGGCTCCCACTCTTAGGCTCTACCATGTTGATCCAGATTCTCTCTCTTGAGATACAGTCATTAGTGAGCACCGCAGCTAAGAGACCGTAAGGTGTGATTTGTGTGGGGCCATTTCAAACCACAAGTATCAACATGCAGAGAGAAAGGGGTGCAGACTGATCACAATCTGTGATCACAGCAGATCACAGATTGTGTTGTTGTGATCACAGATTGTGATCACAGGGAAGATCACAACCGTGTTTTTCAACTTTCTAGGTCTGATTCTCATGAATTTCCTTTTCAGTATTTGAACATCATGAAATACTGAGTGCATTTAAAAAAAAAAAAAAAACCCTGCTTTTTACATGAGCAATTTTGAACTGTTTTCTATTACTTACAACCCAAAGATCCATGGACATAACAAAACTGCAAAGTCCTTTGCTCTCTATACTGCCTGAGATTCCCCTCAGAGACCAGCAAAATAGGATTTTGATGATTAGTTGATTGCATAAAGGAAGAATTTCCAATCAAGTCTGAGGAAGGGGAGAAATATCATTTTACTTGTCTTGAGTTTGAATCTGTGTTTTCTGACCAGTTGGGTACCAGTGGGGGCTATAATAATGGCTTAAAAATATGTGTCATAGTCTGGTAAAGCAAGTCGGGTGCACTTATGGGATGGTAATAAAATGTAGCTCCTGGCCTATTACCAGGATCAGTAAATGGAGAAATAAAATGTAATGCAGAGATTGAATTTGTGAGCTTCCACAAGTCCACATTCAAGAGTAACCAGGAATACTTTTGAATGCACACTTTGGATATAAATAGCTGATTTGTGTCACAATAGGATACGACTCTGAAGTTTGCTCTTTTTTGTCATGTTTCTAAAGTTATCAGATTATGGAAATAAAACTAGTGTATATACAGTAATTGTTTAGCTGATCTAACTTTAGAGTAGCACTAACTATTCCTTTGGTTCTAATAAAAAATAAATCAAAATTCTATAGTATGGTTCTGACTTTCTCTTCAATAAACTTTTTAAAAACTCAAACTCTATGAGTTTTGACAGAAAATGCATTTTTCTTATACTGTTATTTTGAAAAAGTTAACACTGAAACTTTTTGATTTCATGGATACATACATTATCCAATATAATCTTGGCATGCAATAGATCAACATGACTACTAATACAAGTATTTCTTATTATACAACTTTGCCAAGCAATAGCAAAAACATAAAAATTAATTAAAAGCTATTAAAAATGAGCACCATTCTACAAGCATCCAAGGAACATTAACAATAAAATATTACCGGCCGGGCGCGGTGGCTCACGCCTGTAATCCCAGCACTTTGGGAGGCCGAGGCGGGTGGATCATGAGGTCAGGAGATCGAGACCATCCTGGCTAACAAGGTGAAACCCCGTCTCTACTAAAAATACAAAAAATTAGCCGGGCGCGGTGGCGGGTGCCTGTAGTCCCAGCTACTCGGGAGGCTGAGGCAGGAGAATGGCGTGAACCCGGGAAGTGGAGCTTGCAAGTGAGCCGAGATTGCGCCACTGCAGTCCGCAGTCCGGCCTGGGTGACAGAGCGAGACTCCGTCTCAAAAAAAAAAAAAAAAAAAAAAAAAAATATTACCTAAGTTTTGCTGTGAATGCCTCAAACACAAAATATTACATTTTATGTATTACAGGCCAAATAATTTTGACACTGTATCCTCATTAATTTCAGTAACGAATAAAATCACATAATTCCTATAGTTTTAAGGGGAAAAGATATCAATTTTCTAAATTAATAGGAATAAGGAGGATGTATACTTGGGTAGATTAAAAAGCATAAAAATTTCAAAAATTTGTTTACAATGACTTTTATTAAAAATGTAACATTTGTCTTGTTGTGCTTTCTTGGTAAGTCAGAATATATTTTTGTTCCTGGAATGAGATATCACAGCTAGAATTCAATAAGATAAATGCCACATTTTTAATGAAAAACCAGCTCAGCTCAACTCTGTGAAAAGAAATGGCTAATGGTTGCCTGTAAGGTTAAAAACGGAATATAAAATTAATCTTTTTATATCAAGGATCAATGCAAGCTGAATAGTCAAAATTATCTCTCCCTATTAACCATATCTTTAATGATTTATTGCATTCTTTATTGATAGTTTAAATTATTCCAGTAGGATAATTAGCAGTCTTAGCAAACACAATGAAGCTGACTAAATGATTCAGGTGAGATGAGTCAGCAACGTAGCAGGTGCAGAAACTGCAAGCCTTGCACTTGGGAAAATTGTTTTATGAATTAACGACTTGCTGTTATTTTCTTTCTTTTTCCCTGGCCAGTGGGAGCCAGAAGGCCATTCACTCCAGGAAATCAACTAACATCCAGGAAAGACAGCATTTCTTTCCTTTGGGATTGAAATTTCTTGTCCCCTCAACCCACTCATCCCAAACAACAAATAACAATTACGATACATGCTTTGTGCGAACAGGAGTTCAAATCCTAGGTGTACCACTTATGAGATACGTGAACTTCTACAAATTATTTAAGCTCACTTCAATTTCTTCAGTTATAAAATAGAGATAGCAATTGCACCCATTTTAAGGGAATTGTAATAATTAAATGAAATAATACATCAAGTGCTTACAACACTGACTAGCACATCATAAATAAAATATAGATTAGCAATTATTAATTCAGCCCTGTGTTTTCAGTAGCAAGCGTTCTGTGGTCTGACAATGCTTCCATAAGATACAACTTCAGGATCAGCGGCAAGAGAGGCTACTCTAATCCTGAATCCAGTGGTTTTCAGGTTAACCTCATCCCTTTTCCAGTGCCTCCAGATGCCTACAAACAGGTTGCTCATATTCCGCACATTCCATATGCCCTCTCCAGGAATCTGGCACACCTTCCATGTAGAAATGTCACTTTTAGAGGCTTCAGCTCAATGTTAAATTAAAATATGAAGTTCGCTGTTAGCAAATTTTAAAAGGAGTATGACTCTTGGGAGAGAACATAGAGTTCAAACACTTTCATCAGATTTTCAATGCAAATTCTTACCCTATATGAACTTTGGAAGCTGAGTTAATCTTATTTGTATTTTTAATCATTTTCTTTTTACATTCATATACAGCTTTGTGGGGGAAAATTAAAGCAAATTAGTAAATGAAAGCAAATTAGTAAATGATTTCAATGTGTAAGGTTGAATTGAACATGGGTTTCTTCAATCAAGAAAAACTTTCCTTCCTTCCTTCCTTCCTTCCTTCCTTCCTTCCTTCCTTCCTTCCTTCCTTCCTGACCAAATGATATCAGCTATTCTTTTTACTCCTTAGGTTTTATGCACACACACACACACACACACACACAGACACACACATATGTATGTGTGTGTAGGTATTTACATTATACACACCACATTCAAATAGGGTTTCCCCCTTTATGATCAAGAAAAAGAATTTCTATACCTTCAATTATCTATATATTCCCATTATTCAAATCCTTATCTGTTACCTTAATCTCACGCCTGATTTCTGAACACTCTGAAGCATCTTAACCTTCACGACAATCAGGTATCTCCAATTCAGAATACAAAGTGGAACTCATCTTCTTCACCCCCAAAACCTGCCCGCCACAGTGGGCCCCATCTCTGTTCATGGTTCCTTTATCCATCCTGTTGTTCAAGTTAGAAACCCATCGATTCTCCTTGATCAGTCTTTCCCACACATCATGAAGCCGGCACTTGGAGTCCTTACAGCTCAATGTCCCAAGTATTTCTAGAATATGCTCACTTTGCTCCATTTCCACTGCCATCACCCTAGCCAAATCCACCATTATTTCTTGTCTGGACAGCTGAACGACCTTTAACGTGACATTCCTGCTTCGTTCTTGCTCCCTCCCAATCCAACCTCAATACAGTAATCCCAGGAATCTTTAGAAAATATGAACTGGGTCATGCACTCCTTGGCTTTAAATTCTTTCATGGTTTCTAGTCACACCACGAATCATATTAAGGGGCTGGGCGCTGTGGCTCATTCCTGTAATCCCAGCACTTTGGGAGGCTGAGGCAGGCAGATTATTTGAGATCAGGAGTTCGAGATCAGCCTTGCCAACATGGTGAAACCCTGTCTCTACTAAAATACAAAAATTAGCTGGGTGTAGTGTCGAATGCCTGTAATTCCAGCTACTCGAGAAGCTGAGGCAGGAGAATGGCGTGAACCCAGGAGTGGAGGATGCAGTGAGCCGAGATCATGCCACTGCATTCCAGCCTGGGCGACACAGAGAGACTCCATCAAAAAAAAAAAAAAAGAGTCATATTGAAGTCGTTAGCATGGTCTGCACATCTTTGCATGACCTGACTATTCCTGATCACCCCATCCTCCTCATACCCAGTCTTCACCCTCACTCCTTCCCAGTTCCTCTCACTGCAGTACCACTGCATATACAGTTCCACCTCCCTGCTTAGCACTTTGTCCCTGTCTTTTATGGAGTATGGGTGACTTCATCTTTCACCTTGGCTCTAAGTTTATGTATCACCCCCTTAGAAAGAACATCTTTGGCCACCTCCAAAAGAGGACACCATCTCAAGCTATGTTTTTTCTTTTAATTTTACTCAAATTCTAACAGACCAAACTGCTTTTTACCACATCATCTGTTTGCTTTTCTTAACATACTTCCAGCAATTTGCAATGTGTATATTTGTTCTGTAATTATTATATATCTCCTTACTAGTTCAAAGCTCCATAAGAGCAAAGACCATTCAAGTCTTTTTTTTTTTTTTTTCTTGCCATTGCATCCCTGACAACTAGCACACTGCTGGGCACGTAGTGAGAACTCAACAGATGATTCTCAAGTGATTTAAAAATAATTCAATAGAGAAAATATTTACCAATTTGCCTTTCACTCAAATATTAGCCATGGGTAAGAGTTTATCTCACTCAAATACTACGTCATATATATGTATCTCTCTTTATCTATGGTATTTATACCTTTTGTTCCAATTCACATTAATCGGGAAGGGATACTTGTGTTGCCTTTTCTAAGGAGGATTTTAGAGCCAACACCAAATACAGAAAGAAAACCATCTATAACCTGTAGATGTCATACTGTGCAAAGGTTCATGGAAGGAGCTGAAAACCCTAAACTACATTGACAAGGGGATGTTTGTTTCCTCCAACTCTCCCCTCCAACCCTTCTCTTTGTGACTTCACACGCATACACGGGCACGCAGTGTTCATATACAAAAAAGAACCAAACTAAGAAACCTCAGTATTTTCTCAAATTGATGGAAACAATTTCATGGGGATAAAACCAACAAAAAAAAGAAAAGAACCTTTACATTACAAATTGTGGAAGCCTAGTTGCTTCAGTAAATTAGAAATATATTTATGTTTAAGCCAAGTTTCAAGGTTTGGATTATATTTAATTTTCAATCCTATTCTAACTTGTAATACAGAACACTTTGACAAAGTATCACTCGCTTTTCAATCTCAAAGGAATAGTCTCCAGAATTTCACATATATTGTATCTTATATCAAAATAAGAAAGCCAACAAGTATATATCCCCTGGGTAAAAGCATATACTTTGTAAAGACATCAGAACAATCATTGATTAACATTCTGTTTGCTCACTCTTCTAAGCACATTTTAGGTCTTCCTCTGTCAATGCTTTACTCATACCATCCTACTCACATTCTCCCATTTCCTCTGCCTGTCCAAATTCTACCCGTCCTTTAAAATTCATTTTAAATCCCAGTTCTTCTACAACACCTTCTCTGATTGTCATTGTCTAGAGTTATCCCAGAGTTACTATTTCTCTGGTTTAATATCTGTGCAAATTGTCACATATATAATTTTAGATGATTTTTAGTATTTTGCTCGTGCTGTATCAGCTTTAACTCCACTCTTAAAGAGCAATATCAAGGTATTTTTCTGAGCATCAGTATTCTCATTTATAAAATAAGGGGAAAGAAGTAGAAACTCTCCAAGATTTTTCCCAGTTCAAAGAAAAAAAGTTACTGAATTATTAATAGAATAACATATTCATTCAGTCAGCACTGAATTTACCTACTGTTATATGCCAATCATGTTAATAAGCTCTATAGATACAAATACATTATGACATCTAGCCTGAAGGACACAGTAAGTCATAACGTTACCCTGGGAGAATTATGTTTTAGGAAGCACCAGGGTGGAGTTAGGGGTTTATGAAATCACATATGATAAAATGTCCACACATTGAATTATTTTAAATGTAAAATCTGTATAATCAGTAGTGGTAGTGCTTAAGTCTTCTTGTGAATATCAGCAAAAATGCTGGGCACATATAGTGTTCCAGGTGAGACCATACAGATGAAAAGTAAGTGTTCCTGTCAGAAAAAAGTGGGGAGGGACATTCTAAGTAGAAAAACCAGGAAGAACAAAGGCACAGAATTGAGGAAGAATAAAATATTATGTAAAATTATAATACAATTGTATGAGGTTATATTTGGTCAAAACAGTTGAAAACTGGCAATTTCATACATTTCAACCTAGTATAACCTTAATAATTGTTTATTTTAAATGTTTACTTACAGTATTTGTCATTCTGTATTTCACATTCATGGGAAATTCTGCAACTACTTTGAAAGCTCATGGCAGGAAAGGTCTACTTCTTATAAAATAATGTCACTGAATTGAACATACCAACTACACAACAAATATGCAATTAATATGACATAGTAATTCATCTAGTCTTTTAAAGAAATTTATCTGAAAAGCATATTAGAAACTAAACGGTAAGATTAAAGAAATGTTGCTTCATAAGCTGGTGAAAAGTGTAGGGTCCTCATTTACATAAAATATATTTTGATGCTTTTGGTCCAATGAGTAATGTGGGGAAAAAATAGTTATTTATATTAGCACAGCATTATACTGCATCTGATCCCAGGAAATCTGCTTTATTAATCACTTAACTTCTAGATTGTATAACTCTGACTGCCATAGAAAATATAGTTACACTACATATGGGCCATAAGGGAATTGGTAAACAATGAAAAATAGTAATTTACATAAAAGACCAAATGATTGCTTTCCAGTGGCATATCATCTCTAAAAGTGAGTAAAGTGTTTTATTTAAAGGGTACTTGAGTATTCATAAAATGAGGGCACATTATTTTCTATGCCTTCTACGCTTTTATAAAAAGTCATATAATTATATAATCATAGGCTGACACATCCATAAAAAATAGGTGCAAATCACTGTGAGTGTCCAGGCAATGTTGCATGCTGAAGCAATAAAGACAGAACAATCCAACCAGGGGAGGTCAAATAAATGTAAAGAACACATTAGCTATGTTTTGCAAGAAAATATTAAGATAATCATTTGTAAATCCATGCCTGAAATGCAGTTCTATTTGAATGAATCTGTGGTTCGATATCATTGAGCTGACTCTAATTTATGAAACACTAGTTTAGGAACAGATTGATTCCAGAGTCATATCTCAGGAGGACGTGGCAAAGACGTTTTTAAAAATGGTGTCTTGAAGGCCCACCTTGTGCAACAATTTGTACCAGGAGCCGTCTGGGATGCAAAGATAACCATGAAATAATGATATGGAGGAGTAGAAAAGTACATATTAGCTATAAATGCCTGCTTAGCCTTCATGTCCATTTCTAAGCAAGATTCCCTGGACACCAGAAGATACAGTGAGCACAGGAGGGAAATGAAAGGCATAAAATGTCAAAAGGAACCGCTAATCCCCTGTCTTATTCTACACCAACTTGATTTCGCCTTCAGGTACAGTTCCATAAAACCGAGTGGGATGCTTGTGCAGTTAGACTGACACAGCAATTAGGTAAATGGCTTCTTGACTTTTGCACTAATCTGCCGATGTTGGCGTTTTCTAGTGTGCTGCCTCAGCATTCAAAATTGCCAGAAGAGTATAAAGCAAAGTGCCCATTAAATGCAAGAATACAAATCAGCACATGAATCTAATTTTTCATGATATTATTTCTAATTCATTTGAATAAATTTTGAGGAACTCTAAATTAGAGGAGTCTAAATTAATAACATTTTAATGTGTAAAAGGAAATAACATTTTTAGACAGCAGATCTTGTTTTTTAAACTTAAAATTATTTCAGGCTGATATAATTTATTTGTTCATTATAATAAAATTTCTACCATGCCTTTTGAAAAAAAGATAACCAATGGATTACTGATAAATGTTATTTACCCATTTTTATTTTTCTATATCTATCTGCTTATCATTTTCCCTTTTTCAAAATCTACTTCAATTAACATGTTTATGGAGTTTTTAACACTATTATGCTCACTGAGGATGCTGAGGATGCTCACTAGTTCAATGCTTTCGATGACTAAAGCTCTGTGATCCAACAAAAAAGTGCACCCATAAAGAATTTTCCTGAAATTATTCAACAAAAGTTTGTGGGCTTTTTCTCTACTTATTTCTATGGCGTTATATGAGCTAATTCTTATGAAGCATTAATCCCTTGAGATTACAGAAATACTTACACAAACAAATTTATACTGAAGCTGCATCACCCTCTGTTAACCAATATTGACAACATAAGGTTGAAGATGGCCATAGAAAAAAAATGTTATACACGATCAGATTGTAGTAAAACAAAATACATAAAATGAAACTTCTCTGGATATTTGTCGTGATGTAAATATTAATGGGATAACCATATAAAACAAAAGTATCTCAAAATAACATTTAAAAAACCACATAATACTGAACATTTATTCAGGAAAACAAATGTCCTGTGACATTTCCAGACACATCTAATGTATAAAATAATTCTACTTTACAGATTAAAAACCTAAGGCACAGAAGGATTAAAGAGCGTGCCCAAACTGCCAGAGAAGGTGGAGGCCAATTTCCACTTCTAATGTGATTTTTCCAGTGTGATAGGAAAGACTATGATGGTTTTCCCTTCCATACTATACTTTCTTGTAGACAATTTTCAGGGAATACAGAGAGACTGAGCTGGAAGAAGGGGTGAGTTGGAAACTTATGGGAATTTGACATTTAATTAGTCGGATTGGGAACATATAATCACATACTAAAATCAAACTGTCAATGTGGGGAAAAATGTGCATAAATCTACTCATTTTATAGAGTGCAATGATATAGCATTTGATAAGGGAAACATTCTAGAATGCCTCATTTTCCAAATTTGTCTCTTCAAATCACTTCCATTCTTCATTTTAAAAAGGCATCTCCAAATCAGCAGAGTCTGGTAGCCTGAAAGGAGCTTCAGGCACTCCAGGAGTTAACTAATGACACATTTTCTATATGAATATCTGACCAGTTTGATTTACTTTTTTGAGCAGAGTCAGAGTGACAGACAACACATTTGGTAAACCTTCAATCCTGTCTGTTTGGCTGAAATCATTAGAGGAGCAGGTGGCTTTCATTCTGTTGAACATTTCCCAACTGTACAGCTGCTAAATGGAAAGTAAAGAGAGCAACCACTCCCAGAAGGATGTGTGCCCAGGAAATTTGGCCTGATTGGTAGAGCCAGTCCCTTGAAATGGGAAGGCTTTTTTCTGACCAGCAAGAGAAAGCCCAATATCTACCTTATTTTATTTCATTTTATTTTATGATACACGACCATATATACCATATGCATACACACATTCAGGCTTTTTAGAAAAGAATTTACAAATAGGTCATGGCTTTTCCAAACATATTTATTTGATTTAAAAAAAAAAAAGTCATCTGTAAAATAGTTACCTTAAATATTTACTTAATACAACTCCTTTGAAATGAAAATTCATGGAACCACTGTAGACTGAGAACACCCTTTCATTTTATGACCATCTCTTCCATCTTACTGAAGTCATTTCTTAAAGTTAAAAATTAAAGAATTTTTTTTTAATGTTGGGGGGAATGTTATGAATACTCACATTAAACCTACACCAATGGTTCTCAGGTATTTGGTATTAAACAATTACCCTGGATGTTCATTTATAATGCAAATTGCCTCAGTTTGTTTCCTGAAACTTCGATTCAGAAGGCATGGTGTTGAGCAGAGTAATCTTCACTTTTACCTATTCCTATGACACCTATTTTCAGGAATACACTATGGTGGTCATACTTGAAAAATATCAGCCTTGTGAAGCACCTCAAAAATATTAGGCTTTTCTAGCTTAGAAATAAATTCATTTTTGAGAAGTTCTTCAGTTTGTTTGCTTTTTAACAAATATCCATTTACTTATAATGGCAGTTTATATTAACTTCTACTTTGTGAGATAAAGCTTTCAATCCTCAAATGCAAGGTTTCAAAGCAATGTGTACTATAGCCTTAATATTTACTCTCATAGTAAGTAGCACATAATATTTTTATATTGTGTAATGAGTTTTGCTGCAGAAGGCAGAAGCAGAAAGTGCTGAAAATTAAGTTGATCACACCACACAGAGTTCCATTTCCTCTGTCATTGCACTATCATTTCATATTTATGCTCATGTGCCACCTCTCCTTCTTTTTTCAGTTTTCATAGTAATATATGTCCTCATGTTCAATTTGTTTTATTATTATTCTGCTTATCACAAGCAAATGTTTATAGATAACTCTCTTTAGGCCTCAGTTTTCTTATCTCTACCTAGAGCATGCTAGTACTACCATTAAGGTGATGATTAAATGAGATATACATGTGAAACGCTTAACTATGTTCAATACATGACGGTTATTGCTAATAACATTTATTATTATTCTATTAGATAGGTCAATGTATCTCTGTGAGCTGACAAAGTATGATTTAACGTTTTCTATGATAGGACATTACTTAAACCAGACATAGGAGTTTATGTTGCCTTGGGCCTTTATAGAATCTGTCTCTCTGCTTCTAAAATAAATTGAAACAATAGTGAGAAACTATTATTTTTCAAGAGTAGGCCTGGGACAGTTACTCCCTCAGAGTCTCCAGAAAGAACCAAACCTTGATTTCTGACTTCTGGCCTCTTGAATGAAGAAGGAATACATTTGTTTTAAGCCACCCAATTTATGCTAATTTTTAATGGTAGCTCTAGGAAACAAACCATTATTCCTTTCTCCTGATTGCAACCATCCCTTTTGCCCATATGAATAGGTCTTCCTTCATAATCTGCAGTGTGAGAGAAGTGCCAACTTCAACGAGGCTTTTAACACTCCTTAACAATTTTTTCTAGGTGCTCCCATAGTTTATAGTTTTTAAAAATTCTACAGCAACAAATACTGTATTCTCTCTTGTACTGTACTTTAAATGTCTCTCTCCATCATATTACTAGTTCTTGGAAAAGGCAGGTTAGGCCTTTACTTTCTACATCTCATAACTCCTAGTAAAATGGAGATTTGGGTAAGCGATCTGTCATATGAATGTATGAATCACAATACTTTTCTTTGTGGCTCTTAAAGAGATTTGGTGTTACACAATATTTGAGATAGTGAATCTCCAAGGGAAAAAGAAAGAAAATGAGAAAATATAAATGAAAGTAAAAGAACAAATCATAAATTATAAGATCCAGCAAATTTAGTCCATTTTATAATGTCTTTGGTAAATTGAGCCATGATTAATTTAAAAACCTTACAATTTAAAAGATTACCATTTATAACCGCAATAAAAATGTACACGATTTGGAAAATGGATGCATCTAATATGTTGCAGAGTCAATATGATGATAAGAATATCCTCCAAAAAATGAGGAGAAGCTAATTTAGAAATACTAAGAAAACTTTTGCTCAAGCAAAGTACCTATCCATGCTAAACACAGTTGATATCAATTTGAAGAAAAACAAGAAGCACCAAAAAGGCTGCTGTGACTTTTTCACATACTTTTCTGTAGGTAAAAAAAATATAAGGATGTTACTTTCAGTGGGCTACTAACATTGCTGAAAGCAAGATTTTTTTAAGAAATCACTTGAGGTAGCAACAAGGCTTATTTAATTGTTCAGTTTGTATATTCATTCATTTATTCCTCCTTTTATCTGCTGTCAGAGACTTTAGTCAATAATAAAGTCATTCACCTAATAAAAATATAAGAACTTAAAAAAGGAAACTTTAAAAAATATGTAACATGAGAAAATTTTAAATACCTTAAAGGAATTAATATATTGGCCATAATTATATATTAAATTTAGGTTTAACTTTCCAGAAAAAAGCATTGCATTAAATATACATAATCTCACAATAAAGATGATAATACATTCATATGATAATCTATGTCATTGATAACATTGCTGAGTACAAGAACACTATGACAGTGTAATGAGAAAACATCATAGCATTTCATAGTGTTCTTTAGTTTGTTAAAAAATAAGTTTACTGATTTTTAAAGTTTTTACAGTATATTGAATCCATAGACTAAAGTGGTACAAATCAATGGAGTTTTTGTGGATTGGTCAAGTAAGCATTCTATTCTGACATTAAATGGTTTTGGTGTATAATTAATGACTGAGACAATGCAATAAGAAGCTTGATGCATTTATTACATATATTTTATTGAAGTTCTTGGAAATCTTAAAACTATTATCATTTTCCACTGGGCATATATGAAAGAAAAGGGTATCTTCAAGTAAATTAATCCTTTTCTTTATGCTGTATTACTTAATCACATCCTCCTAACCATCCTTCTAAACTTTTATTTTTTCTTTATCAAAGGATTGATTGCCTGTGAATATATAACAAGAAAAGAAAGTAAAGTATGTCTGGCCCATCTTGTAACTTACAAAAATTATTTTAAGCCAAAAAAAAAAAAAAAAAGTGGTTACCCTGCTACCCTGCATTAAAATAATGGAAACCCTTGATTTTGCTAGGGATGTAATGAATTTGTCCTTTAGCAGTCAATGTCCCTCACATGAAATTGCACCTAAATATTGCTAGTTTTCCTGAGTTTTCTTTTGTTGAGTTCTGATTATAGATTCAACGTTCATTAAAAGACAGGAAACATGTCAAAGAAACAAATCCTAGACTTTAGAGTAGCTTAAAATTACCTAATATTCAACATGTACATAATGAACTCATTATGCTTGCTCACCTTCTGACCAAATCTGTCTCATCCTCGGCAATCTACATCTTGACAAATGAAATCAAAATGTAACTTTTACCCCAAACAGCAACCTCATAGTCAGTTATTTTTTCTCTTATTTTCTAAATACGTGTCAAAGCCCTGCTTAAAAACTTAATGAGATGTACTCCCTCCTTTCAACATTTATTGCCCTTGTTGATAGCAGCAGGAGGCAGATAAATTTCCTTTCTTTTTTTTTTTTTTTTTTTTTGAGATGGAATCTTGCTCTGTCACCCATGCTAGAGTGCAGTGGCATGATCTTGGCTCACTGCAACCTCTGCCTCCTGGTTTCAAGTGATTCTCCTGCCTCAGCCTCCTGAGTAGCTGGGATTACAGGCACCTGCCACTGCACCTGGCTGATTTTTGTATTTTTAGTAGTGATGGTGTTTCACCATCTTGGCCATGCTGTTCTCAAACTCATGACCCTGTGATCCACCCGCTTCAGTCTCCTAAAGTGCTGGGATTACAGGCATGAGCCACTGCTCCAGGCCACGGCAGATAAATTTCTGGGCAGAAAGGGACAGGTCTCTGGTGAAATCCAACCTCAAGCCAAAGACAGCTTAAAGCCTGAAAACTGAACTTCCAGTTCTGAGGGGAGTCCACTACCAGAGTAAGAACTTCCTTAAGGCCTTTAGCCAATTAAATGGTGCATTCTCCAGGCCCACCATGGACCAATCAGCATGCACTCTCTCATTCTGAGCCCATAAAAACCCCAGACTCAGGCACACATTGGGATACCCACTTTCGGGCCCTCCCCCTCACACAAAGGGCCACCAACTTGGGCTCCCCTCTTATTGTCAAGAACTTTACTCTCACTCAATAAAATTCTTCCCTGCCTTGTCCACTCTCCAATGTCTGTGCAATCTCATCCTTCTTGGTTGTGGGACAAGAACACGGAACCCACCAAACAGTAGGTACAAAAAGAGCTGTAACACTGTAACCCTCCCTCTCATTCACCAAGCAATGTGGAGAAAAAGCCTCTGGGCACAACATGCCCCCATTTGCTGAGCTATGGGCTGCAGGAACGAACAAGCTGTAACATGAATAAGCTGTAATATGCCCTCCTGTTTGCTGCACTGCGGGCAGCAGAAATGATGTAACATTTCTTGGGGGCTCAAACCTGGGGACTCCCTGGGAAAGAGCCATAAAACCCCTAGGTCTCTGTGGTTACCGGCATCTCTGAGTTTTCCGATGCCACTGGGTTCCCCTTATCTAGATGCTGGTGCCCAAAGCAAAAACTGCCCACACCCAGCTCAGCCACTGAGTGCAAAGACCTGTGCCCTACCCTGGGTTGGTAGTGCAAGCTGAGTGCAGCCCACTGGGCCAAGTGGGTGGAATGAGCCCAGTGGCGAGCCCAGAGCCGAGTGAAGCCTGGGCAGGGGCACAGCTGGCCACAGAGATTTCTGGCTGGTGAAGTGGAGCTGAAAGCGCCCTGTGTCATTGTCACTTCCTTATTATATTTAGCCTGGACTATTGCAGAGGACACACAATGGTTTTCAACCTTCAATTATGGCCAGCCTCTGCTCCATACAGCTACTACATTTCTCTCCAAAACACAGACATACTTAACGTCACCATTGATGTTTATAGAAAAATATTCATACCCCTTAGAACAATTATTCATTCAATATGACCCTAATCTACCTGTCCAGGCTTAACTCCTGTCTCTTCTTCTATTTCAGTAAGTTTCAATGCCTTAACATTGCTTCTCTACACCTCCCAGACAAAGTTGAGCATTTGCTCTTCTGTTCTCCTGTAACACTGTTTATTTCCCTATTTCTGCACTTACAAACAACTGACACTAATTACAGTAATGGCAAACATATGTCCTGAATATTCCTGGATGTCCCTAATGTTAAATATTCTTTCCTGTTGTGGGATCATGGGTGGAGTGAGCAGTCCTCAAAATATCTTAGGGCTCATTCCACCAGATGGGCAGCTTCCTGAAGGCAGGGGTGGAGTCTTAATAATCTTCAGGAGCACTCAATACTTCATTGCTTAAATTAAACAAGACTGGAAAAGGAATTCTCTATTTATATAAATTGACTCTAACAGGAGCCATATGCAATGGATAAAGACTCCAACAACACTGTCTGGAAATCTGTTCTCTTTCAGCATAATTCATTGTTTCTTTACCAAACAATGTATGCCAGGGTTCCCACTTATTTTCCAAACATTAATGTGAAATAATGAATGCATCATGGACTGCACACTACAAAGACCAAATATCTGGGCTTATCTACCTCCTTCACCCATTATCTCCCTTCTCTCATAATAATGATAATCTGTCTATGTGCCTACATTACAGTCACTTCTACACTTGTGCCTAGCTCCCGTCTTGTTTTGTCTGCTCAAGTACTTTGCTTCAGCAATTTTCCCCCTCTCTGCTGTATCATTAATTTTTCTAACTTAACTAGATGATTCCCACAAGCATATGGACACGCTTTTCCTTATCCTGTTTTAAAAACAAAACCTGTTATATCCACATTTCTCTCCATATATTCCTCATTTTCCTTCTTCCCCGTACTGCAGGACACTAGTGTGGTATCATTACCTGCTATCTCCACAGTCTCTTCTCTCATTCTCTGTTGAACCTCCTGCAATAGAGACTTTCCTTGTACCACTCCAGGAAAATTGCTTTTATAAAGGTGGCCCATAATCTCCACATTGCTGTTTCCAACGGTCAGTTCTTGTTACTTGTCTTCTGTGACCTTAAGTAGCATCTGACACAGTTGAGCATTCTATCTTTAAATATTTAGTTCATTTGGCCAACAGAATAAGACACTCATTTGGTTTTCTGCCTACTAGCTACGGTTTTTCTTTTTTTCTTTTTTTCTCAGTCTCCTCTGCTGGGTCCTCTCCATCTTCTTAATCTTTAAAAATGAACTGATCCAAAGCTCAGTCTTGGGATCTCTTATGCCTCCACAGACTCCATCTGTAGACTTATCAAATATCATGACTTAAATTACTACATGTACACAAAGATTCTAAATTTATATGTTGAAGCCATATCTCTTCCTTGGACTCATGCATCCAACTGCCTACATTACAGCTCCATTTTTAGTTGTCAGATTGACCTGCCACATTTTACTTGTCCATTAACATTTGCATCTCTCTCCAGTCTTTCCATCTTAGTAAGTGGCAATTCTGTTCTTCCAGTTAGGCCAACAAAGTGGAGTCGTCCTTGACTCTCGTTCTTCCTTTATATCCTCACATAGAGTGATGGAATCCTCACGGTTTTGATTTGAAAATACACCATATTCTAATTACTTCTTAACCTCTCCGCTGATTCCACCTGGTTAACTCTCACCTACGTTACTGTAACGGAGCTCTGTATTTCAGGCCTTGTCACCATGTGGGAAATTCTCAACTGAACATCAAGATCATTTCAGTAAGTCAGATCATGTTGATTCTTCTTCAAAACAAAACAAAACGCAAACCTTTCAATGGATTCCTGTCTCGCTTAGCATCAAAGCCAAAGTTCCCAAAGAGACTCCATGACCTGGCCCCTGCTCATGGCTCTCAGTTCACCTCATTCAAATTTGCAGGATTTATCCCACCCAGGCTGTTCCACTCACATGGAACTCCTCGCTTTTCGTAAATTTAAGCCTTTGCACTTCCTCTTTCCTCTTTCTAGAACATTTTCTGTCCCCACTCCCCATTCCTACATACTTTTTTTTTCTTTTTTACCCCCAAACCTTAGAGTTTCATCCTAAAACAATTATGTTTTCTTTATTTGCCTTGTTTATTGTCTATTATATATCTACTTCCCAAAAGGACTGATTTTGGTCTCTTTTGTTCCTTTCAGAATCCCCAGGGCCCAAAAGAGTACTGGTCCCAAAGCCTGTACTCACTAGATATTTTTATTATTTTTATTTGTGTTGTAGAGATGGGGGTTGTGCTATATTGCCCAGGCTGGCTGGACCCAAGCTACCCTCCTGCCTCAGGCTCCCAAAGCGCTGGGATTACAGGCATGAGCCACTGTGCCCAGCCCTTATTAAGTATTTTTTTAAAATAAATGAATAGAGTTTAAAGAATCTGCAGCACTGACGCATCCCCAAATGTCAAAAGACATTAGCTAGGGTAGGAAAGGAACACATGGACCAGCCCAGTGCCCCAGGGCAGAGGCTAACTATCCCTATAAAACAGGAAGTGTGGGGTTGGGCCCTAGTGAGCAGAGAGCCTCAGGAAATGGATTAGGAAAGCATTTTTGGGATCAGTCTTGGCAGGATGGGTCTCTAAGGTCTTTGCAAAGACTTTCAGATCTTTGAACTCAGAGAACACTGGGCTTGGCTGCTCAGAGATTGCCCAAGCCTTGGGTGTTCCAGGAGCAAATCCTTTCTGATTGAGATCCCACTGTCCCCAGTTACTGAAATCAGAAAAGTAGCAGATGAAGCGAATTCATGACAGACAGCAGTGCTCAAACTAGGGCTCTTTTATACAGTGCCTTCAGTAGATCTTGAGGACAGAGGGGCTCTAGAGTCTTTCTTTTTAACAAACATTCCATCATGAAGCATATGCCATGTGTTATATGTCTTTTGCCACATGTGTGATAACCACACTTAGATATACTGGCTTAGAGCTCAGCAGCTCTGTCCCATCTGTACTTGGAGTTTTCCAGCATGCAACTTCCTTGGAAGCCCTCTGGGCATCCACCTCTGGGTAGAATCTTGGTGTGAGTGGCAGTGACTGCTTTGTCCTTTTGTCAGGGATGTGGATTAAAGAACCTACAGATGTCTTTGGCTTGCTGTCCTCACTTTAATCAAATGATCGTGCAAGCACTGCCTGGGGTACTTTTAGAACCGCCTGGTATTTAACGAGTTAGAATTCCATGCAAGTTAATAACTCTCCTCTTCTAAATAGAAAACACGCCTGGAAGGTCTGAGGCTATGAGTCACCTACACATTAATATGAATTTGGGTTGTTTTTCTAATAGCCAACTAAAATTGACAGCACTAAAATGGAAATTTAAAAGAGGGGAAGAGGAAAAATGTAATTTGAACATTTGAACATGGGATGTCAGGTTGGGAAGGAAACAATAAAGGATGAGAATATTTTTAATGTCTTAACGATATAAAAACATTATTTAAAGTGGTTAAAGAAAAATGCCATGCTCATACCTGTCTCCTTTAGCTTTGTCCAGTTCTCCTCCCCATAAACAGCCAGTATGATTAATTTCTTTTATGTCCGTCCTTCCAGATAGAGTTTACACACATATAAGCTAATATGCATAAATATACATATACATGTGTATATATTCATTTCTCCATTTTTACACAAATTATTTAAAATGGAGAAGTTCAATTTACCACCTTTATTCTTCTTGCTTAATAAAGTGTGTTGGTAACTTTACCGTAGCAAGGTGTGAAGGACTTCCTCATTCTTTTATTATGGCTCAAAACAAGCTGCACCATAACTTACTTAGCAAGTCCCCTGCTGACTTCATCCTTCTTAGGTTGAAATCTTTCACGATTTAAAACAATGCCATAATGCAAAAGTTGACACATATAATGCCATTTTTCACATACACAAATTTATCTGAAATATAGATTTACAGCAGTGGAATTGCTGGGTTGAAGGCTTCAAGCATTTTTAATTTTAATAAATATTGCTAAGTTGTCCTCAATAAAGGTTTCATTAATTTATGCCCTCACCAGGCATGTATGAGAAGACCTTTAGAATTACTTGGATAATTGTGGACTCAAGAGCAGGACTTTGTTCCTGGGCAGACAGTGAAGAATGGGCAAGAAGAGTTAGGAGAACCTAAAAATGATGCCATTTTTATTTCTGCTCTGTGCTTATAAGAGATTACAGATTACAAGCTGTTTGTGGTAGCTCATGCCTGTAATATCAGCATTTTGGGGAAGCTGAGGTGGGAGGAGGATGGTCTGAGCCCAGGAATTTGAGAACAGCTGGGCAAAATAGCAAGACCTCATCTCTGCAAAACATTTTTAAAAACAGCTGGGAGTGGTGATGCATACCTATGGTCCCAGCTACTCGGGAGGTTGAGGCAGGAGGATCCCTTGAGCCCAGGAGTTTAAGACTGCAGCTAGCTATGATCACACCACTGCACTCCAGCCTGGGATGACAGAGTGACAAGAAGAAGAAGGAGAAGAAGGAGGAGGAGAGGGAGGGGGAGGAGGAGGAGGAAGAGGAAGAGGAGGAGGAGGAAGAGGAGGAGGAAAAGGAGGAGGAAGAGGAGGAGGAGGAAGAGGAGGAGGAGGAGGAAGAGGAGGAGGAAGAGGAGGAGGAGGAAGAGGAGGAGGAAGAAGAGGAGGAGAAAGAGGAGCAGGAGGAAGAGGAGGAGAAGAAGGAGGAAGAGGAGGAGGAGGAAGAGGAGGAGGAGGAAGAGGAGGAGGAAGAAGAGGAGGAAGAAGAGGAGGAAGAAGAGGAGGAGGAAGAGGAGGAGGAGGAAGAGGAGGAAGAGGAGGAGGAGGAAAGAAGAGGGAGAAGGGGAAGGAGGAGGAGAGGATATTGCAAATTATGGAACACTTTGTTGTGTGTAATGCAGCATCTCTGTGAGTCAGCCCATACTAGAAGCAATACAGGCGAAGAAAATTAGCTATAGATTTTTCTAAGGCATCTCTAAGTGAAATTTAGAAACAATAATAATAATATTTTTATAAATGACAGGCTTACATTAATGGGAGGTCATTTAAACAGTAACATGAACTAAAAAGTTTTGATACATAGAAACAGATTCCACAGAGAGATGTGTTAACTCATTTATCTGTCATGTCTCAAGAATTTTTGAAGATTTCTTTATTCACTGTTAATTCAAAATGAATTTTGGTACACTTGTGGGTACTTATACTTTTCAAATCATCAGGCAGCTACAGTGTCTAAGGAGGCATGTAAATTAGTTATTGCATGCAATTTACTGATCACTTAGGAGATAACCCAATTAAGGAAGTGAACATTAGCAGATATAAATTTAATTACATAAAAAGTAGTTTCTGTTTTACTTGTATTTTTATTGTGCTGTGCTAAATGTGAACATCTGTAGACTTCAAGTTAAATCTCTATACAGGAAAAGCTATGTAATCAAAATTAGGGTGTGTGTGTATGTGTGTACGTTACATATTATTCACTTTGATTCTTTCCTTGGTCTTATAATTGGAAATATGAGCTAGATACACATTGCAGTTGGGCTTCATAGCTTCATCAAAATCAACTGAGCTGCCAGAACATTTTTAATGCTACTTGAAACCATTAATGACAAAGAGTCATTTGCTTACCCACGGTCCAGTCCTTCTCCAGTGAAAATTACTGGTCATGGATCTGGTGAACATTTACAGGAATCTGTAAATGAAACAGCTAAATCCTTGATGACAGGGACCCTCATAAAGCCGGCGCATGTATTCTCTCGGGGCACTCATCCCCCCAGCTGGGATCAATAGAAAATCTCAACTGATATATTCTTAAATGCCATGGTGCAAATGCTCTCTTGGCAATTTTGCAGGAGAAAAGCCCCACTTCTATTTTTAAAGAATCAACATTAAATTCACTAAATAACCCAAACAATGCTACCTAGAGTTTGATTTAATTTTAAAGCCTATAGAATCAAAATGATCATTTTTTTCCTCAATACAATACAAAAAGAGTAAGATTCAGACATTTGGAGGTTATGAAATCGCCTACTAAATAAAAGTTCATGATTTGGCCACACATCTAACAATGTAAATATTAACTGCTTTAGAGTCTCAAGCAGAAACTATGAATTAGCAACTTGTTGCAATATAATTGTTCTGCAATCTTTACTGGTTTACTCTGCAAAAAAATGATTTTAACCTCAGTAAAAGACTATATATATATATATATATACATATATATATGTATGTATTTCAAGATGCTAGCATAAACAATTCTTTTAAGAGTACATATAAAAGATGGATTCCAGGTATGATGGCTCACACCTGTAATTTCAGCACTTTGGGAGGACGAGGCAAGAGGATCACTTGAAGCCATGAGTTTGAGACTAGCCTGGGCAACAAAGCAAGGACCTACCTCTATAAAAAATTTTAAAACTTAAAAAATTAGCCAGCCACAGTGGTGAATGCCTGTAGCCCCAGCTATGCAAGAGGCTGAGGCAGGAAGATCCCTTGATCCCAGGAGATTAAGGGAGGCTGCAGCCAGCTATCATCAAGCCACTGCAATCCAGACTGTGCCACAGAGTGAAACCCTGTCTCTAAAAAAATAATAAAACAGACAAATAAATAAAAAGATGGAACAGAAGAAGTCAATGTAGGCTAAATAAAAGTCAAATTTTGATAGCAATTGGGAAAACAAACATCTCCCCAAATCAAATTTATAATAGAATTATTAGTCCCAGTCCTGATAGTATATTATAAAAAACAACAAAAGAGATTTTACCCATGTAAGTTCCCCCTTTTATAAATGTCATGACTGCTTACCTGCAATTTGCTTTTTAATTAATATGTGAGGGGGTGTCAATTCTAAAGTCTTCACATCCTAATGAAATGTCTTTGGCAAGAGTACAGATTCTATTATGATTGGTAAATTATAAGACTAGGGTAATAAAAAAGCACATGCTTTTATTTCAACTTAGAGAAACAACAAGGATAGAAAACCTTTTTATTCTTTACTTTCATTGAAAAAGTGAAAATATAAACGACACATACACACGCACAAACAATTTAGTGTGGAATTAAAAATATTTGACACAAGCGATGTATTTATTTTAAGGAGAATAAATCAGTCACTACTTACCAGATCTATTTAGTGAAATCTAAAAGTTAGAATGTTCCTCAAAGATAAAATACCTAAATGCAGTTCATGGAAGGTTTTTTTGTTTGTTTATTTTTTTTTTTGTTTTTGTTCTCTGATCCTCCCTCCAATTACCCTGATACACATCCAAATGCATAATATATTGAGAAATCTGTATAAGAAATATTATTTTCTTGGGAAGTGCATGCACCTTTCCAGCATAATCAAAGCTAAAGATTTATACTAATGCAAATTTTATTAAATCTGTTAGTAACACGTAAAGTGAACAAGTGTAAACTTACAATTCTGTCAATGACCACCTATATATTAATGAGTCTTGTTTTACTTTTTAAATCAAAACTAAAGTTTGATCATTCTTTATACTTTTTCCATGGAAAGTCCTATTTAAAATGAATAAGGCAACTTTAAAAGTTAAGAGTAATGTCTAAAATAAACACGAGCATTATTTTTTAAAACTGCGAACATAGTTTGGTTTAGGCAATAGCCTGGGAGGCAACAAGCCAGCAGGAGGCTGGGAGGATTAGCCCTAATTACCTCATGTTTCACCTTAATTAACTCCTGATACATAAAGTAAACGCTGCAGGAGTGATGGAGAAACCTTAGGCCAGTAGGCAAGATAGCTAAGCTCTCTTTATTTGCACATGATAATTTTTCTTTTGAATTTCCCTTAACTCCTCCAAAAGATCAAATGATGGACACATGTTGTACTGTAATTAGCTTTGCTACATTTTTCATATTTGTTCTTGGCATGAAACCACATTTCCAGCAAGGCAATGTGTCAGTAAATTGGAACCATAATTTTATGATATTTGTTTATAAGATCATATAAATATCTAAAGAAACGATTCTAAAAGGCTTAGAGAAAACTACTCTAGAGTTGATTTTTTTTTAGAAATCATTTGGCCAACCCACTCATGACTTTCTTTTAATCCACCAAAAGCCCATTTTCTAGATGTCCCTGCACCATATATTCTTTGAAAGCATGAGGCAATGTGAATACTGTCCATTCCTTTGTCACTTAGGATAGATATATATCCACAAACATAAAAAAGAATTATTGCCTGGGTGGTTCACTCTTGTAATTCCAGCACTTTGGGAGGCCAAGGCAGCAGGTTTGCTTGAGCCCAGGAGTTTAAGACCAGCCTGGGAAACATAGCAAGACCCTATATCTATATATAAAAAGAGTTACAGCTATTAAAAACGTTAAACATTTCTCCTGTCTTTGCTCATAAAGAAATCTCATTAGTGCAACCTGAACTCGAAATGCAAGGTCCAATGTGTTAAATTTAAAATGTAAACTTTGAGAAAGTCATGTACTGTACATTTTCTTCCAAGCCTCACATTGCTACAAAGAAGCATAAAATAATTCAAAGAGCAAAAATAGTTAGAAATTGTGACTTGTCTCCGAGAAATGGGAAAGCATGAAGTGGGGACAAAAAGGGGCACCATAGCCTAGAACTTTCAAAATATGTGAAAACAAAATGAGCCACCTGCAGTCATATTTTTACTTTTCAACTTATAGGTAAATATATTTTAATATCTTGGGAAAAAAAATAAAACAAGGACAGAATTAGGCTTAGCATCCAATTAATAAGTATTACTAATTGAAATTGTTTTCCAGTCAGCACTCCTTTTGCATTGAATATACAGTATTAATAAGGCCATGTTGATAAAATATTTATCTTTATTATCTCAAACTTTGATACAAACAAAAAAATAATTGATCCATTAATTTCTGACTCTGCCATTTTCACTCCAATTTTTATTTAAAAGGTAAAAATAAGTACGTAAGATAGCATCACAACACAAATATTCTGGAGAAATCCCTATGATATGGTTTGACTCTGTGTCCCCACCCAAATCTCATCTCGAATTATAATCCCATATATCAAGGAAGGGACATGCTGGGAGGTGACCGGATTATGGGGGTGGTTTCCCCCATGCTCGTCTCATGACAGTGAGTGAGTGAGTTCTCAGGAGAGCTGATGCTTTTAAAGTGCTTTTGAAGAAGCTCTTCCCCTTCGCTTCCTCTCTTGCCTGCAGCCATGTAAGGCTGTGCCTTGCTTTCCCTTCACCTTCTGCCATGACTGTAAGTTTCCTGAGGCCTCCACAGCCATGCAGAACTGTGAGTCAATTAAACCTCCTTTCTTTATAAATTGTGCAGTCTCAGGGAGTATCTTTATGGCTCTGTGGAGACTATATACATTTTGGACTATATGCATTTTACTTCATACCTCTACTTTTTGCCATTCAAATCAAATTCACGTTTATCTTTTCATGACATACAGGGATCAGCAAACATTTTCTTCAATGGGTCAGATAGTAAATATTTTCTGCATTGAATTTTGCTGAATTTGGCCCAACAGACCTTTTTGCTCACCTCTGCACTATCAAATTATATTTCTTGCATTCCAACATCATTGTTTGTGGTTTTTCCTTTTTCCCTCCCAACTCCTAAACTATTAGAAATCTTTAATTTTTTAGTAGACTTATAAACATTAAGAGTTGGAAGAGGCTTATACTTTTTATAACTAATATTTATATTCATTATATTTATACATAATTATATTTATAGCTAATATTTATCCCACACTCAGTAATTGCAATTCTGACTTCTAAACATTTTCAAACACTAGAGTTCTACCTGCAATGTTAAGTTATATTTAGGGCAGAACATAACACACATTCACTTTAAAGACATAACTGCTATTTAAAACTTAATCATAATTAGAATATGAAGATAGATATGAATGGTACTATGATATTTTTAATTTTTTGGTGAATCAAATACATCTGTAATGTTTAAATAAATTACATATATTTTACAAAGAAAGCTCTAAAATACTATTTTATTTTTACAGAGAAGAATATTCTCTACATTTTTACTGTTTACAATGAAATGTATCAAATCAAAATAAGTAAATATCAGTGCAACATTCATACACTATCATATTCACTCATTTATTTATTTGTCCATTTAGTTGTAAGTTCTTATTCATCCTTTATTGTGCTCTCTCAGCCCTGAGCTAGCAATACTATACATGAAATAGGAAGTTCATGATGTGTTAAAAATAACTGAAGATCCAAAAGTGTTTTGTAAGAGAGATCACTGCTTCCAAGAAACTCATAGTCTCGTGGGATAGGTAGGTAAACAAACAATTCTGTGATTTTTGCTTTCAGGGAAGTGCATGTTCAAGGAACACAAGACATGGGAGAAACAACATCAGTTGGGGAGAGTATTAGAAAATTTCAGACAAGAGAAGACATCAGCCCTAGAGCTTTACTCAGCACATATTGAAATCTATTATTCAAAATCAGTTCCAATGTCTCTTTTGTCATGCTATTATTTGAACACAATTAATTCCCATTGATTGAAATTACTTTCATTTTATTCTTTTGGATTTTTAAAAAGCTTATAACAAACGTAATTATAACAAGCAAAGCAAATGAATATTTTACTTCCATTTTGCCAAATTTCCTATAATTGATTCCAGGTAAGTTCCCCTATCCCCCATTAAATTCTAAGAATATCCATATGTCCCCTGTAAAACGTTACCTTAGTCATTTGGAGGGAATTTTCCTTCTTTCATATTTCAGTTGAACATATGCAAAGAATGACATGCTTTGAACTGCAAAATACATCTTTTCATAATAAAAACAAGTTCTAGAATTCCATGTTTATGCCTTGCCATACTGCTGACCTTTATGATCCTTTGTTATTTGTGTGTTTATTTCTAGACTGATTACTAAGTTTAATAATGACATCTGTAGGCTCTTAAAATGTCTGAGCTAGTTGTCCAACAACTGTTAGAAGACATACTGCAAGTGACACAGAAGAAAAAATGTAATCATGAAATTATCTGTTTCATATAAACACAACTAAGAGATGATTTTGCCTCCTTACATCCTACAAATACACACACACTTAATGTTTATATAGAGGGGCTGTGTACATAAACTTACACATGAGATATTATATTCCATAAGGCTTTGCTCTATTTTAATAATTTCCCCATGCCCTATGCTTATTTAAAAACCAAGAATCCATGAGTTATTATATATAGAGACTGTCATATAACATTTTTGCAGCCTCAGTGTTATGAGGAATTATTATTCCCCAATTCTTTCCTCATAATAAAAAATAACTATGGTATTTGTGTACCTTTAACTGGATGCTGGTGCTAGTGTTTTATTTCAGCAAATGCCAACTTGAAAACCAACCATTTTCGAGCCTAGTGCCAATTTGGAAAAGTGACCTATTCCAAGCAATTCAGGCTTGAGAACAGAGTGCCAACTTAAAAAAAAAACTCTCTCCATTGGTCTGATTCAAACTCCACTTTTTTCATCTTGATTTATTACTCCATTGAAATGTTTGGTACATAGAAATGTTCCATATGATCCAACAATCCCATGACTGGGTATATATTTAAAAGGAAACAAAATCACAAAATCACTATACCAAAGAGATATCTGCACTCTAATGTTCATTGCAGCATTATTCACAATAACCAAGATAAAGAATCAACCTAAATGTTAATAAATGAATGGATAAAAAAAAAAATACACACACACACACACACACACACACACACACACACACACACACTGAAATAACTATTCAGACTTTAAAAAACAAGGGCATCCTGTCATTCATGGCAGCATGGATGAATCTGGAGACCATTAGGTTAAGTGAAAGAAGCCAGACTCAGAAAGACAAATGCTGTGTGATCTCACTTACACATGGACTCTAAACAGTGGAAGTCATAGATGCAGAGAGTAGAATGGTGGTTAACAGAAGCTGGGGTGTGAGAGAAATTGGGGAAATGTTGGTCAGAGGTTTCAAAATTTTAGCTAGATAGAAGAATAAGTTCAATAGATGGGTTGTACAGTATAGTGACCATAGTTAATGTATTGTACACTTGAACATCGCTGAAAGTAGATTTTAAGTGTTCTCACCATAAAGAAATGATAAATATGTGAGACAATGCACATGTTAACTAGC
Organism: Homo sapiens; assembly: GCF_000001405.40. NCBI lineage: Eukaryota > Metazoa > Chordata > Mammalia > Primates > Hominidae > Homo > Homo sapiens. Next base: position 77,403,177 of record NC_000003.12, on the reverse strand, counting down.
TTGGTTTAGCCATTCCACATGTATATATATTTTAAAACATGTGGTACACCACAAATACATAATTTTGTCAGTTATAATTAACTAATTAATTAATTGAAAAATGTTTGGTCTATCATTGCTTACTAATTCTGTTCCTGGTGGTGGAATGTATCTGTACGGGTCTGTAGCAACCTCAATTCTTGCCTCCTCAGAAATAGGAATTCAACTGAGGGGCATAAGGCAGAAGGAGAGTCTCAGGGAAGCTTTAGAGTAGGAGTAAAAGTTTATTAGAAACCTTTAGAGCAGGAATGAAAGAAAGTAAAGTACACTTGTAAGAGGGCCAAGTGGGCGACTTGGGAGATCAAGTGCGTGGTTTGACCTTTTAACTCAGGATTTCGTGTGCCGGCGTACTTCTGAGGCCTTGCATCCCTTCTCTCCTGATTCTTCCCTATGGTGGGCTGCCCTCATGCACAGTGGCCTGCTAGCACTTGGGAGGGGAGCGTGTGCACTGTGTTTACTGGAGTTGTACACACGCTCACTTGAGGCATTCTTCCGTTAACAGTCAAATGTCCATAGAAGGTCATATACCAGTTAAACTCTGCCATTTTGCCTTTTAGTGCACATAGTTGAGCCCATTCACCCAACTCCTGAGATATTCAGAAGTTTCTGATCACCGGTTTCAGGTGTTTCTGTTTACTGGGAGATTGCCTTTCCCTGACATGGGCTGCAACCAATTATTATTTTATTTTATTTTTAATTTTTTTTATTATACTTTAAGTTCTGGGACACACGTGCAGAATATGCAGTTTTGTTACATAGGTATACACGTGCCATTGTGGTTTGTTGCACCCATCAACCTATCACCTACATTAGGTATTTCTCCTAATGCTATCCCTCCCCTAGACCCCACTCCAGACAGGCCCCGGTGTGTGATGTTCCCCTCCCTGTGTCCATGTGTTATCATTATTCAATCCCCACTTAAGAGTGAGAACATGTGGTGTTTGATTTCTGGTTTTCTTTTCCTGTGTTAGTTTGCTGAGAATAATGGTTTCCAGGTTCATCCATATCCCTGCAAAGGACATGAACTCATCCTTTTATATGGTTGCATAGTATTTCATGGTGTATATATGCAACATTTTCTTTATCCAGTCTATCATTGATGGGCATTTGGGTTGGTTGCAAGTCTTTACTATTGTGAATAGTGCTGCAATAAACATATGTGTGCATGTTTCTTTATAGTAGAATGGTTTCTAATCCTTTGGGTATATACAGATGCTGGAGAGGATTGTGGAGAAACAGGAATGCTTTTACACTTTTGGTAGGAGTGTAAATTAGTTCAACCATTGTGGATGACAGTGTGGTGATTCCTCAAGGATCTAGAACCATAAATACCATTTGACCCAGCAATCCCATTATTGGGTATATAACCAATTATTATTTTAAAGAAGCCGGTAACAAATGCCTGACCATCGCCTGATGGCTGCCTGACATTCCTGGTGTGTGTGTTGTGGGGAGGGTACTCTCCTGCTCTGCTCATATCTGACTAGCTGGCTACTGTAACGATTTCACAGAATATGTCCCTTGATGTGCTCAGTCCAATATCTCAATGCTTTCTAAAGGCCACCAAGTTTTCAAGTGCATACCCTTTTTACCAGCCCAATAGGTTTACTTCTGTATCTCCCTGTTTAAAGAGGTAGGATAGTCTTCAAAATGTACAGTGCAAAATCTAATTCAAGAAGCATTTCATAAAATTCTGAGTTGCATCTAGCGTATATGAAAATTCACATAAAAATACACTGTCCCTGCCTTGAAAAAGTTTAAAATATAGCTGTAAAGAAGAGACTTGGATTCAACACTGCATGAATTCTAGAAAGATAAACAAAATCCTCTTGCCTTTTAAGGATTGAAATCCCCTCTTTGAGTTTTTTTTTTTTTAAATACAAACAACTCTGCAGTAGTACATGACCAGCAGAAATAAAATAAAATGTAAGCTCATAGTCAATCCACCCAGAGCAGGATTTTTCAATAAACTGCAAGGACTGATGAGGAAGTAATCTAAACAAAGGCATGACATTTCTTGACAGATTTACTTCTTTCTACAATGCTTTTGTATCCTCTATGTTCATGGCTTCTATGGAGGAAATAACCAAGAATCGTGGAAACAATCCGGAAATGCCACACAACCCTATGTTTTTATTCTTGCAAGAACCCTCCCAGGAAAGGTAGAAAAGAACACAAAAATTGTATGCATAATGTTAAAACTGACTTCGAACAGAATAAGGAATAGGATTAACAAGATCAATTTTGTAGTAGAAAAACATTGAATTGTAATTAAACTTTGCCACTCACTAGGTATAGAATTTTAACAACTCACTTAACCAGGCTCTATCTCAGTTTTCCTCGTCTCTGAAGTGAAGATCTTAATACCTACCTCATGGAGTAGATGTGAGAATTAACTACATCTGCATTTAGCTCACTCGCGAATGCATAATTAGCCCCATACTAACCAATATAAAAGGGATTCTTGAACGATTACAAGGCAATCATAAAAACAATCAAAGAAGTGTGACTCAGAAGAAAAAGTTGAACACAATTTCTTAATTAAAACAAATATGGAAATTAAATATGTTAAAACAATTACTTGTACGGTTATACACTTAAACGAACCGAATGTGTTGGATAATTTCTAATGTCTAAAGTGAACGTACTGGCTCCTTCTTAGAACTATGTGTTCCAATGTCTGATTTACTTTAAAAGGCCCCCCAAAAGACTCCAGAAGAATCCACGGTTGATTTCACATGATCAATAGTTGATAAAGCCTACAGAAAAGAAAGCAGTACCATTCAGAAATATTAACTACTAATTTTTGAAAATGCCCTAAAAGTTATTGAAACATTTTAATAGCTCTGTTTGTCTGATTAGAATTCACCAAGTCAGATAATTCACAACCTATCCATTTCCTTTTGAGCTAACCCTATCATTTTTAAAGCCTAAATCCTTGGACTCATGGCATCCTGGGCCAGAAATAAGGAAAATTTTTAAATAAAATGCTAAGCTACATGGTTAATCAGTGACAATTCTAAGAAGTGGAATTTAATCAATGTCAATGCTTTCATTACTAGCTTCATCATTTTCTCTGCCTCCTCATCCATTTCCTCTCTGCTGTCTGGCCACACAAACCCTTTTCCTATACAATCCACTCACAGCAAAATACCTCTCTGGGCAGATTAACCTAGCCCAAGGCAACGCACTGCAGATTTCAACCTGCATCATAGTGTCAAGCTGATGGGTTTCAGTGGAATCACCATGACTCCTAGAGCTGTGTGAGTTAGGCAGGTTACTTAGGGTTTCTGGGGCCTCAGTTTTCCAAAGATAATACAAGTTTCTACTTTAGATAGGTGTAAATGTTTTTAAAAGATAGAGATAGCTTGCTTCCTGGCTAGCTAGTTATGCATAGATCTGGATCCATACACAGGCACCATGTGAATTCTAACCCTAAGGAGACTGCACGAACTCTATATCTATTACCATTAAGTACTATATAAGTCCTTATCATGACCAATTAAATCAATTTACTTCTAGATATATGGTCTAACCACATGTTATGGTCATTAAGGTACCATTCCATCCTCAAAAAACATAGGAATTTAGAATTTGCTTAGATTGAGGCTTTAAAACACACAATTTGAAATGTGTGCCACAGTACATGGATTTCACATCTTGATTCAGTGGCTGAAGCTGTACTGAATTGTGATTTAAACAGAAACCCAAACAAAAATATTGATTTACTAAGCCAAGTATTGTAAAAAGAAAAAAAGATTCCTAGGAAACTTCCATAAAACTTATCCTGACTACTTGTCACCAAGGAATATGTGCATTGGGCATCCTATCTGCAGAGCTTTTCTGGAGAGCTCTAGATATGAAGGGAATTAATGTGACAAAAATAAACTTAATTCTCTTTATCATTCACTCAAAGCATGTAAATAGGCTATTTTAGTAGTTAACTGTTTTAAGTGCCTTTCTAGAATCATTTACTGCCCCAAGTATTTTCTTGAAATCTATATCTAATGAGAACTGAAAGAAGGAAAATATATTTTTAAAAAATCAAACTTGGCAATTTGATTTATCTTTTCAAAGGAATTCTCAAAGGCTTGTATAAGGAACCAACTGCTAAAAGACAATAACCAATTTTGCTAATTTCTGAAACAGGACCTTGACTGTATCACTTTTAGAAGGAAAAAAAAATAACTTCTATTAACTCCAGGCTATTTTACAAGACTTGACTTTAAATAAGTTAAAAAGATAGCTAGTAATGGTCAGGCATGGTAGCTCATGCCTGTAGTCCCAGCACTTTGGGAGGCTGAGGCAGGTGGATATTTTGGCTCAAGAGTTCAACACCAGCCTGGACAACATGGTGAAACCCCGCTCTCTACCAAAAAAAATACAAAAATTAGCTGGGGGAGGTGATGTATGCCTGCAGTCCCAGCAACTAGGGAGGATGAGATGGAAGGATCACTTGAGCCCAGGAAATCCAGGTTGCAGTGAGCCATGATCATGCCATTACACTCCAGCCAGGGCGGGAGAGTGAGACTGTCTCTAAAAAAAATAAATTAAAATACAAAGAAAAAAGAGGCCTAGTAAAAATCCAGGTTATCAGTAAACCTGAGCAAGAGAAAGCCCTTTACCAAAGGAAATGATTTTTTTCCATGTAAGTAATTTTACATGGCACAAAATATACAATGAGAATTCTACTACATTCAGTCTCCCTGTTTCTCTCTGATTGTATCTCTCTGATTGTTTCAAGAACAAAACAATATCACTGGCAAAGTTAATAAAATAAAGAAGAAACTCCTCAGCTTGGCATCTTGGCTTCCCACAACCTGCTTCATCAGTTCTAACACTCCCTTCTCTCCACCAAGCTAACATTCCAAACTAACTCACTCCCTCCCGCATGTTCCCTGAAATCCTCTCTTTTGGTTTTCCTGCATCAAAAGAGTTTACAAAAGACTTAGATGTCTAAAGCTCAATTAAACCCAGAAGCTCATATAATTGGCTTTAAAATGATCCTAGTTATCTCATTATTGTAGTGAATATTAGTGTATTTCATTCATATATAAAATATAATACATACATTCTAAAAGACCTATAATGTTCTCTGTGTTATATTATTCCTCATGTTCAGAAAACAATACATCTAAATGTTAAAGACATTTCATTTAAGTACTAGGATTAATAGTGGTTTAAAAATTATCTTTATTTTTATGTCTCTTCTTTTTCTTTGTTGCTCCTAATTTTTCTTTAAGTAGCATCAATTACTAATATTTAGTAAATAAACGGTTTTGCAGACAAATTGAGAACTCAGTACAAAGCTAGGAAGAACATTTCAGAAATTTTACAAAACAAAAATTATATAGTTTGCACTAAGTAAATGGAAATTCTTCAGAAAACTATTAAAAAGATAAATGCAATTTATACACCAATTTGTTGCAATGAACATTTTATGAATACTATTGAACATTTATAGGCACTTATTTACAGGAAGATAGCATACACACACACATTTGCCAAAAGAAAGATATACATTTTTGCCAAGTGATGATGCTAGTAAATACACAGGAGGGCATCAAGAGGTTTCTTACTGAGGATCTTTTAATGAAAGTAACTAATCGCATTCACACTTACAAGGCTTCATCTCCAACCTGGGCTGCCAACCAGAAGAGAGACAGAGCCTTCTAGGTAAGAGCACATGTTATGATGGGACTCATGAAGACGGGATTGTTCTAGAGGATGCATTTCTACTTCACTATAGAAACAAATATCTCTGATTATTGCTGTCAGGTATGGCTGGTTTAAGGGGTTTACAATGAGAATTCTAGAAACCATAAAGGAGTTTCCACTGTGAAAGTTTTGATGTAGTTTGATTTCACAGAATCTCTTTTTTGGTAGGGTGCAACAAATGAACAAGCCATGATCAGTCTCACTGACTAAGACTTTTAGTTACCTACAGTTCCCGAATATGAACAGACGGACTTTCTTTTGGGTGAGAGAGCAATTTTTTCCCCAGAAACTTGACTTATTTCTACAATAACACTGAATATTTGCTTGGAAAAACTGGATAATCTAATGATATGTGTAATACTCACACAGTTTCCTGAAATTCAGATGTGACACCTTTAAATATCCTTTAAGTATTTGTAATCTGAAAATTTTAACATATATTTATATTTAATCTAAACGTGTCATAGTTTTCTGAATGCATTCGCTTTTACTATGGACCTCAAAGGATGAAGTTTCTATTAACCTCACAAATGAAAAACAATAATTGTTCTACTTATAGGTTCATAGTATCACGGAATAAATTGCCCACATAAGTGCCTTCCTTTTCTTGGTTTACCTAATGATATAAAATGACACTGACAAGATTAAGAAAAACAACTGAATGTACTTTTGCTGACTGACTAATTGCAAGATTTGAACTCTCCATCCTCATTGGCAGTTGACAGACTTTCATGACTGAGACATTTAATAACAGCAATCTAACCATGACAGGGTCTAATATGATGATTATGTCTAGAAGATATTTAGCATTGTAGAAACAAAAAACTTAATAGATACCAACACCTTCAAAAAATTGCAAGTGTTTAATTAAGTACTATAACTAAAATTTAATGATTCTGCATAATTGTCCTCAGTTGCTGATGGTCACAGTAACTACAAGAGTACGACAGCTTAAGTTCACAATAATTGTGAAGATCAGTGTTTCACGTATTCACTCTTTTGTCTCTACATTGTGATTGCAAGGTGATTAGAATGCTTTTAATAATTTGATTATTTCAAAGAGAAACAACTGAAAAATACAGAAAGAAATAAATTTATTTGAAGTGTATTACAGACTGCCTAGTTTTGAAATTTTGACTGATTTTTCTAGTTTTTCTACAAATTATAAATCCTTTGTTTCAATGGCATTGGAAATATGCATATTACCATAATTTATCTTAATCTTGTATATAGAAACAAATAGTAACCTAGAAAGCAGGTCCAAATAGGAGGTGAGATAATAATCCTCAGAATTTTAACTCAGGGATGGATGGATGCAAGTGAGAATGGCTAGTGCTTTTCTTTTTTTTTTTAAGTTTCTTGGATATAATTTTAAAAACTCATTTGAAAATATATAATTTTATTGGTTATTTGGATATCAAAAAGATTAAGTTATTGCAGAACGATTTCCTAGCAGTTGAAATTTCAGAATGCTTCCACAATTAAGTTAAAAAAAAAGGGGGGCAGGTCTGAATTCTCTAACAAAACAAAAGGACTTTCAAAGCTATGGCTCATTCATGCCTTAAAGAAGTATACAAGACGCTATGCAAAATGTAATCCAACAAATGTATAGTGAAATACATTTAAATAAAGAGCAATGTATCATGCATCGCATATTAAATTCCCTTAAAAATTCTGGTAATAAATAATTTAGTAAAGTGTTATTATCAGTTAAACTCTCATAAAAGAAGAATTGTATCATACACGATTACATTTAGATCTACTACAGAACTTATCCAGTGCAATTTTATATGAAGAGTCTAGAAAAACTTGTTGAGTTGACTAATTATGATAGCAATTACTTAATATCAGGCTGGACCTTGGGCATTCGATTAATCCAAACACATCTAAAATACAATTCAATTAAAATGCTATCAATAAAATACAAGCAAAGCTTGAATTTAAAAGCTGAATTGGTCCATATCATATTCTGACTCCTTCTAATTTCACTGCTCTCCTAAAGCATAAATCTCCTTCTACTCCCTCCAAAACACTCAATTTTTAATAAAGTAACATCTGTTTGGGGATGAGGCTATGCTACCTGCTGTTCCCCCACCCCTCCGGGAAAGCGGAAAAGTAAGCAGTTATTCAACATTATTTTTGTTATCCTAGTAACAGCTGTGGTTTTTAAAGGGATGAAGCAGGAGAAATTAAAAATAAGAATGCTTGAACACAGTGTTTGCAATCTACTACATTAAAATCAATCTATCATAATAGGAAATTAGACTGTGGCAATCCTATATGGAGGAGGGAGGGTAGAAAATAGCAAATACTGCATTACGCTCTGAACTCTTCCGTTATGCATCTATACAAATAAAATTCAAATAGCAAGAGAAACTACTAAGGAATCATTTCCTTCATAGTTTGAGTCTGTGAATGTAAACACTCTGTTAATATGAGAAATGGAGAAATACTGGGCCTATTTAGGCAAGCAGGATCTTAAAATAATTCTATATTGAATAATAGTTATTAGTGAAGAATTGGCATTAAAGTTAAAAAATAATGTAGTACGGTTAGAAGCTTGTCGATATCTTGATACCAACAGTATTGCTGATATGAATATCATATGAAACAGTGAATTTGGTGGAGTGAAGATAGGTAAGGTAAATGAGGCTAAAAAAGCTATGATGACAATTATTACAGCATTAACAATGCAGGCATTCTTGGTTATCTTTCCTGTTACTTATAAAGACTTGTTTACTGTTATTTTAAATGTAGACATGATGATTCAGGTAAAAGAAAACTGACAAAATAAAGGTGAAATGAGCTAAAGTCATTTATTCTTTGCATTCTCAAACTACATATTTCTGAAATATTGCAAGAAAGAGAAATGAAGACGCAAAACTCATCTGAGCACAAAACAAGGAACTGTGATACTGGCTCTGCTTTCTTCTTAACAGTCAGTATAGAAATACGTTTTCATTAGTTTTTTTTAATAGTAGTTCAATACTTCACCAGTCTTTTAACTGGAATTTTTTCTTCCCTTTATTATCCTTAATATATTCCACTGAGAGTTTTCTTTTCACTTCAAGAATAGGGAGGCGACCAGCCAACGGCATCTCCCTCCCAGAAGCCACTGCCATGAAAACCTGCACACTAATCAGAAATGGGTCAAATGGTCTTCACATGAAAGCATCTAACAAGGTCCCCAAGGAAGCTCTTCTAAGTGGCAGCAGGGAAAAGCACGATTGCTTTTTTATGGAAGATGGATGCTAGCTTCCACTGGCCCTTCTTAAAGTACAGATGCTTGCCGCTTTGAAGTTACTATAATCACCGTTGCTTTTGAAAGACTGTTATGGTGTTGGAAACAAATTCCCTGAGATTTGGGATTAGAAGCAGTTATGAGGGTTCACTCTATAAGGAGAGGCCGCACACATAAAAACAAAATCTGTTGCCACTGTTTGGTCAAATAAGCACTTGTAATCTTCCATTTCTCAGCTTCCAATTGTAAATATTACAATTAACTCTAAGTTTGATAAAGTCTAGTTTATATTTTAATAAATTACCATATATATAATATTCTGCAATCTTTTTTAAGTAAGAAAAGAACTCCAGATTTCATTGTAAGAAACAACCACATTGATTGAGTTAAATATTCAACAGCTAGTATATGAATAGCAAATAATGACTGTTGACTAATAATATATGACTTGGGGATCAGCCTGTGCAGAATGTAATAACTTTAATAAACTTTATATAAATATGAATATCCTGAACTATGTGAAGTTGTCTTTGCAAAGTAGTTGTTATAATTAAACATTGTTTGATGTTCAGTATAAATATATTATATATTACTATATATTATAATTATACTATACTATTAACTATATATAAAATATAATAGTTAATTCATTCACATATATAAGTAACTTACTCTGTGCTAGTCATTTTGTGGTACTGTTATCATAGGTAACTTTTCTTCTGTCCTTGAAAAACAACATTTTAGCATATACAATGAGATAGACCATTTATACTTATGATGCTTTGTCTTCCGGAAGTTTTAGTTAATGCTGTTCACCAGCTGCTAAAGCTCTAAACTGTGTTTTTCCAAAAGAAAATAGGTAAATCAGACCAAATATAAATTTCTGTTCAAAAGCAACCTTTCATCCTGCTTACCACACCTTTGCAGGTAAAAGGACATTGAGAAGAGAAATTGATACATTATTCAATTTCTATAGGCAGACAGAATAAAAATATGTTAATTGATATTATATCAATAAACAAAGAAAATAGAAAATGAGATTTCATTAAGAAAATTTTCAATAAATGCAAATTTATTCTTAAATATGGTTTAAAATATAACCAGGAAAACAGAGCTCTTCCTAACACAGAAAGACAAAAATGATGTAGTAATGACTGGTGCTCAACTTAAATTTAAAATGTGATTACAGTCTTCTGAACCTACAATTTTATGAGCATCAATGATAAAACTTCTAATATCAGCACAAAATAATAAGAAAGGTCAAATTTTAGTGGCATCACAAACTTGTTTTGTTCAAGATTTGTTTCGTATGTATAACACGGAACAGACCAAAGTTCATAATACTTCTGCAAATTCAGAAGAAAAAAGACAAAGAAATAGCTTCTGTTAGGAATAAAAAAATAGTACTATGTTTAAATCCCACAAAATTAATGTTTAGCTCAAGGATTTGCTGTTCATCTCAGAACCCCTCAAGCCTGAGGCAGGATTAGGTCAGACTCATGTTCGAACAACTGGAGGAAATCAATGGATTTCACTTTATTAATAATTAAAAGGCTAATGCAGACTGGCAAGTGATTAAAAAAGTGTAGAACACATATTTATTACTGCAATTGCAAATACCTCCACAATATATAATTTTAAATTGGGCCACACAAGAACGAGGTTATGTTAAACAAGAACAAGTAAGAGATGGAAACGAGAGTCAGGCATTGTGGTGTCCATTGTAGATTCAGCAAACTTTCTGCCTGCAGCAAGAAAAACAGAGCTCACAACTAGTTTGGATCCATGGCAGAATGCAGGGTTGCCGTTGCAGCTTATCCTGTCACCCGTAACTAAATTAATCCCTATTAGGATTTGTCAAGGGTGACAGAAACAAAGTTTGCACAAATGAAGAACATTAAAGCTCTTCTGACAGAGTCAAATAGGTTGAATTTTAGCAATTTAAAAACTGAGTCGATTAAGGATACATGGTAGACCACAGTAGCAATACCTCATGTTTACAATCCACAGTAATTTCATTATTGTAGCCACTAGTAGTCTAAATATAATTTATGAAGTCAAAGAATAGATGAATATACTTCCAAACTAAAATGCCAGCCTTCAATTTGACATCAAAGCTGCCCTTAAATATTGTTGCTTTGACAGGTCTTATTTCACAATGCAGTTTCTTCCACAGATCTGTTATGCATGGCCTGGCTAAAATTAGGATTTTTAAATATTAAGTCTCAAGGGATTAGAAAGCATGTGGAAAATAGATGACAGTAAAAGAGAGGATCCAAACCATCTAAAGTACATCACTTTACAAAAAAAGAATGCTTTCGGCCAGGAATGGTGGCTCATGCTTATAATGCCAGCACTTTGGAAAGGCCGAGCTGGGAGGATCATGTGAGATCAGGAGTTCAAGACCAGCCTGGGCAACATAATGAGGCCTCGTCTCTACTAAAATTCCAACAAAAAAATTATCTGGTGTTTTTCATGAGGTATGGCATCTTACACGGTTTGGCTGTGTCCCCACCCAAATCTTATTTTGAATTGTAGCTCCCATAATTTCCATGTGTCATAAGAGAGAGACTCAGTGGGAGTTAATTGAATCATGGGGGCAGGTCTTTGCCATGCTATAAAACCATGTCTGATGGTTTTATAAAGGAGAGTTCCCCTACACAAGCTCTCTCTTGCCTGTTGCCATGTAAGACGTCCCTTGCTGGACTACAGGTGGACTACAGGTGTGCACCTGTAGTCCAAGCTACTTGGGGGTTGAGTTGGGACGACAGCTTGAGGTGGGGAGGTTGAGGCTGCAGTGAGCCGTGATTGTGTCACTGTACTCCAGCCTGGGCTACAGAGTGAGACCCTGTCTCAAAAAAATTTCTTAAAAAAGCTTTTTGTTTTGATGTTTATAAATTATACTATAATGCAAATTTCAAAGGTTTCTAATGAAAACTTGACTTTGAATACTGCAGGTTATAAGCAATTTTTTAGGAAAGTGTTTTGTCTTCTTCTTCCTTTCTAAACTTGTACAATACTTGGCATTGTAAATACATTAATATAATAAAATATTCTCCTCCAAAATCATAGACCCTTGGTGTCCAACAGAGAGAAAGAACCTGGGAGTGGAATTAATGCCTTTTGAGGGGGATGCAGTGAACTTCAAACTGTGGCATTCAGCACTCAGAAGAGTGTCTAAAATGAAGGCAGGTCTGAAATTCAAAGGGACTGAAACACATCCAGAAGGCATAGGGAAGGGAGGGAAAACTTTCATTCGCTTACCTGCAAGCTGAAAGAGAGAAAGAGACTGGTGAGATGTGCTGAATTGTTGGGATGTTGGGAACTCAGCAGGGCAATGATTCCAATAAGAACTATTAACACTTCAGACACTGTGTATAATGAGTGCAGGGTTTACAGGAATAATGGATAATCTCGATCACTGAATGTTTTTAAAATGTAAGTGGCACACATGCTATTTAAAAATATAATGTTCATTTTTTTCATATTACATTTTGATCATAGTTGCTTTATTATCTGTTATCACGCTGCTAATAAAGACTTACCAGAGACTGGGTAATTTAGAAAGGAAAGAGGTTTAATGGACTCATAGCTCCATATGGCTGGGGAGTCCTCACAGTTATGGCAGAAGAGCAAGGGATACCTTATATGGTGGCAGGCGAGAGAGATTATGTAGGGAAACTTCCCTCTATAAACCCATCAGATCTCATCAGACTTATTCACTATCACAAGAGCAACATGGGAAAGACCCATCCCCGTGATTCAATTACCTTCTGCTAGGTGCCTCCCATGACACGTGGGAATTGTGGAAGCTACAGTTCAAGATGAGATTTGGTTGGGGACACAGCCAAACTGTGTAAGATGCCATACATCAAGAAAAACACCAGAGTACTTGACTGGAACTTTTTCTCATATAACAACTTTAGATTTTCCAGGAGGAGAGTAACCAATTTACAGGTTACCTACAGGTCGAGTAAAATAGGAATCTGGGTTGCAATCTAAGCTGCGTGGTTAAGGTGGAAGAAGGGGCGGAAGGACTGGCCTTAAGGACATGGATCTTACCACCTTCATCTCATTGATCCCACTTCCCCATAATGACCCAGGCCCAAGACTGATATTTGGAAAATCTGTTTCCTCTCTTCTGGACATAGGTTGCTGCTGTTTAAATACACTTATAGGTAAAATCACAATCTTAGAATCTTCTTTGTATCCCTTTCTAGTGAATGCGTTTGACATGATCAAGTATAAGGCAAGAGTGTAGCCTAGGCTTCCACACAGTGGAGGAGAACATCTGTGCTCTTTATCCTCATCTGGATTTAGCAACCATACCAGGTGGGGGTGAGAAAACAGACACACTCCTAAATGAATACAAAGTGGGTGAGCCAATGTCATGGTCTTGCTGAAATAGTTCTTTTTTTTAAAAAAAAGTTAATGAACTCGGTCAAAAAGAGAAATTACAAAGAAATTAAAAATAAAAAAGGGAGAAAGACATGAAGAAAAGACATGAAGGAAAGAAGGGAGGAAGGAAAAAGGGAAGAAGAAGAAAAAAAGGAAAGAAGATAAAGTAAATATAAATGTAAGAAATATATAAATATAAAATATAAATACTGTTGACCCTTAAACAACATTGGCTTGAACCCACACAGTTCTGCAATACTGCTGACTTTCCTGGTTAAATACCAAAGTATGTTGTGTGGCACTGTCCAATAGAACACTGCATGATCATGGAAATCTTTTATGTCTGTGGTGCCTAATAAAGTAGCCACAAGCCCGCATGGGGCTACTGAACAGTTAAAATGTGGCTAGTACAAATGAGGAACTGGATTTTTTTTTAAATTTTAAATTATTTAAATACACATAGGCACAGTCAGCAAGTGGGCACTCTATCATCACCATACATCTATGGAGGAAGAAAGTGGGTTAAAAAAATAAATAAGGCCTGGCGTGGTGGCTCACACGTGTAATCCCAGCACTTTGGGAGGCCAAGGTGGTTGGATCACCTGAGGTCCGGAGTTCAAGACCAGCATGACCAACATGGTAAAACCCTGTCTCTACTAAAAACACAAAATTAACCAGGCATGGTGGCGGGCGGCTGTAATCCCAGCTACTCGGGAGGCTGAGGCAGGAGAATCGCTTGAACCCAGTAAGTGAAGGTTGAGGTGAGCCAAGATTGTGCTATTGCACTCCAGCCTGGGCAACAAGAGTGAAACTCTGTCTCAACAACAACAACAAAATAGATAAATAAATAAATCAGAAAAACCCCTCTGACGTAAACTCTGAATTTACTTTACATTCTATGTATTAAAATGCTACATCTTGTCTCTATTTAAAAATTGTCTTTAGAGACATGGCTCTTTCAGACAAATTTTTTATAGATTTTATTGGTGTATTAAGGTTCCTTTCTAATTTACAGTCAATTTACTATGGTAGTAAAAGGCCACAAATTGAAGATCCATGATAAAATACTTGAAACACATCATTCCTTCACACCACAAACTGGAACTTGATATTAATTGTGAGAGAAGTCATAAAAATATCATGTTGTATCACCTTAAATATATACAACACAGAATAAAAATTAAAAACATTAGAAAATTACAATAAGGATGCCTTTAATTTTTAAAATAATTTGAGAAATGCCAAAAACAAACTTTAAAAAAGAAGAAAGTAGAGAAATAAAGAGGTGGGGAAAGAAGAGAAGGAGCGAGAAGAACAAAAGGGAAGATCCCAACATAGTTTTTCATTTGTTTGTTTGTTTGTTTTTAGAGACAAGGTTTCACTCTGTTGCCTAGGCTAGAATGCAATGATATGACTAGGGCTTACTGTAGCTTCCATCTCCTTGGGCTTAAGTGATTGTCCAGCCCCAGCCTCCTGAGTAATTGGGACTATAGGTGTGAGCCACCATGCCTGGTGCCAAAAATCTTTTCATTTGTTGAATATACATTGAAAAGATAACCCTGCATCCTTTCACATTTTAACAAAATAGTACCTTTACAAAAAAACTGCTTGTGTGTGTGTGTGTGTGTGTGTGTGTGTGTATGTGTGAATCTATGAGAATGGAGTTTGGATTGCTTATAGATATTAAGAGAGTATAACTAAATTTGCTACAAATATCTGACCACTCGGCAGGGGTAAATGGTGGGACAAGCGAAACTCATTTTTTTTTCTTTTTTCTTGATCAATTTGGAAGTTTATTTTGCCAAGGTTAAGGACAATGCCTAAAAGAGAAGTCTGAGCCTTTCTCTAAGGATGATTTAGACGGCTTCGATATTTGAAGGGGAAAAGCAGGATGGAGGTGAATGAAGAATGGTATGGCCACATTACTGAATCTACAAGGTGCAGAACAAAAGGAGCAGCTAGGGCAATAGTCAATTATGTATTTTTCTGGAGCTCAGTAAACTGACACTTTACATAAGATAAGATGAACATAGAGTAGCTACCTGTGGGGATATTTAACCTTCTGCCTGTAGCTATCTGCTTAGGAACAAAAGGAAAGGCGGATTCTTGTACGACTCAGCTTTCAGCTTTTTTTTTTTTCTTTTGGTAGAGTGAATTGGGGTCTCAAGCTTTATTTTCCTTTTGAGACAGAAATAATACAGGGTGATCGCAGGAGATCAGAAAATTTCAGGCAGCAGTTTCACATGACTATCAAAAGGAAACTTCAAATAGCTGCAGAAGCTAGGGACTGATAAGACCCTGAAAATCCAGGGTGTAGGTCAAGCGACCTAAGACCAACTGGACCCAACATGGTGCTTGATTCGACCTAGGTTTCTCCTAGGATTTCATTAGATGTTCTTTTTTTCTTCTCTTTCTTTCTTTTTTTCATTTTTTTTTTTTTTTTGAGAGACGGGGTTTCCCTATGTTGGCCAGGTTGTTCTTGAACTCCTGGCCTGAGGCAATCCTCCTGCCTCAGCTTCCCAAAGTGTGAGGATTACAGCAGGAGCTACGGTGGTCTGCCAACGCTCATTAGCATTCTAAATCACACACCCACCAGGGGCATGATAGTCCCAGAAACACTGATATTTGGTGTAAAAATGGGTGGCATCACAGTTTGAGAAATCACTACTTGCTTCCAAGATTTTTCATGAATGGGGCCGAGGCTGAAGATTTCACTCTAACATCCCAAATTTGGGAATGTGAGCGGCTTAATAAGGCTTTCATCAAGACAAGAGCATTCTTTTTCTCTCATTTTCATAAATAAGTCAGAAATACTTCAAACTCTGACCTTCAAGCTTTTCCTGTTTGATCAAGCAGAACTAATTTATAAAAAAATTATCGGCTGGGCGCAGTGGTTCATGCCTATAATCCCAGCACTTTGGGAGGCCAAGGCAGGTGGGTCATCTGAGGTCAGAAGTTAGAGACCAGCCTGGCCAACCTGGTGAAACCTTGTCTCTACCAAAAATACAAAAATTAGCCTAGTGTGGTGGTGGGCGCCTGTAATCCCAGCTACTCCGGAGGCCGAGGCACGAGAATCACTTTAACCTGGGAGGCAGAGGTTGCAGTGAGACAAGATCACACCATTGCACTTCAGCCTGGGTGACGGAGCGAGGCTCTATTTCAAAAAAAAAAAAAAAAATTACCTGGCTGAAAAAATAATTAACTCTGAGTTTTAACAGTTAGAAAAACATATTTTAATAAAATATCTTGTAATCCTCAAATATTAACTGAAATGTACCTGATGTAACACTCAAAGAAATGCTGCTACAAGGTTTCTATAATTTAATTTTCACAGTCTGAATTACAGTTAAATGTATTACATTCTATACCTAACGTGCTAAAAGAAAATTCTCTGTGTGCTTTAGAAAATCAAGTGTTCCACTGGTATCTTTTTTTAAAGTGTTAAACATTAACAATTTACTTTAGTCCTGAAGATACTGTAAATTGGAATCATAGATGGGTTATAAGAACAAGCTCTGAAGTCAGATCTAGTCAGGACATCTAATAGCTAGGAAAGTTATTGAACTTTTTAAAGTCCTATTTTTATCACTTGTAAAATGAGATAATATTAATATGCACTTCTGATGGTTCCCATAAAGATAAAGTAATAAAATGCAGGTAAAATACTTAGCACAGTACGCAGTGGATGTACTGTTAAGCATATTACCTGCATTTTACCTTCATTAGGAAATACTCAATATGCATTAGTTATTATTAGAATAGTAAAACATAAATATCATTACAAATTGACTTACATGACAATATTTCATGTTTTTATTTCTCTTTCTTGTGGTGGTTGCTATTGTTAGATTTCACTTTTAGATTTAGGATTAGAAGTGATGTGATAGAAACATTCCTGGATCGAGTGTTAGGATAACTGTGTTCTAGGCTCTGTCACTCACGTGTCTGAGGGTTTTGAGTAAGTTACCTAAATTCTGCAACAAAGTGTCTTTACTTAAGGCAGGAAAACATACAATGTCTTACTGTGCGGCAGGAACTTCATGTAACTGAGAGGGTTATCAATGGAGGTGTCTCATTTCACTTGAGGAATTCATCCCAAAGACCTCACAGAATGAAAAACTTGTATAATTCAAGCTAAGTTTTCCATAGGAATAGGTGTAAAAGATTTCTAGAGGAAGGACTTCCTCGGATATATCAGGATGAATGTTTAGGCTTTTCCCAAGCTTTGAATCATTGTTAAACTCTGTTTCAAAGTTATTTATCTTCAGATAAATGTTCTAGATCTATACACTACCACACAAAAATGTCGCTTGGGTACCATTACAATGGGATATTGAAAAGATTTTAAATGATAATAATTTTGAATTTTAAAATAACTGCACATTACTGACTAAAATTACTCACATTATTCTCTAATAAATATTTTAAAACAAGCAAATAAACTCCATATTTGGGCCAGGTGCGGTGGCTCACGCCTGTAATCCCAGCACTTTGGGAAGCCGAGGTGGGCGGATCAAGAAGTCAGGAGTTTGAGACCAGCCTGGCCAACATAATGAAACCTCCTCTCTACCAAAAATATAAACAATTAGCCAGGTGTGGTTGTGCGCACCAGTAATCCCAGCTACTCAGGAGGCTGAGGCAGGACAATTATTTGAACTCCGGAGGCGGAGGTTGCAGTGAGCCAAGATCATGCCACTGCACTCCAGCCTGGGCAACAGAGAGACTCCGTCTAAAACAAAAACAGAAACAAAAACAAAACAAACAAACAAAAAACCCTTCATATTTGAAGTTTATTGTAAACCACAGAGCCAGAGTGTTTTTGTTTTGCAGAGATTGCACTGCCTCCGAGGAAGAATTAACAGTTCAATGAACTCAACAGCTTTGAAATCATGGAAATTTTTAGAGGTAACAATGGGGGAAGGGAAATTTATAGTATCTTGTCTGTAAATAAAGTCTACAGCCATTTTCTATATCACAATATTTTAAATTCTCATTAACACAAATTCTAATTACATCTTATTTATATATACTTTGTGACTCTATAAGGAGCAGGCAAAATGTCATATGAGTTTTAAAAAGGTCTATATCTGCTCATTAATTTATTATCTTATTTGTTAAAATGACGTTCATTGAGTATCACTTATATTTCAGGCAAAGTACTGGGTAGAGGGCCATATAGACTAATAAGGTACAATTTGTGTCTTAAAGCCACACATAATCTTCTCAGTAATAGGAGACTAGAAGGCTGTCATTCAATTGTTTCTAAAAGTTGGAGAGAGGTATTTATTTCCTTGTTCAGAGAGGACTGGTTTATCGAGTATCAGGAATACTTTCTACTCCTGGACTTTTTTTAAAGATAAATAACATTGAAGAAAAACAACATTTGTTCAAACTTCACAGATCATAATATCAAGAAAGAGATGGACTTGCTGGGAAGATTCTTAGGTTAATAACTTTAGTGTAAGCCAGTGTACATCAGTCATTGAGGACTAAGCTTAATCAGAGCATCTAGGAAAGGTTAACCTATTTCAGTTTTAAGTAATAAACATCTGATTTAAAGACTTTCGGTTGGCATACATTTAGATTTTAGCATTCTGGGAAATAATTGAGCACTAGTCTCCACCCAAACATCACATAGATTTGTCATGACCAAATGTTTAAAGAGTATATATGAAAAAACTCACCATGCTTTTTAGGTTTATTTGTGAACATATTTTACACCATACTACATCTGAAAATTTTCAGGGCGGCATATTTTACATTTGTCAATTAGTAAACTCTTTCTAAAGTACTTCTCCAATGTTTGATAGAACTCATTTAGTTAAGTATTCTAACTACAATCTCTTCCCTCCTTAAACACATACAGTTAATGTCCTATTTTTGAAGCCGTTTATTTGAGATCATCTTTGCAAGTTTATGAAAACTAAAGTGATAAACCTCTATGGAATATTAGAAAGTACATAAAGGATGAAAAATCTCTTTTGTTGAAAGGAAGTATGGATGAAGCAGAGGGAAAGGAAAAATGTTAATTAAATCTTAAGTTTCTCAAAGGAGGCACTTAGTCAACCTCTTTTCCTCCATGGCAAAGTGTAGAATCCTAAGTTAACAGCTTTTAGGTTAAAATCAATATATCTACCTTTAGGGACTTAAACAAACCAAAAAATAGTTAAATTTCAACTAAACTTTGAATTAGTTTAAACAAACCAAAAACTAGTTAAAATTTCAACTAAACTTTGAGTATCAGCAGCATAAATAATTAAAACTGGCTCTACTTATTGCAAGTTTGAGCCTTAAACTTCCATTCCTGCAATGACCATAAAAGCATAAAATATATAAAACAATAAAAGAGAAAAATAAATATTTTAATTAATAGGAAAATATGGAAAACTTGTTTCCAAATTTTAATGTTACTTATATATCTTTCTCTATAGCAAAATAATAATAATAGCTATTTCATTATTGAACATCATGCCTATTACAGTGCAGTATGTGTCTAAACTTTGGCTTTTGAGTTAAAGCACAATTATTATTTTCATTTTACAGATGAGAAAATTGAGGTTAAATTATGTGTCTAAGGAAACATGCTAATGAGGTTCTAGAGTCTCATTTCTTATCAACTATATACAAGGTGGTAATAAAATTATTTCCAGTGAAGTAGCTGAAGTTTATTAATGAAAATAAGATATAAGTCAGAAGTTATTTTAAATGCATATGCAAATAGTTTCTATTTTATGCTTCCTAGCAGCAAGAAACTTGCAGATACTTGTAAAAAGTAACAAAAGAAAAACAGAAATTCAACATCAATTTTAAGTTCTCTGTCATTAAAAAAAAGTATTTTGTTGGCATGTTGGCAACTAGGAATGAAACATTACAAATAGATCTTTTTTGACACCTGCACACATATGTTTATTGCAGCACAATTTACAAATCCAAAGATATGGAAGCAACCTAAATGCCTATTGACTAATGAGTGGATAAAGAAAATGTGGTATATATGCACCATGGAATACTACTCAGCCATAAGAAAGAACAAAGTAGCGTCTTTTGCAGCAAATGGATGGAGGCGGAAGCCATTCTTTGAAGTGAAGTAACTCAGAAATGAAAAACCAAACACTGTATGTTCTCACTTGTAAGTGGGAGGTAAGCTATGGGGATGCAAAGGCAGACAGAGTGGAGTGGTAAAATGGATTTTGGAGACTCAGAAGAAAGAGGTTGGGAAGGGGGTGAAGGAGAAAAACTACATACTGGGTTCAACGTACACTACTCAGATGACAGGTGCTCTAAAATCTCAGGATTCGCCGCTACACAATTCAACCATTTAACCAAAAACAACTTGTACCCCAAAAGCTATTGAAATTACAAAAAAGAAGAAGAAAAAGAAAAAGAGAATTACTTAAAACACCTAAAAAAAGACTTTTTAAAAAAAAAAAAAAAAGGACATGTGTTTTCTACTATTTCAACGATGTAATTTAGAATGTTCTCATTCTAATGGTGTTTTTTACAGGGCCTATCAAATTTTCTCAATTCTTAAACACAAAGTATAATTTTAAATGTTAATTTATTTTTCTATCCATTTCCGGTTCACTCTTACGGTGCAGAACATTTTACTCAATGGGCAGCTCTGCCATTTATGCCTCAGCTTTAAAAAGCTTGTTTCTGAGTAACCTTCATTTTCATGTGTTCCTTTGTTGGTATGACCCTAAAATATCTGATTTCTCCAGAGATTTTAGGTTCTCTGCAAACATCAAGGACAAACTTAGCTTGGGCATTTAATACACGTTAATGGTGAGAAGGGATTGAAAATGCATTCTCCTAGATACCTCAAATTTCTCTTCAGAAAAATAGATTTCATGTCAATTGGCATCAAGTTTCACATAGCCCCTCACCCCCCATAAACATCAGAAAATGTCCAGGATAAATGTACTCTGGTTTAAAAATAAATGAAAAGAAAGGAAGACCTAAAGCAAAACAAAATAGTAGCAAAAGTAAAGGAGGAGAATCAACCAAGTGCTCACATATGTGGATATATGCAAATGGAATTTTCTGAGATTTTCAATGATGATGTTCACAAGTACCCTTGCCTGAAGTCATTTTTCTTCTTCACAGCTGAAACATTCACAAATATCTAAACTTGTGATTATCTAACCATGGGTAGTGTGTGTACTGTAATATATGCCTCAAGGGAACTGCAAATGTCAGGAAGATGCAAAAATAGTCAGAGTATGAAATCATTGAAGGGATGCTGAAAGTTTAGAAGCTATAATTTAAAAGGTCCTTCATGCACATTTTCTCTGTTAAAAACCGTCTTGCATTGTGCCTCTGAAGATCTAAGCTAGGCTCAAGAGACTGGAAATCTGATCATGGCTTTGTGGACTAATACGGCATCCTAGGTACTTTAGACCTTCTATAGATTCTATGGAAACAGGAAGTGTAAGAATCCTGTCTTTGTTTGTTTGTTTGTTTGTTTTAGATGGAGTCTCCCTCTGTCACCCAGGCTGGGGTGCAGTGGCGTGATCTCGGCTCATTGCAACCTCCGCCTCCCGGGTTCAAGCAATTCTCCTGCCTCAGCCTCCGGAGTAGCTGGGACAACAGGCAGGTGCCACCACGTCCAGCTAATTTTTTGTATTTTTAGTAGAGACGGGGTTTCACCGTGTTAGCCAGGATGGTCTTGATCTCCTGACCTCGTGATCCCCCCGCCTAGGCCTCCCAAAGTGCTGGGATTACAGGCGTGAGCCACTGCGCCCTGCCAAAATGCTGTCCTGATTATTCTAAATGTCTGCTTTAGAAATGAATGGTGATGGGTGGGGTAGCAAGGGTAGTGGTGGGGATTTGCCAGTTTCACGGGGAGAAAGAGAAAGGAACACTGTGATTTTACTCTCTTTGAGTTTGGGGGTGGGGTGAGGCTGCAGGAAGTGCATCAAAAGATCAGGGTTTAAAACATTTGCCATTTGAGACAGCGCTAATCAGCGGAGAGAAATAAAGGAAATATTCATCTTTATACAGATTAACCATTGAGATAATCTCTGTAACACTCACACCTGTGATGATGGAAGGAAGGAGGGAAGGAAGGAAGGAAGGGAGGGAAGGAGGGAGGGAGGGAAGGAGGGAGAGAGGGAGGGAGGGAAGAGGGAGAAAAAAAGAAGGTGCACTTTAGCCAAAGAACGTTTAGATATCACTAAATAAATGTTGTATAAGAAAATAAAGCACTACCAATTCTATTAATTTTTGAATTCTAAAAAAAATCCCGTCTTTTAATTGTTACTCATTGATTTTCATTCTTCTCCTTTGATAGTTATTTCTCTTTGCATAATTTCAAAAATGTTTTAACATGACGTTACACTTGGGTCCTCTGTGTTTTAACTTTTTTCTCAATCTCTCAGTTCTCCTCTTTCCATATGACAGAGAGGAACGATAATAGGCTTGTGTTCCATGAACTCAGTACATCTACGTCAACACTGTCATACTTCCAGGAGGACAGATCATCAAGAAGGAACAGATGAGACATGCTAGTGTGTTTCATCTTCCAAAGTAAAATCTGTGTTATTTTGATTTCTTCCAAAAAAAGCAAGATATTCTGCTTTGGTGCTGAGTACAAGACAAATAAAATTCCACTTCAGGTGGCTCACTGATGGCAGCTACTTTGATAAGTGTTCCTTGTTTCACACATTAATATTAGTAGACTCACTTCTCTACTGCACAGAGGCACACAGTGAAAGGGTTGGAACAGAAAGAGTGCTTTAGAAGTGACTATCCGTTAAGTCCTCCCTGAGTGTTTTAGGGCAATCCAAATACCTTTGCTTCTCCCTGGGGATAAAAAGACAGATGCTCCGCCTGTATGCAGTGAGCTGAGAGGTGCAGGGTGAAAGCTAACAACTGAGTTGACATGGGATTGAGACTCTCTCGGGGGAACTAGAAAGGTGAATGGAGTCTGAGCTGGCTGTCATTTAGAAGATGAGTGGGAGCACCAAGGCTAGGAAAGGGCATCTGGATGGAACAGGAAGAGATCCTGCTGAAGCTAAGAGCAAGCTCTGCGGGAGTGAAGGAGTGTATTGAAGTGAAGTAGCAGGTCAGGAAGAGATATTTCAGAGTACCAGAGTTTAGAGATATCACAGACTTGATTCACACATGGGGACAAAGGATAAACGTCATTTATTATTTTTAAAATGTTCATCTGAACAAACGACGTACAAAGATTTTATTCTATATTTACTTTATCAAACAATATCACATTTCTTCAAGTTATAGAGCTCTAATTCATTACAGCTACTGACGTATTAAGTTAGACAAATGTAGGATGGTGTCAGAGTCATTGACTTTTAATTTTTTTTTTTAATCAGGCAACCCTCGAACCAGAATACATTCACAGAGACTTCCTACATTTTTTAATTGAGTGCATACCAGGAGTCAGATAGCATGTAACATACTTTGGATACAAAATTAAGTCACCATATTTTATATAAAGGTATTGCAGATTAACAAAAGGCATGCATGTATTGGTAAGTACCTTAACTAAGTTATGTAAAAAGATACAGAAGTTGCTGGGCGTTGTGGCTCACGCCTGTAATCCCAGCACTTGGGGAGGCCGAGGCAGGTGGATCACTAGGTCAGGAGTTCGAGACAAACCTGACCAACATGGTGAAAACCCGTCTCTACTAAAAATACAAAACTTAGCTGGGCGTGGTGGCATGTGCCTGTAATCCCAGCTACTCGAGAGGCTGAGACAGGAGAATCGCTTGAACCTGGGAGGCAGAGGTTGCAGCGAGCCGAGATCACGCCATTGCACTCCAGCCTGGGCAACAAGAGCGAAACTCCATCTCCAAAAAAAAAAAAAAGAAGACACAGAAGTGACATCAAGGAGTGACTGATAATCTTGACTTGTTACGCATGCCGGGTTGGGGAAAGCATGGCCAGGGAAGACTTTACCGAAGAAACACGAATTGAATGGATCTTAAGTAAAGATTTTTTCGGGCATCTATGCAGAAGTAATTGCATAGTTAACCATAGCATGGAATCATAAAACAGTTCAAGAAATCTAACACCGGTTCAGAGACGGCACAAGAGAAAATTCACCCACTTCAAAATCACATAGCCTATTTCAAATATATTTACCTATATTTATATATCAATACATATATTTAATCATATCTCTCTATTTATACAGTGAATAAAACTACAGAGTTTGATGTCAGATTTGGGTTCAAATCCTGGCTTTACCACTTTGCAGGTACATGACTTTGAGCTTCTGGAACTAGAGTTTCCTCTGAGAAGTCGCATAAATTTAGCCATAGAAAGTAATGACACTGGAGCCAAATGTCCTGTTTGTTGTTATTTATTTGCTTCTAATTCTGGCTTTACAATATCTTAGTTCTGCTGTTTTCTTGAGCAAGTCCTTAAGTTCTCTGCTTCTCAGTTCCCCCATTCTATAAAATGGGGATAACATCATCACCTACCTTATAGGAACTCAAAGAGTTAATACAGGTAGGGCTCTTAAAATAGTACCTGGCAAAGTGCAAGTTCTCAACAAAATATTAGCTGAACCTTCAAGTTAGGGAGAACGATACTTACCTATTGAGTTTCAATAAGACAATGGTAATTTTCAAAAATGTTACTTTCATTCTAACTTCAAATAAAAAGGGACAAGTCTTATCTATACTACCTTTTTTAGAAAGCATAGAACATATTAATCTTTCTAAAGTCTGTTGCAAAGAACTAGATTTAGTTGGTGCCACCATTTAAAGAATTCAACAGATAAATCTTTCATCCAGTAAATATAGACATGACCTAAATTACTGCAAAGAGGAAACTCCAGAGAGTCAGAACAGAGAAAATAAAAATTATCCCTCACCTCTGGCATCTATCTGATTGTATCTTGCTGATTAGTTCTGAACTGCTCTGTTTGGCCGCCAGGCTGAAGAACTAATACCATTAGTCACTGATATTAAGCATTGTTTATGTCCAATCTAATGGGAAAGGGTTAAGGTAAGGTTCACAAAATGATTAAACACCAAAAGTCCTGGGTTTTCCTTTTGAAATGGATATACTCAACTAAATCAGATATCTAACTCCTATTGCAGTAAGTCAATAACCTTCAGTCACTTTAACAACATGGTACAATGGACAGTCAGTCCTGCCAAGGATCGAGGTCTCATATCTTTCATATGGTCTTGGGGACATTATTGACTTGTGTGTAAATTCCTGCTGGATTTGTATCCCATAAATGAAACACAACGAACAAAACTCAACTTGTATACAAGATGTAATAGAATGCTTATCTAGTTATAAAGTGAATGAGGATGTTCTCTTGTATGGATTAAGATCACTGTAATATGTTATATAAAAATTTCAAGGACAAAAAATTGTATAGTATATCAATATTTGTTTTTCAAAGGGAATAAACTAATGTACCTTTTACACAGTATATGAATTTGTTGGTGTATTTCACAAAATATTTTAGGAGGAATAACCAAGAAACTACAACATCAGTTGCCATTGGAAAGAGCAATGGATGGGCTAGGGGAACAAGATAATTTTTATTGCTTATTCATTTATATTTGAATTTTGAATTTTATTCCTTTATACTTTTGAATTTTATGTTTTTGAATAATGTAAATTTATTTTATATCCAAATATAAAAACAGTATAGACTGAAGATATAAATTTCTAAAATAAAGTAGGGAAATCAGCTTTTGGTCAAACTCACAAATCACCACATAATTGATTTTAATAAACAAGAACTGTTAAATCCAAACTTATGAGATTTACAAATAAATAAACCTGGCCTAGGAATTTCTACTTAATGAGAATGAGGAAATAATTTTAGGTGACACTTTGTCATAGATGTAGCATGATTATTTTCAGAAAATGATGGTATTTGAATTAAAATACTTCTGCTAGTCAGAATTATACCAATTGAATAATAGAAAGGGTAGAAATGGCAAGTGGGTGGTCATTGGATATTATGATATCCAAAGTCACACATGTTTCAGAACTTGAGCCCAGCCCTCTGCTAGTGTTGAGTACATACTGTCAATGGACTTGCGGTCTAATGGAGGATGCAGGGGTAAAAGATGCTTAAAATATGCAGGTAATTAACATTCAGCAAGATCTAGGCATGTTAAATGCTGGACTTTCTAAGCATATACAAGAAGGATATGCAACCAACCTAGGGAGAAAAGGGAACGGCTTCTAGGAAAGTGACTTTATAAGGGCCTTTAGGAACTGAGCACCTAAACTTCTTCAATGATACCTTGTGATATTTTAACTGTAATGCAAAATCAAGAGGAATTTTAGCTTGTTGACATAAATTTTTAAAAAATGAAAGTTAAGCTGGGTGCGGTGGCTCACGTCTGTAATCACAGCACTTTGGGAGGCTGAGGTGGGTGGATCACTTGAGGTCAGGAGTTCGAGACCAGATTGTCTAACATGGTGAAACCCTGTCTCTACTAAAAATACAAAAAAAATTAGCCAGGTGTACTGGTGCAGGCCTGTAATACCTGCTACTCAGGAGGCTGAGGCAGGAGAATCGCTTGAACCTGGGAGGCGGAGGTTGCAGTGAGCAGAGATTGTACTGGTGCACTCCAGCCTGGGTGACAGAATGAGACTCTGTCAAAAAAAAAAAAAAAAAAAAGAAAGTTAAATGCCTATTGTAATGTTCATTTGCCTTTGCCTTTTATAGTACAACTGTATTGATAATGGGATCTGCTACCAGTAGCTATTCCTTAGGGATATTTCCTGGACTGTGTCCATCTCGCTCACAATGGATGCCAAAGAGCCATAGAAACTCAAGGCACAAACATGACCTACTTGAGAAAGGGATCTCTTGGTCTGAATTGGCTTCCTAGGCCTACCTTAGACTTTTCTGGCTAAAATGCAGTACTGAAATCATCGGTAATTTCACTCTTAACTACTACTGAGCACTTCAGTACTATTTTTTCTATGTGTGTGCTGAAGGGTGAGAAAGTGTGAGCAGTGAACAGTTGTGGGAAAGGGGTAGGGCTGCAGTACAGTCTATGCAAAGGTTCTCAAATGCATGGGGATATCTCACACATCAATGTTTGTCCTAGAATGAAAGGAAGAAAACAGTTGAGAACCTCGGGTTTTACATACTCCTGTTTCCCATTAATACCAGATGACTCTTCATTATCTTAACTTGAACCCTAGTATGTTTCTAGTTTAGATAGTTTCATAGTAAAGAAAGTCTAAAGGGTTAAACTTTAGACTTAACAAAAAGTGCGGAAGGGTTAAACCAAAGATTACTAGTCAACACAAGTGAAATCGTCATGTGTAAAGAGAAGAATTTAAAGGAAATCAAATAGGCACCATCATTTGGAAAGCACTAAAAGTGAAGTTCTATTCAATAATAAAATTACAATCTTAGAATTTAAAAGGTACACCTGTTTAATGTTCTGTCTTTATTTCTGTGAGAGCTGCATGATACGACAGAAAAAATAAATGAGAAAAGAAAGACATTCTATTGTCATTGGGAACCGAACAGAGGTTAAATAGACTTTCTAAATCAATGACAAGAGGCTCCAAGAAAACATTTTAATTCCATTCATATATCTTTGTTAGAGACAAGGTCTTGCTCTGTTTCCCAGGCTGGGGTACAGTAGCACAATCATAGCTCACTGGAACCTTGAACTCCTGGCCTCAAATGATCCTCCCACCTTGGCTTCCTGAATTGCTAGGGCTACAGGCAGTTGCAACCATACCTGGCTCATTTTTCAAAAACTTTTTGTAGAGACAGGGTCTTGCTATGTTGCCCAGGCTGACCTCAAACTCCTGGCCTCAAGCAATCCTCTCACTTCAGCCTTCCAAAGCGCCGGGATTACAGGTATGAGCCAGCATGCCCAGCACCATTCATATATCTTATTGTACTGAAAGAAAAGTCTGTCTCAAAGAAATATTTTAAAATATCTTTTTATAGTAAAATACAAGGATTAAAATAAGAATTTACTGAGTCAAGTATTTTTGCTGAATTACTTTTGGATTAGTAAAGAATTCTATAATTAGGATACAAGCAACTAAGAGTAATTCAGTCAGTACATCTCAGCTACTCTCTTAGTAAACTGGCAGCAAAGTATATTTTAAACCAACATGGTAAACTCTATAAAAGCATCAGAAAATAGCACTTAGACCAAATTAAGAATCAAGTCATTGAGAAATGATCCAGAAAATAAACTTACAAAAACTTTAAGGAAGCATATTCCTAAATTATAGTTAACAGTAATCTACACAGAAGTTTAAATGGCAATATTTTCTATTTAACACAATTATTTAAGGCCAAAAAGGTCAACAGATCCTTAATTAAAAATAAATAAGTGGCTGACACTGCAGTGACATATATTTTTAATAACTATTTACTTGTCAACAGTTATCTATTTCCTAAGAAAAATCTCTCAATTCCTTTCCTTCACTGAACTTAGTCTAGTCACTTCAACTTATTATTTCATTCTTGACTCAAACCCAGATTTAATGGTTCAGGATATTTTTGTTGAAAACACCAAAAAAACTAAGACTGGCCTAATAATTTTAAAGACTGTATTCAGGTTGTAGTTTGTTTTTTTCTTTAGTCCAGCTTTTTTTTTTTTTTTTTTTTTTTTTTTTTTTTTTGATGGAGTCTCGCTGTTGTCGGCCTGGGCTGGAGTGCAGTGGTGCGATCTCAGCTCACTGCAAGCTCCGCCTCCCAGGTTCCAGCAATTCTCCTGCCTCAGCATCCCCAGTAGCTGGGATTACAGGCACCCGCCACCACACCTGGCCAATTTTTTTATTTTTAGTAGTGATGGGGTTTCACCATGTCCAGGCTGGTCTTGAACTCCTGACCTCAGGTGATCCTCCCCGCCTCTCCCTCCCAAAGTGCTAGGATTACAGGCACGAGCCATCGCGCCCCGCCAACATTTTTTTTTTTTTTTTTTGCCTGCTTTGGTGTTGAGGCTGCTCTATAATCACCCCTGTGGGAGTGAATGAAAACAGCAACTGCAGGCTCAGACAAGAGCAAGGTAGGGGAGATGACCCTTTTTCCTTCCTTTGGATAAACCCATCCTGTGAATTTTCTCCCTATAGAGAGGATTGCTGGCAGCTATAATTTATCTGATACACACAATCAAAATGTGCATTTTGCTCAGTTCCCCTTTTCACCAGGACGCAGCTTTTCTGGAGATAAGCCATTCACTTGGCATGATGCTCTTTGTACTCACTCGCAATTTTGATATTAACACTATTATTTTTGAGAAACTTGATTTCTTTATACTCTAGGAAGACCTACCATGGAAATATGATATTAATAAATGGAAAAATAAAGGTCAAATCTTGTATTATAGAAGTAAAACTAAGCAAATTAGATAGACAGACAGATATACATTTACATAGAACTATTTCAGTTCAACAAGGCCAAAGTGAATTCCAGAAGTAATAACATTTGTATCTAGTTGACTCATCATTGATATATTTTTTAAAATCACTGAAATGGAATACCACGAGAAAAGGTGCAACTAAATATGGCTTGATAATCTCTGGATATTTCCCTCTAATACTTCCACATGTCTTGCTTTATTTTATTGTAATATTTTAATTATTTTATTATATAATAATTTTAAAATATAATATTTTATATAATTTTAATAATAATTTTATAATAATTTTTATAATAATTTTATAACTTTTATAATAATTTTAAAATATTATATTTTAATTATTTTATAATAATTTTAATTATTTTATTATAAAATTTATTTTATTATATAATTTTTTCCTCACTTATGATTTTAACATACCTGGTGGAGTAAGTGGAAATGTACCAGCCATCTCCACCCATATGTAAACAGAGAGCTTTAATAGTTAATACAGAAGCACATATACTTCCTGAACTGTCAGCTGTCAAAAATACCATGAATAAATAAGGGGGTAGGTATTATTCATGAAAAAGAGAAGCTTGGCTTAGAAATCTTGTAGTAATAAAGCCTTAATCCCTGCCAATCATCCTATCTTAAGAGGAAGGAACTTCATTTAATGCAAATCCAGTGATAACAGTTTTCACCCAAACTAAAAGCAACATGGAAGATCCTCCTGTAAGGCTCTACTGATTCCCTGTACCGAGAAAGAATTGTATACTTCCATTCAACACAGATAATATTTCAACTTTAATTTACATTTTATGCAAAAATAGTATACTCTTTCTTACAAAGTTGGTAGAAGCAATTATTCTATGACTTTAAGCAACTCAGTTTTATACATTTACTACTGATGGTTATGTTTTATGCACGGTGACATGATTATCTGTTGTCTGAGAGATTAAAAATTTTCAGCTTTAGTATGGGACCTCATCATTTATTTCCTTCTCTCCTACAAACTATAAATGGCATAGAATATAATGAAAAATATAATATTTGGAGAGCAATCTTAGCATCAAAGTCAGAAATGGAAAGAAACTTAAGGATTATTTTAATAGCCCTCAAAATAGAGACGATATTGATTTATGCATCTCTTTTCCGTTTAATATCCTCTTCCTGATATAAGAATTGACTATGCCTAAACCGGACACTTTTTAATAATGCTTTTCCTTTTTCTTTTCTTGCTCCCTCCCTCCTTTCCCCTGCCTTTACTCTCTCACATCTTCACTCTCTCCCTCCTTCCTTCTCTTTCCCTTTCTCCCCCTTTTTAAAATCTCCTTCAATGTAGTTTACAGTCTCTAAATTCTTTCTTTAGCTTTAGATATTCACAGGACAATACAGAACTCTTGATGTGGATTAAGATTTTGTCACTCATAAAAGGTGGAATGTTCCAGTTATCCACATAACTCAAATCCTGGAATGGAAACTGACCAGAAAATATTAATCACCTGTAATTATTGGCAGTGTAATATTCTGTTATTCATTACAAGTGACTACTGCAGCAATTTAGTGATTTCGCATTACACAACTAGTTTTGTTTAGCTGTTAGCTAGTAAATGATGAATGAAAGTGTTTAACGGTAACACATGCCTGGTCCCGGATAAAAATCATGACCCAAATGGCCCAGCATATATTAGGTTTGATAACTGAAATACTTAGCAGGTCATTCTTAAACTTTCACAAGAATAAAGTGTTATGTAGCTATAGAACAGTAAATGTATTTTGAACTTCTATTTTTTCTTATTAATGTAGCACTTCTGAATCACTTTCTTCTTAGTTTCATAAGAAAACTCACATTATAAGAATCAAAATTTGCCTGTGTTACTTATGTGTATGCTGAGTACTACAGATCCTCTTATTTAACGTTTCTAAAATAGCCCTTGTATGTAAGTAAGGCCCTAGTATGTAAGTTCTCATTTATAATGAGAGTAAATGAGAACTTAAGTAACTTGTCCAGTGTTTCACACCTAGTGTAGATAGAGATGTAAAGGGAGAAGGGAGGCAGGAGAACGGAGAAGAGAGAAGAAACATAGAAAGAGGATAAAGACTTTGAATGTAGAGATTTTAAATTTACCCTATAAAGAGCACTACTTGTAGAGGAGACATACTAATTGAAACAGTTAAGCAATCATTCAGAAAAGTGCATAATTATGTTTTGAGATGACTTTTGTGAATGGGCTAGTGTTCTTGTTTTCTCATAAATCACCAACCTTGATCCCTGGAACATAAAGCATTTTTAAGAATTGTTAAATGAATCTGAATTTAGAAGTTTGATTCTTGATTCAGTTTCAAGATTGTCAATATAAACCAGAAAAAAATAATATCACCACCTTCATTCCCTTTGCTTTCCTTCTCATATCCGCTCTTTTTCCAGGATGCACTTCCACAACACAACTTTCCACCCCTTGAAGACCGAACTATACGACAACTGCAAAGACGTCAGAGCTTTTATGGAAACTTTCAGCTCATTTCCCTGGACTATCTAGGGCAGAGATCTGTAAAAGTCTAGAGAGTAAATATTTTACGATTTGTGGGTAATGCGGTCTCTTGTTATCAACTCTGTCTCTGCTCACCTCCACTGTGGTAGTACAAAAAATAAGTGAGTGTGGCTGTGTTCTGATAAAACTTTGTGGACACTGACACTTGCCTTTCATCAAGTTTTCATGTGTCCTACAATATTATTCTTCTTTAAAGTTTTATTCAGTTATTTAAAACCGGAAAAACCATTCTTAGCTCACGAGTCATACCAAAAAATGGCAGTGGGCCAGACCTGGCATGTGGCCGTGGTTTGCTGATCCCTCCTCTAAAGCACAGTCTTCCACAGGATCTAAATTGGAATCAGCCCACTGGATAACCCAATACACTCGACCTGCTGCCACAAGCCCAGGGAAGAAGGAGGCAGCAAAAAGCTGCAGCACCAGAAAAAGAATGAGAGAGAGTGGCAACTAAGAAGGGACTTCAACACCAAGTCAAAATCGGAGCCCTCATTTTAGCATGTACAGGAATTGTATTCATCAATATACTGAGAGATGATCAGGTTCATTTACGCTACTAAGGAGACTCCAATGTAAGGTGAGATGTATCAAAATGTGAATTCCGTTTCAAGCAATGTAGTATGACTATTACCTTTGATATACAAAGGCTAGAACTATCTAAGGAGAGCAAAGCACTTATCTAGATCAAGAACCACAACCCATACCAGTTCCTGGATATGCACTAGCAATTTTAAATTTTCGTTCCCCTTTTTGTGCCTTTTTCAAACCATCACACTTTTGTTATAACAATCCAACCATTATTTCAGAAACATTACAATACATTTCAGAGCATTACAGCTTTCTGGAAAACAGCCTGGTCTTCTAAATCTGACTTGCATCACTCTTGTTGCATCTACAATGTATTTAAACACAGTGTTTTAGGAGGCTCTGCAGATGGCTGAGTTTATTCATTAGATCTTGATTATTAATGGTTTCACTATGTGTGGATGACTTTTCAAATATCACTGTCTCCTAACACTAAAGCCCAATACATTAACTATAGATGGCCATATTTTCATTCACACATAGGCCAGTGAATAACTCCTTGCAAGAATATAACTCTTGGGACAAAGAGAACCCTACACCATTTGGACAATTTCATATTGCCTTTGGCTTAAGTCTATCCATAAAACCCTAACTCAGCCTCTCCAATGCAAGTTCCAGTATCCTCTTGCAGGGAATCAACATCAAGAGTCCAAAAAACTTTAATTGGGAGCACAAATTATCCCCTTATTTCTCACAAGTGAGCATGGTTCTATGGGATCCAATAATTACAAAAATGCAGCTACCAAAAAAGGGTCCGCACTTTCAGGTAAGTATGCAACTTGCCTCAGAAGTGCTCAGTTATGGCCTACATCCACATACCTGCTAGCATCACTCAACATTATACAAGATTATCGCTTGGTTTCCAAGAGACTGTCATTCATTTCTGCATGCATACACTGCCTCTGGCTGCAGCTCAGTGACACAGGAGGGGCACCCTGTACACATTTTTGTGAAACCTGCTACAGTCCAGGACCTAGACAATTGTGTAGCAAGTACAAAATTCAGGGGACAGATGCATGATCCTGAGAGTGAGGACTTCATTAAATTTTGCCCCCAAGGCACCTCACTTGAACAACTTTCAGGGTTGTTCAAGAACAGGATGGGCACTTGGGAGACTGAAGAGTGTGAAGCACACCCCGGGCACTTCACCTGCTTCACTCTAGTCCCAGGACAGCTTTGGCCACGATCAAGAGGCCACCTTAGACAACATTGCTCTAACTGGCTTTTCTTGAATGAACAGGATACTAGTTCTATCTCTTATATGTGAAACTGTAATTTGCCAATGTTTAAGGGATTTGCAGTGAGAGTTTGCAACCCCACCGCAAGATAAAATTTTAACACCCCCGTAAGTAGTGAATGCATAATTTTCGAATTAATTAACTCAAGTAAGGTGACTTTATGGGTGTTCACTGACTAAAGGTTATACTATGCATGTATTCATATATATGAATTTTGTCAAATAAAAGATAAATACCCAACTTTGACGTTTATAGTAAGCACTAAAAATTTTCTATCATATTAGAGATCAATTTAGGAAGGAAAGAATAATTTTCACATTTCAAATTTAAGTAGCTAAATGTACTGAGAATATCACAAAAGATACAGAACATAAGATCTAAATAAACCATTAAAATGCACACATAAACAAGGAATTGTGCGGAGACACATGTAAAATGTGTTTGCACCTGAAGTGGGCATATTAACTAATATTTTAATTGTATTCTTTTTTGAACATTAGTATATTCAGAAAAGTATAACATTAAATATAGTACATCTAGAGCAGTATCAGCTAATGAGGACATAATCCTTGAAATTCTACACAGTTGCTAAACCACCAATGAGCAAATTTGGTGCTCAAGTTTTTTTGTCTTGTTTCAACTTCATGTCACAGACATGATTCCCAAAGCCTGTTAGTAACAAAGTTTTTCAATGATACAAGCACGTATTAAGTCTATTATACATACATTTGCACATATAAATGTATATTCATGAATAATAAATTTCTTATGTGCTCTTGGATGCATAGCTTCGGTTTTCTTTATTAAAATAACAAAAAAATGAATGTATTTGACCCCCAAATAATTTCAATAAGAAAAAAGGAAAAAGATGATGGAAATTTAATACAGACAAAGCATAAAGAATCAAGGTGCTGGAGAGAATTATAAATTAAGCCCTTGAAAAACTTATGACCAGAATCTGTTTAATAGACAAACACTGTTTCATGATTCATAAATGCTCTAAGAAAATGTTTACTTGATGTGAAAATTCAGACAAGGCAGATGACACTAGAAACACTCCACTATTTATAAAAAACATACTTCTTGTCTCCTATAATTTCATAAGTTAAAATTCTTAGATGGAAGAAAATTTAGTTTTCCATAAAACGAAACTCACATCCGAAAACTAATTTTCCCTTTCCATTAAAGAATGTTATAACATTCTGAAGCTCTCTAGTCAAATATTCACATAAAGAACCACAACTGATGAACTGGAAGTGTCAGACATTGGCAAATCTTAGCATTCTAAGAGTTAACATTATAGCAGAATCCCATGGAGAGGATAAACAGAATAAAGTTCTGGAAGCTAGCGGTAATATTTCATCCAGAGAGTTTATTACACACTTTCATTGCTAAGCATAAGGTGTCCCACAGAACCACGGAAAATTACTGTTGCCTGCTCTTAAAGGTTGGAACTCTTCATCTCCTTCTGATAATTCTACAATAAAATGAAGAATATATCTCTTGGCATCTTCGTAACACCTTTAATTTTTCATGTTGAATGTCTTCTTTTTATTACCTGTCTATGAAAACTATCGCGAGTCCGGTTATGATCCATTCTGAGTTATCATCATTTCCAAAGTGGGAGATGATTCTCAGCGTGTGTACTAGAAGCCCACCATTAACTACTGGGTCGGGGGTTGGGAAGGGGAGAGTGGAAGGAATGCCGTACTCCAAGGACACTTGCAAAGTCAACAGCTGTAAAGCAATACTCTAATCATTTCCTTAGAAAAAGGATACTTAGGACTATCACCTTTTCACTTTGCTTAATCATAATTTCAATAAGAGTTATGTGCATATCTCTGGCTTAAAGGTTTTTAATATATATATTCACATAAAAATATGATCATACGGTAACCTGGTGGTCTTGCAGTTCCAATGAGTGGTATGTGTACAACATCAACAGTAGCAGCAGGATTATGACACAAAAGGTTCAGGCAAAGGGTTTCAAAGTGAGTGTCTAAATCTGTTTGAGCTGTCATAACACAATACAACTTACAGTGCAATGTATTGCTACAATTTGAATGTTTATCCTCTTCAAATTTCCTGTTGAAATCTGATCCCCAGTGTTTGAAGTGGGGCCTAATGGAGGTGGTCCCTTCATGCACAGATTAATTCCAGGGGACTGTGAGTGTCGGGGGGGTGCTGTGAGAGTTCTCACTATTAATTCCTGAAAGAACTAGTAGTTAAAAAGAGCCTGGCACCTCCCTCCTCTCTTTCTCTCTCTGTATCTCTCTGTATCTCTCTCTCTGTCTCTTTCTCTCTCTCACTCTCACTTCCTCTCTGGCCATGTGACCTCTACACTGGTTCCCCATTGCCTTCTGCCATAAGTGGAAGCAGACTGATGCCCTTATCAGAGGCAAATGTTGGCATCATGCTTCTTGTACAGCCTTCAGAACTATGAGCCAAATCAAATTTTTTTATTTATAAATTACTCAGCCTCAGGCATACCTTTATAGCAACATAAACAGACTGAGACACTTATGAACCCTAGAAATTTATTTTTCACAATTTGAGAGGCTAGCAAATCCAAGATCAATGTGCAGGCAGATTTGGTGTCTGGAGAGGGCCTGCTTTCTGGTTCCTACAGGCCGTCTTCTCAGAGTCCTCATATGGCTGATGGCACAGAGAATCTCTCTGGGCCCTCCTTTCTAAGGGCACTAATTCCCTTCATGAGAGCCTCACTCTTATAATCATTTCCCGAAAGTCCCACCTCCTAATACTATCAAATTGAGGAATAGGTTTCAACACATGGATTTTGAGTAGACACAAGAATTGTCTGTAGCAGAGAAGATGCACCCTGACCAGAAATACCCAGACCAGATTAGTCACATTCTCTAAAAGACTTGAAATTTTTTCAAACTATTTCTTTCTAAAGATCCATGCATGGATGAGTGAATTTAATGTAACATGTACTTCTTTTTACAAACTCAACAGAAAAATTCATTTAGGTTGTGTTCTCATTTCAGTTGTTATAACAATAGGAGAATATAATCATTAGGACTGATTCCTGCGATATCTGCTTTTGATGCTGAATTTTTCTTTAAAAAGAAATGGAGAAAAAAACATTTTTCTGCAATCAAAATAATTTTTCTAGTCCTTACCACCACCTTGGGTTTCAGATATTTAAAATTTTGCTAGTCAATACATTTTTCTCCTCTTCAGTGAAATACACCATGTAATATTTTGCCTAGAGCTTCCATTCACATCTGCATTTCATCGGGTTGGTTAGAATAAATCACGTCATGCATGTTAGTTTACTCTGGGCTATACCATGAGAGGTCCTCTTATCAGCACAAAAATGTGAAAGTGATTCACAATTCATGATGCACTTTGTTACCAGCTATGTGAACGGTTTGCCAAGAAATCTGAAATACCTTTCTACACCTAAGTCTTCTGCTGAACTTAACTGGTGGTACACAAAGTGAGTGTTACACAAAGTGATGAATCTTTCTAAGGTAAGACAATTCTTTTGAGTCTAGTTGTAGGAATAGAACAGTGACTTAGACAAGGGTATACTATCGCTTCTGAAGGGACCAATAATCTACCAGACTGGTGTAAATGTTACTTTAAACTGAAAACATCTGAACTAACTGCAGCAACAAGAAAAAAAATTCTTATCTAAATTCAAGCAGAGCCTCCCAAAAAAATAGCTGTCAGTAACTCCCCTCTGAGGGTGTTTCCTGCTTGAGAGAAGACAGATCCTTAACACAAGGATGTACAAATTCAGCTGCCATAAACCCTCCTTCAGTGGAGCTTTCAGTCAAGAAGAAAACTCCATTAGCATCAGGATGAAAACAAACAAACAAAAAACAGTAGAACCTTCCATACTTTCCCACTGAAGTCTTAGAACCTCTTCTTTTTCTTTCTTTTTTTTTTTTTTTTTCCTGAGATGGAGTCTCACTCTGTCACCCAGCAGGCTGGAGTGCAGTGGTGCAATCTCAGCTCACTGCAACCTCCTCCTCCTGGGTTCAAGCAATTCTCCTGCCTCAGCCTCCTGAGTAGCTAGGATTACAGGCATGCACCACCATGCCTTGCTAATTTTTGTATTTTTAGTGGAGACAGGTTTTCACCATGTTGGCCAGGCTGGTCTCGAACTCCTGACATTAACTAGGTATACTGCTTATCCTTGGCTATTCAGCAAGGTTACTCACTGCTCCTGCCTCCTGCATGCATATGAATTAAAACTTTTCTCCTATTAATCTATCTGTTGTCAATTGATTCACATTCTCCTCTCCCATCACACACACCTAAGTTGGGACAGAGAAAGTTTTCCTCTCAACACCATGCTAGAAGTTAAAAGTATTATCTAATTAAATACTCTCAAAAAAAGCATAACAGTTACTTCTTATGTTCAACTACTATTATTCTCTTTTTACAAATTAGTCAGTTGAGCTTAGAGAAACTATTTGCCCAAGGTTATATCAGCTGGTATATGAGAACCAGTGTTCTGACCCCAAAATGGTTCTCTTTTCAATATCTACTTCCTTAACCAGAGAACCTCTGATATGCCTGTTACTGACTCTTTCCGTTACAGTTGATCAGGGTTTTCCAAATTTTTCCAAGTCAAGGCATAGAGAGAAAATAGTAATACACTCATACTGTCAAGAATAATGAAAGAGGCCACTTTTAGCTATATATGATCACTGTGGCCAGCCCATCCAAAGCCTCATCAAACTCTGCCCTGGTGCCCCAAGGCTAACAAGTGACCCATTTGTGAGGTCATGAACATTGCCTGGGAGGCACCACACTAGATAATATTAAAAATCATGGAGAATATAGTTCAACAAGTGGTGATAGGGAGCAGAGCTGATAATCACCAGTAGATAAACAAATATATCAGAAAATAAGACATATAGCAGGGAAGAAAAGTGAAGATAATTTAAGATCTACCCAGAATGGAGAAGCACTGGAAAGACTTTAGCAATTAAGCATTATAGAAGATGTCAGCCCCTGCTGGCTTCAATTGCCTCATATACCTTGTATTAAGATAAAATGATTTTCATTTTTTTAGTTTGTTGTGGCTTAGAAGAGAATACTCCAAAATATAATGCTTTGGCATCCCAAGGACTTTGAACTAAAGGAAATTAGAAGCCCTCAAAGCAAAGCCTCTGTCTGCCCTTCTCCCAGCCCCCTGTCTTCTGCTCCCCTTTCTCCCCCATAGTGAGTTCATAGGAAATAAAATTCGTCTTCTCCAAGGCAGGTCATAGACACTTGAATCCCTCTCTTCCCACAGCAAGTCATAAAACTTCTGAAAGGTTACTCTCTCCCTTCTCCCTTCTTCCTTGAAGACCCTCATTCCAGTGGGGCTGTGCCCTATACCAGGGAGGAAGAAATGTTACACAGAGAGACCAAGAAGTGTCTGGACAGCCTGGCTCGGTTTGCCACACTCTCAGTCTATTGTCAGCAAATCATATCCTTTTGTCCAGTCGCATTTCTAGACGGCTGTCCATTCTACGCTAAACTTAGCAGAAAAACAGATAGCTTTCCCTACATCTTTGGGTCTTCATTTTTGAAGGCTCTTGGGTCACATAAATCTTTGATTAATTTGTTATACCTTTCTGTTATTAACTTGCAACAGAGATCGTATGGCCTGCAAATCCTGAAACATTTACTATCTGACCCCTTATGGAAAAAGTTTGCCAATATCTGATATACATTGAGCTATCATTTTCTTTTTGCTACAAGAATATACAGGCCACCAGGAAATGGTTTATAAATGGTGCCTTCAACAATAATCTTCTTGCTTTTGAGCAGCTAGATTCATCTTTTCAAATGCAAATCTTACTAGTCTTTTAAAACCTTGGTAGATCTTTCCATTGAGTTTTAGTATCAAAATTGAAATAGCTTGCTGAGTCATGCTTGATCTGGTTAGACTTCCTTTGCAGAATTTTTAGTAACACTTTCTATGCTCACTGGGTTCAACCTGACACATACTTTCAATTCTTTTGTTCTTGATGCCTCATCTATGTATAAATTCACTTCCTTTCCTCTACCTGTTTGATATGGTTTGACTGTGTCCCCACCCAAATCTCATCTTGAATTGTAGCTCCTGCAATTCCCACATGTTGTGGGAGGGACCCGGTGGGAGGTAATTGAATCTTGGGGGCATCTTTTTCCTGTGCTGTTCTCCTGATAATGAATAAGTCTCACAAGATCTGATGGTTTTATAAAAAGGAGTTCCTCTCAACGCACCGCCTTGCCTGCCACCATGTAAGATGTGACTTTGCTCCTTATTTGCCTTCCACCATGATTGTGAGGCCTCCCTAGCCATGTGAACTGGGAGTCAATTAATCCTCTTTCCTTTATAAATTACCCAGTCTTGGGTATGTCTTAATTAGCAGTGTGAGAACAGACTGATACACTCTTCTTTGCCTAATTTAGTCCCACTGGGGCTTTAGTTTTAGTTCTGACAATTATCCTTTGCTTAACCAAAATTCAGTCAGCCTCCTTCTCCTAAGCTCTCCTGTGTGCTTCCTTGTAAAATCCAGTTTTAGCAAGAACCCTGCTAAGTCAGTTTAGCAAGAATCCTCCACCACAGATACCTGATCACTCTCAATATATGAGCAGGTTCTTCATCCTCCACCATCCCCCAGATGATACCTAATCACTCTGTTCTGTCTTCAGCAAGATTCATGTTTGGTTGGTTTAGTTTGAATCTTTCTTACTCCAGATGCTTCCTCTTAGCAATTTTCCATCCACTGACCCCCACTCTACTTCTTGGCTATAAATTCCCACTTGTGCATGCTATATTTGGAGTTTCGTTCAATTTCTCTCCCCCATTGCAAAATCCCATTTTCATGGTCCCTATGTCTATTGCAATAGACCTGACTAAAGTCAGCCTCACTGTGCTTTAACAAGTATCATTGACTGATTGTTTTCTTTAACAATTCAAATTTCACTTCTTCAGGGAAATCTTGCCTGACTTTCCCTTTCCAACACATTCCCCTATATGTATGAATGTCATCCTTCCCCATTATTGTATTTATTACAGTTTACCATGTATTTGTGAGATTATTTGGTTAATGTTCTTCTCCGTTAAGTTATAAATATCATTAAGGCAAGAATTAAGTTTGTTTTGCTCATCCCTTAGGACCTGACATTTTAGGCATTCGGTGAACATTTGTAAAATGAATTAATGAATCAAAGTTAACAAGATCTTAAATTTGGATTTACCCTTCCCTCTCTAATCATTGAAATGTAACTGAGTCAATTACACACATTTTTAGAGATAATACTACAGTCTGAATGTTCATGTCCCTCCAAAATTCCAGTTGGAAACTTAATCCCCACTGCTATAGTACTAAGAGGTCGGGGCCAAGGGTGTTTACGTCATAAGAGCTCCATCCTCATAAATGGAATGGGTGTCCTTATAAAAGAGGCCCAGGGCAGCTTGACCCTCCTTTCCACTATGTGAGGAAATATAGAAGGTGCCAACTTTGAAGGAGAGACCCTCACCAGACACTGAATCTGCTGGCACCTTGATCTTGGAGGTCCCAGCACCCAGAACTGTGAGAAATAGATTCTGTCTAAATTACTCAGCCTAAGGTCTTTCTTATAGCAACCTGAACCAACTAAGACAGATAGCTTGATATATAACATGTTTTTAACCAATAAATTTTCCTATACTTCTTTCTTTATAGTAGGATTTCCAGACAAAAATAAAATAAATATACAAATAAATAACAAAGAAAAAAATAGTGAAATTTGGATTTCAGATGAATAACAAATACTTTTTTGTATAGGTACTTACTATGTGAAAAAGTATGTCTGAAAACAAAACAAAACGATTTGCTCTTATCTGAAATTCAAATTTAACTGGAACAAAACTATTTGTTGTTTATCTGAACTTCAAATTTAACTGGGCAAACTGCATTTAATCTGGCAACCTTACTTTAAAAAGGTATTTTATGAAAAGTACAATTAATTTGCTAATTGAAGTACTAACTAGGCATGAGCATAAACATTGATAAAATTACCAATAGATATGCCTGATAGAAATGAAGAGATCTGGAATTTTAAACTAATAATTTTTGCCTATGCAATTTAAAAAGTCATAATCTTAATATAAGAAAATCACCAAATTAAGAAAAATCACTCACTACCAACAAGAAACTAATGTAGCCAGAAAAAAAAAATGCAAACAAAAATATTTTAGCACCCACCTCAAGTCCCTAAGAAAACCTTTGGATGCTTCCCAAAATATAGAATGTGGTCAGATGAAAGTGCTAAGAATTAAGTTGTGAAAATGTGGAGATGGGGCCCAGACACAGCAATTTGCTTAAAAAGTCAGAGAGGAGAGGAATCCTGAAACTTTGTATGCATAAAAACTACTTGGCTTCTTAAAATATGTTTAGTTTGAAATTAAAGCTAATTGCAAACCACATGTTACAGTTTTGTTAAAAAAAAAAAAGTCAACTGGAAAAGAAAAAAAATTACTCCTAGCATTTTCAGTGCTTGTATAAGGCTTGTGCTAAACCAACACAAAGAAATTTATTGGTAAAACACAGATAGTCCTCATTATCTGTATAAGCCCAAGGTGACAGTTATAGCATTTTATGATAATAGATACTGACTGACAAAGTTCATTGACTTCAATTACCTCGATGGATTTATTTTTACCTACTCCCACCTTTCCTCTCCACCCTTCATCTCAAACAAAAATTCAAAATTTATAATCACTGAATTTTTGATTTATACACAATAACTTTCTTCAAGTGTCAAATTCATTGCTACTTATGGGTAGAATAAATCCCTCCTGGGCTTCTAAATTTGGGGGGGGGGTTGCATTACATTCTAACTGTTGCAACTTAGAGCATTTGCAAATAGAATATTTAAGCACTCCCCGCCGGCCCTGACACTGCTTCCTGCATGTGGTGACTGATAAAGAAGTGGTCAGGCCCTTGGATACTAGAGAGTATTATTTTAAGTGCTAAATAAACTTAGGGGATTTCATCCCTAGCAATGCTGGAACACAGCAGAGATTTAGTACTTCAACTTCTACACTTGGCATCTATGCAGCTTACTATTTCTTTGATTAGAGGGCTGAGGTTGGGCACAGTGGCTCATGCCTGAAATCCTGGCACTGAAAGGCTGGATCACTTTGGTAGATCACTTGAGCCCAGGAGTTCAACATCACTCTGGGCAAGAGAGTCAAACCCAGTCTCTACAGAAAATAAACGATAAAAATATTTGGTGAGTGTGGTGGCATGTGTCTGCAGTCCCAGCTACTTGGGAGGCTGAGGTGAGAGGATCACTTGAGCCCAGGAGTTTGAGGCTGCACTGAGCTGTTATCAAGCCACTGCACTCCAACCTGAGTGAAAGGGCGAGACCTCATTTCAAACAAACAAACCAAAGGGCTGAATAAAGAAGGTGGTATTTCAGATGTTTTCTTTTACTTAGTGGTCTACAGATGCCCTCTCTACCCTATCTGCTCTGGTGGATGACCCAACCCACAACACACTCAGACTCACAGGTAATGGTGTTCTTCAGCAAGCCTTCATTTTTGAAGGCTCACTACACAATGATGATTGCAAGTACTCTGGAAAGGCACATATTGAAATCTTCAAATCAGCACAGGTAAATGTTTTTTCAAAACGGATGCTTTCTGCCTAAAAGGACAGACACATACATTTATCTGTTCTCTGCGTTTCAGTTTTATGCTATATGGTTCTGAAATAATCTCTCTCTTTTGAATCTTACTTGATCACACTCCAGCCACAGTCTATGATAGTTCCCAGCCCTCTAAGCCCACACAGAGATGCATTTTCCATTACTGGTCACAGCCCTGCCTGCCTAGGCAGATTTTCCCAGGTGTTTTGGCTTTTGCAGTTCAGTGAACGTGTCCCTGAGAAACGAATAAAATCCAGTTGTTTTCTTGTTTCTTTTGCATCTTTGTCAAAGAACATTTGATTCCTATTTAGATACTCATGCATTGCTTTCTATTCAAGTCGGGACAGGAAGTCAGGGTGAGAAAGAGAGCTAATCATTTCACATGAGAGAAACACTTTTGTTTCTGTTAAGGCTTTCAGTCAGAGAAGAAAATAAAGCAAAACCAAACAGAACAACTAAATGAAAAAGAACACAAAGCATACTCAGCAACAGATTTTCCTACAATGACTGTGCTCATCTTGCAGACCTACTATAATAATTTACCTTACCAAAAGGTCATTTATTCAACAACTTATTTGACTTGAATACTATATGCTCTTCTAAATAAGGAATTGGAGGAAACTTAATACAGTTTTCTTCCACTGGTTTCTTTATTGGGGTGATATTTAAAAATCTCTTTCTAAATACATTGTTATCTAGATATAAAATCTCAGTACATAATACAAATTGCTAAACACTTAAATGATGTACTATTTAGAAATAAAACATGGCCTGCGTAGATGCACGTGGATATATACTCATAGTTATTTATACATT
Organism: Homo sapiens; assembly: GCF_000001405.40. Taxonomy (NCBI): domain Eukaryota; kingdom Metazoa; phylum Chordata; class Mammalia; order Primates; family Hominidae; genus Homo; species Homo sapiens. Next base: position 77,358,608 of record NC_000003.12, on the reverse strand, counting down.
TAACATATTTTAATTTATTTTAAATGCTCAATATCTACCAAGTTCAAGAATGAAACATAAAACTTATAATGATTGCCTTATTGTGTTTTTCCTGTTGTTATGGGTTGAATTGTGTCCCACAGAAAGACATGTTGAAGTCCTAATTCTCAGTAGCTCAGAATGTGACTTTATTTGGAAATAAGTTTGTCGCAGATAAAATTAGTTATGATGATGTCACATCGGAGTAAGGTGCACTCAATCTAATCTAAGCAGTGTTGTTATAAAAAGTCAATGGAAAGAAACAAAGAAAGAATGAGAGAACAGAGGAAGGAACTGGAGTTCTAACCCCGGCAAGTTGAGGGACAAGGATTGACAGCCACCACCAGAAGCTAGGAAAAGGCATGGAAAGAGTCTACCTAGAGTCTCCAAGAGAACATGGCCCTGCTGACATTTTGATTTCAAACTTCTAGACTCCAGAATTATTCTGACAATTTATGACAGTTTGCAACAAAAACTCTGTGTTGGTTGTAACCAAATACCCAGGTTGTAGCATTTGGTTACAACAGCCCTTGCAAACCAATAAACCTGTGTACCCTTTAGCATTTCCAACGAGGAACACATTTTAAACAGGATCTTCCTGAGAAGACACTGTTTCTTTCTTATGCTTGAACTACCAGTTCAAAAGTGAAAAGACAAGAATTTTACACCAATCCTTATGGATCTTTCAAGGTTTAATTCTCTAGTCATTTTATTTCCATAGGGAAAGGTAGTTTTTAGCCCAAACCTTTTTTCTTCTATCCCTTAAACTTTACTTTCCATTTCCCTACTTTATTTCCTAATAACCCAACTGATTTAAGGCTAGGACCAGTCTCTTCCACATTTCCTTTCTCAACAGAAAAATGCTATTTATTACAGAACATGGAAGTTTGGAGTTACAAGCTTTTAAGGGAGTCAGAAGGCTTTGGTTAAAATCTTGATTCTGTCACTTAACTGCTGGGTGACCATGAATAAGATTCAAAACCAATCTATGTCCATTTTCTACATCTATGATACAGGCTGTCTTAGTCTGCTTTGTGTTGCTATGATAGAATACCTGAGACTGGGTAATGTATAAAAATCAGAAATTTATTTCTTACACTTCTGGTAGCTGGAAAGTCCAGGATAGAAGGGCTGCGTCTGTTGTGGACCTTCTTGCTGCATCATAACACGGTGGAAGGCATGACAGGGAGAGAGAATACTCAGGACAGAGGGAGAGAGGGAAAGGGGCCAGCCGAACTCATCCTTTCATCAGGAACTTAACTCCCATGAGATAAGGAACCCACTCCTGCAATAACTGTATTAATCCATTCAGAGGGCAGAGTCTTTTGCTAGAGAAATGAGAAGCATCTCATAAAGGTCCTACCTCTCAACACTGTTGCATTGGGGATTAAGTTTCCATCACATGAACTTTGGGTGACACACTCAAGCCATAGCATCACCTAACAGCTGTTGTGAGGATTAAATGATAAAATACACGAAAGGCCCTTGCAAAGTATCTGGTACACAATAACTTCTCAACAGATGCAAGTTACTGTTTGTATTATAATAATCCAAGAAAGGTCACAACGGTAGCACCCTGTTCCAAACTAAACACTTCTTCCTTCCCCTATTTTAGGCAATATTTAATATATTTCCTCATGTTACTCCATAATGTCTTCTTTAGTCATCATCTAAGCAAAATATTCTCTGTATTTTTAATAACAAAAACTTCAAACCATCAGGAAACAGAAAATAATATGTCCACATATTTCAATCATCTAGATCACCAAACATTAAATATCGTGTCATATATACTTTATATTTTTTAATAGTCAAAAATTATAGAAACGAAGCCCAACTTTGCCATCTCCCCCTGAATTAACCACTTTCCTGAGACTGTATGGTATCATTCCTTGCATATTTTAACCGTTTACTAATGGGTATTTCCCCAAAACAATATATAAATTGCGTTTTCATTTCAAAAGTTCTCATATCATGTAAAACTTATGCTAAATCAATTTGCAAGTTTTTCTATTAATCTGCCTTTTGTTATAGAGGCCTCAGTCATGAACCCAGGGATGGGTAAGAAAAATGTATTTCTTTTCGTCTACATACCCAACCCAATTCTAAGATCCTCTGTGAATATGAACTGCTATTAACCTGTTGGCCATTTGATGTGCATACAGTTGTTTTTCTCTGAATTTAGTCTCTCTTACTCTCTCTCTGTCTCTCCTTCCCTTCTTTCTTTCTGTCTCTCTCTTTCATTCTCCCTCTCTCTCTCTCATGCACACATAGTCACTAATGTGCTTTTCTTTTTATTTAGCTATCAGTAGAATCATGCTGAACAAATTGTTTTGTAACTTTTTCATTTAACATAGAACTTTCCATGATCTAGCTCACTCTTTTAACTGAGATCTAGCTCATTCTTTTAATACAGATCTAGCTCATTCTTCTTAATGGTTGCATAATATTTTATTATGCCAATAAACCAACATTTACATATTTATTTCCCTATTGATGCAAAACAATCTATGCCCACATACATAAGTATTACCATAGAATGGATTGCCAGATGTGGAATTGCTGAATCAAAAAGTAACGAGAATAAGCATATTTTTATATGTATATTGGACATCTATATTTCTTCAGTTAATTGTCTTCTCCACTTTACCCATTTTTTTTTTTTTGGATTATCTGTCTCAGAGATTGATAGCTGCTCATTATACAGTGTGTACATCAATACTTGGTTATATATGCTATTAATGTTTCTCCCTGGCTGACACTACTTTTACAGTTTTGATTATGGTGTCCTTCACCTTATGCAAATTTAACTTTTTCATATTGTAATTTTTCTCCACGTTTTGTTATGTTTTGTTTTGATGAATAAGTTTTTCTTCAATCTAAAATTATATTAAACTTTCCTATGAATCCTTTTAGTACTTTCATTGTTTTTTAGTATTAAATGTTTTGAAATTATTTTTCCTAAGTAGAAAATTATCTGTCCTACTCATATCTGCATCACTAGCACTCATGATAGATAAGCCTTCACCATATTTCCTGAATCCGCATCTCAGCACCTTCCTGCTGTGACCTATCCTCTCCCTTAATTTCACCTGCTACAATCACCTCTTCACAACCCCACTCCCACAATTACCACAGCAAAGGAGTTATTTCTATAAAACTCAAAGCAGTTTGTATCATTCCCCCACTCAAAACTCTTGGTGTACACACACTAGCATGAATGAATAGCAAATGCATTTTGCTAAGTGCAAGAAGCCAGACTCAGAGGGCTACAGATTGTATGATCTAATTTATAAGATATTCTGGAAAAGGCAAAACTATACAAGAGAAAGCAGAGCCAAACTCCTAGGGTATGCAGATGGGAAGAAGGGTTGATCATAAAGGTATGTGATAGAGCTCCTGGGGTAAGGGGATGGGAGGAAGGGTTGATCATAAAGGTATGTGATAGAGCTCCTAGGGTATGGGGATGGGAGGAAGGGTTGATCATAAAGGTATGTGATAGAACTCTTTGGAGTGAGAGAAATGTTTTGTGTTTTGGTTGTAGAGATGCTTACCTGACTCCATGTGCTTATCAAAACCCACAGAACTTTATGCTAAAAAAGTAAATTTTACTGTATATCAATTCTACTTCAACAAACTTGACTTAACAAAGAAACCTTCGGTATTTCTAGCGTGTTTGAAATGGGATGCAACGTCTTATTATGGTTTGTAAGGCTCTGCCTGACATCTGGCCTGTCTACTTCTCAACTTTATCTCCCAAACCTTTCCCTTTCACTCGTTCTGTCCCAGCCATGTGTGACTTTTCACTCTTTCCAAACCATGCCAAGCTTTTTCCCTTTTCAGGTCATTTGAACTTGCTCTTTTCCATGCCAGAAATGCCATCTTTTAATTTTACATGTTATAATTCAAAAAAATACCTATGCTCAGGTGTTGTTTCCAGGGATTCTGATTCAGATAACACCTTAATTCTACTGAACTTCCACACTGAGAGACTTCATGAAAATATGGACATTTCAGTTGACAATCTTTCCCCAAATTCTTCATCTAAGACTAGGCCTTTGGTTTCCCAGAGGTGCCTTGGTCTCACTCACATTATAAAGGCAATTTGGTTGTTTACACTCTTTTTCCAGACTTTAGATGCAAATTCATGATGCAAATTCATGCCGCGAAATAAAATTAAGTCAACAAGTGCATCAAGGCAAAGGAAAATTAACAAAGGAACAATGAAATGAAACTGCAGTGAGACCAGGAGAAAAAATTCTGCAATATTCTGTACTAAGGGTAGAGATGTGCTCTAGGTTGATCTGTATTATCTGGACTCCAGTGTAAACTGGAAAAGAAAAAAAAATTGTAATTGTCAGTGTCCATGAGACCAACAACTACTTGTTCAGGAAATAGAAGACTATTCCTGGTATTGCCCTTTGAGATCTATCTCTTCTGGGGGTTCTCAAAAGGTGTCCAAATGGCAAGGCAGAGAACAACATCCTCAAACAACATCTTACAGTAAATAAAGTAATGAGTTTCTCAGGGCTGTTTTTTTCTAAAGATCCTCAATGTGGCCCAAGGGCATAATTTCAAAGTGCAATTCAGTAAAAACAATTCAGGGTATGGAGTTGAAGGAGCAGTGGTGGGAAGAAGCGGTAATTAATGTAATTCATTTACACATTTTCTATTCTTAGAGTTTAATCCAAGAAGAGATTTCAGAAGATCTACATCAATATTTTCCATTGCATGTTCTGAGCAGTATTAATAATTACTAATTTTTTTTCTAAAGGTTCCCGGCCAGGTGCTGTGGCTCACACCTATAATCCCAGCACTTTGGGAGGCCAAGGCAGGCAGATCACTTGAGGCCAGGAGTTTGAGACCAGCCTGGCCAACATGGTGAAACCCCATCTCTACTAAAAGTACAAAAATTAGCCGGGCATGGTGGTGCATGCCTATAGTCCCAGCTACTCGGGAGGCTGAGGCAGGAGAATTGCCTGAACCCAGGAGGCGGAGGTTGCAGTGAGCCAAGGTCATGCCACTGTGCTCCAACCTGGGCAACAGAGAGAGACTCCATCTCAAAAAAAAAGGTTCCCTAGGTATGCAAGAACTATTTTGAGGCATACTGACTAATTAGATACCAAGTACGTTTATCCTTTGAACATTTTTGTTTCAGAACTCCCTATCTTGATTCAAATAAAATAGATTTGACCAAAGCTCTCCTTGGTCCTCAATCATGTCAAGAAATTCCAACTATGCTTTATCTAAAACAAGGAACGGTGATATAATTCACCTTTTTAGAAGTAGCAGTAATTGCTCAAATCTTTTACACTATTGACAGCACCCCAAATGTTTGGGTGGCCCACATCGCAGAAATATATCATCTGGTTCAATGTACAGCTTTGAAAACTTCTTAGAGAGACTACAAAGTTACAATATTCATTTGAGCACCAGGTTCATAAAGGGGGTTGGTTGTAAGAGTAACATTTTTAAAAATAAATTTTTAAACTATGAAAAAGTTTAAGCCATTAAGAATTTATTCCTTCATCATAGAATTTAAAAGAACAATTCTAAAAATAATTCTGTGGATAAGTTGTAAACACTGAGATTCAATCAAACACAGGTAGCACATGACCAATAAGATTAATAAGTCTATTGAGACAAACTACTTTATTTAAAAGGATTATGTGATGGACCATGTGAAATGAGCTGTTTAAATCAAGAAATACTCGCCATCTGCATTTTCCTGAATGCTCTCTCTAGCCGTCTTGTCACAGAGAGAAGTAACTTCCCACATCTGGGGTCTACAGTGAACTAACAGAAGATCAACTCAATAGAAAGACTTCATTCCCACTGGTGACTTTTCAGTTGATGACTTTGATGTTGCTAAGGTTGAACACTCCGAAAAATAAGGTGAAGGCAAAAAACTAAGATGAAGACAATAATATGACCATTTTTTACAAAACAAAAGTTTTGAACTTTTTTGAGACTATTCATTCTGTGTCATAGTTTTCTTCTATTGGAAAAAAAAAATCATGTTCTAATTTCTTCATGGCTTACCAAATGAACAAGAAAAGCATGTCGTAGCCTTGCAATTCTCCCATCAGGATGTCATTGACTTTAGACTCTGGGAAAAAAAAATATCGCTGTTTTGTGTAAAAACTGATGTCTCTCTCTGGGCTGATGCTGCTGTGTATAGACACAGGATGTCAGACCACCTGCATGAGAATATCTTCCACGAAATAGAATGATGCACGAATTGTAAAGAAGCCCTTGTCATTACTCCTGGAGTCAAGAGTTTTGACAACACTTCTATAGTCACTCCTGCCTACATGTTCAAATCCTAGGCCTTTTTTTATTTTTATTTTTTTTTCAGAAAAAAAAAGAGAGAGCATAAATCATTCATTATGTGTTTCTGTAGTGGTTTGCACCGAGTTTAAAATAAGGTCCTCTAGAATGCTAGAGTAAAATGCTGATACCTGCGACTCTTTTTTTTTTTAATTTTATTATTATTATACTTTAAGTTCTAGGGTACATGTGCACAATGTGCAGGTTTGTTACATATGTATGCATGTTCCATGTTGATGTGCTGCACCCATTAACTCGTCATTTAGCATTAGGTATATCTCCTAATGCTCACCCTCCCCCCTGCCCCCACTCCACAACAGTCCCCAGAGTATGATGTTCCCCTTCCTGTGTCCATGTGTTCTCATTGTTCACTTCTCACCTATGAGTGAGAACATGAGGTGTTTGGTTTTTTGTCCTATCGCAAGGACAAAAAAACCTGCGACTCTTATTGTTGGAGACCCCAGATTATATTGTTGTGCTCTTTCCACTTAGAATGTTAATATAACAAGTGCTTCCTAATTCACTCTCAACAGCTTTAGGCTGATTAGAGAACCTGGTTAATTATGACAATGATCCTCCATTCTACTTGCTGATAAATGAGACCTTCTTGATGTCTAAGGAGGTACCTCCTTGTATTTCAACGTAGATGACTCTGCCACTTTGTTAAGGGAAAATATACCTGGTGACTGTAGTGAGGCACCTTACGATTCTCAACCAAGGAACCCTTTATCTCAGTTTTTTCCTTCATTTTTGCCGATCCCAGTTCCTGGGCTTGGAGCTACCCTTTCTCATTCTCATGATCAATATCTTCACCTGCCATCATAATTTGTTTCCTGCCCAACATAAAAGTCATGCCACTCATTGTCTATTCACCTTCAATGGCTCATTTTTCATTTCTGTGGTAACTGAGTGATATCTTGATGTTAAAGAGGAATTGTTAACTCTCAGACTTAAATTCAGGTGTTCTTATGCCATCACAATGCCAGTATGTTTTGATATGTTTATGTCGCTCTTTTTTTTCCCTAAAATTAATTATTTATTCGAGATCTGACTATAGTACAACAGAATTTTGAGGTTGTCACAATAAACTTCCCTAAGATTTATCTTCCAAGGTGAAATAATTTAAAAAGACAAGTCAGGAGTAAAACAAACAAATAGGAAGGAAGGAAGCTTTCTTGCTAGAAATAAAATATTTTCCCTGAGTGCTTTGTTAACTATTATTCAAGACTTTAAAAGGGAGAAACCACCAAAGCATAACTTATTGACACATATAGAAATGCATACATGCAAGCATTAAAAATAATTTGTGACCAGCTGTGCTTGATAAATCAGAAAGCCACCAAGTGTGTGTTTAGTTCTCTGGCTGGCTGATTTAGAAACCTAATTTGCTTCTGTTGAGAGACAACCAAAGACTGAGACTCCTCTTCTGGGCCTCTCTTGTGTCCAGTTCCGTGTAGCTGTTCCTCTGGGCTTCCTCTTGCAAGTGACCTTAACGACAAGTGCCCCTCCCATTGCCTCTTGATAAAAATCTAAGTTGCCAAAACAATGGCAGCTACTCTGCAAGAGGATTCCTTCCTTCTATGAAAACCCAGAATTATCCTTGACCCACTATTCCCTAAAATGCTGAATTTCACCTGACACCTTCTGTTAAGACTCTATACAAGAAAAAAAAGTCTGTCCTTCGTCTCTAATTTAGGAGCCTCCTTCAGAGCCTGCTTTTGTGCAGCACTTCGAGTACAGAATGATACTAGGAAGTTCTGGAGTGGTTGATTTTGTTTCACACTGAAATGTTAAGAGCATCTCCATATTCAGTGGAAGTGAGGGAGGTGCAGAAGAGACTCACATTCAATTAACCAAGTAAGGGAGATTGATACATAAAATCACAATTCAGTGTATATTTACTTCAAGACAGGGTCCCACATTGTCACCCAAGCTGGAGTGCAGAGACACTATCACGGCTCACTGCAGCCTCAACCTCCTGGGCTCAAGCAATCCTCCCACCTCAGCCTCCCAAAATTACCTGGGTTAATAGCTATGTTGCCCAGGCTGGTCTTGAACTCCTGGGCTCAAGCGATCCTCCTGCCTCAGTCTCCCAAAGTGCTGAGATTACAGGCATGAGCCACTGCACACGGCATATGTATATATATATATTATATATATATGAATGTGTGTGTGTACATATATATATTTTTTTTTAATGTACCAATCGCAGGGACGTACAGGTGTCAGTGAAATCAGGATGTCTTTTCTTCCAAAAGTAAGCTTTACAAAAGCCATACTGCAATCAGAAGGTCAACTAACTTTCAATAAGAAATAACTAACATCGGGACCAGACTGCTGGAAGTACATATTAGAAGGGATTTTTCTTCTATAGACAGGCAGAGCTGCATGGAAAATTAATTATTAATCATAAGGCTGTTTTGTGATCACGATTGCAATATAAAGTGGGGTGACAAAGAAAGGCCTCTCTGAAAAAAAGTGAGTTGGTCAGATGAATCCAATGTTTATTGTCATTAACTAACAGAGTCTGATGTATCTGTGAACCCAGGAAGTTCTGGAATTCTCATAATTCACTGGCTTAGACTCCAGCCCCTAGGATTCACGTGCCCAACTTTCGCTTTGGAGTATCCTCTTGAAGTGCCTCTATGTCTGCCTTTTCTTATTAAAATGTTCTTTCTTTGGAAATGTTAAACCATTTAATCAGTAATGGTCCCTTTGGCTTAAAAGCATTTCTAGCTCTTTAAGGTAAGTGACTCATTACACGTCGATTTCATAGTGTGACTCTCAGAAGGCAATCTTATTTCTTTATTTCCAGGTTCTTGAGGGATGCTGTACTGTAGCTCCCAAGAACAGACAACATTGTATTTTTAGCACCTATTGTAGTGGAATGGAAACCGGGTTAGGAGTCAAGAGAATTGAGTTTTGGTTTAATCTTTGATACTTAACTAGTTTTGTGACCCTGGGCAAGATGTATAATTGCCTTCATTTGGAAAATAAAGAAAATAATACCTGTACTATCTACCTCAAAATGTTATAGCCAGCACCAAAACATACCATCTATCAATGTACTTTCATGTTTTATTCTTTTTTTCTCAGTATTATTTATTGACCACCTATTATATTCAAGGCTCTCATCTAGCACTGGCAGTGAGAAAAAAGCAGACAAAAATACCTTCTCACACAGAATTTAGAGGCTAGGCTGATGTTAGGTAAGTGAGAAGAAGAAGCAAGGCAGGAAACAGGAATACAAAACCTCAGGTGCAGGCGGGGATTGCAATGTAAAGAAAGGCCTCTCCGAGAAGAAGCTTTTCGGGAGAAGAAGTGAAGAAAGTGAGAGAGCCAGACAAATGAATATCTGTTGGAAAAGATAATGAAGCAGAGCCAACAGGTGATGCATCTGTAAGAAAAAGCAAGGAAGATAATGAGGACTTAGCCCTGGGGAGAGACTAACAGGAGAGAGGTCAGAGCTGTGGTGGGCACTGATACCTGAAGGCAAGGGCAGGATTAGGGAGACTTGTTAGGAGGGGTTTGCCATAATTCAGGTGACAGATAGTGCTTGCTTGACTTTAGGCAGTGGCAAAGGAAATGAACGCAATCTGGACATATTCTGAAAATAGAACAAATAGCTTTGTCAGAGGCGTGTGAACAAGAGCAACTCCATCTTGAATAGGAGCTGGGCAAAATAAGGCTGAAACTTACCGGGCTGTATTCCCATACAGTTAGTCATTCTAAGTCACAGGATGAGATAGGAGGTCGACCCAAGGTCAGAAGGACCTTGCTGATAAAACAGCTTGTGGTAAAGAAGGCAGTCCCAACCCATCAAAACCAAGATGGTGATGAGAGTGACCTCTGGTGGTTCTCACTGTTATACTCGCACCAGCGCCATGAAAGTTTACAGATGCTGTGGCAACATCAGGAAGTTACCCTACATGGTCTAAAAAGGGGAGGATGAATAATCCACCCCTTGTTTAGCATATAATCAAGAAATAACCATAAAAATGGGCAACCAGCTGACCTTGGGGCTGCCCTGTCTGTGGAGTAGCCGTTCTTTAAAAGCCTTTACTTTCTTAATAAACTTGTTTTCACTTCACTGTATGGACTCTCCCTGAATTCGTTCTTGCTCAAGATCCAAGAACCCTCTCTTGGGATCTGGATCAGGACCCCTGTCTGGTAAAAGCTTTTCTCACCACAGGAAAGGGATTAGAGGAAAAAAAGGTGTATAAAATCAAAAATCCTGGGCTTAGTTGAGCAGAAAAGTGTGGGTGGAGCAGTTTTTAGGAAGAAAAGTAGAACTCTTAGGAGTAAAGCTAGAGACGGTAGTGAAATCCATGAGAAATGATGAGATCACCTAGAAAGTACTTTAAGATAGAAAATGAGGTCTAAAAACCCTGAGCTGGAGCACTCTAAAGAAAAGGATTTGGGCAAGAAGGTGAAATTAACACATACATGAGAGAAGGAGCTTCCAGGCAGACAGGAGAAAAACAATGCAAGGCTGATTGTTCTGGAAGCCTAGTGAAGAAAGTATATCAATGATGACAGTGTGACCATCTGTGTCAAATCCTAATTTGGGGTCTATTTAGATCAATACTCTAACAAGGCCATCATAATTAGTAATGTGAAAGTCACCGTGGGTCGTAAGGGCAGTTTGCATAGAATATTTGGGGGAAAAGGAGCTGAATTTTAGACGTGGCTTAAGAAAAAAATACAAATTATGAGCAGAAAATATAGATAGGGAGAGATAAGGGGAGATATGACACACTATAGATTCTTCTATTTTTTTCTGGCAGAAATAAACATTATAGTCCTATGCTGATGGGAATTATACGGTAAGAGGGAAGGAAAGAGGGAAAATTGCTACAAAAATGTTTTAAGAACATGGAAGCGCAAATTATGATGTCTGCTTATTTATTTATATATATTATAATATTTCAGGTCTGGAACGCGAGGTATTTAATTCGTATTGTTTTGGTTAGTAGTGGTATCTATTTTGCTTTATGAACCTTTGAATAAATCAAATATGAACCTTACAGCTTTATGGTGTACTTGCAATTAGCATGGTCTTTTTCTGGTTTTCTCCAGATCTTTCCATGATTCCTTGTGTCACTGAGAACTAAACTTAAATGGAACTTCTCCTGAGTGGGCTCTCTCAGGTTACATTACTCTAAATTTCTAATCAAACAACAACACTGTGGAAAGCAGAATTCCAAAGATATCGCTGGGAGATTTCTTTCCCACATTTACTCCCTCAGGTACTACTGTGAAGGGACTCTGCAGTTGGAATTAAGGTTACTTACCAGCTGACCTTAAAATAAGAAGATTTCCTTGAATTATACAGGTAGGCCCAATCTAATAACATGGGCCCTTAAGAAGAGAGAAACTTCTCTGCCAGAAGGGAGAAAGGACAAAGGAGAAAGGGATTAAGAGAGATTCGAAGATTGAAAAGGACTTGATCGTTTTGCCGGCTTTGAAAATGGAGGAAGTGGGTATCCGATGAGGAATGCAGGCAGCCACTAGAAGGTGAGAACTAACCCCAGCCCACAGCTACCAAGAAGATGGGAATCTCAGTCCTGCAACTGTAGAACACTGAATTCCTGCAACAACCTGGATGAGCTAAAAAGCAGATTCATCCGTAGAATTTCTAGAAAGGCCAACACCTTGATTCCGGGAATGTGAACCTACTGCAGAAAGGTAGCTGAGCCTAAACTTCTTACCTACAGAAATGTAAAATAATAAATGAGTGTGGTTTTAAGCCACTAAGTTTGTGACAGCAAGTTACACAGTGATAGTTTACTAAAACAAACCCTATTTCTCAAAATACTGCTAAGTATTATTTTAAAATAGTTGTAAGAGTAGAATGAGGAGTAATAAAACTGGACCCAGGGAGAAGGTTGATATGCCATTCTATTATTAGTACAACTGGAGGAATAATCATAGCTGTATTTATAATCACTACACTAATGAAGTTTAAATGTACATTTAGCTTAAAAAGCATGACTTACATTTGTTTTAAAAGGGATTACATTTTGATCTACAAATATTTAAAATATACTAAGCAATTCATTCTAAATACACTAAATGCAAGTTTGAGAGTTACAGAATCATTACTTGTTTAGTCATGTAAACTACTCCTAAATGATGGGGCCAAAATTGCCTAATGTTTGGTTGCAAGCAATATATCATGGGTAGTTCTGTTTTAGTAACACAGAGTATTATGTAGTTTGTACTAAAATTACTAAAATTAGCACAATAATAATGAAGCACATTAGTGTATGACGGCCAAAGAACCAACCAATATTATGTGTAATTTCTGGATGTACCATCTTAGCCGCCATACAACAGCATAATTAACATTTAACCTACATTAACAGGCAAATAATGTGGCTAACATTTTAATATCACAGAGCAAATTGACTGTTAATGGGTTTAAAAGATTATTACAGTAATAAATTGAAGAGTATACTGGAAAATAATCACCACTCATTATACTGGACAAAGTCTTGATAATTTATTCTAGGCATATATTTTCACCTTTTGATTTACAAAGTTATTTAATATCATTATTCCATTAAATACAGCTAATTTAAGTGCCTAATCAGAAGAAAGACATCATTATATAAGTGTGTACCCTACAAACTAAATATAGATACAGAGGTTTAAAGATAGTTGTGTGAGTTATGAGTTGAAAACAACAAATTAATGAGGGATTTATTTTGGGGAGGGGGCATCAATTCAGTGAGCATGATGTCAAGATTATTTGTTTAATACCAAATATACTGTTTCTCCCTGTGGCAGCTAGCCTTCAATATGTCCACCAATTATCTCCATCTCCTGGTATTCATGTCCTCATGTAGACCCCTCTCACCTTGAATGGGGCTGACATCTATGACCAATACAATCATGTGTGGTAAGGGTGTGTGATTTCCAAGTCTGCCATGTTTCTACCTTCTCTTGGATTGCTTCAGAAAAAGCCAGACACCATATTTTAAGGACATACAAGCAACCCTGTGGGGACACCCAGCAGGGAGGAGCTAAGGCCTCCTGCCACCAACCAACATCATCAACTAGTCAATTCTGAGTCAACCACCTTTGATGCAAATCCTTCACCTAGTCAAGCCAGTTTCGATAACTGTAGTTTTGGCTGACATCTTAACTCAAATCTCATAAGAGTTTTTACGGTTTTTTTTAAGGGTGTTTCCCAAGCTAAAACCACAAATTATTGACCCACATAAACTGTAAGGGCTAATACATGCTTATTGTTGTTTTGAGCCTCTAAGCTTTGGGGTAATTTGTCATGCTGAAGTAGATAAGGAATGCAATTCCCTTCAAGAATTATTTATCATAATGTTCTTTATATTAGTGTAATAAATAAGGAATATATCAAGAAGAAACAGTATGTTCATGGAGAAAACATTTGAGACCAAAAAAACTTTTAATATTATTATTTTCAAAGGTACATAAAATGAGAGAAAATTCTCACAGATTCCTAAGTACTCATCACCTATCTTTAACAACCATTCAATGTCTTACTGCTCTACCACTGCTGATCTTACTATTTTTTATCTTCTGTTTCAGTCCATTTGGGCTGCTATAACAAAAAAACACCCTATACTGGGTAGATTATAAACAACAGAAATTCATCTCTTATACCTTCTGGTGGCTGGGAAATCCAAATCAAGTCACTGGCAAATTTGGAGTATGGCAAGAGCCCACTGTCTGGCCCACAGATGGCATGTTTCTGCTGTGTCCTCACCTGGTAGAAGGGACTAGAGAGCTTTCTTGGGCCTCTTTTATAAGGACACTAATCCCATTCATGAGGGCTCTGCCCTCATGGCCTAATCACTTGCCAAAGGCTCTACCTCCTAACACCATCACCTTGGGGATTAGGATTTCAACACATGAATTTTGTGGGACACAAATGTTCAGTCCATTGCATCCTCCCACTTTTCCTCTTGCATATTTTAAAGTAAGGTTAATATGTCATATATTTTAAGAAAAAAATATTTTTGATATATGAAAGAAGCTGTTCTGTATACCTGGATCTTCACATGGCTGACTCTTTTTTGTCATTCCAATTTTACATCAAACATCTCCTTCTCACCATCTTCTCAGGAGGACCTCTCTGACCATAAAAGGAGGCTCACGGTAGCCCATCCTGCTATATCAAGGTCATGTTTATATTCTTCTTTGCATTTACAGTTCTTGATCACTTATTTACTAATCATTTATTAATTATCTCCTCACCTTTGAAAATTGGCTCAAGAACAGGGAGCTTATTGTTGTTTTCCATTCTATGCTGACTCATATAACCTGGAACCTGACACATAGTAGGAGCTCAACAAACAAACAAACAAAATTTAAGAGCATTGTATTTTCTTCATTTTGTTCAGCATAAATGGTTTGCAGACTGCAGTAAAGCTCTCTCATTCACCCATGTGTTTGGTTTGTACTTGCCATTCTTTTTGCCTGGTGTTTGTTTACTCCCTTTATTTCTTCAACTGTCAAACTCAATCTCATGATCAGATGCTATCATTATTGAGAAGTCTCTAATTTACTAAAGATTGTGGGCACTGCTTCATTTGTATGTCAAGAGCAAATTATATTAAGCACTTGACACATTGCTCTGAGACTGTCTTTCTTGCCAGCTAGGAGTTCCTAAAGGGTACAATGTTGTCAGGACATTCTTTAGATCCTAAGCCCCTTAGTCTGTATCCCCCTGCATATGGTTGGGCAACCTATCAATGTTAAATACGTAAATAAGTGGGTTCATGAGCGATTAATAAAATCAATAGTAAATTTCTTGTACGTTTTTTAAGATAATTAAGAGTAGAGATTAGCGCCAGAACATAGAACATCTTTTAATATTTGAAACGCATTTTTATTATTTACTAGATTTAATATGAGCAACTCTTGGAGAAAACAGAAGTGGCCAAAGCCTATAGGCAAAGAGCTCTTAAATTTTCATGAAGAGAAAAATTCAGTCCTCTCTTCTGCTTATGTAACTCAATTTGTGTCAAAGGTACTTGCTCTGGACTGAACTATATTCTCTCAAAATTTATATGTTAAAGCCCTAACCCCCAATGTGACTGTATAGGATCTTTAGGCAATAATTAAGGCTAAATGAGGTCATAAGAGCAGCATCCTTATCCAATAAGATTGTGGTCTTATAAGAAAGTTCTCTCTCTCTCTCTCTCTCTCTCTCTCTCCATCTACCTATCCCCTTTGTCATGTGAAGACAGAGAGAAAAGGAGCTATCTGCAAGCCAGGAAGACAGACCCTACCAGAACCTGACCGTGCCTGTACCTCAATCTCAGGCTTGCGGCCTCCAGGACGGTGAGGAAATAGATTTCCATGGCTTACGCCATCCAGCCTGTGGTATTCTGTTACACTAGCCTGAGCCAACTAATACAGCACTTTAAACCACAATAAGAGGAACACAGTGCTAAGCTTTGTGGATTACATAAAGGTATAAGGTAAAACGGTCTCCAACATAAAGGTACTTGCAACAAGGGACACAATGAGAATATAATGTGTGTGTTGGGTGGGGGATGCCAACAAAAATGGTTCCACAAAAGGAGGCAAATGAAAAGCCAGGGAGAAATGTTCATCAAAAGGACAATACCACAGTGGCAGCAAATGGGGAGTCTTCTAGCTCTCTGACTCCAAGAAGCCTCCTAGCACCCCTTAAGGTGCAGGAAAAAGATATTCAGACGCAGTTTATAGAAAATGTCTTCAGGTAGACATATAAGTTTATGTTCATACATGCAACTCTCTAGTTATAAAGGAAGAATTCTCTCTACAACAATTATGAATTATTTTATTTCTAAAAATCAACTCTTGCAATTCCAACCAGAGAAGACGGTCTGTTTTTGTTTTACGGTGACCCCACACTGCACTTTCAATCCAGGTGTTGAGAGAATGGAGCTGACACATCTTACGCTTTCGAGACTTTAATGATGCCCAGAGCTTTCATTTTCTTTTACACACTGACAATGGAAAACATGGTCTCCTTATGTACAACATAAAACCTAATAAAGCATCCAGCTGTTCTTTCCCTGGTGATTCCTGCTGCTTCTATCTGAGGTGCAGTAATGTCAAATTTTCATGAAAAGGGTTAGAACACATACTGTATAATTGTACCATACTAGAATATCTATAGTATGTTTGCCTTTTTCTTTGTGCCTGTCATTATACATCAAATACACGCACGGAAGCTTTATTTCCCAGTGGCCTAAACCTAGAAGTTAATGCATATTCTTAATATCCAGCAATTTCTACATTGCTCTCTCTTGCAATATTCCAAGAATATGCTTTCTTTGTTCTCTTTTATTTCTTTCTTTCTCAAACTACAAATGCATCTATTTCTGATAAATGCCAACATGAAAAGAACTACAATATATTTATAATTATTTTTAAAGTTTTTTTTTTAATTAGAATATGCATATAACCACTCATGTTCCACATGGCCTCTGAAAAATTCTGCAAAATCTATTCCACAAAGCACAACTGTACTTACTTGTGTTGTTTTAGATGCTAAGCTGGATTACAGTGATGAGTATTACACTTTTCCAACACTGTCAAATGTAATTCAGAACAGGCAGTCTCTATAGAATGTTAGTATTCTCTTTGGTGAAACAGAGCCTTGAGAACTATTGAAAAGTTTGAGGATATTTCTTTTCATTATACAACATGTTGCTGCTTCACTAGCCACAAAATGCCACTTCCCCAGTTCCCATCAACTATGGGACTCTGAATATCTGTGGGCAAGCTCAAAGACTTGCTGGCAGTAAAATACATTAGACTTAATGGGTTGAATGTTGTAGGGCTTAAAATGTATGAGAAATATAACTATGTAAAAGACTATTTCAGGAAAACTTAAATCTACAGTCAAGATTTGCTCTTCCATTTGTTCTGACCTGGTCATTTTAGATATGGTGGATTCCCTTGTGACTAAGAAAAGGTCAGATATATAATGATTTCACCTCTGCTCTAATAGAATCTCCAAAGTAAGAGGTTCGGGGAATTAACCTCTTATATGCTAGTACTCAAACAATGGAATCGGCAAACTTGTTCTGTTAAGGGCCAGAATGTAAATGTTTTAGGATTCATGGGCCATAGAATTGTGGTATGAAAACAGCAATAGAGAATATGTAAAGTGATAAGCATGGCTACGTTCCAACAATACTTTTGAACACCAAAATTTGAATTTCACATTATTTTCACACATTATGAAATATTATTTTTCTTTTGATTTTTTGTCAGCCATTAAAAATGTAAAGAATATTCTTAACTCATAGTTGGTCAGATTTGGCCCATAGACTAGCTTGTTGATCCCAGCTCTACAAGTGACGATACTACAGAACCTAAAGCTAAACTTTTTTTCAGCCTAGTATCTTTGAGATCAGGAAAATTGTTAGCTAATTATTCTGTATCAAGCCATTACTGGCTGCCATATGAAATGCTTTCTTATACCTGGGTAATTCATACAGTATTATGATTAGTAACTAGTCTAGTGTGACCTAGAACTTCATGGGCAAAATATGACCAAGCTGCTTTAAAATACAAAAGCTAGCCAGCAAAAAGGACTTAAATGATTTTGAACATATGGCTCCTATGAATACGTACAACTCAAACTGGGTCTTCTTGTTAGTCTGTTTCCTGTGCCAACTAATGAAAAAGATCTGAATTATATTTCTGAAAATGATGATTTGTCTTATGTTCAATTTTTACCCTATTTTGCCAGAAAATTCAACAGTGCAAACTGGCAATGAATATTTATTTTAAAATACAACCACGGACTCCTAAGAACACCAAAGAACAAGAATCACTTACCTATTTGAGAAACAAAGGCCCAAGTCATTTGGAATCATTCAGCAATCATAATTTTCAAATCCATGTTAGGAGACATGAAAGAAAAAGAAACAAAATAATTCATTAAGATATGTTCTTTAGAAAAGTGACTTTTCACGTTCATATTACTACTAATTCTATTGCTAGTAAACCACCAGTGTTTGCAAACCCAACTGGAGGCATTATTTTATTATTCTCGTTACCATTCATGACAAAGAAATGATTTTAGAAATATCTGATAAAAAACCTGTGCAGCACTTGTGTTATAGCTAATACGAATTGAGCAATCTTACCACTTATGATAGCAAAGAACATAGGACAGTTTTGAAAATTACTTGAATGAAATCTTTATCGGAATATCAGCAGGCAAAGGGCCAGGGTGGAAATTATACAATGAGAAGGAAATTGAACAATTCAGATATGTTTATGGAAAGCTTGCAACTTGGGGCATCTCATTTGCCATCAAATAAAGCTGCTATTCATGATGTGCATCAACAATAAAAAGTAGCTATCTGGTAGAAAAATTTTGCCAGCAGGGCAAATTCAGGCAAATAAGCAGTTTTCAAATAAATGCATTGAAGTGGAAAGGGGAAAAAAATCCTATGAAATGTCTGCATGTTTTTTGCTAGCCACTCCAACTCTTTTTTTTTAAAATATATATTATAATGCCTAAAGCCACTAATTCATGAGAAGGTCATCATTCCCTGTAGATGTATGTTTTAGTTCTATGAAAGGGACATGATAATAATGGCTTTTTGGAGATCTGAAAATGATATGATTTTAAAAGGCTACCCAAAGATTGAGAAAACCAAACAAAACAACTTTTCTTTCATTAAATGGATTATTTAAGGCTATACTGACCAAGATCATTTCTTGCATTTTTAGGGACACTGATGTTGTCCACAGATGCAAGTTGCATCGAAATTTCCTGTTCAGCACATCAACAGTATTTCAAATATTTTTGAGAAAGCTGAACTTCAAGTCTGAAAATGTGTTCTTATATGAAGAAGATGGTGAAAAATATTTGGAACTTTCAAGCTCACCACACTTTTCTTTATCACCTGACCAGTTTGGCATCTTCTTTGGTTGAAATTATCTGTACATTCAAATTATCTTTGCTCATTTAATTACAGTCAATATTTGCCTGGCTAAGTGCAAATAACTTCTAACTCTAATCCTCAATGTGTCTACTTCAACCATACGGAATATATATATCTATGATTAAAAAAAGAGTGTTAATTTTTTTATCATTTGGCAAAAAATAAAGAAAAGCTTTCTTAATGTCCGCATCTCCTGTAAAATAAGGTAAGTATATTAGAAATATATTAGAAATTAACTAAAAAGAAAATAATTTAAATGAAATGTTTCTTGTCTGAAAGCAGCTCTGTTTGTTGTTCTATCATAATACTCCTCTAATATGGAAAATTAAACAACCATTTTGAGATGTCATCAGGGACTCACCTCTAGGGCTGTTTCTATTATCAGATCTATAATTCAAAAACAAATCAACTCTATCAATACACTGGCGTTACTATTCTAGCCTCAACTATGAGTAAAATATAAACTCAAACAATTATTTCAATAATTTACTCAATAGAAAAAGCAATAGCTAGGAAAAATGGCATTGCTTTGCTAGTAGCAAATACCTAATCCTAGTAATTTTCTTGACCTATACCTAAATATATTAGCATTTTTAAAAACATTGAATATTTGTGATGGCAGATACTTACCATTTGAAGCATATTTGAAAAATATGTTCACGTCAATATTTTAATTCAATAACTGCACTCTGTGGTTCCTTAAAGACCTATGTTTGCCATTAAAAAAATCTTTTCATTTTATAAAGTTTAATAAGTTATTTAAAAATAATTGCCACAACATTGTCTCGTTGCTCTGCATCAACCACATTTGTGAGTTTTGCTTTCTGCGTTTTATCTTTAAGGTCATTTGTCAGATAAACATAAGCTTAATCTTCACAACACGCATCTGCTCCTTTTTTGACCACTCTCAGGTAAGGTCGTGGTGATCCTGTCTGAGATCTCCTGAACAATCTCAGAGCAACTACGTGTTGAAAGTCTGACCAGAACAAGGGGGGAGCAGATGTGAGCTAAAAAACAAAGTGCCCTTGATTTAAAAGCATCACAAACAATGAGAAATAGAAAAGACTCAATGTGGAAATGCTGAAGTAAAATACTATCTCCAAACAAATTTTTTTCTTAATCCTGGACCAAAATAAAATATGAGCTCTAACTTGTATTGAATATTAAAAATAGATCTGTGGTACCCCTTCTCTGATGTCTGTTTTCTAAAACTTAGCTTTATAATTGGAAAGAAATAACCACATTTTCTTTGTTTTACCCAAGCATATTATTACTGATTGAAGTTGTTTATTGGAAATATGAAAGTTCCATGGAATGTTTCAAGGATGCTGAAATGAAACATCAACCAATACGTACAGATTAATTATTTACTATAACAAACTTGGTTATGCTGGTTTGTGGAGTCAAGCTGGAATGTTTTCTGCCAAGGAAGCAGAAACATGACTAATAAAATGATTTTACTGATTATCCATACATTTAAAAGACCTTACTATTTCATACTGGAAAGTAATTCAAAACCTTTCTTCCCTAATTTTTGCAATGTATTCCTAAAAGAAATGAATTTAATATTAAGATTAGGGGATGTTTATGTAATCCCAGAATCAGTTAGTTTTGTCGTGTTCTCATTTAATGTTTTATGTAGGCCTAAAGAAATAGCTTATTTTTGAGCAAGATATGCAATTTGCGAGTTAACTATTAGGTTCAAATAAAATAAAGTAACAATATAAGAAACATAATTTTATATCAAAATAAATGTTTTGTTGTTATAGTATTTTTTGAAAAATATTGTAAACTCAACTTAAGTTCAGGTAACATATTCAACATGAAATGAATTTTGAGGGATCAAACACAAATTTTTGAACTTGAGCAGCCTTTAAGAAAATAAACTCTCCATTTTCTTTTTTGGTCATAACCATGAACAGAATTGGCTGCTTTACCCCAAGTTTAATATTTTGGGGGCTAATCTTGAGGAAGAGATGCCATTTTTCTTAGGGCAAAGGTTTTCTTTCCAAAGAAGAAAGAAATTACTTTCTGATCACTGGCTGCCTTATGAATGGAAAAGCCAAAATGCTAATTTTAAAAGAACAAAAAGATATTTGAAGGCTTCCAAATGTATCTCTGTGACAGTGCCTCTTTAGAAATATGACTTCACTTTCTAACAGCTAGAAATTGCCGATGTTCATTCAGAAAGTGAACAATTAATTTCTTCCTAACAGAAAACCAACCCTTTACATCATCTGTCCTATAAAAATTGCAATGAAACTTCATCTCTTGTAGATGGTTTTTCCTTCTTTCCCTTATTCTAGAACTCGTATTTATTTCCAGATATTTGTTGAATACAGACATTATTTTATCCTGGAGACATATACCGAATTTAGCAAAACAAAAGTGGAACTTGTCTTCCTTTTTTCCTCACTACTATTTTACACAAGCTTTGTTTTTGGCCTTGGGAAAGGCATCACCAATTCATTCAGCATCACAAAATAGAAGCTACGCATTATTCACAAGTGTTTGTTTGCAAATAATAAAACTTCACAGTCTGCCTGTTTGGTGTCAGGCGTTGGTGTGGTACACCAGGCTTAGGCAGGGAACCAGAGATTTTGCCTGTCTTTGCCATACAAGGTTGTATCTGCTTTTATCAGCTACTTTCTTATGGAAGGCCCTCATTAGTTCCCTCATAATGTATTACTAAAATTTCTAATTATTCAATACACTAATCATCTTTCCCAATCCTAGTCCATCCACCACACTACTATTGAAAGGATCATCCTTCATTTATAAGCAAAAGAAAAAAAAAAAGAAAGAGGAAGAGGAGAAAGAGATGGGTTAAAAGGAAGAAGAGGAGGAGCAGAAGGAGGAGGAGAAAAAAGGAAGATGAACAGAAAAATGAAATAAGGAAGTTCCAAAGGGAAGGAGAGGGAGGTACAAAGAAGGCTAGTAGACAAACAGGCCCCTCTTGACTTCGTGTTGCTTGTTGGATAAATGTTACAATCTTTTGCTGAACCTGAGAGGTCCTTTTCACTCTGCCTTCTGTCTGACTATTCAGTCTCACCTTCCATGATGTGATACTCTGTACACCATGCACCCAAAAGCCTGGCTCTTTATTCACCTACAAAGTCCAAAGGGGCCCTCCAAAAACTGCATTTGTGCAAGTAGAACCCTTGGTTTATCTCCTTTTTTCTTCACCAGGCATATTTCTGCCCATTGATTATCCTATCTCCAAAGCCAGCACTATGAGGCCATTCTTGACTTTCTCAGACAGAGTTACTGGAACTTTATAGTCCATTCTACTTTTAAAAGGCTGTTCATAAGGCTTCTCTTTTGTTCTTACAGTACCTTGCATATACCTCCATTATGACAATTTCAACATTTAATTTCTGAGGTTTTTCTCCCCATCAAACCATTAGGACATCATTAACTGACTCAGTTAGCAGTTAACAAGGTTGCATTGCTTATCTTTGGTGGATATCTCTCTCTTCTATCGTAGTGTCAGCTCTTTAAAATCAAAGTTGCCTTATCTAACATACAGTTAGGCTCAGTTGCCATTCCATAAATCACTATAAATTATTTTCTATGTTTCTTCCTTTTTCTTGATGGCTACTCCGAATCAGAGAATAACCTAACACTTGGAATGCTTCCTGTTTAATAATGACTCGTAGCGAGAGCTGTTATTTATGATCATATGCAGACCCAAGTAGGGGATAGGTCAATTATGAATGGGCTTGGGGTCTATTGTAAAGAAGCCAGCCTAGGTGAGTGAATAGAAGTGGAAAATATTTACATTTTGGCAAACTAAATACTATCATGTTTGTTGTATAATTAAGTTAAAGAACATAGGTACAGCTATGGCTATAGATGAACATACAGATATTTTTTGATCTCTGCTTTTTTTGTTTGTTCGTGTTTTGAGACGGAGTTTCCCTCTGTCACCCAGGCTGGAGTGCGGTGATGTGATATTGGTTCACTGCAACCTCCACCTCCCGGGTTCAAGCGATTCTCGTGCCTCAGCCTCCGGAGTAGCTGGGATTACAAGTATGCATCAGCGTGCCCGGCTAATTTCTGTATTTTTAGTAGAGACAAGGTTTCACCATGTTGATCAGGCTGGTCTCGGACTCCTGTCCTCAAAGAATCTCCCTAAGTGCCGGGATTACAGGGGTGAGCCACCATGCCCAAACTTAACCTTTGTCTTTACAATTTTTCCAGGTGTAAAGTCTGATCTGCTATGTCAAAAGCATAAACTAAGTGTATATTAATAATGTGTGTACTTAAACAACCTTTGAAGAGAACACTAAATTACCACTTCAAGTTTTAACTTCTTTTAGTTTGGGCAATCAGTATCTTTGCAAAGGTCCACATTTCTCACTTACTTCAATAGACTTAAAAATGTCAAATGGAATAATATAGATAACCTTACAATAGATAATCGTCTTGCTCCTACTATGCAGGGAATACAGGAAATTCTCTTATGGACTGTGCAGAGTTTTCAGGTCCACAAGTAAATCTCAATTATAAGGCCTAATAAGTGGTACCTTAGTGGCAGATTTGTATCTCACTAAGACCCACTATATATATATATACAGTTCCTGAAAAAGAGCTTGTGTTTTCTTTTTTCTGTCAGTCTTGAAAGTATCTGTCACTACCCCAAGCACTACTAGAGAGCTATTGCCTCTGCTCCTGCCAGGAAGTTTGCTATATGGTAAGGGATATCCCAGAGCTTTAGAAGTACCTGTGTATGTCAGAGAGCAAGGAAGAGAAGGTTGAAGAGAAGCATATATGTGATGTATGAATGAATGAAAGCAGTGTTTGCTTCATCTTATCCTGGGCCTGGAACTAGGCCGAAACAAACAAGCAAACAAACAAAATTTCTCTTCAGGCCAGAAAAACTATAGCAGACGTTTAATGGATTGGATTGTATGAGGAAAGAAAATTAGTGCCCGAAGCCAAGCACAGGCAATCCAGGACAGGTACACCGAAGATGTCACTGAAGATGATATTCAGCTTTATATAGGTCAGCAGTGCCCAAGGCAGATTTACACGACTGATGTATTGTTTTGGCCTCTTCTCACTTTCTGTTCTGCCTTTGTTCCCTCAAAATCTCTGGCCACCCTGTTTCTTTGGCTACTACCTAATCCACGTACAGCTTAATACAATGCTGAAATGATCACTTTGTATCTACCAATCAAAACTATCACTTCTCCATGGTGGTTGAGTTCATTTAGGCATTAGGAGAGAAGTACCTGTTAGTTTTAAGAACATTTACTCAAAGGTATAGTTGTGGGCAGGAGAATAGGTGTTAGAGTATGACTTTAACTTAAAAAAGAAAGAAAGAAAGAGCTTAAAGAGCTTACTCAATCTGAATGAATTTATCAGTAAAATGCTTGGGACCTACACTCCAATCAGGGAAGCTTGTTGCTTCGCCCTTTTTAATGCTAGTTAATACCCTTTCCATCCCTATTTCAGAAAAAAGAGAAACAAAGTATACATTTTCTTCCTGAAAAGTGTCCATCCCAACCTAAGCTATAAGTAATTACTCTAAATAACATAATGTGATGATCTTCATTATTGAATCAAAGAATTAGTTATACCAATTAAGTATTTGTTTTGCATAACACATTTGATTGCAGATGGTTATAACAATATACTGGACACACATTCGTAAAAATTTAGGCATATGTGATGGTAGGCTGCAGACATATGAGAAAAAGTCATTGCCAGGTTTGCTTTCATGAGTCACATGAGCAATGGCTTTTTATTGTTTATTATAATAGCAAACATACTTCTCTACATAAACATATGCATTAAAATTTAAATCACTGGTTTGTAACAAAAATATAGGCATATATTTTTATTCACATAGATCTTTTCACTTAAAAGCTTCTATACTTGCATTCTGTTCTAATCAATCTAATAAAACGAAAATCTAGGATTCTTTACCATTTCGACTACATAGAAGCAGAAAGCTTCCCTTCTAAGTGTAATGTTAGAAATATGGTGAAAGTAATGTCTGAGGAAATTTAGGAACACCCAGGTTTAATTAAGGTGTCTGCGACATCATCTTAAGAATGCATGGTTGAATCAACAAATCTAAAGCTATAACCTCTTCATGGTTAATAAAACTACTGACGCCAGAATATAACCAAGCTTCAACTAAATCTATTATAATAAACTGGCTTAAGCTAGAATAACCATAATCATATGCATTGTATCTGGTCAAATAATTCTTTTTAGGGAGACAGAGGTATCTGCACAAAGTATAGAGAAGAGAAACCCAGGATACAAAATTTAGTAGATTTCACTTAATACCAACTGGAAATGGTTCCAGAAGGGCAAATCATCACAGACACATTTTCTGCTTAGAGTGAGGAAGCGCATCCGGGTTTTCTATTACCTGGGTAAATTTGTAATAAGTCGCTCTAGCGCTCTCTGTTTTTAACCTGGTATTGAGCAAGCACTTTTCAGATGATTACACAGTACTAACATTAATATTAACAGCAGCAACTAATACTGGCTATTAATTTTGTGTTATACATTAGAGCTAAAGTATTTACAAACATTATCTGTTTTTATTATAATGATAACCCAAGCAGGTACAAACATGTACTACATCTTTTGGAATTAATGCCTAATTACACAAATATGTCTATTAT
The DNA here is from genome assembly GCF_000001405.40 of Homo sapiens. Classification (NCBI taxonomy): domain Eukaryota; kingdom Metazoa; phylum Chordata; class Mammalia; order Primates; family Hominidae; genus Homo; species Homo sapiens. The sequence continues at coordinate 77,332,666 of NC_000003.12, read as the reverse complement.
GTAACTTTTATGTACTAAATATACATTATGTACATAACAGTTATGTATGTTATATCAAGTATGTATGTTATGTAGTTATTTATGCTATGTTATGTGCATAACTTATATAACTGCGTCACACTAAGTTATGCAACATACTGAGATTACATACATAACTATGAGTTACATAACTATACACACTAAGAAATTGATGGGGTCGGATTCAAGTCTACAAAGTGCATTTCCAGAGCTTTTAACCACACACCCCATAATACTACCTCTGTAAAATGTACCTACAGAGCTGAGGACCAGACCCGATCATGAAGACACACGAACACCAGCCCACCTGGACTGATGGCTCACATTTCACCACAGCGTTGTGCCATAGTCTCAGATGTTAATAAGTACAAGGTGGTCACAAAAGGTTCCAATGAAAACAAAGGCAAGAGAAAAATATATTGTTCCATTTCTTTTCATTTTGAAAGTATTAGGCAATAGACATAAAAATACATTACGTATATTAATATAGTACACAATATAAGAATCGTTATCTGAATAGACATTCATATGGAATTTTTGCTGTGGAACTGCCTCAAGCCATTTCAGAGTTTTTAAGTACAGACTACAAAGGATATCAACAGTTATAACACTACCATATCTAACCTAAAAAATAGGCATTTCAGGCCGGGGGCGTTGGCTCACGCCTGTAATCCCAGCACTTTGGGAGGCCGAGGCAGGTGGGTCACCTGAGGTCAGGAGTTTGAGACCAGCCTGACCAACATGGTGAAACCCCGTCTCTACTAAAAATACAAAAATTAGCTGGGCGTGGTGGCACGTGCCTGTAATCCCAGCTACTCGGGAGGCTGAGGCAGGAGAATCGCTTGAACCTGGATGATGGAGGTTGCAGTGAGCCGACATATCGCGCCACTGCACTCCAGCCTAGGTGACAGAGGGAGACTCCATCTCAAAATATATAAATAAATAAATAAATAAGTAAATAAATAGGCCTTTCAAGCTTGTAAAAACAGTGGTAGTAACCTTTAATTCAACTGAATAAGTAGAAAAATTGAAATTCTTTGAATCTTAAGAAAATTCAGATATCAGATTTGCAAGTATTTTTTTCTTTGCCTTCAATATATGAAATTAAGTTTCTAAAAAGGTTTTGTTTTTGTTTTTGCTATCAAGTAGAAATTTGATTACTGATAAAATCTGATACAACACTCTGGGGCACATAAACCATATCCAAGAAAATACCCAGCTTTATTGTTTTTCAGTCTACCCCACTGCAAGTGTCCTCAAAATGTCATCAACAATAAACTGTAAAAGGCTTCACATCTCCTCATTAAACAGTCTCCCTAAGGCACTAGGCAGTGAACAGATATTGCCTGGTTCCTAAGATGGCATTGATGAATTCAGACATAGATATTGGCACTTTCACTAAACATAAAGTTTATATTTTGAGTCCTGTTTATGTATTAATCAGTTCAGGGTACAAGGAAGCAAGAAACACTGTAATTACCGTATTAACGGGCTTAATATTCTTCTGTCATACCCTAAACATCTACTGAACATTTTGAAATCTAGATTGGAGAATGTGTATGATTAATGCCTCAGGGCTCTTTTCTTCGCAAATTCAACAGCACATTCTCAAATGGTAGAAGACAAAGGTAACTTTTTCACTCTGAGTGACACAGTCTACATCATACAGAATACTATATGATTTACCTTTTCTTTGAAAATGGATGAATCAAGTCAATCAAATACTGAGAAACAATTTCACTTGACTGCTTCATGGTGGAACTTAGAATTGCTAACCCTTAAAAAAATAATACTTTACCAAATAAACAAAGATTATTACTGAAATAGGATAAGACAGTGTTCAGTAATATACCTCAACGATAAATAAGCAAAGTGCATATAATGTGGTCAGATCAAAACCCACATTTCTTTGCCTGCCTTGAAGACCTTGTAAAACCTCCCACCAAAGTTTTCTTTCTTGAGTTGTCCACTCCAAAATGATCTTCTAATAATCCCTTAAAGACGCATCACAAAAGTCTGTCTCTGTTCATTTGTCTATACAGGCTTCTTTACTTCACCCTCTCAGCTCATTTATAACTGACTGCTACTCAAGTATAAGTATAATCTTTATTTTCTTTTTGGAGAAAATAAAGATTAAATAAATCACTCTGTTGCCCAGGCTGGAGTGCAGTGGTGTGATCTTAGCTGAAAGCAACCTCCACCTCCCAGATTCAAGCAATCCTCCTGCGTCAGCCTCCTGAGTAGCTAAGATTACCGGCATGTGCCACCACACCAGACTAATTTTTGTATTTTTAGTAGAAACAAGGTTTTGCCATGTTGGCCAGACTGGTCTCAAATTCCTGGCCTCAAGTGATCCACCTGCTTCAGCCTCCCAAAGTGCTGGGATTACAGGCATGAGCTACTGTGCCCAGCCACAAGTATAAATAAAATCTTTAACAACATATTGAAAGATTATTAATCATAAAGCATACCAAGTTCTAGGTTATTCTCTGACACAGAGAATTTGTATGGACACCAAATCAGGACAAATCATATCCCTTAATATATATTACATTTGGACTTTAGGGTAGAGGAGAGGAGTAAATGGTTTAATTTATATTAAAAAAGAAAAAAAGGAAAAGTAGAAATATTACTAACTTAGTTTGAGTCTGTCTAATGGTGAAGTTCATGTTTTTTGGCTTTATTGAGCTTCCATCATCTCCAAGAATTCTTCCTTTATAACTCCAAGCTTGGGACTGTGAGAACTAAATGAGATAATCTGTGCCAAATACAGTAAGCATACATAGGTATTAGCTACCATTGTTTCTGTCATTGTGCCGCCCTCACATAACACCAAAAGCAGAGACAGGTTATAATCTGGTCAACACAGTCAGTGTATTCTAACGAATTATGTAGTCTGCCTGAATCCTTAGACTGACTGTACAAATTGGATGAATGCACATCTCCTAAGCACTGTGGGAAGTATAGACCCAATGTGAGGCACAGGGCAGGAGAGAATCAGAATTAAGGAGAATTAATTATCCAGCAAAACATGGCTGAAGAAGTCACTATAGTATCACTGTCACTACACTGAACTCTTTGTTTTGGAATTTCTTTTAAATATGCTTATTGACAAAAAGCTGCCAGGTGTGATGCTTATGTTTCATAAATGGTGCAGGATTACTCTTAATGTGAAGGTTATTCTGTGTAACCAAGGGTTAACACGTTATGTCATTAGCCTAAACACTAGAACAAACAGCATTTGTTATGTTTTGTCATGGAGACAAGGAGTGACTCTTAAATTCTGAAGGAGTATAAAAGAATAAAAATAGAAACAGAAGTTTCCAAAGTTCTGCCAATTCTTGCCTTGATAGAACTGTAGCCACACGTATCCGTCTAGAAGATCTTACAGCTGGTTTTGCCCATTGCTTCATTCCTCTTTTTCTTAAAAGCTGTGTTACTACTTTTCCCAATGCTAAATTAGCTTCAGATTGCTTCTTTTTATCCACAAAAGAAAGACTACATCGATATCAACACTGGACTATTAATTAATGGGGAAAAGTCAAGTGTTAAACTCTGTTCAGGAATTAGCATGTGGGTTTTAGGGAGACTTGGATCAACACATCAGAAAGCAATACAGAACAGGGAAGTTCACTGAGTTTGACAAGAGAACGCAAGGAAAAGAAAAAATTAAAAGTTGTGTTCCAGCATTGTTCCTGTGATTACTGCCAAACTATCACAGATTTCAGCAGTTTATGAAAACAGTATTTTGTGTTTTCAAATATGCTCTTAAATTTTTCACAGGATGTATCAGATGGGATGCATTCTTGTCATTTTTGGAGAATGTGGGGATAACAGGCATGCCAAAGACCAAGAACAGCATGTGGGAATAACACTTTACATGCTATTTTTATGCCACTTCCTTTTTTTATTTTTATTTTTTCAGAGTATAAAGTGTTGTGAAACATTAACAGGGGCAATGCAATGTGAAAAGGTTCTGAACTATATCTATCTCTTTTATTGCTGAGATGCTCTCTTACATTTTTAACATATGCCATTATTGTTAACGCCAGGCCATCATCATTACTATAAGTTAAACAGCAGATCAATCACCAAATAATAGCATAGCAAACAGCATATACAAAATGATGAAGTGCTGGCAGGTGATCTGTATATAAAAGCTAGATTAGAACTTTAGGTTTGGTTAGACGCTGGTAGTCAATTAATTCTGGCTTGCTAGGAACTCTTCACAGAATATTAGTTTCTGCATTGTTGCTCCAGCTTACAAAACTTTACATAGCAAACTGTGTTCTGTGTCTTAAAATATAATTCCGTTCACAATTTGGCCTAAACTTTATTAATAAACTCTGTGGTAGCATTTGGTTAATTCCTCAACTCAACAGGGACTTACAGTAATGTACTGTGTGGCTCACCATCACTGCATCATGGGCGCAGCAGAAAGGAAAATCCTTAAAGCAATTTTGGGAGGGAAGAGGAAGTGATGGGGGCAGAGGGGTGTGGGGGAAGTGGGGAAGGAAAAGCGGGTGAGTAAACAGGAACATTTCTAATGTTCCTTTTTTTTTCTTTTCTTTTTTTTTTTTTTTTTTGAGATACGGTCTCACACTGTCACCCAGGCTGGAAGGCAGTGGTGCGATCTCCACTCACTGCAACCTCTGCCTCTGTCTCCGTCTCCCAGGTTCAAGCGATTCTCATGCCTCAGCCTCCCAAGTAGCTGGAATTACAGGTGCATATCACCATGCCTGGCTATTTTTTGTATTTTTAGTAGAGACGGGGTTTCGCCATTGTTGTCCAGGCTAGTCTCAAACTCCTGACCTCAGGTGATCGACCCACCTCGGCCTCCCAAAGTGCTGGGATTACAGGCATGAGCCACGACACCTGGCCATTAAATCTTCAATGTTTTTTAATACAGATAGTTAAGGGTCAACATAGTTTTTGAAATTTCATTGCTCCATATGTGTCTAATATCCAGGAACATGAGATCTGTACCACTTCTATCTTCAGTTGGGCTTGGCTGAAGGAGTCATAACTTCTTTGCCTATTGTCATTGGGCATTTGCTTCCATTTTTCTTTTCTTAGCCTTTAATAGTTGGGGTCCATATATGCACTTTACTCATCCCTTCTCCAATAATGGGTCCGGTTTTCAAGGGCATGGTCTTAAATTGTAAAATGGAGTTACAGCATATCCAAGCGAATAGGAAAATGAAGAAAATCTCACCCTACAATTTGTTATTTATCTAGTTCTTTCTCTTTCTCCCATCTCCAGCACACTACTCCCAGAAGATACAGACCTGTCAGTTTCTCCGACCCTCGAAATGACATACACTGTGAACGAAATAAATTTGAAGGCACTCCCAAGGAAAAGGCGTTTTTTCTTCCCGATATTGAATCCAGAACATTGGTTAGAAGTATTCTCATAGAACTGCCGCTATGCAGAACTTGTACTAGTTACATAAGGTATATTCGGCTACATTGAGAGTTCAATAGGCTTTGAAGGGTTAACCAAGAAACCAAATTTTATATAGAACAACATTTCTATGATAAATTCTATCCCGAGTTCTAAATTGTCTATGACTTACCTATGAACTTTTATAATATCATTCAATTGTAAATTGAGAACTGCCTGCACACTCTTCATTTATTAATATTATATGAAGTGTATCTCCCTGTATCAGTTAACACAAAAGGTTAAATGTTGGTTCTTGGAAAACAAAATGAGTAAAGTGTTATTAAAGCAGAATTCATATTTAAGAGGAATTCAAATAGAACGCAGTAAGGAAGAAAAACAACAAATGAAAGGTACGTCCACAGCTCCACCAGGGAGACTTTGGAGGAATTAGCTTGTGTTGTGTTAGTTCTTATCCCTGAAGAAGCGCTGCTAAGCTATTTGAAGCTGCTTTCTCAGAGGGATTATCTCCTTCAATCTGTTTTAATCACAACTAAATGCTTTCAACTGGTATATACTGAGCTCGAATTAGAGAATCACAATTCCCCCAGACCTTTGTGATTTGTTTGAAAAAAAGAAACGCATTCACATACAAAGACACATTCTAGAAATTAAATTGTGATCTGTCATTGTTCAAGTTAATCAAAAAACATAAAAGATTATACTTTTAAACAACACAAAACAAGATCAATGGATATACAAAATATAAATGGAAATGATTTGGGGTTGTCAGGTGATTTTCAGAAAGAAGCAAATGCATTCCTTAGAAATGGCTATATTTGAAGATCACTATGTTTAAAAATAAGTGATTTGATCAACAGAGTGGTAAACTGAGATACAATTCATAAATTTGATAAGTATTTCTTGCATATTTTGTGAGAGCTTCTGAGCTTCTAATAGTCTTTACTACTGAGATTATTAATCACAAAATTCCCCACATTTACTCACTACTCCTCACATTTTCAAAGTGTTCTCAAATACTGTGTTAAAGTAAGTATTGTAATGAGAGAATTAGTCTTTGACCAACTCCATTTACGACTGGAATCATTCCATTGGATACACGGTTACTCCAGAAAAGCTATGAGGATGATAAAAAGTTCCATTTTTCATTCAGTGAGTATTTATCAGATCACACAAGGTGCTAATTGCTATTTTCCCTCAATAAAATGAGCAAATGTTTTCTAAAATTAAAACTAAAGAAAAAAATCAATGGCAGCTCAAGGAAAGAATTCTATGAATCTAGGATCTTCAATTCCATGGGAAAAACCATGTAACTCAAGGTGAAAGCACGGATCTTGGAACCAGATTGTTTGCATTTGCGTCCCAGCTTTTCCATCTTCCAGGAGTATAATCTGTACTGTCAAATGAGGATCAAAATAATACTATTTATCCTCTGAAACTGTTAGAATTGGATGAGCATGTAGTTTAATGAGTACAACCAGTATGTGCCTAATAGATAGTTACAGTTCATATTTATGTGAACCAAATTTTAAACAAAAGATTACTTAACAATAAACCAGGTGAGTTTTCTTTCTCCATTATCTCCACCCCCTAATTCCAAGAATTTGATGGCCATTTTATAACATCAATAGATTCACATTTTGCCCAAGATGCAGAGCTATCAAATAATTTTATGCTGACATCAGTTGCCTCCTGACAGCTCTAAGATATGAAATAACAAGCAGTCAATGTCAGTGCTACTAAATCAAGCCCAGGGCCCCCATGGCACCAGACAGCAGCAGCTTGTTACTGCTAAGGAAATGTCAGTCCAGTCAAAGTGTGGCAGAGTTGTCAAATCCCCAGTTGCGTCTGCTCTGGTATAACTAACGTTCTATAAGGTAACATTCATAAAGATGTTATGTTGCCCAAAACCCTGAAGCAGAACAGCTAAGGTGGCTCTCAGAGTTCAAAAAGTTGTTTGACTTCTTCAGTCACTGAGATTTCTCCCTCTAGTAAACAGGTTCATTTTCTTTCCTCTGTAGGCACAACATTCAGGATCAGAGAATATATTTTTTTCCCTGAAAATGTTGTAAGTATTTGGATAGAGTCACACTTCATTATGCATGTGGTATCTGACTTTTGGTTTGCATTCACAAGCAATACTTATGAATCATTTCTTATTTCTAAAATATTGTTGTTTTTAAAATTACCTATGTCTGCCCCCTTACATCATAACTATACTTTAATTTCCTTCCACTTGGCACTTACTCTGACATCCTGTTATTATTCATTCCTACCTACAGCATCTTGGCTATGGAGAGAATATCACTTCTAAGGTGGCACATTGGCTGAATCTGAGGTTCTTGTTAGAGTTTTTCTATTTCTGTTTAATTTTAAGAATTACAGGAAACACGCGCTAGTTTAAAAATTCATTTTTGCTATCCCTGTAAAGTATGGTAGCTTTTTTTTTTTTTTTTTCTTTTTGAGACGGAGTCTCTCTCTGTCGCCTAGGCTGGAGTGCAGTGGCGCGATCTCGGCTCACTGCAAGCTCCGCCTCCCAGGTTCACGCCATTCTCCTGCCTCAGCCTCCCGAGTAGCTGGGGGACTACAGGCGCTCACCACTGCACCCGGCTAATTTTTTTGTATTTTTAGTAGAGATGGGGTTTCACCGTGTTAGCCAGGATAGTCTCGATCTCCTGACCTCGTGATCCGCCCGCCTCGGCCTCCCAAAGTGCTGGGATTACAGGCGTGAGCCACGGCGCCCGGCCTATGAAGTATGGTAGTATTTTGACTTGTGTTTCTACTTTCCCTACAACTGGACAACGGGTCTACTTTTATACTCGATGCCACAAAAAATAATGGAATATGTTGGCAGGTCACAGTCCTATTTTGCCAGTAAGTAGCATTACTCACAGATGCAGTTTTTCATCACAGTTGGTAAAGACCTTTTAGTAGCACTTAAGGGCTTCATTCTCACAGTGCTGTACAGTCATCAGTCAGAGTTCCATCTTTTGAGTCCATGCTAGGAACACACATATTCATCAACATACTGCAGTAACTGGATCTGATCTTTTGCTGACACTTATAGCCAGTCCCCTGTGACTTTTATCATGGAGACTGTGTTGAGATTAGAACTGGGTTATAGTCTGTGACCATTAATCTAAAGTCTCACTGTGGACTGTCCCAAGCAGCAAATTGGGAGACCCTCTCACCCTCTTCATATACCAGTGTTAAGAGAAATACTTACATCTGTGTTATAAATCAATCTGAATATACACTAACAGAAACAAACATATGGGTTAAATTTTCTTGAAATTACACATGGTTATAAAAATTGACCTAAAAAAAGTACTCAGAAAAACATGTTTGGAATTTGGTTGAACAAAAATATTTTTAAATATCTCAAGCTGTTTGGCAAATCTCAAAAATGCCAAGTGATTTCCAAGCCTACTGAAAATACCCTTTGTCTTACACATGAGCCTTTCAAAGCTTGAAAATTGTGTGTGTGTGTATGGTGTGTTTGTGTGGATGTGTCTGTGTGTGATGAAGCAATGGGCTTTGTAATCATTTTCAGGAGTTTCATCTTTAAAAGACAAGAATAACATTGCCCATTTATCTAAGAAATTTGTTATCAGTATTGCAAACATTTATCAAATATTGGTTTAGCTCTATACACAAATAGAGTCCAAAGGCATGCACTTGGTGTGATTAAATGATGACAAACTCATTTGATACACATTTTCTCAAATAGCCCATGTTCTACAGAAAAGCTCTTTTTCTTGATTAATTTTGGAAGAAAGAACAGGTCAAAATGCAAATGTGTTATTCTATTAGCATGGAGGAGCTTCTTAGATTATAAACTTGATCTCATCTTATACCTGATATCAGGGTCTTGAGAGATACAATTAAGTCTCAACTCAGGAGAGCAAGTATGAAAAGTCAACAGCAGGTGAGTATTGCCAAAGGAGGGTTAATGTGCTTGGGACATGAAGGTCATAGTCCTGGGCAGTTGGAAATCCTTGAGTATGTAAAGGTAGGAGGGAACATGGGTGATAGTCAGTGTGGGAAATATGTTTATGGACATGGAGGGAGTCAGATAAAACACTATTTGATACAAGTAATTACATACACTTTTTTTATAATTGTAATATATATGTTACATAGTATTAACATACATAATATATTATATTATCCATAATATAATATAATATATTATATTATCCATAATATAATATAATATATTATATTATCCATAATATAATATAATATATTATATTATCCATAATATAATATAATATATTATATTATCCATAATATAATATAATATATTATATTATCCATAATATATAATATATTATAATACATAATATATGTATAATATAATATATTACATAATATATTATAATACATATGTATAATATAATATATTACATAATATATTATAATACATATGTATAATATAATATATTACATAATATATTATAATACATATGTATAATATAATATATTATATATAAATAAACATATAACATATATATTAGACCTATGTTCTTGTTTCATAATAAAGATCTTAGAAACTAAAATATTCAAGAATGAAAATATCTATAAAATATAGTCCATCCAACCAAGTGTGGATATTATCTAAACAAATGTCAATTTCTCTCCTGACATCCCATTTCCTTACTTACAGATTACCTAGGTCTTAGTCATCAATTTGCTGCATTTTTTCTGAGCTTGTATCATGTTCCTTTAAATTGAGAAATTTTGCCACCAAAAAATGTCTTAAGCATTATGTTAGACAAACCCCACTCCCAATTAGGACTGACAACTTGAAATTGACTTCAGAATGCAACTAGAACTTTTGATTATGCTTAATTCTCCCATCACCAGACCTCTGTTGAAGCGAACTTTCTCAGTGCTACTTCATATGTGAGCACCTCTTCATTATAGATTTTTTTCCAGTCATACAATACAGTGTCAAACATAATTCCTTCCAAGGAACACTATGTTTGGTAGGAAGTCAAAGAAGCACAAAAACATCATTTCATTCGGTTATTCTAGACTATCTTGTGTTTTGTGAATAAGTCTATTATTTATAAGATTATTCATAGTCACGTGTGGAGCCTGGGGAACCAAACCTCATATTCTCTCATTTGATTATTTATTATGGTATAAAACAGTGCCTGCTTAGGACTTGCTCTAGCAAAGTTATTAACAACAAGTCTCCCTCAGCTCTCTCCATTTAAGCCTTCCATACTTGAAGCCCTGTTATCTCCTGATTGCTCAGAACCACTTCCCATGGTGCTATGTGCATGGAAAATACCCGTGCACTGTGCCCAAACTCTTGATCATTTACACTTATCTTCTGTACTTAACTGTCCTTTCATCCGTCTCAAACAAAGGGCCACTTTGTCCTTGGTGTACTCTCTTAGTTTGTTGTACATATTTCCATTAGTACTCATCTCTTTGCACAGTTCTCGGTTCACTTGCCGCTTGCCCGTCTTAGTTGTCCTTGTATTTCCTGCACATTGTCTAAATTATAGCTCATTCTTGGCATTGCTTAAATCCTTTTGTAGTGGTTACATGAATGTGAACGAATAAGTTCAAGTTAAAACTGTAACACTCAACTAATCTCTAGTGCCCTTTAAATTCTAATACTTAAATTTTAACTATCTAGTGATTCTATCGCCTCTCTCTAAAATTTTTCCAGTATCAAACTTTTCTTTTTTCTTTTTTTCTTCTTTTGAGACAGGGTCTCTCTCTCTGTCACTCAGGCTGGAGAGTGAAGTGGCATAATCACAGCTCACTGCAGCTTCGAACTCCTGGGCTCAAGTGATCTTCCTATCTCAACCGCCCAAGCAGCTGGAACCACAGGTGTGTGCCATCATGCTCGGCTAATTTCTTAATATTTTGTGGAGATGGGGTCTCCCTGTGTTGCCCAGGCGGATCTTGAACTCCCAGGCTCAAGTAATCCTCCCACCTTGACCTCTTAAAGTGCTGGGTTTAAAGGCATGAGCCACTGTGCCCAGCCTAAAATATTTCTAATACACAGAGAAGTACAGCAATATGCCCACCACCCAAATTTATGCGATACTTTATAATTCCTTCACACTCCTTTGATAAATTATGGACAGATAGAAAGTCCGGCATGAGGAGGTAACCGCTTGAGTTAACTCCGACCCAATAAATTATGAAAAAAATCTAAAACCCCTTTATTAACTATCTTCTTAGTCAACTAGAATCCTTTCATCTGGAATTGTGTGTTGTATGTGTGGGATTACTGAAGAACAAAATGGACAGTAAAGTACCTTGCCTACTTTGCATACCTAAGATTATGAATTTGGTAACTGAAAAGATTTCTAAACTTTTTAGGAAACTCGATTTTAGTTGCAAGCCACATTCATTAAAATGTGTGATATGTACATTACACATATCAGATAATGTTTTAAAAAGAGATAACAAAAAATATATTTTTTTAAATCGCTTGTAGTCTACAAGTGAAGTACCAGTTTTTGCCACTAGAGGGAAGCTACCTTCAAACGCAACAAAAGTTTTTTTTCTTTTTTCTTTTTCTTTTTTTGCCTGTAGTTCAACAAGTCCTCTCCCTTGTCTGGTCAGATATTTGGCCAACATACAAATCAGTACCTTTCATCAACAATAAATGTAATGACAATGTTTAATTAAATAAGAGCCCTTCTTTTTTTTTTTAAGAGCTAGAAAGAGAAACAAAGAACCATATAACTGGCAACTGCAATTTGCGTCCCTCTAGAGGCAAAAGGAAATCTATAATTTGCCTTGAGAAAGTGGGAAAAGATCAAGAGGCAAAGACAGAAGCAGCGCCAAAGTGCAATCTTATTCCTTTACCATCTGTCACAATCACTGTCATTCCCCAAAGGCCATGTTTAAAAATGAGACAAGAGAGGGCTCCTAAGAACTTGAAAATGGTCAGAGCTCTGAATCACACTGAAATATTAAAACTCAACAATACCAGCCAGCAATTGCTAGAAATCAAGAGTAAAAATGTCTTCCAGTATAAGGCCATGGTGGGGAGAGGAGTTTTAAAACAAGAGGGTAGAGGGTAAGAGAAAGAAAATGATCCCCACATAAGCCTTTAGAAATCTATTTCATGAATGGTGGCTGAATGTCTTGAAGTTTATTTACTTGGTGTAATGAATTAAAATATGCAGCTGCAATTTCAAGAATTATTATACTACCATGATTTGAACAGGTGAATTCATATTCCATGTGATAAATTTCGAATTGTTCAGCTGTTGTATAGCAACAAAAATCAATCAGGCATACAATTGCAGCTGATAAGTCATGGATTGACCACGTTGTTATCTTTTTGGGTTTTTAGGCTCTCTACCACTTGGGGGCAGACTGAACAACAACAGAAAAGGAGGACCAATAGCATAAGCAACTTTCTCAACAGAGTTTCTAAGTGCATTTTCAAATATGAAAGGGTGAATGGAAGCCACCCAACATCCATTAAAATCTGTTTCATATATACCTGGAGAATGCAGACATTATGACATAGCCAGAGTGTCATTTGAATAAGTTCATATTGAAGTTTCATATGAAAAAAGGCATGTTCTATATTGACGTTATTGATAATGGAAAAAGATACAAAAGCGTCTTCTTTGTTATTTTCCTTTCCTCTTCAGAGGCTTCAATTGAAGCTGTCTTACTCATAGCACACTCAATTGTAGTATAAAGTTTCCAGCCAATGGTCCTCAAAAGGACAAATTCTAATGACCAGACAAAGGCCTAGACTACTTAGATATTCAATGTTGTTCTGTCAATCAGCATGAGCAATTGGGTTATCAGTTTGCAGAAACTTTAAAAAGGCCCAAAGACAAATTCTAATCTTACTTAACAGGAGATTTCTGTATGTATGCCTCATCAGTGACTGAAGTCACTGTGATAAAAATCCTTATTTCTGGGCAAGGGAGACATTAAACAATACAGGATGTAAAAGAATGATTAATTCTTTATCCAAAGTTAGAATAATGTATGCATAAAATGAACCAGAGTTCTGTGACTTTATCTTTTACTTTCATTAGATTCAAAGAATGAACTTCCGAACACCTGGCACATAAAGCAATTAAACTCATAATGGACTTAGCCATTGCCCATATTGTCAATATGGTAAGAGCAGATTAAAATGAAAAATAGAAACATAATTACTTTCCAGGTATTGTAATATTGGGTAAGGAGCACAGACTAATCAAAATCATTGACTTGGTCATGTCTCTAGAAGACGGATCTGCCAGATTTAAATGGAGAAATAGAGACTTTGATAGAAGATGGATTAGAACCATTGTCATCTAAGAAAAGAGTCTCAAATGCACTAAAGCAATCATGATGACCTGAAGTACAATAACTTCATAAATAATATTACCTTGACATCGATTTATATAAAATTTCAACCATCTTTAATTTCTCAATCATAGTATGTAGTAGAGATCATTGGCTGGTTCATGGTAGCACTTACAACTTACAGGGCAATTACTGTATCCTAGGCATTGTATTTAGGCATTTCACTTTACATGTATTATCTAATTTAGTAGTTGACCTTGTAAACCCCTTATTTTATAGATGAGAACATCGAGGTTTAAGTAATTTGTGCTAAGTAGTTTGCTCAAGTGGTGGAGTCCTAGTTTGAACCAACTTCAGTTTTACTTTAAAATGTGTGATTTTAATTTATATAGTCTCTTGCTAGTTATAATTCTGGTTTGATAATATTCCAGAACAGACATAATGGCAAATATAAATAACAGAAATACTTGTATTCATAACGTTATCTGTAATGGTAAAACAGTTCCCTGCAGCAGATGTTTCTAATGCATTATCTATATTCTTTTATTTTTTATTAATAGAAGTTGAGAATTGGAAGAGTACATAAGGTGATCAGTCATAAAACTACATTACTAGCTGGGCGTGGTGGCTCACGCCTGTAATCCCAGTACTTTGGGAGACTGAGGTGGGCGGATCGCCCGAGGTCAGCAGTTCAAGACCAGCCGGGCCAACATGGCGAAACCCCATCTCTACTAAAAATACAAAAATAGCAGGTGCCTGTGATTCTAGCTACTCAGGAGACTGAGACACGATAATCGCTTGAACTCGGGAGGCGGAGGTTGCAGTGAGCCGAGACTATGCCACTATACTCCAGCCTGGGCGACAGAGCAAGACCCTGTCTCAAAAAAATAATAAAATTAAAATAAAATGAAATAAAATAAAATAAATAAATAACATAAAATAAAATAAATCACCCCACCTTCTTCGCAATGTGGAGCCTTATATTAAAATGTTGGGCAACTCCCTGCCTTGGCGCCGCAGCCCCCCTAGCAGCCCCCCAGCAGCGCCCCTAGCAGCCCCCCAGCAGCCCCCCAGCAGCCCCCCCAGCAGCCCCCCAGCAGCCCCCTAGCAGCCCCCCAGCAGCCCCCCAGCAGCCCCCCCAGCAGCCCCCCTAGCAGCCCCCCAGCAGCGCCCCTAGCAGCCCCCCAGCAGCCCCCCAGCAGCCCCCCCAGCAGCCCCCCTAGCAGCCCCCCAGCAGCACCCCTAGCAGCCCCCTAGTAGCCCCCCAGCAGCCCCCCCAGCAGCCCCCCAGCAGCAACCAGCAGCCCCCGCAGAGCCCGCCGCCACCTTTGAGCAGAAGACGGCTGTGCCACCCACGTATGCCGATCTTGGCAAATCTGCTAGGGATGTCTTCACCAAGGGCTATGGATTGGCTTAATAAAGCTTGATTTGAAAACGAAATCTGAGGATGGATCGGAGTTTACAAGCTCAGGCTCAGCCAACACTGAGACCACCAAAGTGACGGGCAGTCTGGAAACCAGGTACCGATGGACTGACTATGGCTCGAGGTCTACGGAGAAATGGAACCCCGACAATACACTAGGCACCGAGATGAGCGTGGACGGTCAGCTTGCACGTGGCCTGAGGCTGACCTTGCATTCATCCTCGTCACCTAACACTGGGAAAAAAAAAATGCTAAAATCAAGACAGGGTGCAAGTGGGAGCACATTAACCTGGGCTGTGACGTGGATTTCCACACTGCTGGGCCTTCCATCCGGGGTGCTCTAGTGCCGGGTTACAGGGCTGGCTGGCTGGGTACCAGATGCGTTTTGAGACTGCAAAGTCCTTCCTGAGTGACCCAGAGCAACTTTGCAGTTGGCTACAGGACTGATGAATTCCAGCTTCACACTACTGTGAATGACGGGACAGAGTTTGGCGGCTCCATTTACCAGAAGGTGAACAAGAAGTTGGAGACCGCTGTCAATCTCGTCTGGACAGCAGGAAACAGTAACACGCGCTTCGGAACAGCAGCCAAGTATCAGACTGACCCTCATGCCTGCTTCTCCACTAAAGTGAACAACTCCAGCCTGATAGGTTTAGGATACACTCAGACCCTGCAGCCAGGTATCAAACTGACACTGTCAGCTCTCCTGGATGGCAAGAACGTCAAGGCTGGTGGCCACAAGCTTGGTCTAGGACTGAAATTTCAAGCATGAATGAATACCATACAATTGTTTAATTTAAACTATTTTGCAGCATAGCTACCTTCAGAATTTAGTGTACCTTTTAATATTGTATGACTGGGATGCAAGTATTGCTAAATATGTTAGACCTCAAGGTTAAAGATGATTCTGCTTTAAGATGTTACCCTTTCAGAGGTACAGAAGAAACCCATTTCCAAAAAAGATCCTTTCAGTAGTAGACTTGGGGGGAACTCGGTAGCCCCTGTGAGATGCCAAGTTTCTTTTTTATCTAGAAATGCCTTCAAGTGGTAGCTGGTAATATGTAGGCACTTTGTAAATTCATATTGAGTAAATTAATGAAACTGTGATTTCCTGAGAATCGAACCTTGGTTTCCTAACCCTAACTGATGAGAGGCTCACTGCTTGACAGTGTTACAAACTCATCTGAATGAGACTTTTTTATACAGATCTTCATGACCTGTTCCCACCGCAGTTCATCGTCGTCACCTCTTTTACACCAAATGGTCTGCAGGGTGTGGTCACTGTTTCTTCCGTGCCATTTTGGGGTGGAGAAGGTGGATGTGATGAAGCCAATAATTCAGGACTTATTCCTTCCTGTATTGTGTTTTTTTGTCCTTGCACCAGAGTAAGAAATAGCTTCCAGGAGCTCCAGCTATAAGCTTGGAAGAGTCTGCGTGATTGTAATCACATGGTGACAACACTCAGAATCTAAATTGGACTTCTTTTGTATTCTCATCACTCAATTTGTTTTTTAGCAGTTTAATGGGTACATTTTAAAGTCTTCCATTTTGTGTGGAATTATATCCTCCCCTTCAAATGCTGTAATTAACATCACTTACAGAAACTTGAATAAAATATTGAAACCTCAAAAAAAAAATGCTGGGCAATAAGTTACAAGCAAAAAACCCTGGCTCTTTTTAAGACGAGACAAACTTATCAGCCACTTACCCTTTTGCCTTTTATCATTCTTTTCTTTCTTTTTTAAATCAGCTTTCTTTGTTGAATGTCACTCTTATTATTCTAAAAATAAGACGCTGTGCAAACCTTGCCATCCATGTAGCCAATTACGTAGGGAAGGCCAAGAAACTTGCAAAAACATTGGAGGTATATATTTATAATTTGTATACAGCATTAACTTTCAAAAATCTTTCACTAGCAGTTGAATAAAATTCCTAACTGATAACAGCCCAGTTTTAAAAAATGTGAGTGAAAGGATTAGAGGATATGAATTCAAAGTCACTTCTAGCTTTTAAATTTTATGATTTTATTTGATTAAGTGTCTCAAAGTTAAGGAGAGACAAAGGAATCAACTTCACCAGCATTTACTGTTTGGTCCAATGCTGTAAAATTTGATTAAGTAAAGCCCAGACTTGTTGGAATTCATCACACAATACCATTCACCCTCAGACCTTGTAACTCAAATATGTGAGAGTAGATTGATCAGATAAAATCAATGTGGTCTGAATAATAAAATTTAATTTCCATTTAAAATTGTGTGCTTGTTTATGTACAGTTACACTTACCATGCTTCTATTTATGTAGTTATTCTAAGACTGTTCTGCAAATAAGACCTTTGTGTAGTTCCAAGTTCATATTATTAATTTGCAAAAGGTTTATTTTGTTTCCTCCATTGTACGGAGAAGGAAACTGAGGCTTTGAAGACATTAAGGCACTTCAGGGATCACAGTAATGTGATCCAGCTTTCTTCTCCCTATACCACATTGTTTTATTTTCATTTTTATTATTATTCAGAATATTTATGAACTTACACAATACTAATTTTGCTAATGAGATAAATACGAAACTTCCAAGTAGATTCATTTGAAAATTGTTGTAAAGAGAAAACATGCTACTGAAATTTAAGCAAAAAGAAGGCCAAAAATAAGTTTATTTTTCACAAGACAAACCCTACCCACATTCCCTACAGCAGTTATATGGGACAACCTTGCTCTATGATGAATTGAATGAAACAATTTTGGGAAATAATTTTCTCTGTCTGCCCTCCCATCCTCAATGGCTTGATATATAATGCCTTGTGTACAATCTTGTCAAAATATAAGAAATAGATGATATATTTTTTAACACTTCCCTGTCAACCCTATGATGTTAGAATTCTATGACTCACAGTCTATTCTCTGGTATATTTGTAAAATGACATGCAAAACACAGAAACTGTAAGTCTTGGAGTCACAGAACATCTCCCTGAAAAACCTGATAGCAGAATCTCATGCATAAATTTTAATCCTGTTGAATCAATGTTATAATTATTAGGCTTAGTAACTAATGACATATTCACTAGAGTTTGTTTTGACTTAAGACAAAACACCTTAAAAGAAAAACACATCAATAACACATAAAAGATAACTCTGCTTAAAGAATAAGGCCAAATGCTGGATGCAATTCTTTAAAAAGTCAATACTTAAAATATGGAGTTAAGTCAGCATGTAGACTAAGTAAGATTGGTAGCAATGGAACCTAAATTGGGGTTTTAGATTTGCAGGTAGTATATGGATAATCATTATTGGTGCTTGCCGAATGTTTGTGGTGGTCCCCTCCTTCCAGAAACATAGCTAGATTGCCTTCTGACTTCTTTGTGGTTATGTGTGGCATGTGACTTGTTGTGGCCTATGAGTTGTAACAGAATATGGCATGCATTACTACGGGCTGAGGGATTTATGTTGATACAAAAGCTTCCAGAACTCTCCTTTCCCTCAGCCACTATCACCAGAGTGTCAACATTCCTTCACCCTGGATACTGAAGGAAAGTCAATACTTATGCCAGAGCAAGGCCCCAGCCAACATGAAATAGGCATGTAGCCCAAGGACTGGTAGACCTTAGACCTTTTTTAAAAATAAATTGCTTTTAAAAACACTGATCCTGGCCAGGGGCGGTGGCTCACACCTGTAATCCCAGCACTTTGGGAGGCCGAGGTAGGCAGATCACCTGAGGTCGGGAGTTCGAGACCAGCGTGATCAATGTGGAGAAACCCCATCTCTACTAAAAATACAAAATTAGCTGGGCGTGGTGGCGCATGCCTGTAATCCTAACTACTCGGGAGGTTGAGGTAGGAGAATTGCTTGAAACGAAGAGGCGGAGGTTGCAGTGAGCCGAGATCACGCCATGCACTCCAGCCTGGGCAACAAGAGCGAAACTCCATCTTAAAAACAAACAAACCAAAAAACACAAAACAAAGCAAAACAAAAAAAATACTGATCTAGAGACTGGGAATGGTTGGGGAAAGCAGGGATAGGAAGAGATTTGTGAAAGAATACAGAATTACAGCTAGACATGAGGAATAAGTTCTAGTATTCTATACCACTACAAGATGACTATAGTTAACAATAATATAATATATAATTTCAGATAGTTAGAAGGACCATACGGAATATTCCCAACACAAAGAAATGATTAATGTTTGAAATGATAGATATGCTAATTACCCTGATATGATTACTGCATATTATATGTATCAAAACATCATTATATACCTCACAAATATGTACAATTGTTATGTATCAATTAAAAAATTAAATGGAAAAACCACTGAACTTTTGGGACTGTTTATTAACACAGAATCTCTAACCCATCCTGAGTGATAAAATAGAAATTGGTACTTGAAATAGCAAATGCACACCTATGCTTTATCTTGTTCCTTTAATGTTTAACCTAATCTTTATCTGATGGAAAGTGGAGTAGGCTACACCATTTCCACATAAGAAATATTTTCTTTTATGGATGCAACTGCTGGGTTCCAATTAGAAATTTTAAGAAATGAAGATAAGCTTTGCACTGTCAGCTATGAAATTAAGCATGAGTCTAAAAGCCAACAGAAAAGGTAAATAAAGGACACAGATTTTTTAGATTTGGTGATAATTAAGATTTCTGAGTTTTTAAAATGTGTGTGCTGAATAATTTCCATGAGTAGCTGCCATATTGAATTCTGACATGTATGTCTCTATTCACTCTCATGGCAGAGGAGGACTGTTTTCTCTTTGCTTAAGGTAGACATTTTCACTCACCAATAGTGCAAACTATGTGTACCCTTCACTCAAGACAGTTAAAGTTTAAGAAAATATGTAGTCATTAAACTCTTCAGTTTGCCAGAGGGATCTTTATGGCCTAAGAATGAAAATGATAAACTATCTGACTTGTCTAGTCACACTCACTCAAAAATATTTAAAAATATATAGGTTTCTATCTTCCACATTAGATAGTACTACTTCCATATTGGTTTATGTGTGAATTGAAAAGTAAGACAAAAAATAAAAATTAAAACACCCTCATTCACTTGCTCTTGTGTCCTTGGTTAGAGACAGGCATATGAGCTTTTCTGTTTCTTTAAATGAACTTCTAAAACTGGCTTCATAAAATGCTTCCAAATAATACAGGTAAAACTCATCATTTGCCAACAATATATGAATGATATGATACAAGATGGAGATGAAAGCATACTTGAAACCACTGACTGGTTGTTTTGAAAGTTGTCTAGATATGTAATCACAAAAATACTCAATAAACAAAACTTCTAACTGTTTTTATTTATGTAGTATCTGGTGTCAGACATAAAAATAAGCTGAAAAACATCTGGAATTCCCCTGGCTGTCACATATATATGCTCAAGAAGGATAAAAACTTAAAAAATTTTAAAATTTTCTGAATCATTTTTTTTTCTTTTTTGAGATGTAATCTCGCTGTGTCGCCGAGGCTGGAGTGCAATGGGGTGATCTCAGCTCACTGCAACCTCCGCCTCCCAGGTTCAAGCAGTTCTCCTGCCTCAGCCTCCCCAGTAGCTGGGATTACAGGTATGCACCGTCACATCCAGCTATCTTTATATTTTTAGTAGAGACGGGGTTTCATCTTGTTGGTCTGTCTAGTCTCCAACTCCTGACCTCAAGTGATCTGCCCACCTCGGCCTCTCAAAGTGTTGGGATTACAGGCGTGACCCACTGCGCCCGGCCCTGAGTCATTTGTTTTGAGTGATGTATGAAAAGACGAAAGAATGAGACAGTTGTTTATTAGAAACAAATGATTATGAAAAAGAGATTAGTGATCCACATTAAAGCATATCCTACTAACATACAACAAGAACCCTGAGAAGTTAAGAGGTTCAGTACTTTTCAAGTGAACCCAGTTCAATCCCCATTTCCTGTGAATCAAGATGACTGTCGTATGGGAACTTTGATTTAACGCTGAATCCCTTTCGTTCTTAATCACTGACCCAGTGGTTTCAAAACATTTTCAGCAATTACATTCTCACCAAAGATCATGATGATATGATGAACTTAGCATTAGATCTTAGATGAGTTAAGAGCAAAACAATAGAAGCCAATTACATAGCCACATATATTTCTAATTGACTAAATCTTCTAAAATCCAGTTTTGCAAATATACAGTTTATCTGTGGAATCTGACAAATCATGTATAAGACATATTTGATTGGAGCTACCGAAAGCACCGGGATATTTCCGGTGCACATACAATAGTACAATATTATTGGAAATACCTGATGTATGTAGTTTTGTGGCCTTTAGCAAAAACCAGAAACAAAGCTATAAAGAATGACAAGCAAAAATTATAACCCAGTCAACTAATGAGAAAAAGAAAACATTAGAAATGAATAAATATATTGGGGTAAATCTCTTATTACCAAAATTGATTTTTCCATGCATCTTAGATTTTGTTTTGATTAAATAAATTAAATGAGCCAGAAAATAAATTTAAACCTACCCACAAAAATTCATAATAAAATGTATAGTGGATTACTTCTGCTATGACATTTCAATTCACTCATCAGAAGACATCTGATTACTCATGAGTGCTCATATTACATTAGCCTCTTCACTCATGACCAAAAGGCTGTATTAGACCTAATCCATTATGGAGTTTCTGTTCTTTTATTTTTTTTTTTTCACTTAAAGCTCAAAACTACTATCCACACTGAATTCTATATTAAATAGTAATTCTATATTTAAATAGATATTGTATTGGTAAATCTGGGTCTTATAATACAGGGTTGTTCTAAATTATGTTTCATCTATTAGGATATTGGATAACTGTTCTGAAAAAAAAGGCTTGAATCTTAAGAGAAACAAGATAATGAAGCTTTGCACCATACCATTTAATTTTGAGACATCTCAATTGGGAAGAAATGCACAATTTTTCTGAAAGACACAATTGCTCTGTCTGGAAATTAATATCTTTCTTTTTCTCCAGAACCAGATTTGAACTGAACTTCAAGACAAATAGACACAAGATCAATCTTTTCTTATATATCCTCAATTTCAGGAATTTTATGCTCCAAACAGAATTAGATCCATTGCCTTGCTTTCTTATCTGCTTTAGAGTTCTCAAGACACAGGAATTCATTTCTCCCGAAATGGGTCTTCAAAAACATCTTTCTCAATTTAATTTCTCATAGGTTCTCAATTGGCTGCAACATTCAATTTGAAGGTGTAGAGATTTACTTTTACCCAAAACTTTTTTTTAGATACCATCAGGCTACAAATAGGGACTAAATTTTACCAATGTTAGATTTAGCTTTTTAAGGACAATTTCGCAATAAACGGGCTCTTAATTTGAGTTTATGTGTACATAAAATTTGATACGTGATCCATTAAAGGAAACGTAAAATAAGAGGAAATTTTCCTCTTTCAGTCACTGAAACCCTAGGAGGGGATCTAACTTTGAATGAAGAATATCTGCATGGCCATGTTAGACCGTACATAGAAAACAAACTTGAAGCTTTTAAACTTTTTTAATGGAAAAAAGAGCTACTGTCTAACTACCACTTACTTTCCATTTTCAGTTACTATGAATTACATGCAGGAAGATTTTACATTAAGGAATGAAGGAAATCACTTTTGGCATTAATTTATTTTAAGCCTTACTGTTGCTGTTTTACAAGTACCACTGCTTTAAAAATCAGTTATCTCTCTATGGACCCTTCAACAGTATCACAGACACAAATGTGGTTCTTGCTGATGTAAATGTTTGATTCCTCTTGGATTGTCCAGAGAAACATTTCAGCTAGGTCAGTGTCTCTAAAGAAGAGAAGGATGATGTTTTGCCTTTGCAGACAGGGCAGTTGCCATGACTCATCTGGGAAGAGAGCTAAAAACCTGGACCAGAGATGAATTTGAGAGCCAAGCTCTTAGTAGTAGTGTTACCAGATAAACACATTTAATACAAGTATTTTTATGTACTAAACTTGGCAACCCTAATTATGAGACTTTCATTATCACACAGTGGCTTCTTCCAGGAGAATCTGAATGAATAAATCTCTCCATAAGCATGAAGGCACATCATAGATAATCAATGGATAGAAGTTCTCTTCAGTCCCTCCAGATGAAAACACCAGAATTTAGGAACAACCAACTACAAAAGAATATTTCCCATTTCTTCTTGTAATTGGTATCACATGCTGCATTTCTCCTAAATCCTCTAAATCTGCTTTTGAGATGGATAATTAAGCACATAAACTTATTTCTGTGAATTATGTATTTACGTATTTATGTATTGTGAGTATATATATGTAAAGCTTAGTAACAACTGGCATTTATTAGAATATATATGAAAGTAAAGGAAAAGGAAAATAAATTAAGTTTTCTTAGATTTTAAGCCAGTGGTTCTCAATCCTAGCTATAAATTGAAATTACTTGGGATTAAAACAAAACAAAATAAAGCAAAAAAAAAAAAAAACAATAAATAGCCGAATCTCAGCCCTATAATATGGGTACCTATGCCCATCATTAGTAGAGTCAGAATTAGAATCCAATGTTCATTTAACCTCTTGATTTATGGTCGAGAAAATATTGGACTAAAAGTTTTGGATCAAGACTGAATCTTGGTTAAGTCTTAATCTTGACCTTGGATTAAATCCCAGATCAACCATTTTCTATACATGTATCTATATAGTCAGTTATTTAACTTCTCTAAGTACAAGTTAGAATCTGAGAGAAATACAATTCTCTAAGAATTAGTTAGAATCTGAGAGAAATACAGTATGTCCAAGTAACCTACAAATTCTGTGCACAATAGAGGCATTTTAGATTTTGGAAAGCTATGAAAATCCCTGGCCCCACTCGTTTCACTGAAGATGATAAGTGGCGATTATCTTTAGTATATATCATAGCTCTATAAAGTTATGAAACCACAAGAATGTTCAGAACTGGTACTATTTAAATTTTTCAACATATATTTTAGTATTGATGTCTAGTATCCAGCATCCATGCTCCTCTGTTTCTCCTGCCAGGGCTCTCCTATCAGTCTATTTGGATATATCCAGCGTCACTGACACAACGTTGGGAGTCCCAGGCCACTTAGGAAGTCTAGGTTCTTTCTCCCACCTAGACTAATGCCTAGGCTCCCCTGAACACCTGACGATGCCCTTGGTTTATCTTTTATTATGCTTTTATTCATCTATCACTAGAAAACTGATGAAGACATTGTGAGTCAGAATGCCAAGAAGGCCAGGGAATCCAGATGAGATCTTCCTGCCTACATAGAACATGACTAAATATCTGGCTTAGACTTGTTATCTCTCACATGAAAAGAACGATTGCCGCATTTTCCAAAAATCTTAAAATTAATATTTAAATTTAACTCTCCTTATATGCAGATTTAATTTGTAGACTTTGTATAAAAGCAATTTAGTAAAAAAAAAAAAAAAGAAATATCTCCTTTCATCAAGGTAAAAACTCATATATTGTCAATATTTTTAATATAATTCAGGTGGTTTCTAGAAGAAATTTCACATTTCCTAGATTTGACAAAAACATCCCTACTCCTACTTTTTTTTTCTTTTTTTGAGACAAGTTTCATTCTGTTGCTCAGGCTGGAGTGCAGTGGTGCGATCTCAGCCCACTGCAACCACCGCTTTATGGGTTCCAGCGATTCTCCTGCCTTGGCCTCCTGAGTAGCTGGTGTGATCTTAGCTCACTGCAACCACCACCTCAGGGGTTCAAGTGATTCTCCCGCCTTAGCCTCCCGAGTAGCTGGGATTACAGGCGCCCGCCACCATGCTCAGCTAATTTTTCTATTTTCAGTAGAGATGGTGTTTTGCTATGTTGGCCAGGCTGGTATTGAACTCCTGACCTCAATTGATCCACCAGCCTCAGCCTCCCAAAGTGCTGGGATTACAGGTGTGAGCTACCGCACCTTGCCCCCACCCCTGCTTTTTCAAAAAGCCTGATAAGTAGTATAAAGAATGGCAGGCCTTCGTGAAGAAGCCAGCAATGGGAGCCCTGGGGAAGGCTGTCAGTAGACTGTTGAAAGAAACATGTCCTTGGTGATAGCTTAGATTGTCCAGTTCACTGCAGCCATTCACTTTGACTTGATTCACTTCACCCCTGTATGCTTTTATGTTTGCAATCCCTTAGCCAAGATGGTAAACTCTACTTTAAAATAGCTAGCTTAATTTCTAGAAAACATTATCTAATGTATAATTTTCCAATATTAAATAAAAAGTAATATTAGTGTTAGGTTACATTGTTCCAACAAAATAAATAATTCTTTTTGGTCAGAGACAACTCACCAGTTTGCCACCTCCCTATCTTTTTCATACCAGCCATCAACATAAATTAACGAGGCCAGGATGCATGTAGGAGGCACTTGATTTCTTATCCAATGAAGTTTATATATCACAAGCACCAGAAAGTGCCCTATTTCTCAGACAGCTATGTTCTGCATGTTAAAGGCTGTAATTGTTCTGTGAAATATTTTAAGGTGACAAGGTATCTATTTTGGCATTGGGAAAGAGGTGGCAAGAATGCATTATTAAATTTTTTAAGGATAACTAGAATGAAAAATGAAATTGCGTATTGTCAGATGCAAAGAGAGTGCCTTTTGTAAACAATGATTTTGTTTCTAAAGGAAGCGAAACACTATTAGCATGACATTTAATTTTCAATTTAAGAATTCTAGAAAAAAATGTTGGGGTGAATGATTGTCCAGTTCACTGCAGCCATTCTAAGATTAAACATTCCTCTGATTTATTTACTAAGTTGTGAGATATAAATGAATATTTTTATTGTAGAATCATAGTAGAAAGATAACTTTCTCCCATATATGGACTGACATAAGTTTTAGAAACTTATGCTATGTGGTATATGTCTCCATCTTTTTAGACCATGATTTTAATTCAAAATTGAATTTGGTTTCTAGAAAATAGTTCACTGGTCTATTAGTGAACTTACCTCTTTAAGACAGGGTCACACAGGATTTTTAAAAATGTGTGTTTATTTTAAGAGAAGCTAAGATTTTACTATAGAAGAAACACTTTTGTTTCATTTTACAGTTTAATGTGAGATATATTTCATCAAATTAACCATCATAGTTTATATCTTTGAGTTTATACATTTGCGTTGCTTTGCCCAAATAATTGAATGCTTTAAAAAGGTGTATATGAATGCATATTTTATTAATAGAATTGTATTTCATATGTACTATAAGAGTTTTCAATTACAAGAAACCATGTGAGAGATTTGTAAAAGGGAGTTTTTAATCCAATTAGAAAAAATAATGTTTCAAAATTTTTAAATAGGATTATTAAAACATTCAAGACTTACATAAATATGTCATTGGTTACTGAATATATGAATACATTATTATAATGAATTTACTATTTCATCAAATTTCAAAACTAAGATAAAACATATTTATTATCATTCAATATTTAAGTGATTTTTCTTTCTATTGTTACTTTTTAAAAGAAGGGGGAAAAATAGAATGTTCTAATTATTTCCTAAACTGGAAATATTTTTGTGTCTCTAGATTTGTTATTTTTGTTTATATAACAATAAAGAAGCTACCTGAAATCAGTATATATTACAGAAAGTCTTCAAAAGAATAAAAGGGCACAGACAGACATACATATTAATCCTTATGTAGATATTCAGGTTCACTCTTGTTCAAATGTTAGAAAGCTAATTTCATACTCCATCTGGAGAACGTCGAATAAATTTAAATTTTTAGTGCTATTGTCCCATGAAAGAAGTCTGATTATTTTTCAAAATTCAAAGATTTTTTTGGTTTGTTTTCTTTTCCTTTTGTTGTGACTTGCACTTTGGCAAATGACAAAATCGGTGCAGAACTTGGAGGAAAGGTGCTACTCTTCAGGCTGAGAAGGTTTCCTTCCATAAGCTTTAATTTAATTTTGACAATGCCCATGTGAACATGGGCGAATTCACAGATTTTAATTTAATGCTTCAGAGTCTCAGATAAAGGGGGAACAGACAATATCTCAACACCATAGACTGTATCCTTCTGTCCTTTTTACATCCCACCTGAGAACACCATCCTCAAATGTGTCAGCTTAGATTGCTGATGTATTGCTGTGCATGGCACATTCTGGGACCTGGAAATGTAGGCAACCTTCAGTTTTACAGTCTCACCCTCAGAAAAAGCCATCAGTGATTTGCTA
Source organism: Homo sapiens (assembly GCF_000001405.40). Classification (NCBI taxonomy): domain Eukaryota; kingdom Metazoa; phylum Chordata; class Mammalia; order Primates; family Hominidae; genus Homo; species Homo sapiens. The sequence goes on along the minus strand of NC_000003.12, from coordinate 77,305,343 downwards.
GGAAATAGAGTGAAGAATGCTACCAAAAGGGCAGTTGAAATCCCTTGTTTTGGCCTCTTTTATGACTGCAAAGGCAATGTTTAAAAATTCCACATTGACAATAAGGTGTTTATTGCACATTTTAACAGCCACACTTGAAGATTATTTATTTTTCAAATGTTACAAAACAAGAGTGAAAATCTCCCTAAAATAAAAGAAAAATCGTCTTCTGCTTTTATTGAGCAACTTTTCAAATACAATTGTACTTAAATTAACTCATTGAGGCCAACAAATAGAGTCCTTATTGAGCAAATAAATATTCCCAAAGGGGTCAGAGAGGTTGAAAGCAGGTTGTTTTAAATACCAGTCACAATAAAGCCCAAAGAGAAATAAGTAATGCAGTACAGAGAACTGCACCTGGTCATTTTTAGCTTAAAATACTGCAGACTTACAAATGCATTTATCAAAACTACAGCTTACGTATGTACGCTCTCCCTAACTGACACGTCACAGACAAATTTACTCCCCTCAAAGAACAATCTGCTAAGCACAATACACAGATACACACACTGTATCTCTCATGCTGTTATTCAACCAGAAAAGATCAAATTTTCTAATACAAATAAAGTGGAAATGGTTCTTCCAATTTAAGGTCCATAAAACACTTATTAAAGATAAAAGCAGGTTATTTAGCAATATTGGCCTTCGTGAGATGCGGTATGTGCCACAGAATGAAATAGAAATTTCAGTGATGGAAAATCATTCTCCTTCCCTCTTGATAGTATAATAACCTTTTAAATCATGTTTGACATTTGTAAGTTGAGTGCGCTGGCAGCCCTGAAAAGCCTCTGCAGTAATATATGTGGCAAACCCTTTCTGGAGCAGTAATCTCATTGCTGCGTCTAACGGCTCTCACTTCATGTGGCCGACTGGGCCCCAAGAGACATATTTGACTCTGCCTTTCTCAAGCCACTGGTTGCTAATGTTCCCTATTATGAGGAAAACAGCACCGTGCCTTCAGGCAATGGCCACTCTGCTAGAGGTACAACGACCAGCCAACCTTCTGCTGAGCTTTTTTTGTTTTAAACTATTAAATATGCACATGCGTTATACAAAAGGGGTTCTTTGTGCTTCAAAACAACAATATGACAGCGATATTTACTCTGCTCCAATTGCTAATCTGACAAGCTCCATCTGGTAAGCAGACCCTTTATCTTCTCATCACCCTAAATCTCTGAAGGAAAGTGGACACTAGCGGCATATGTCCATGGCTGGTCCTTATGCTTAATGAGGTAGAATATTTATAGGTTGAAACTTTAAGGACACCTAGGAGATGTGTTAGTTGATGTTGAGAAAGAAAGCTATCCCACTAAAGAGAGCTACATGAGTCTATTTTCTGTCACACCGCATTTCATTTGGAAAGGAAGCCCAGCACAACCTCTTACAAAGGTGAAGTTGAAATGTGATTTTTCTCAAAATGTTTAGTAATCCTACAGAGCCACCTTCCATGTCCCCAGATACATTTCTGCTTATCCCTAGCACTTGCATATATATATGTATATATATGTATATAAAATATTTCATTGTCAAATAAAGATTGAATATATTCAAGATGTACAACATGATGATTTTATTTTTATGTATATATATACACACACATTGTGTAATGATGAATACAATTGGATTAATTAACACAACCACCACCACCCATTATGTACAAAATATGGTCAAAGTGTACAAACTCAGTTATAAGATACCCCTATATTTTAATTGCCTTGTCTTTATTCTCTACTCAAATATAAGCATTGTGAATGCAATAAATATATATTATTTCATAAGTCCACACAGTAGATGCTCTTAATATTAGTCATTTGAATAAATGTATACATTTTCACTCTGTTATGAACACAGAATACTTATATTTCACACAGGAATAAATGTGATATCAAAAGAAACCTACCTTAGCCCCAAAATCAAATTTACAGACAGGTTATTTTTGTCTTCCATAGTTTATCGTACGGCTTCATTTATCTTGACCTGTTTCAACCATTCAACAACTTAACTAGGGAGTGTCCACTCTGTGTGATCTGTACTTAAATATAAAATATTCTAGACATTCAAACTTCCAAATTAATATGGTACTCCATACCTACAATTTAATCCATAGTGCTTTGTAGCAATATAGAAAGAACATGGCATGGAGGTGCGGTTATACCCACATGCCCAGAAATAAATGTGTAATTGTAGAGAATTAGCAAGTTCTATCTTTGCATTTGGTAGCACATTAAATCCCATGAAATCCGTCTATGGAAGGATTGATTATAATTAAAGCTGATGTGCACATATTAAGGAAATAAATATTAGTGTGTTTTTCTATTCAAAGCTGATAAAACATCTGAGCAGTAAAGAAAAAATATTCCCTTACTCAATTTGTATTTTATATACAACCTAAAGCCAACTTTATCCTATGGGGATTTAAAGGCATCTGAGACTTTGGTTCAGAAGTGGGAAATAAATGATGAAATTTCCTCGGCCATTTTCTGGGTCACTTTCTCAATAAAAAGGTCATAGCCAGCTGCTGTTGTTGCCTTCCAAGTCTATATTTCAGCTATATTAATGCATTATTCTATCTTTTTATCATTTAGAGGATATTTATTGTATTTTCCAATAGATACCTGAAATTACAGTTGACTTTAAAACCTCTTATAATAATCGAGTGAGCTGGAACATGTTAAATAAGAAATCTGGAAATTTGGCATTATCACTTAGATTTGGTGTCCACATCAGTATAACCTTTAAGAATTTCTAGCCAAGAACGCATATTAATTATACAGAAATACACACAGGTACAATTATTGGTTTAATGATCTTATTTGCTGAGCTAGTATGGCCCATAATTGTTTAGGGGTGATTATGGGAGACAAGGAAAGTAAGCCTGTGGAAGACCTAATGAAGACAAATAAGGCTTCAGTCAGAAGAATACTAAACTTGCATTAAGGGCGCACCACAAACAAGACACTGTTCTAAGTAGTTTATATGTATTCATTAGTTCAATCTTTACAACCACCCTATGAGATAGGTACGATTAATATCTTTTTTTTTATTATTGAGAAAACAGACTCAGGTCAGGTTTGGTGGCTCAAACCTGTAATCCCAGCACTTTGGGAGGCCAAGGCAGGAGGATCATTTAAGGCCAGTAGTTTGAGACCAGCCTGGGCAACATGGCTAGATGCTATTTCTATGGAAAAAAAAAAATGTCTTTACTTAGTTTCTATGGAAAAAAAAAGTTCTTTAGTTAGTCAGGTGTGGTGATGCACACCAGTAGTCCCAGCTACTTGGGAGGCTGAGGCAGGAGGATTGCTTGAGCCCAGGAGGTCAAGGCTGCAGTGAGCCATGACTGTGCCACTGCACTCCACTCTGGGTGACAGAGTAAGACCCTGTTTCTTAAAAAAGAAAGAAATAACTTAAAAAAGAAAAAAAAAAAGGAAATTGAAGCTCAGCAAGGTCAAGTAATTTCTCTGAGGACACACAGCAAGTATGTAACAAAATTGGGGAGCTTAACCCCAGAGTGATACATTTAACCACTACACCGTGAATTTAGTAAAAGAGTTACAATATTTGAACGTTAGTTTCTAAAGTAAAAAGAAGGTATCATTTTAACTATGATGAGAACAAAGAGGGCTTAGAAAAAGGGATTTTTCAGTGGAGTGTTTATGCCTAACTTTTCAGATGAATGGCATAGGCCATTTAATTTTGCTTTGCTCATGTGCGAATTTAGATATCCACACCTATATGTATGATAGGAACATTTTAAATATTTGATAAGTGAATGAATTGATAATTGAATAAATATATAGACTGCTGTATATTTATATTATTCTATAATTTTGGTGTAATACATGCATATGCAATTTCAGAAGTGATTGGAGTCTTCATATAAGTAGTTAGGAGCCTCCACTGTACATTGTTTCATAAATTACACTTAGCCAATGCAATTTATTATATTATCAGCTATGGTGGGAACTGTTTTAACACCAGTCTCCCCCAGAATAATTATTCTGATAATAATATTAGTAATAATATTAGGAAATTGGACTCTTTAAAAATCTTATGTAAAGCCTGAATAAAATCATCTTAGAAATCTTTATTTTTTAAAATCAGTAATATATATTTTCAATTTAAAAATATGTCTATTAGGCCGGACACAGTGGTTCATGCCTGTAATCCCAGCACTTCGAGAGACCAAGGTGGGTGGATCAACTGAGGTCGGGAGTTCGAGACCAGCCTGGCCAACATGGTGAAACCCTGTCTCTACTAAAAATACAAAAGTTAGCTGGACATAGTGGTGTATGCCTGTAATCCCAGCTACTCGGGAGGCTGAGGCAGGAGAATTGCTTGAACCCAAGAGGTGGATGTTAGTGGCCAAGATCATGCCACTGCACTCCAGCCTGGGTGACAGAGTGAGACTCTGCCAAATAAATAAATAAATAAATAAATAAATAAATAAATAAATAAATAGTCTATTATTTCAGTTTAGGTTTAAAATAAGCCCCCCAACTCTCCTGTTTTAGGTAGCTGCCCCTAAATGTCTCCTGTAAAGAAATTCTAGAGACATTCATTATCAGAAATGTTGAGACTTTAATAAGAAAACTGATGCAGAGAGGAGATAGTGAGAAAGTAAAAGTCATAGAGTTTATTTAAAAAGTAAGGAAATACCACCTAAATGGGAAAATGGCTAGGTTTATATCTCGCAATTTCCTCTTCCTCTTATCAACAATTTATTTTTTTTTTAAATTTAGTCTGTTAGCATCAGTATTTATGTAGCATAGCAGAGACAGAACTAAAAATTCCAAAGACTGATATAAAAATAACCTCTTCAAAATTAGAAAAAAAGAACAGATGGGTTGGGCTGCTACATTCATGCTCTCTACATTTTACTCAATGTCGTTATAGGAGTAACTGTCTGTTTGGGTTCTTGCCTAAATATCCAGTTAGAGCCTGAATCTTAAGGTACTATTGATTATTTTCAATTCTGAGTAGCTGCTCTATAAACTAAATCAACTCTCCAAATAACTCTTTCTTAGAATAATTTTTGGAATATGTGAGGCAGCATAGCAAATGGTAAAACTCTAGGCAGAGTCTAGAGTTTGAGAAAGAGCAGTAAAAAAAAAAAAAAAAAAATTCATTTCCCTACTGCACAATTTATTTAATTCTATGTCAATTTCCCTTTTGCTGTAAATCTATGCTAACCTGCAAAAGTGATTAAAGTTACAAAATTTGCATTTATGGACCTGTTGTACATATACAATATATAATATGTATGGCAGATTTAAATATTTTTGGGAGAAAGAGTGAGGTATTTTTTTCCAAACTATGAGAATATGATGAGTGACACGGAAACATTTGAATCCCATATTGATTTTCATGACTCTGTCTTCCCTCCTGTTACCCAGGCTTAGAATCTTTGAAACCAACTTGGGGTCTCCATTTCCATTCTCTTACTTTTATCCAGTTGGCAGACATTGCCTGCCACTCACCACTCTATCGTCCCTCTCTGTTGTAATCTGTATTATTATCGTTGTTCCTCTGATTCCTATTTTCAATTAGTCTGACCTGAGATTTTGCAATCATAATCTAAGAAGTCTCCTGATGTGTCCCCCACCCAAATCTCATGTTGAATTATAGTTCCCATAATCCCCACGTATCATGGAAGAGAACCAGTGGGAGGTAATGGAATCATGGGGGCAGTTACTCCTATGCTGTTCTCATGATAGTGAGTGAGTTCTCAGGGAATCTGATGGTTTTATAAGGGGCTTTTTCCCCTTTGCTCAGCACTTTTCCTTCCTGCTGCCACGTGAAGAAGGACGTGTTTGCTTCTCCTTCCATCACGATTGTAAGTTTCCTGAAGCCTCTCCAGCCCCGTTCAACTGTGAGTCAATTAAACCTCTTTCCTTTATAAGTTACCCAGTCTCAGGTATTTCTTCATAGCAGCGTGAGAACAAACTAATATATCTCTAGGCTTTCAGTCCTTCTTATCTCCAGACTAGTCTTCGCTCTCTCTTAAGTTGCTTTTACCAAAACACATCCTGATACCACACCTATCTATTCCATTCTTCTGTCCTCAATTTAAATGTCAGTTTAAACATATGTAGACTAATATTTTAGAATCTAATTCCAACTTGCCATCTCAACTTATATTTTAAAAAATGTTTCACATCCTGTTAAAAAGCACTAATTTTTTTCATTCATGCTTCTCTTTTTCCCTCTTTCTAAAATGCTTTCTTCCTGTTCCTCATCATGCACATCTTACTTATCATTCAATGTCTAATTTAAATTCTACCTTTTTCATGAAATAATCTTGACTCTGGCAATTCTGTTTGCCCTAGAAGATAAAAATAGCCCCTCTATCTTCTGAAATGTCCTGGCTACTGATTTGTTCCAGATCTCACGACACTTTTGTCAGTCAGTGTTTTATTATAATTCTGTACACGTATATCTTATCTTCCATACTGACTATAAGAACTTTCAGGGCAGGGTCTATTGCTTTATCTATTCTACAGTGCCAAGCACACTCCCATGCACACAGGAGGCACAGATGAATGAAGGAATGAATAACAAATTTGTCTGTAACAGAGAATAATTTAAACTCATCTCCTGAAGCCCAACCAAAGTTTTCTGTTCACGGCTCTGCTGAGGATAACTTGCTGTTAGTCAGCTGTGATTGTTACAGTGCAGCTATTACAACAGTGTACTTTCCCAGCAACAAATAACCCTTAATGGTGGTTTCCCATGACTGAAGTAAACCTTCTCCCACTTCAGTTCAGTCTCATATTTTGCCCTGGTCTGAAGGCAGCATGACAGACTAAGAATACAAAAGACTCATGAGTGAGAGAGTCTGGACTCTAGGCATTGCTCTCAAGAATTCCTTAGTTTGGCAAATCATTTCACTTCAATTTTCTCATTTGTTAAATGAGGGGTTGGGATTGGAGTTCCTTTCCAGCTATGAAACTTCATGGAGGTGAAAGGCATAATCTTCTAAGTTTGACCTTTAGAAAATCATTTTCCATGCTTGAACTCCTAAGAGTTATTAGTAAATGGCCCTCTGCGTTTCCTGGTGTTAGTTGGTGTGGTTTCAGTACTTATTCTAAGTTTTAACTTTCAGACTTCGTGTGAATATTATTCAATTCATGCTGAGAATTTTTCTTCATCTAAGTCACAACCTTCAGAATTTCCTTGGAATTCTTCACCCAAAAAAGCTTCATTTTCACTGAATCCTTTGATGGATCCAATGACACTCATTGTTGGCTGAGGAGGATTTGCAGAATAACCCACAAGCACAATGCCCTACCCGCTTAGGTAGCCCATCCACTGATGGACTCATTCAGCTGCTACCTGGTGTTGAACCTTCTTGGCCCATGTCCAACGACTCTTTCTACTCTTTCTGACCTCTGTTAGCATGCCTCCTCATGTCAATGGGCCTTCTATCCCGGACAAAGTCTGTTTCCTCCTTTCTACACATGTTCAAGGTCTGTTTCCTTCCCTTTCTATTCCACATAAACTTCCTTTACTTCCTTTGTTTGTCAATTTCTTCTTCCGTTAAATGTAAAACCTCTGAGTGTTAACTAGCGTCTAGAAAAGCAGAAGCATTGATACAACTGTGTGGACTTGACACAACTGTGGGGAAATAATCAGAACCAACTGTTAGAAGTACATATCTTTAAAGTTAGATCCGAGAGACTGACTTTTGAAAACGCAACATGTAAAATCTGATGTAGCCAATGGCAAGCTTCCAGAGGAGGCAAGGTTTCCCTCATTTCGTCCATCACCCAGCATTCCGGAGGGAGTTTCCTTTAACCAGATCTGCCTGTAAAGGACTCATCTCTATTCTGTGAAGGGAGTGCACTTAAGCAAATACCTCAAGGTGTTCATTTTAACTTCCCCTCGTTTTCAAAAATCAAGAGACTCTAGTTCATGTCTAAGATCAATATGCCCAAATTTAATTAAATCCAAAAAGATTTATCCAGCAGGTGAGTTGTTATTAACTCTGGCTAAATGTTAGAACCACCTAAGGAACCTCAAAAATTATGCTTAACTATCACTCGTAAATTGACTAACTTGAGCCTGAACATCAGTAGTTGTAAAAATGTCCCTAGGTCACTGTCACATGTAGCCCAAGTTGAAAGCCCACTGCAGTACAACTCATCTCAGATCCACCTGTGGTGGCTGGAAGACCCAGAATTGAAGACTGATCTAATGACTATGGACCATCGTAGATTTTTAAAATACATTTTCCAACTTTGTGATAACTCCAGACTAAAAAAAAAAAATTTTTAGTTTCTCCATGAACAACTTAATTTCAAAAAATCCTGTCCATTTAAAGGTACATACAGACGAATAAGTCAAAGTATGCGAGAAAAGCAGTCAACACTTCCATATTTTTCACACGAGGTGGTGGAAAGACATGTCCACTGAAAGACTTGAATGGCTTCTTGCTGCTAATCAGCAAAGCACCAAACCGGTATAATGGCCTAGAAGCTTCTTCTTGGCCAGCTATTCAGTCTCATGTTGCACACGCCTCTCTCCCAGGTCCCTCCTCTTTTGTCCTGCAGGAGCAGCAAGTAACCTTTCAGCCTTCTTAAGATTTTGCCATGATTCATCTTACCACAAGGCCTTTTCCATCGGCCTAGAATATTCTGAGCAATTGTTCTCAAACATTGCTATGCATCACAATCACCTGGGGATACTCTAAAGGTCTCAATGTCCAGGGAATACACTGAACAATTAAATTAGACTCTAGACATGGGACTCGGGTATCAGTAATTTAGGAAAAAAAGAGAACAGAAGCAAAACAAAAGAAAACAAGACAAACAAAAAACCAACATCTGAGGCAAGTCCAATGTGCAGCAGTGTGTGACTTCGTGCCCTAGCCTCAGTTTGACGGTTTAGCCGTCAATTTTACTTTATGTCTTTGGTGATCTAGCCTCAGTGTACCCGTTTAACCGTCAATTTTACTTTATGTCTGGGGTGATCTAGCCTCAGCTTGCCCGTTTAACCATCAATTTTACTTTATGTCTGGGGTGATCTAGCCTCAGCTTACCCGTTTAACCATCAATTCTACTTTATGTCTTTACTGTTCTAGCCTCAACTTCCCGTTTAACCATCAATTTTACTTTATGTCTGGGGTGATCTAGCCTCAGCTTACTCGTTTAGCCGTCAATTTTACTTTACATCTGGGGTGATCTAGACTCAGCCTACCCGTTTAACCATCAATTTTACTTCATATCTGGGGTGATCTAGCCTCAGCTTACCCGTTTAACCATCAATTCTACTTTATGTCTTTACTGTTCTAGCCTCAACTTCCCGTTTAACCATCAATTTTACTTTATGCCTGGAGTGATCTAGCCTCAGCTTACCCGTTTAACCATCAATTTTACTTTATGCCTGGGTGATCTAGCCTCAGCTTACCCGTTTAACCGTCAATTTTACTTTGTGTCTGGGGTGATCTAGCCTCAGCTTACCCGTTTACCCGTCAATTTTACTTTATGTCTTTAGTGCTCTAGCCTCAGCTTACCCATTTAAACATCAATTTTACTTTATGTCTGGGGTGATCTAGCCTCAGCTTACCCGTTTAACCGTCAATTTCACTTTATGTCTTTAGTGATCTAGCCTCAACTTCCCGTTTAACCATCAATTTTACTTTATGTCTGGGGTGATCTAGCCTCAGCTTACCCGTTTAACCGTCAATTTTACTTTATGTGTGGGGTGATCTAGCCTCAGCTTACCCGTTTAACAGTCAATTTTACTTTATGACTTTGGTGATCTAGCCTCAGCTTACCCATTTAACCGTCAATTTACTTTATGTCTGGGGTGATCTAGCCTCAGCTTACCCATTTAACCGTCAATTTTACTTTATGTCTTTACTGTTCTAGCCTCAACTTCCCATTTAACCATCAATTTTACTTTATGTCTTTAGTGCTCTAGCCTCAGCTTACCCATTTAACCATCAATTTTACTTTATGTCTTTGGTGATCTAGCCTCAGCTTACCCGTTTAGCCGTCAATTTTACTTAATGTCTTTGGTGATCTAGCCTCAGCTTACCGTTTAATCGTCAATTTTACTTTATGTCTTTGGTGATCTAGCCTCAGCTTACCGTTTAATCGTCAATTTTACTTTATGTCTTTAGTGATCTAGCCTCAGCTTACCCGTTTAACCGTCAATTTTACTTTATATCTGGGGTGACCTAGCCTCAGCTTACCTTTTTAACCGTCAAATTTACTTTATGTCTTTAGTGCTCTAGCCTCAGTTTACCCGTTTAAGCATCAATTTTTCTTTAAGTCTTTGGTGATCTAGCCTCAGCTTATCCGTTTAACCGTCAATTTTACTTTATGTCTTTGGTGATCTAGCCTCAGCTTACTCGTTTAACCATCAATTTTACTTTATGTCTGGGGTGATCTAGCCTCAGCTTACCTGTTTAACTGTCAATTTTACTTTATGTCTTTACTGTTCTAGCCTCAACTTCCCGTTTAACCATTAATTTTACTTTATGTCTGGGGTGATCTAGCCTCAGCTTACCCGTTTAACCGTCAATTTTACTTTGTGTCTGGGGTGATCTAGCCTCAGCTTACCCGTTTAACCATCAATTTTACTTCATGTCTTTGGTGATCTAGCCTCAGCTTACCCGTTTAACCATCAATTTTACTTTATGTCTGGGGTGATCTAGCCTCAGCTTACCCGTTTAACCGTCAATTTTACTTTATGTCTTTGATGATCTAGCCTCAGCTTACCTGTTTAACCGTCAATTTTACTTTATGTCTTTAGGGATCTAGCCTCAGTTTACCCGTTTAACCATCAATTTTACTTAATGTCTGGGGTGATCTAGCCTCAGCTTACCCGTTTACCCGTCAATTTTACTTTATGTCTTTAGGGATCTAGGCTCAACTTCCCGTTTTACCATTAATTTTACTTTATGTCTTTGGTGACCTAGCCTCAGCTTACCCGTTTAACCATCAATTTTACTTTATGTCTTTGGTGATCTAGCCTCAGCTTACCCGTTTAACCGTCAATTTTACTTTATGTCTTTAGTGCTCTAGCCTCAACTTCCCGTTTAACCATCAATTTTACTTTATGTCCGGGGTGATCTAGTCTCAGCTTACCCTTTTAGCCGTCAATTTTACTTCACATCTGGGGTGATCTAGCCTCAGCTTACCCGTTTAACCATCAATTTTACTTTATGTCTGGGGTGATCTAGCCTCAGCTTACCCGTTTAACCATCAATTTTACTTTATGTCTTTACTGTTCTAGCCTCAACTTCCCATTTAATCTTCAATTTTACTTTATGTCTGGGTGATCTAGCCTCAGTGTACCCGTTTAACCGTCAATTTTACTTTATGTCTGGGGTGATCTAGCCTCAGCTTACCCGTTTAACCATCAATTTTACTTTATGTCTGGGGTGATCTAGCTGCAGCTTACTCGTTTAGCCGTCAATTTTACTTTACATCTGGGGTGATCTAGCCTCAGCCTACCCGTTTAACCATCAATTCTACTTTATGTCTTTACTGTTCTAGCCTCAACTTCCCGTTTAACCATCAATTTTACTTTATGTCTGGGGTGATCTAGCCTCAGCTTACCCGTTTAACCATCAATTTTACTTTATGTCTTTACTGTTCTAGCCTCAACTTCCCATTTAACCATCAATTTTACTTTATGTCTGGGTGATCTAGCCTCAGCTTACCCGTTTAACCGTCAATTTTACTTTGTGTCTGGGGTGATCTAGCCTCAGCTTACCCGTTTACCCGTCAATTTTACTTTATGTCTTTAGTGCTCTAGCCTCAGCTTACCCATTTAAACATCAATTCTACTTTATGTCTGGGGTGATCTAGCCTCAGCTTACCCATTTAACCGTCAATTTTACTTTATGTCTTTAGTGATCTAGCCTCAGCTTACCCGTTTAACCATCAATTTTACTTTATGTCTGGGGTGATCTAGCCTCAGCTTACCCGTTTAATCGTCAATTTTACTTTATGTCTTTACTGTTCTAGCCTCAACTTCCCGTTTAACCATCAATTTTACTTTATGTCTTTGGTGATCTAGCCTCAGCTTACCTGTATAACCGTCAATTTTACTTTATGTCTGGGGTGATCTAGCCTCAGCTTACCCGTTTAACCGTCAATTTTACTTTATGTCTTTACTGTTCTAGCCTCAACTTCCCATTTAACCATCAATTTTACTTTATGTCTGGGGTGATCTAGCCTCAGCTTACCCGTTTAACCGCCAATTTTACTTTATGTCTTTAGTGCTCTAGCCTCAGCTTACCCATTTAACCATCAATTTTACTTTATGTCTTTGGTGATCTAGCCTCAGCTTACCCGTTTAACCGTCAATTTTACTTAATGTCTTTGGTGATCTAGCCTCAGCTTACCGTTTAATCGTCAATTTTACTTTATGTCTTTGGTGATCTAGCCTCAGCTTACCGTTTAATCGTCAATTTTACTTTATGTCTTTAGTGATCTAGCCTCAGCTTACCCGTTTAACCGTCAGTTTTACTTTATATCTGGGGTGATCTAGCCTCAGCTTACCTGTTTAACCGTCAAATTTACTTTATGTCTTTAGTGCTCTAGCCTCAACTTCCCGTTTAACCATCAATTTTACTTTATGTCTGGGGTGATCTAGCCTCAGCTTACCCGTTTAACCGTCAATTTTACTTTATGTCTTTACTGTTCTAGCCTCAACTTCCTGTTTAACCATCAATTTTACTTTATGTCTGGGGTGATCTGGCCTCAGCTTACCCATTTAACCATCAATTTTACTTTATGTCTTGGGTGATCTAGCCTCAGCTTACCCATTTAACCATCAATTTTACTTTATGTCTTTAGTGCTCTAGCCTCAGTTTACCCGTTTAAGCATCAATTTTTCTTTATGTCTTTGGTGATCTAGCCTCAGCTTATCCGTTTAACCGTCAATTTTACTTTATGTCTTTGGTGATCTAGCCTCAGCTTACCCATTTAACCGTCAATTTTACTTTATGTCTTTACTGTTCCAGCCTCAACTTCCTATTTAACCATCAATTTTACTTTATGTCTGGGTGATCTAGCCTCAGCTTACCCGTTTGGCCGTCAATTTTGCTTTACATCTGGGGTGATCTAGCCTCAGCTTACCCGTTTAACCATCAATTTTACTTTATGTCTGGCGTGATCTAGCCTCAGCTTACCCGTTTAACCATCAATTTTACTTTATGTCTGGGGTGATCTAGCCTCAGCTTACCCGTTTAACCGTCAATTTTACTTTATGTCTGGGGTGAACTAGTCTCAGCTTACCCGTTAAGCCGTCAATTTTACTTTATTTCTGGGGTGATCTAGCCTCAGCTTACCCGTTTAACCATCAATTTTACTTTATGTCTGGGGTGATCTAGTCTCAGCTTACACTTTTAGCCGTCAATTTTACTTCACGTCTGGGGTGATCTAGCCTCAGCTTACCCGTTTATCCATCAATTTTACTTTATGTCTGGGGTGATCTAGCCTCAGCTTACCCGTTTAACCATCAATTTTACTTTATGCCTTTACTGTTCTAGCCTCAACTTCCCGTTTAATCTTCAATTTTACTTTATGTCTGGGTGATCTAGCCTCAGCTTACCCGTTTAACTGTCAATTTTACTTTATGTCTTTAGTGATCTAGCCTCAGCTTACCCATTTAACCATCAATTTTACTTTATGTCTGGGGTGATCTAGCCTCAGCTTACCCATTTAACCGTCAATTTTACTTTATGTCTTTACTGCTCTAGCCTCACCTTCCCGTTTAACCATCAATTTTACTTTATGTCTGGGGTGATCTAGCCTCAGCCTACCCTTTTAACCATCAATTTTACTTTATGTCTGGGGTGATCTAGCCTCAGCCTACCCGTTTAACCATCAATTTTACTTCATGTCTGGGGTGATCTAGCCTCAGCTTACCCGTTTAACTATCAATTTTACTTTATGTCTGGGGTGATGTAGCCTCAGCTTACCCATTTAACCGTCAATTTTACTTTACGTCTGGGGTGATCTAGCCTCAGCCTTCCCGGTTAACCGTCAATTTTGCTTTATGTCTGGGGTGATCTAGCCTCAGCTTACCCGTTTAACCGTCAATTTTACTTTATGTCTTTAGTGCTCTAGCCTCAGCTTACCCATTTAACCATCAATTTTACTTTATGTCTTTACTGTTCTAGCCTCAACTTCCCGTTTAACCATCAGTTTTACTTTATGTCTGGGGTGATCTAGCCTCAGCTTACCCGTTTACCCGTCAATTTTACTTTACGTCTGGGGTGATCTAGCCTCAGCTTACTCGTTTAACCATCAATTTTACTTCATGTCTGGGGTGATCTAGCCTCAGCTTACCCGTTTAACCGTCAATTTTACTTTATGTCTTTAGTGCTCTAGCCTCAGCTTACCCATTTAAACATCAATTCTACTTTATGTCTGGGGTGATCTAGCCTCAGCTTACCCGTTTAACCGTCAATTTTACTTTATGTCTTTAGTGATCTAGCCTCAGCTTACCCGTTTAACCATCAATTTTACTTTATGTCTGGGGTGATCTAGCCTCAGCTTACCCATTTAACCATCAATTTTACTTTATGTCTTTACTGTTCTAGCCTCAACTTCCCGTTTAACCATCAATTTTACTTTATGTCTGGGGTGATCTAGCCTCAGATTACCCGTTTAACCATCAATTTTACTTTGTGTCTTGGGTGATCTAGCCTCAGCTTACCCGTTTACCCGTCAATTTTACTTTACGTCTGGGGTGATCTAGCCTCAGCTTACTCGTTTAACCATCAATTTTACTTCATGTCTGGGGTGATCTAGCCTCAGATTACCCGTTTAACCGTCAATTTTACTTTATGTCTTTAGTGCTCTAGCCTCAGCTTACCCATTTAAACATCAATTCTACTTTATGTCTGGGGTGATCTAGCCTCAGCTTACCCGTTTAACCGTCAATTTTACTTTATGTCTTTAGTGATCTAGCCTCAGCTTACCCGTTTAACCATCAATTTTACTTTATGTCTGGGGTGATCTAGCCTCAGCTTACCCATTTAACCATCAATTTTACTTTATGTCTTTACTGTTCTAGCCTCAACTTCCCGTTTAACCATCAATTTTACTTTATGTCTGGGGTGATCTAGCCTCAGATTACCCGTTTAACCATCAATTTTACTTTGTGTCTTGGGTGATCTAGCCTCAGCTTACCCGTTTAACCATCAATTTTACTTTATGTCTTTGGTGATCTAGCCTCAGCTTATCCGTTTAACCGTCAATTTTACTTTATGTCTTTGGTGATCTAGCCTCAGCTTACCCATTTAATCGTCAATTTTACTTTATGTCTTTAGGGATCTAGCCTCAGTTTACCCGTTTAACCATCAATTTTACTTAATGTCTGGGGTGATCTAGCCTCAGCTTACCCGTTTAACCATCAATTTTACTTTATGTCTTTAGGGATCTAGGCTCAACTTCCCGTTTTACCATTAATTTTACTTTATGTCTTTGGTGACCTAGCCTCAGCTTACCTGTTTAACTGTCAATTTTACTTTATGTCTTTGGTGATCTAGCCTCAGCTTACCCATTTAACCATCAATTTTACTTTATGTCTTCAGTGATCTAGCCTCAGCTTACCCGTTTAACCGTCAATTTTACTTTATGTCTTTAGTGTTCTAGCCTCAACTTCCCATTTAACCATTAATTTTACTTTATGTCTTTGGTGATCTAGCCTCAGCTTACCCGTTTAACCGTCAATTTTACTTTATGTCTTTGGTGATCTAGCCTCAGCTTACCCGTTTAACTGTCAATTTTACTTTATGTCTGGGGTGATCTAGCCTCAGCTTACCCATTGAACCGTCAATTTTACTTTATATCTTTAGTGCTCTAGCCTCAACTTCCCATTTAACCATCAATTTTACTTAATTTCTGGGGTGATCTAGCCTCAGTGTCCCCGTTTAAACGTCAATTTTACTTTATGTCTGGGGTGATCTAGTCTCAGCTTACCCGTTTAACCGTCAATTTTACTTTATGTCTTTGGTGCTCTAGCCTCAGCTTACCCATTTAACCGTCAATTTTACTTTATGTCTTTCTCAATTGTCACTTCCAAAGGAACTTACCTCAATTTACAATCTGGCTAAAAACTGCTATTAACAATCTCAGAGTATCAAGCACCTCCCCTCACATCAGTGCTAATTTTATATTTATTTGTAGAGCCTATAAATAAACTTCAACCAACTTCACCCACTAGACTGTACAATCCACATATCAAGTGCCTGTATATGATTTTGTTAATCATAGTATTCCAGTCCCACTCACAACAGGAACAAACACACAGAAACAAAACTCACCAATGCCCAAACTCTTAAAGTCATAACACATACAAATTTACTAAATTAGCCCTTCAATATAGAGGTCTCACATGGTGCCGTAAATATATTGACAACTTTACTTCTAACTTTCAATGATAATTTTACTAGATGTGATTGTACTGGTAAATTATATTCTCCATGATACTATAATACAGTGTTATCACACTTTGAAATTCTGGACCCAGGTATAATCAATTTGTATCCGTATGCTTGAGTAGGGTCTCGTCTCCTTTTTTTTCCCCAGTACATATGAATGCAATCCTCTAATTGTAGATCCGTTGTAACACATTCTGTTAATGCAGTTGTTCAGGAAAAGTGTGATTCCATTTTTGTTTGGGTGTGTTTTGTAAAAAAAATCTGCCATGTTGGAAATTTCCTCAGCTGTTGGTTCACAGAGAGTGTCAGACCTGTGGGCTGTCACATGGTCAAACAGGGAAAACAGCACAACAGGCATGTTAATTAGTATTGCATAAGCACAGCCATCATGAAGGCTAATTGCTTTGCAGTGTCAGTGACCATAAGACACAAAATCCATATGAAGATTTGAGTCTCCTTTCCAGCTACATGTCCAGAAAAACAGTCAGAACAATGAAGACTTTTCTATCCAAAAACTTGTATGCTTTTAAGTGTGCTGGCTTAACACATCAACTACTCTACAGAGAAGTGTTTGTCAGTTTAATGTTTTTGCCTTATGTTAACACCTCTCTACCTCTATTCTCTCCTACCCACTACCATCATCCTTTCCAAACACATTTTCACTAACAACGGTTCCTCTGATTCTTGCCATCGAAACTAGCTCCCACAATTTCTAAAAACAATTTCATGCTCGGTCAATTTTGCAGTCTGTATTTGATCTCAGTGGAAAAAGAGAAAGAACAAAATTCATCATTACACACATAAAATACCCTGTTCCTCAATAAACCCAATAACTAAATGAGAAACCTAAGAGTTTTTCATGAACCTAAATTACTGTACACTGAAATATCTACTTTTAATCAAATCTAGGGTGATTCAATGAAGATCTAATAGCCAACTGCCAATTTTATACATAATATTGTCACTGATCCTAAAGGAAAATAAAATGAAATCTGTACGTGGTTATTTTACCAGTTTCATTCAGGCTCAGGTTAATTTAATTCAAACTTTCGAGGAACAATGACTGTCAATTACATTAAATTATACTCTAGGGAAAGGCTTTCTGAACATGTGGAGTACAATCTGCAAAAGAAAAAATAAGACATCAAAGCACTTCGCTGATCTGAATTGCAGTCATCCTTTAGAATGGCATCCTGAGGAATTCTGAAAGCAACAGAATCTATGAGAAACTCTTCTCAAACACCTAAAATCCTCTAAAAATCCATCTCCCACATATAAAGCTACTTGCTGAATGTTTCCTTAAGTTTTCTTCTCACAGAATGAACAATTGAGTTTTAACGGTCTAAAGATGTGAAAGAAATAATACGTGCTTCAAGATTTGAGGAAGGAAAATAAATTCAGAAGTATCTGGGGATGGTGTGTTTCAAAAATAATTGTAGCTTTACTTTTGCTCTTTTTAATGGAAAAAAAATGTTGTATTACAAAACATTTTGAGTACAAAGAATAGGGGGTTATAAGTTTCGAGGAATAAGAATAATTCCTGTAGCTGAATTCAGAAGTCTTTTGAAAGATAAACGATGTTAAAAAAAAATAACTATCAATTTAAAAAGCATGTTGCAATTCTACGCTATAAGATTTTTTTGCAAGGGCACAAGTCTCTAATGGTAGCATGTGTGCATAGAGGGGTGTGTATGTATGAGTGAATGTGTTAGTAAGTGTGCATATAGCATCTTAAATTCTCATGGGTTTATTTCAAGAGCGTAAGGGATTGTATGATGGATCAATTCCATAAAACAATGGCTTATGAACTCCAGATGTAATGCTTTTTGCACTTTGTCTAATAAGCAGAGGGATTTGTCAAAGAGAGCCTTCTTTTCTAAGAGAGCTCAAACGAATGGCAACCTCCATTTCTAATCTGTTTAGAATTCCAAGTTGTCTTTCACTTGTACAAAGGAGTCAGGAGTGAAACCATTTGTACTTACATCTTAGCAGCGTATTACTCAACATCTGGCAAAGCCCAAAGTTCTGAAACATAATTTATACAAACTCGTGGCCAGAATGCCACAAACAAATAAGGAAAAGTAGTAATGTTTCAAGTATTTTTCAGTGTAGACTTCAAGAGTAATAGACTAAATATTTATTCAATATAGTTCTGTGAAGGATAAGGGAAAGCCTCATGAAGAAAGCAGAAAACAGTTTCAGCATATGGTTTAACAGACATAGATAAAACAAAAAGCGCTCTCAGACTGACAAAAGTGGTTATAAGGAATATTCTACATGGATGATGTAAAGAAGGCAATTTTATAATATTTGCAAAGTTCTTTTAAAAAACTGCTCCATAGGCCTGGTGCAGTGACTCACGCCTGTAATCCCAGCAGTTTGGGAGGCCAAGGCGGTCGGATCACTTGAGGTCAGGAATTCGAGACCAGCCTGGCCAACATGGTGAAACCCCATCCTACTAAAAATACAAAAATTAGCTGGGCATGGTGGCATGTGCCTGTAGTCCCAGCTACTCGGAAGGCTGAGGCAAAAGAATCGTTCGAACTTGGGAGGTGGAGGTTGCAGTGAGCAGAGATCACGCCAATATACTCCAGCCTGGTGATAGAGCGAGACTCAAGCTCAAAAAAAAAAAAAAAAAAAGCTCCATAATTTTGTGTTTCTAGGCTTCCATTACTTTTGGGGGTATTTTAAACTCAATATTTATTAACATGGAAGATGTTCAAGATACATGATTCACTTATGGAAATAGAGTATAAGGTAATGTCTACAACAAGCTTCCATTTTTGTAAAACACACTGCTATATGCATATGCGCAGATTATTCACAGATATAATGAAAGTTTGCACAAAATAACAGCAACATGTGTTACCTCTGAGAAGGGAATGGGTTTCCTAAAGGTTAGGGTAAAATAGAGACTTGATTTTCTCTTCATAGCTTTTATACTTTTTGGTTTTATATAGGGCATTGGTATTTATATAGGGCATTTGGTATTATATAGGGCATTATCTTTTCAAAAATAAATAACATTTATTTTCTAAACTATATTTTCTTGCTACTCAAACCTATCTCTCTATTAAGACCTGTGGATTTTTTGTTTGTTCATTTGTTTATTTTTTCTTTTTGTTTTGCCTTGTCTTCATGAGCATGTGCATAGTTTAGGAAAAGGAGTGATATAAAATAAAATTCAAACAGAACTTTGGAGAATAGCGCAATGATACATGTAAGATAGAGAGTGAACGTGATCTATGAGTCTCATTAAGGTCATAATGCTTTAGTTTAAAAAAGGCTTTGGGTAAAAGTGGAGATCATAGGATTTATATAAAGAGAAAAATAAAACGTCATTTCTGTCAAACATCACGTATTCAAGGTGGTATAGGAGACAAGGCTGGCTAAAGGAGAGTCCCATTTTCTTACATGTATGTAGGTAGATTTTATGGTGCTGTGGAAAGAAAGATTGGTGTAAGTGAGAGGACGAGGTAAATAGATTGTATAGCAGACGGTTTTTTTATGGCTCTGAAAGCAGGATCAGTGGATGGACTTAACACTTTTGTTGTTTTCTTTCATTTTCTCTTTTTTTGTTTTAATATTTCGTTCTTCTTGTAAGCATTTTACACCTACAGTGAAATGTACAAATCATAAGTGTTCTGGCCAATGAAGTCGTAGAAAGTGAACATAGCCCTGTAACCTATACCCACAAGAAGACCGGTAACATCACCTGCCTCCTACAATCTCTACCATTAATACCCTATGCCCCTTCCACACACCCTGAAAGGTAACTGATTCTCTTTTCTATCACCAAAGATTAATTTTCTAGGTGTAGAACTTTATATAAAGGGGATAATACTGTCTGTGGCCTTCGGCTTCTGGCTTCTTTCCCTCATTAGCCTGTAAGATCATCCATGTTGATGTGTGTGGCAACACTCGACACAAAAGCGTTAATCTTGAGCCCTCTTAGCTAAATAATTACACATATTCATTACCCCAAAGTTCAAAGCATGGAAGTGAGGTACGGTTAATGAGGCAGTGAAACCTTTGATTTGTATTGCAACCTTACAAGTTACCCTACTTCATATTTCTAATTTAATTGGCCCTTTACAATATACAGCCTATTGGGGGATGATATTATTATTAATAATATTATTATAATTTTACAGGTAAGAAAGAGAGGATTAGAGTGTTTACATTACTCACTGCAGGTCTTATTAAACAGCAAAGAAGAAGGCAAATTGTCATCATACCCAGGGCTTCCACCTTCAAATTCTATGATCATAATACAAAACCATGCTACCCACTTTATTGTTTGACTAGTGAAGATGAACAGACTACAGTAATGTAGTTTGAAACCCTCTTCTCAGTCTCCATGACCTAGCATTATTCCTGAGAAAATGACAGTGATGTTGATGTTGGGTGACATTTGTATCAGACCTATTGTGAACGAGGCCTTTTCCTAACAGCTTATATTATCCCATTTAATCATCACGGCTAGGTACCATTATTATTACCACACGCAGGGACATCTGGGTAGACACCATCGGTGTCTTTATATTACAGATGAGGAACCTAATGCTCAGAGAGCTTAAGAAAACTTACCCAAGGTTATAACATGTGCTAGCACATCAGGGTTAGTAAATTTCTCCTGTGAAGAGGCAAATAGTAAATATCTCACTTAGGGCTTGGTAAGCCATACTGTCTATTGTGACTACTCAGCTCTATTGTTGTAGCACAAAAGCAGCCACAGACAATAAGTAATTGAATGGGTATGACTGTGCTAAAATAAAATCTTATTTCCCAAAAACAGGTACAAGGTCAGATTCAGCCCTCTAGCTGTTGTTGTTTTCTGACCCCTGATACATCAATATTTAAAGAATGAAAATATTGTGATGCAAATTCCAAGTAAAACTTAATTTGTGGGTAAAGCTATAGAAACTTCTGTAAAATACAAAAATTACAATATGTTCCAAAAGTAAAGCATAATCTGATCCAAGATGCATTTAGATTAGCTCTGATTCATCTTAACTAGCTATTCCAATGTGGATTCTGTCAGTGCATTGCGAGTAGGACCTATCAATCAAAGTACCGAGCTCAAGTCAGAATCAAATGACAAGTGAAAGGAGTTTCTGCAAAAAAAGTTACTCTTAAACTTTTTTAAAAATCTCATTTTCCATATGGACCATCTTTATTCAAAAGATTGAATAATCAGAGAGATGTGAAAACTTATACTGGGAAAAAGCTAGATTTCACTGATCTAGGAGTTACTAAAGGAAACCAGTTAGGTATGTTCAAAAGCCTCAAATAATGCATGAATATATTTCATTTATATATTTAAATATGTAACTTTGATCATTTTAAAGAGTAGTTGGTATGTATACTCTTATTTTAGAGATAAAAATGTGCCTTCACTTATACGTTTTAGAAGTTTTAATAAGAAAAGCTTTGTCATCTTTGTAAATTGTATGCTTTGCTGGTGCTTGCCTTAGAATCCAGGTTATTTTTAAAACAAACATTCTGAAATTCTTTGATATCGCATTCAGCAATCCATCTGCTCCAATGTAAATTCTTTGAAGTGCAGGTGGCCTGTAACGTTGTGTGAGAGCAATTAATGAAGTTTTGAATCTCTTTTGCTCCTTCACGCTTGGCTGAATGGTGAAAAGGGGTTATCATCTTTAATTCTCTAGCTTAACAGTATTTACACAATTAGATATTTTCATGCATCTTCATTTCCCTTTTAGATACATATATTATACATATTTTTCTAGTTGTTCTAGATGTAGACTAAATAGATTCACCAGATTTGCAGAATGGATGAAAATAATAAGATGTAGTAGCTGTTACATTAATAATGTTTTAAAAAACAACAAAGTTGTACAGAAAATATTTTTGCCATAATTGACATTTAAATTCTCAGGTTTATATCAGCAAATATTTTTTTTTTTTTTAAAAGCAGAAGCCTCTTTATGCCATCAGTTATTTAATGGAAAAGTTCCAATAATTAGATATTTATTCTATTTCATTTATAAAAACTTTATTTGTATGCTAGTAAAGCGTTCACTCTAGATAAATAATAATCTCATTGCAGATTTTCAAATTAATTGATTAGACCCCCAATTTTTCTGATCATTATATTATGCTTTGAGGCTAACAAGGACTCAGGTCAAATTATGCTTATCATAAAATGTATTAGAGTTTGTTTAATTTATGACTTTGTGCAGATATAATGTTTTGCTAAGTACATCAATAATTCATTCATTTTACAGTAAACTTACATTTTATCAAGTATGAATGGTTGTGGATAGATTTGGGAATATTATATTTATTTCTCTTCAACTTTTCATACAAAATTTGTACTTCTATTTACAGAGAGAAATCTGTCCCTACCATTAAGATCTATTTTATATTTATATTAATAATAAAGAAAGCATGTTAGATATTGAAGACCAAAAAGTAGAACCTCTAAAGGAAGTAACCTGTGTAATAAATTTTATTATTCTGGTCACTTAGTAAAATTTCATCAGCAGTACCTGTCAGCTACCATACAACAGCCTAATTACAGTCTATACATCCTTATAAGTTATGAAAATAATTATATTTTATGCAGTAATTCAGTTATTTAAAAAAATAAATTCAGTCATAAAAGGAGGAGAAAAACCCTGAAAATAATGATGAATCCCAATAGTTGATTATAAGAGCTTGCAAAATTAAATTAACCCTCCATATCTGCAAACTGCATCAAAAGTATTTAGAAAAAAATGGTTGATTATGTCTGCACTGAACATGTAGAGACATTTTTTCCTTGTCATGATTCCCTAAGCAATACAGTATTAACTATTTACATAGCATTTACATTGTAGTAAATATTAAAAGTAATCCAGAGATGATTTCAAGCAGGGGTCCACAGCCCCGGGGCCAGGGACTCATACTGGTCTGTGGCCTGGTAGGAAACGGGCTGCACAGCAGGAGGGAGCGAGCATTACCGCCTGAGCTCCGCCTCCTGTCAGATCAGCAGCGGCATTAGATTCTCATAGAAGTGCTTACCCTATTGTGAACTGCGTATGTGAGGAATCTAGGTTGCCTGCTCCTTATGAGAATCTACTGCTTGAACACCTGATGACCGAGGTGAAACAGTTTCATCCTGAAACCATCCTTCCTTCCCCTGCACCATCCATGGAAATATCATCTTCCACACAACCAGTCCCTGGTGCCTAAAATGTTGGGGACATCTGATTTAAAGTATATAGAAGGATGCACATAGGTGATAGGCAAATAATATGTTATTTTATATCAGAGACTTGAGCATCCATGGGAGGTCCTGGAACAAATTCCTCACAGATACTGAGGGATGAATGTACAAACATACGCATTTCTAAGACTATTTCTGGTGGTTTTTTTTTTTCTTACATTTCTTCTTCCTTATATTTTTTCTTATATTTAGTGCAAAGTGAAGTCTTCATATAGAGACAGTAAAATTCTTGTCTAACTGGAAACTTTCTGTATTGAATGCACTAACACTGTCTAGAAAAACCTTTTGTCCTTTTGTTTTTGTAAAAATATAGTTTTTTAAAAAGCAAGTGTCTGGGAGGTAACGAAAGAAGGATTGAAAATTGGTCAGGAAATAAAACTAAGGTAAACAGCAAATCTAATCTGGACAACACAAGCTTCAGAGTAAAAATTTGGGATTTATCCACTGTCCATACATGTTTATAGGAAAATGAACAATTGCAAGCATCTTCAGCTAGGATTGATTATACAACCTTTGAATGACTTTTTTTCTAGTATGTTGCAAAGTGTAAGCGTGGCTCATAAGGCCTTTCTGATATCTGATAATACAGCTAGTTTTATATTCCACTTGATGTCCTCAGAGACATTGATTATTGAATGCCCTTGCATATTCTGTTCCTTGTGCCTGGAATACTTCCCAACAACTATTTTCCACTCTGTTCAGGTGTCACCTGTCTAGTCCTTGGAGCTAGTGTCAGGAACTGGCTGATTTTAATTCTTAATTATTTTGCTTTTCCAATGTCGATTTTGATTGGTTTTGTGTAATCAGTGTCCACATGAGTGTCTAGGGCAAGGGAAACTATCAATAAACTGAAAAGGAAGGCAGGAGCACTGAAAGGAAGTTGAACCATGGCAAATTTCTGAAGGCAAAGTTAAACATCAGATATTGTCAAAGAGTCACAACAAATACATAAAGCAAAGTGAAAGAACCTAAAATACATCAAGTCATAGGATTGGCAGGGGTTTCATGAGACCATGTAATGACCTTATTTTCTAGTGTCGTGTTATGGACAAACTAGTGTGGAAAAAATAGTTTATTCATTTTTTATGTCTGTAGGTCTATTAATTCCTTTTGGCTACAAGATGGGGCATAAATTACGAGTTCATTAGAAACAGATGCCCATCCTCTGTGTAAGCCAAGTCAAGCCCAATCTTCTGTCCTCAGTTGCCTATTGGATTTTAGGAGGTTGGCCAAACCAAAACAAGACATAATTTCTCTATCTAGAAAGGCAAAGAATTCACATATTTATCAACCCTAGATTTAAATTAGCTATAACTTTCCACATAACCATTTTGCAGGGAACATAATAGTTGAACTATAAATACTGTAGGAATTCATCAAGGGAAAATATCATGTAGCCTAAGTAAGGTGAGTAAGGTATAACGGCAGAAAAGCGGTTTGTCTAAACATTTAGATGGGTTAGCGATCATGCATTTATAGAAAGCATAAGAATTAGAATCGAGGCCAGATTAGAATGGAACATGTGAAGAGATGTAGGTGAGAGAGGTGCTTTGTATTGGAGAACAGTCCTCAATGCTGAACTAAAGGTCTGAGATCATATCTGATAATTAATCAAGAACTGGTAGAGTTTTTTAAACAGAGGAGGGTTATGACCTACCTAAAAAATTGTTAAGAAAATATACTTTACAATGAAGCCAATATATTATATAAGAGAGGTTTAAAAGTAATCACAAGGTATTCTTGCCACTTTTTATGAATAATGTAATGTCTGTGTGTGTATGTGAGACATCAAACTCTAATTTCTAACAGCACAATTGAACATAAAGGTAAATGAAGTCCTGACTATAGCATTCTAGTACACATTATACACTTTGGTAGGAAAAGTCAGATACCAAGATTTTTTTTTCTTAATGTTATTTTTATCCACAGTGAAGTAATAATAAATAGAAAGTATTTAATATTGTGTCTTTAATAATTAAAAAGACTATATCAAAGAGAAGTAAAGAGGACTCCACATGTTAGTATGTGTATTCATGATGCCTTATTTACAATTTTCAACATTTAACTAAAACAACAACCACAACAGAAATGAGCCAGATCTGGACTAGTCCACTAAGGTTTAAAATATTTGCATGTTAAAAGATGCATATGCATGAATTCTGAAATAATCATTATGAACACACCCCACAAGTTAAGTGGAATTTTCTACTATGCATATTCAAATGTCTTTTTCAAATGCTAATTTGTTAATTACAAACTTTTTCTCAAGCTTAACTAAACTCACAGACTTCATTGTGAGTCATTTGCATAATGTTTCCCGTATAAGCAATGCCGTCATTAAGTTACTGAAAATTTTCAAAAGAAAAGGTACACTGTATTAAACTCAAAAGAGTTAAAAAAATTTATGGTCATGGGCAATTATATTCAGAAAATATATACGATTCTAAAAATTTAGGCGTTTAAAAAAATGGCACATTCTACTCATTTTATATTGTGATAATTGTTTACGTGAAAAAAAGAGACGTTTTCAGTTTTCTTAGAAGGCTATTTAATTACCCTTAACACATCTCACAACAACAAATAATCCAGACCATCACTAATAAAATATCGAGGTCTAGAATCTAAGGAATATGATTAGCATCTCTAACCCTTTGTCTCCTCTTCAGTAAAATGAAAATGCTGCTGTGAAGGTGATGATGATTTAGTAAGCGGTTAACTAATGCCAGCTGTTACCATGATTACGATTAGAACAATTGTTAGTTTCAAAACAGCCAATTTTAGAGTCTGAGTTTGAATTTAAGTCATATTTTTGTTTGTCTTTTTTCCTCCTGGTGGCTATTTTATTTTTGTACTTATTGCTACTATCTCCACAACTGGCAAGACAGAAAGCCACCATAAAAAAGTGAAGCAAAAATTAGTCAACTCTGATTTTTATAATCTCTTCTCGCATTATAACCATCAATAAAATTAGCTATTTAAACCAGTATTTAAAATGCACTTTGGATATTATTTTTCTTATCTATAAAGTAAAAATAACAAAAGTATCTATAGGTTTATTGTGAGGATAAAAATTAGAAAATCTATGGAAAGTTTTTAACACTGTACCTGGATTCTAATAAGCATTTAATATATGTAATAATAATTCATAATTTCTCATCATTCACATATCATCATCTTGCATAAATTAGCCTAATTCATAAAATTGGTTTATGTGTTTTGTGTTATATTTATTTTCTAGCAACACTGTACCTCAGTCCAGGACATAACCCCTAAATATGCATCTATTTATAGGGTTTGGAAAGATATGAGTTACAGTGTTATCAGGAAGGCCAGAGTAGAGATTGAATGGAGGATACACATATTATTTGTCATTAACATAGTGGAAGTCTATGGGAGCTACTGGAGATGATAATGGCAAACAACCTTAATCCTTTAGCATGGCTGTTTAAGTAGATTTACATGGCTTCTCATTCATGGAATATATATTAATTCTAAGAATGTCATCTATAAGAACCAAAATATAAATTCTCTCTTTAGAGAGGAGGGGGCTAGCTTATTCTCATCTTTTCCCATCCCCTGTGCTCTTTCTGAAATAGACAAAGAAAACTGCATTTCCTTGCAAATCAAAACCACAATGAGATACTATCTCATGCCAGTCAGAATGGTGATTATTAAAAAGTTAAGAAACAACAGATGCTGGTGAGTTTGCAGAGAAAAAGAAATGTTTTTACACTGTTGGTGGTAACGTAAATTATTTCCAGCATTGTGGAAGATGGTGTGGCAATTCCTCAGGGATCTAGAACCAGAAAGACAATCCTGTTTGACCCGGCAATCCCATTACTGGGTATATACCCAAAGGAATATAAATCATTCTAGCAAAAAGATATATGTACATGTATGCTCATTGCAGCACTATTCACAACAGCAGAGACATGGAATCAACCCAAATGTCCACAGTGACAGACCGGATAAAGAAAATGTGGTACATATACACCATGGAATACTATGCAGCCATAAAAAGGAACAAGATCATGTCCTTTGCAGGGACATAAATGGAGCTGGAAGTTGTTATCCTCAGCAAACTAACACAGGAACAGAAAACCAAACACTACACGTTCTCACTTATAAGTGAGAGATGAACGATGAGAACACATGGACACATAGTGGGGAAACAACACACACTGGGGCCTGTAGTTGGGAGGGTGGTGGGAGTGACATCATCTGGAAGAATAGCTAATGACTGCTGGGCTTAATACCTAGGTGATGGGTGGATCTGTGCAGCAAACCACCATGGCACACATTTACCTATGGAACAAACCTGCACATCCTGCACATGTACACCTGAACTTAAAATAATAGTTGAAGACAAAAAATGCAATGAACTCTAAAAGAAAGACAGAAAGACAAGAAAGAAAGAAAGAAAGAAAGACAAGAAAGAAAGAAAGAAGAAAGAAAGAAAGAAAGAAAGAAAGAAAGAAAGAAAGAAAGAAAGAAAGAAAGAAGGAAAGAAGGAAAGAAGGAAGAAAGGAAGGAAGGAAGGGTGCATTTTTATTTCTCTCTCTCTCTCTTTTTCTTTTTAAAATACAAGGTTTTCACTATGTTGCTGATATGGTTTGACTGTGTCCGCACCCATATCTCACCTTGAATTGCAATAATCCCCATGAGTCAAGGGCAGGGCCAGGTGAAGATAATTCAATCACGAGGGCAGTTTTCCCCATACTATTCTGGTGGTAGTAAATGCGTCTTATGAGATCTGATGGTTTTATAAATACAAGTTCCCCTGCACAAGATCTCTTGCCTGCCACCATGTAATATGTGACTTTGCTCCTCATTCGACTTCTGCCATGATTGTGAGGTCTCCCCAGCCATGTGGAACTGTGGGTCCATTAAACCTCTTTCCTTTATACATTACCCAATCTTGGGTATGTTTTTATTAGCCACGTGAGAACAGACTCCAGTTGCCCAGGCTGGTCTTGAACTCCTGAGCCCAAGTGATCCCCCTGCCTAAGCCTCCCGAGTAGCTGGAACCAAAGGTGAGTGCCACCATGGCTGGCTATGCCTTTGAATAATGTAATTATTAAAGCATTTCTAAGGGGAAGTCAAAAGAGGGAACATACAGAACAGCACATGACAATGTGTCCTACCTGACTAGAGTGGACAATCTAATACTGCCACAGCCTGCATTCTCAAGGGAGGCAATGCTAACCTTAAGGGGGCAAAAATAGATTCAGGGGAGTGAGCCAAAAATCAAGTATTTTATGTATTAAAACACAAATACAGTATATAAACAGATGTACAGTTTATCTGTAGTAGTAACATTTCAAGGGAATAGCAATTAGGAAAAATTGTTGAAAAGACTCCTTTAAGGGGCAGTAATGGAAAGTGGTTCAGAAACACTATGCTAAGGTATCAGAGACATTTTTTCTTTTGTTTTTTTTTTTTGTTTGTTTGTTTTTACAACTTATTAACTCTTATCTTAGAGGAACATGCAAAGGAAAGCATGGATACAATGAAAATGTGAAGGGCAGTGGAAGGGAGTACACCTGACTTTTCTATAAGGTGGTTACAAATTTTGCAGCCTCTCTACAGATTTTGAAACAAATCCAAGCTACATAACACATACACATTGCAAAGATAGGTTTGCTAAACTCATAGCATACTTTCATAGCCCTATATATAAGGGAAAACAATTGGATGTCATCACTGAGAAAAAGCGGGTTCCAGTTTCCTTTAACAGCTTTATGTAGACAAAGGTAAAGATTCCAAGGAGCTAAGTTGATTTTAATCACCCTTGCAATACAACACCTGGCATTTCATCTATAACTAAATTAAGAGAAAATAA
This sequence comes from Homo sapiens, assembly GCF_000001405.40. Classification (NCBI taxonomy): domain Eukaryota; kingdom Metazoa; phylum Chordata; class Mammalia; order Primates; family Hominidae; genus Homo; species Homo sapiens. The sequence continues at coordinate 77,275,817 of NC_000003.12, read as the reverse complement.
TTTTTAGGATATATTTGGTATCATATTGTACACCAAACTGTGGTCCTGGAGAAACTCTTATGCCAATTTTGTTTGGCAATTTATACTATTAAACTTTATCCATTTGATACACGTGTTAAAAAACACAATTTGGATACTGCAACTATGAGGAGAAAAAGATTTTATTTGATAAAACAGAAATAAAGAGGGATAAAGAAAAGAGAATGTAGAAAAACCCTGGAGATACTTGCATTTTTATAGCAGTTCATTTTCCCCCAAGCTTTCTATTTCTTCACTTGCTGCACATATTAAAAGGATAAATTAAAGAGGCAGAGTAACCATACTGGGGAGAGAAATTGGAAAGAAATATCTTTAGCCACAAAGTAATGGTTGTTCAGACATGTGCTCATTAAATTTTGGCAGATTCTCTGCATACACTCAAGTTTATCAGGGATATGACATTATAAGATGCTAAAGTTCTATTAAAGTTCTACCTAAAAACGTTTTGACATATGATAGTTTTGAATGACAGAAGGTTTAGTTTTGACTTCAGTTTTATAAAATTTGCCTTATCACATAGTATCTCCTCAAAACTGTCTAAAAGTTTTGTCTTCAGGACAAATTTTCAAAGTCAATTACCTGCATATTCTGGTTTGTATCTATATATGTAGTTATCTATGTATTTACCTGTCTTCATTGATATATTAAATTATGTAATATATTTTCATGTGTCAAATAAGAAATTCTACATTTTCAAATGTTCTTCAGCAAATGATGCAGTTATTTCTCTAGCTGCAATATGAATCTAAGAGATGTATTAGTAATTCAGATATTTATTTGAAAAATATTCATTAAGTACCCAAAAGAATGTTATCCTCTACTTCTTCAAATTTGTAGCACAAAATTGTGATGAATAAATAGATATCTGTTTTTTAATTTTAAATCAGTCTTTAAAAAACCTCTAAAGTAGAAGAATCTTTTAACTGTCTGGTGTTCATGGACTATGTTACATCTCTTTGGCTCAGATTATTCACTCACAAAATGATGCTTGAAAACTATCCAGTGTAAGTACTGATTTTTAAACTCTTCACAGAGGGCGGGAAAGTACCTATTACAAAGTATACGATAATGTTTTCCCATATATATTTTCCTAATACAACTTGGAAGAGATGCCACATCTTAAAGTTCATTCTTTCCATGTAATTCAATCTCTACTCTATGATTATCTTTGGCTTCCTAAGATGGAGAGCTTTTAAAAACATCATTAAAGAGAACCTGAATCTTGGAATATTAATTAGGCAACCGTCCATGCTGCAAGATATTTCAAAGTGGTTTCAAAGTGACAAATAAAGTTGTTACTCAACTCTATGACAGGTTTTTTTTGGTTTTAAATGCCAATTCTAAAAATTTTATATTCATGAATAAATATAAAACATTCTTACGATATGTACAAGTGTAATTTTAATAAGTGGCTAGCACTCCCCATCTGCCTGACAATAAAGCTATTTAAAAAGAGTAAAACTGGAAGAATCATGCCAAGTTATTTGGCTTTAGTGCTTCTTAGACAATGAAAAAGAAGAAAAGACCATATGCTTTCTAATTTTCCTACAACACTTTATATGCAAATTCAGATGTAAGCATGTATTTTATATGCACCTGTGTGACGAATGTTTCTTGGGAAAAAAGTGTTTAGTTTTGGTTTAAAATTTATACTTCAATTGACTCTATTCAAATACCTAGTAACTACAGGTAAAGTCAGCTAGAACCAGGAATATATTAGGGTTATAAATAATTTTATTAATAACTTCATTAATAAACTCAGTATAGCTTTAACTTATGGGAAAAAAAAACAGGAAAAAGTATCAACTTGTCTAGGTTAGATTCACACCAAAGTGGAATTCTAACATCTTTTGTTGGATATAATTTTCAGGCAAAAAATTAATAAAGTTTAGAAAAGATTGGATGAGTCTTGACATTCATGACACGATGGTGATGCAGACCATCGTCACCACACCAAAAAGTTCCCTCTGGTCTTTGCAGTTAATTCCCTCCCCAACCCTGGCCCCTGCAAAGCACTGATCAACTTTCCAACAATCCAGTTTTACCTCTTCAAAAAGTTTATATGAAGCAAACCATTAAGCATATAGTCATTTGAGTCTGTCTTCTTTTATTTAGCATAATGTTTTTAAGTCATCCAAGTTATTGTTCTGTATCACTAGTTAGAAATCTGTACAAGAATAGAAACCATAAAGAGAAAGGGAATGACCAACTAGCCAAGGGAAATTGTATGACTTGCTATAATTTTATGCAATACATCATCTACACTTCAGTACCAGCTAAATAAAACGGCTAGATTACTTTCATTTTTTGTATCTAAGACTCAGATCCGTGAATACTATTCAGTTGTTTTTGAACCATAACCAGTCAAGATTCTGGTACTTCAGCAAGGATCCATGCTTGAGTTTGTCTGACAACGCCATTCAAAGATACCTTCTAAGTGAGAACATGTGGCATTTAGTTTTCTGTTCCTGCCTCAATTTGCTTAGGGTAATGGCCTGCAGCACATCTATGTTGCTGCATATATGCATTTTGTTCTTTTTCTACAGCTGCACATATCCCATAGTGTATATGTGCCACATTTTCTTATACGTGGAAAGTAAATATTGTGCACACATGGAAACAAAAATAAGAACAATGGACAGTGGGGGCTACTAGACGGGGGAAAAAGGAAGGGAAACGGTCTGAAAAACTACGTATTGGGTACTATGCTCACTACCTGAGTAATGGGATCATTCATACCCAAACTTCATTGTCATGCAGTAAACCCCTGTAACAAACCTGTAATGTGTGCCCCTAAATCTAAAATAAAAACTGAGATTATCTAAAAAGTGGATTATCAGGAAAACCTAATGTTTGAACATGAATATCTAGTCCTTAATAGAAGATTAATCTAAATATATATAGAGAGAGATTTTTTATAAAATAAGGATACTTTCTAACCTAAAAGATGAGACTACAACCTAAAAATTGCCAGATAGCAACATTTTATATCTCAAATAACAGATAAAGGTTTTTACAAAACTATGGCATAATTACAATAATGGAACTATGATCCACTATGATAAAGATACAGGCCCAGTAACAGTCACTGGTGGACAATGCTATCGCTTTTACACTAACTTGAACCCTACATTTATAAATCTTTCCCCATCCTTAACAATTTTACATTTTGCTTATGATATGGTTTGGATTTGTGTTCCCACTCAAATCTCATGATAAATTGTAATCCCCAGTGTTTGTGTTTGAGGTGGGGCCTGGTGGGAGGTGATTGCAACATGGGGGCGTATTTCCCCCTTGCTGTTCTTGTGATAGTGAGTCCTCATGAAATCTGGTTGGTTAAAAGGGTGTGACACCTCCCCCCCGCCCTTCTCTTCCTCCTGCTCCTGCCATGTAAGACATGTCTGCTTCCCCTTCACCTTCTGCCACGACTGTAAGTTTCCTGAGGCCTCCTCAGCCATGCTGCCTCTACAGCTTGTGGAACTGTGAGACAGTTAAACCTCTTTTCTTTATGAATTACCCAATCTCAGGTATTTCTTTATAGCAGTGTGAGAACAGACTAATACAGATTACATAGCAAGTTTGGATTCCTTTTCAAAGAGTATCTTAAACTAGTTCATCAATTTAAAATATCAGTTTCTGTAATTCCCCATCTTATGGGTTTAAGACGATCAGACAAGAAGGTTGACGGGGAAAGAAAAATAGTATTTTTACTCACATGGTGTAAAATTATAGCCACCTGTGCTATGTTTGCAGTGTCACTAACCAAAATGAAAAGCTCGAAATTAAGTGCTTCTTTGTACACTCTGCAGGGAAGTGTATTCATGCAGCAGGCAAAGAAATTCCCAACCACTATCCACCACTCAAAGAAGCACGCTAAAAATAGCACGCGAACCCTCTGGCTGTAAGAACCTGTTCAGAAGATGAAAAGGGGTTAACCATAAGGAAAGATCCTTGAAATGATGAAACTACATGATAAAGGTAAAGTCAGGGCCCATGGGGGCATCAAATTTTACTACAAGGCAGTTCTCTGTTAATACGTAATTTAGGGCACCCACAACCAACAAACACCAGGGTACATCTTAGTAGTACTTGAATTTTCTCACTTTTGATTTTATTTTCTTCTACTTTATTATCTTTTGTACAGGGACAATTAAAAATGTCACTGAAAATTACTGATGTGATTTTGCAGGGAATGAATAGCTAAGAATAGCAGACTGTGGAGGCTCTAATCACACTTTATGCTGAATTCCTCCCACTCAATGCTGATGTTTCCTTAATCCTTCAGCTGTTACTTCTAAACACCCTAGGCTAATGCTTGGCAAATTCACTTCTGTCAGGGGAATAGTGCCATGTTTTAAAAATATCATAGAAAACAAATACAATAACATAAATATTTGTCCCCCAAAATACACTGTACCTTTCAACTATAATTTCACTAGTCCCTTTCCGTCTGTTTCTGGAGAGCCTCCAAATATAGGAATTTTATAAACTGTTAGAAAAACATGAAAAATCCTCAGGTAAATATTATGGTAGCTTACACTGAAAGTTCTTCAAGGCAGAGGAGATAATATTATTCAATGTTATCATTCTAACACCTAGCACGGAGTAGGTGTTCAATAAATATTTGTTGATTTATTGTATATATTACATAGAAGATACAAAATAATGATAACATATAGTGTTTGCACAAAAAATGTGGAAATCCTCATGAATAAAAAATATAAAAATGTACCCTATATGTGCATTGGTAAAATATTATTTCTCATAAAATCATATACATAAAAATTATTATCACTTTCAACAATGACATAGAAACCGTTTTTTTTTTTTTTTAAAAAGACAGAGTATTGCTCTGTCGCCCAGGCTGAAGCACAATGGCACAGACTTGGCTCACTGCAAGCTCCGCCTTCCAGGTTCAAGTGATTCTGCTGCCTCAGCCTCCCGAGTAGCTGGGACTACAGGCGCAAGCCACCATGCACAGCTACTTTTTGTGTTTTTAGTAGAGACGGGGTTTCACCATGTTGGCCAGGCTGGTCTCGAACTCCTGAGCTCATGATCTGCCCACCTTGGCCTCCCAAAGTGCTGGGATTACAGGTGTGAGCTACTGCACCTGGCCAGAAACCATTCTAAAAAACAAAACAAATTCCAATTTTCCTTTAGTATTTAACATGCCATTTCAATCCTAAGTAACTATTCTTATATCTTATTTTTGTACTAAAAATAAATTTTGTCCTATTAGTTAAAAAAACCAACAGCAATCTTCAAATGTCAATGATTAAGGGTTTTTGGGTTACACAAACAGTTTGAACCACTGAGTTCAATACTGAGGCATTTTAATTAATATGTTCAGTGATAACTCAATGTAATACCAGATAGTTATATGACTTTAAGAGGCGAATTATAATTGAATGTTTCTGAATGTATATACACAGAGTTTTCTCATTGACAATGTTGATATCAGAATGTGGCAGAGTCTTACTTACAAGATTACGTGGCATTTTGTTGGGCTAGCATAAAGAATAAGCCAACAGCCATAGGTGTTTTAAATCTGAGCCAAGAAAGTTTTTATTTAGGAAATGGTATTGATTTGAACCATTTAGAATGTTCTTAAAGAAAAGCTTCTCTGTTGGCTGCTTCTAAGGAGTATGAACTCATTATAGCTATATTAACTAACTGAAGAACTGGGATAAGGCATAATATGAAACATAGAGTAAATGAAGGTAACTATTCTCTTAATCTTCATTTGTACCAACTTTAGTTGACACATTCAATTTACATCATCATTTTTTATTTTAAATACTTCATGGTCATTTGCTGTTAAGTTGCTATTTTAATTAGAGGGCTTTTAAAATCAATATAGTTTGCTATGCAGTTTAGTTTATTTTTAAAAGAAACAACACATTCTAGATGCCAAATTATAATTAGAGAGAAAATACATCAGAAGAGAGAAAAGTTTTTCTCACCACATTTTCTGAAAACTATGGAGACTTTTTGAATACATGGTAAGCAGAATATTAGCAATTCATCCTTTCTTGTTGTCAATCTCAGAAATACATATATTATAGATGTCCCTCCCTTGTGCATATGGTATATGCGGGAAAGTTGGTAATTTATGCTTTAACATGTTGGTTCCTTTTTATAGGCAAATATATTGATACACACACATCTTGGAAAACTCCTTACCAACCATGTTTTCATTGGAATTCCTTAAATTATGGAATATAACCTCAAAGGGGATTGTTTATTCAAGGTTTATGGAAACTCTATTTACTTGTGGCTCGCAGATGAATTCTAAATGATGCTAGGAACGCCAAATCCAAAAGAAAAGCCCATGTGGAAAAAAGGTACCAAAGCCTAAAGGATTTATGTTTAAATTATTGAGATTCAATTGGGAATGCATGGTTTATTTATGCTGATTTCCTTTCTGCCTGCATTGTATGTGTTAGGTCTACTGGGTTTAGGACAGAAGACAATGACTTCTTCTTTTCTGTATATTTGAATATTTTTTCTACATCAGTTATCCATGTTGATAAGACTAGTGACTCATAAATGAACATTTTGACACAGCATATGTGTACATGAAATTTCATCTTTCTTTTAATTGGTTCAGAAAGCTGGATTTTCACTATAGTGTAAGGAAATTATGCATTAGGAAAAAAAAATTATGAAACCTATTTTTTATACCAACACAGGATATGAAACCTGATCTGGTAGAAATCAAACATTATATTCCTACTGAATTAAGATGCTCAGAGATATTATATAAAACATATCACACACAAGCTGTGAACACTGTACTAGCAAGCTATCTAAAAGACAAATTGTTTTCTGGGAAGCTAATTATTACAAACATAGAATATAACTAGAGATACTCAGCTCTGACAACTATTTCTACAGATGGGCTATGCACTGGTGAAACCTGTGGTCTTCCTACACTCCCCCAGGCTCTCTAAATTGCTGCTAAATCTACCAAGAGCCATGCCCAGAAAAGGGGAAAAGGAGTAGATACAAAAATTCAACTTTAGTTTAGCAATAGATGTCTGCTTCTTGCTTGCAGTGATGTTGTCTCAAGATTCCAAGGAAGACACCTTCTGCTCCCTTATCCAAGTGATGGGAATAAGCATAAGGCAACTGACTGGTATTCCTAATATTAGAGAAATTGTACTGATGTGCACATTACTGATTAGTATCATTTATTCAGTTTTACTATTGGATGGGAAAAAATGAAGTTAATAGATAAGCAGCAATGACTTTTTTCTAGTCTTGGTGTCCTAAACTCTTTTTCAGGTGGCATTTAGGACTCAGACAGCCCACATTATAAGGAAATCCCAGTGCTTCAGTGGAGAATGAATAATTTCATTAAGTCTTTCTGCTGGAATGGGTCCTATAGAAAATTCAGAGCACAGTGAGTATTTAAAACGTACACTGTACTTTTTTTCTGTTATTCCATACAAATGCCCTAATATATTTTATAAAAACTTGCTTCTACATGAGAATAAAAATATATGCATTTTTTCATTGAGCATATGTTCCATATTTTACTAGGGAAAAAAGAAGACTCAGACAAAAGAAGCTAATTAAAAAACATTAAATGTTTCTCTAGTGTGGTGTATTAACAGTGTTTAAGAATTATGTTATAACAGTAAGCTGTAATTATAACATGGCAGAATATAACGATAGAATTCAGCAAGCTCAAAGCAACCCTACTACATCCAAATGCAGTGAATACCCAGCAGGGAACAGCATTTTACAACAATTTGCTTTCTATTCTAGGCAGGTCATATAATATTTATCTTTTATTTCACTGAGTGTGATCATGATGCAAAATAATGTGCTCTGTTGTGTAGAAAGGGTTAAGTTATGGCCTTTGTGAGCCATTAGTTGGAGATTTATTGGGGGAGTTGGTAAGTCTATAGTTCAATATGTGGTGATTGAATAAGGACCATAGGTGCAGAGACAGAGAGAGGAAGAGAGCGGAGGCAAATGACGCCCCTAGGGCTTTACAACATATGGCCCATCAGTCAAGGGTCAAGCCCCCTCACAAATTGCATGCACTTTACATAGCCATCTGCATCAATAAATTACTACTCTCCTGTAGCCAAGCACTAATGCATGAGCAAGAGGGATCAGTCCCACTACAAATAAACTGTTTTATTTATTTTTCTTCACTGCTGCCCCATACGCCAACCCATCTTTTCCTCACTAGAATTGCCTCCCATAATCACACCTACCCACTAACAAGCACCCTTATTCTTTCAAATATACATTTGTCTTGTCCAGGGTGGTGGAACATGTCACAGAGAGTAACAGAGGTGCAGGTGAGGCAGGTGCGAATACCTGTAAGAAACTGAACCTGGGAATATGAAACATTTCAACAATTAACTTATCATTTCTTTCTGCCGAGTTTCCCTGTGATGTCCAAGAACTGGATTGCTAATGAAAACTTTCTGGACTATTGTACTTTGCAGTTTTAGATGTTTTCCATTTATATAAATTAAGGCTGTCCGCAATAAAACAACTAATATTTTTGACTACCGCTTACGTGTAGAGAGAACCTTTGAACTTGGGAGTCCTGGGCATGTTTGAAACAGCATACAAACTAGATTGCAAGTAAGATCATTTTTGTGTACATTCAATAGTTAACATCATTGAATAATCCCTGAACTTTTATGTTTCAATGTCTTGAATAAAATTTAAAGCTTTGTGAGTCTGAGAATATCTTTCATAACTGAAAGAGGAAAAAATATGTCTAGCTGTCGATAACCCACAAGAAGTAAAGCGCTTTGAAAAGAAATAAATATTGGAACAGCTCATCAGTTGGTAGCTATGTAATTGGATAATGGAAAGCTTGAAAAAATCAACATTTTTTGTTTCACAAAATCGAATATTTTGGAGAGAAATGGGAAAAAAAGAGAGAGTAAAGAGGGAGCAAGGCAACAACATGCTTAAATACCTACTTTGAGTCAGGCATTGTGACCCTTACATAAATCACTTAATTTCCTTCTCACAACAATCTTCCAATGTGGATAATTATTATCATTATTTTATGGATGACAAAACTAAGGATTAGACAAGATTAAAGGATTTGCCCAAGATCACACCGCAAGAATTAGTAGATCAGGGATTTATACAGAAGTCTTCCTGGTCCAAAGTTCATCACTACCCAACGTTCCAAGAAAGAAGAAAGGAAGATGGAGGAGCATGGTGAGACCAGAGTATGGATGCAATGTCATGGAACCCTAGGGGAGAAAAGGCCTTTACGTAAGGTCTTGTTCAGCTATTCCTCAGCTACTTTAACCTCATCTGTAACAGGAAGCCCTCATCAGCAGCAGGTCTTTCTGTTGTGGTGCACAAATAGAGAGAAGCAGTAGTACAGTTCTAGAAGGAAAATAATACGGACAAGGAAAGGGAAGAGATAACAGGTGATCAGGAGAGCCCTGAAACTTAAAGGTGGCCAGAAATGGGCTCAATGATTGTCCATATCAAGGTTAGATTGCAATTTATAAGCTACTTAGAGCACTGAATAGAGAAGGATTCTGAAAGATGCCCAAGAGTGCAGGAATAAGAGATGAAGATTAAAAAAAAAAAAAGTAGAAATAAATAGCATGGGGAAAAGCGAAAGTTTTTTAAAAAAAATCCTGTGCCTAGTGAGACATTCTTCAGCTTATCTGAAAAACTGATTGAAACCTCAGTGTGTTCTTGTACTTTACAAGACTGGGTTAGGTAATCTTTTGGAACATGTCCTGATTCTGCATATCTTACCAAATACGTAGAATAGCTTTACATGCACCCCCCAAAATTAAGAGATGCACATCCATGAAGGAATTTTTCTTGCAGGTTGGTATGTATTAAACAGGCAAACTTGGATTCCCATAAACCCTATGCATTTCTTTAAATACTCCAAAGTAGTCTATTGATGTAAAACGTAATTAATTATCTTTTAAATTGAGAGCAAATAGGAACAGGCATGATTTAGTATGAGAAACAGATGTGTACTTCATGTCTGAGATTGGATTCTACTTCATGAAACATATTAGAATGGACACAAGACCAAATTCTTTTGATTTAGATGGAAAGTATACAGTAAGATTTGCATTGTAATGGATCCATTGACCCTTGGTCAAGATGAAATTGTCAATAGGAATGTCTTATGTATGATATGAATCATATCTAATGGTTCTATTAACATCATATTGAGATTGAAGTCTCAAGGAGCATGACTTAGAATAATGGAAATGGAAGAGGGCTTTATTTATTATTTTCATTTCATTTCTGCAAGTGTATTTTTTCATATTTATATCATCTCTCATAAAGAAAAGCAGGCAATGATGCACCTATTAAAATTATATCAAGGCATATAAACTTGTAAAAGGCATTGAGTTTTAAAACAGATGTTATTTTCCCCACAAGATCAATCTTCTAATGGCCTACACCTTACGAAATAAGGAGGCTAGTGACTAATGAAAAGAAGGGTGGATTGGCAGTGAACAAAAGTAGTATCTTTGCCTACTCCTGCCTCTGACATAGTGTGTAACTATAGGCAAGTGCCTCCATTTTCTGGTCGCAGATGCCTCAATTGGAAAATGGGGATAATGTGATACCTGCCCTTCTTTTATGTCATAGGGATGTAAGGATGAATCAGGCAATGTAAATGAAGCCCTTGGAGGAGCACATTAGAAGAAATTGGTTTCTGAGTTGCAACAGATATTTAATGATACCATATTCCAATTCCATCAGATCATGTGACCAAATTTAGTGTTTAAGTAGCAAAATGGGCAATCATCAATCCAGGAAATTTTCTAATTGTTCAAGGTATTTCTAAAGGAACAAGAATAAAGAGATTTTTCTATAGTGATACACCTAAAGGAACAGGCCGCATTATAGCTTTTAAAAATGTTGAAATATAATATCTTAACTATACTCTTCATCTATTCAACAATTAACAAAAAGACAACTCTCTATTCAGACTTGTCAGAAGTGCAGCAATGACTAAGAAGAATATCAAAGAAACAGAGAGTGTTAAAGGAACTCGAGAGAAATGCCTCCATCTTACTATATATGTATCTATATGGTAGAATTAACCAGCATATGAAGCTGTGATTCTAGAAGTCTGTGAATGGTGATGGAAGATCATATCAAAAACAAAAATACTATTGACTCCTCTAGAAGGATCCAGTTGACAAACTAAAGGATATTTCTCTTCCTGGCAGACATAGATCTTTTTTAGAATTAAAAAAAAACATTATGAACATGTACAGTTAACATTCCTCTGATGGCTGAGTAAAGTAGAATAAATTTGGATGAAAATTACTATCTTTCTCCAAATGTGCACAAGCACAGGAGAAAAAAAATCCAGATGTTCATGTGAAATGGCAATCGCACAAAACCAGTGTGGTGTGAAATCAAAGAAGCCGAGATGGATTCGGCGAACAATGAACAAAGTCAGGAGTTGTTAAAAAAATAAGACCAACAAAGGTGAAAAGTGAAATTTCTCTGGGTCTTTTTAAGTTTTTACCTAGATCAAGATTTATGAACAATCTCCTGTTTTTATAACTACTTATATAATTTTTGTTTAAAAATCTTTTAGAAGAAAATCACGGCTGTTTTTTCCATTTGTTAAAAGCACTGAATTTAAAAATTACAAAGTATTTAGAGTGGCATCTATGGCAGTGGGGTTAAAAATTGGCAGATGAGGTTGGTAACTTGATAACGATGATGGTGATGATGATGGTGGTGAATATGATGAATGTGATGATGAAGGTGATAGCTAACCTTTATTGAGTTTCGCTATGAACCAAGTGCCACTCTAAATAATTAATTCATTAAATTCTCACAACAGTTTATTTTACATCTGAGAACACCAAGACACAATGCTTAGATTAAGTAACACTAACTATGTGTGTGTGTGTGCATGCACATGTGCAAATTCAAGTATTTTGAGTGGTTCATAGTAAAGTTAAGAAATTCTAACTTTAAAGACAGAAATAACATTTGACCAGCAATCCCATTACTGGGTATACACCCAAAGGAATATAAATTATTCTATTATAAAGACACATTCACTCATGTTCACTGCAACTCAATTCACAACAGCAAAGACATGGAATCCACATAAATGCCCATCAGTGATAGACTAGATAAAGAAAATGGGGTGCATATACACCATGGAATACTATGCAGCCATAAAAGAACGCGATTATATCCTTTGTAGGGACATGGATGGAGCTGGAGGCTCTTATCATTAGCAAACTAACACAGGAACAGAAAACCAAATACCACATGTTCTCACTCCTAAGTGGGAGCTAAATGATATGGACCCATGGACACATGGAGGGGAAGAACACACACTGAGGCCTATCAGATAATGGACGGTGGGAGGAAGAAGAGGATCAGGAAAAATTACTAATGGGTACTAGGCCTAATATTTGGGTGATGAAATAATCTGTACAACAAACTCTCATGACACAAGTTTACCTATGTAACAAACCTGCACATTTTCCCTGAACTTAAAATAAAACTTAAAAATATTAAAATAAAAATAAAAACTGGCAAGTAAATGGCTTAAATTTTAGCTTTGCCTCTCTGAAGTCATGTCTATTTGAAATGTGGCTTTTTTTCTACCACCATAGTTCAGAATTTTAAATTCCCTAATTGACTTAATGGTTCTACAAATTACTTTGCAACTTGTTCCACTGAGATCGATGGTATTTCACTACAACGTAGAAAACAGAATCTTGCATTTAGTTACTGTGTTACTCAGACAATCTAAGCATTGTGTCTCAGTGTTCTCAGATGTAAAATAAACTGTTGTGAGAATTTTATGAATTAAAGTATTTAGAGTGGCATTTAGTTTATAGCAAAACTCAATAAAGGTTAGCTGTCACCTTCATCATCACATTCATCATACTCATCACCATCATCACCATCATCGCCATCCAACCTCTGCTGTCTCAGACTTCCTGTAAATGCTGGGGAATGTGGGAGGATCAGATCTGCCTATTTCATGATATTCCAACTTCAATTTATGATGCTAAATGACCAAATTTAACATATGTATGACTTTCCAGTAGCTTTCAGGGATTTTTTTAAATTATTTTTTTCTGGGAAGCTTTTTTTGGCATATATTTTTGGAGTGCGAGTGTGTGTGTGCACTCATGCGCAAGAGTTGTAAGCTCACTCTCTACTTCAGGTTCAACTTGAAGCTGGGGCCCTGCCAGATGTACCTCAGGGATTTCTTCAGTTGTAATATATTACTTACAAGGATGTATAGCTAAGGCCCATCCAAAGACACTTATGCTTTCTCATTGTGAATACACAACTCCCAGTACACCTATCAGCACAAGTACTCATTTGTGAGTACTTCATGCAAGAAAAATTGGGTTCCAATTGATCATTTATCTTACTACTTACTTTCTTAATTCCTTGTAAGTCTCTAGTAATTTATGTATCACGATGCTGTCATTTTTCAATCTGCAAAACAGATTTCCAAACAAAGACAAAATAGTAGCTCCTCTGATGTGTTTCCAATCACTGGACATTACCCACCACATATAACCTATGGCTTTACTTGAGAATGTTTGCTTGACCTTCATCTCAAAGATATCCTCCAGCTATTGTATGAAATGATGGAGTTGTTGATATATTTGTGTCCAACTATAATAGTTTTGTGAAGTATTTATTTTCCAACCAGAAATAGAATGTACAAATTTGAAGTGGCAAAAATTATGAGGCGGGCAACTTGAAGCCACTATTTTTCAGAGAGTTTGAGAATACATCAATCAATTTAAGGATACTTCAGAGTGCTGAAAGCCCTTCTCCTATCTCCTTCACACAAAGAATGAAATCAAGCCAGGTATGGTGGCTCATGCCTGTAATCCCAATGTTTTGGGAGGCCAAGGTGGGAAGATTGCTTGAGCCCAGGGGTTTGAGGCTGCAGTGAGGTATGATTATGCCACTGAACTCCAGCCTGAGTGACAGCAAGACCCTGTCTTACAAAAAAAAAAAAAAAAATGAAATCAGAAATCCTTTGGCAACAAAGCAATGAGGTTTTGCCATAGTTGCATTGATTTTCTTCCAATTGTGGTAATGAACCCATTTGAAAAAATACATGCACCACCCCCCTCACCTCCTGCACACATGCATGCAGCTGTGAGCATCTATGTCCTTAGTATTTCACTGCTGATTTATGAATAGTAATCTTGTCATGGTTTTCATTAAAATATATACTGTATATAAAAGCGCAGATTCTCCAGAACAAAGGATTAAGCCACAATAAAATCTCCTTTTTATGCCATTTCCTTAGAGAACTGACAACACATTATAACAATATGTCTTCTTTTTTCCTGAGACTAAATATCATTTTAAAAGGTCTATCCTCAGCCTACAGGAAAGCTTTAACAGCTCTTTCTTATTTAAAGTGTCTTTGGAGAGAATATCACCCTTCCCTTGGACCTAATTGTGGCTGTTTTCTTAAGTGTCTGCAGAACCTGGAAGGCTGCTTCTGGGAGCCTCCTGTGGCTTCCCCAGGCACACATTTGCCATTTTGGTCCAGGCATGCATAAGAGTCACATCACTGTCTCCCTACTTGGCTTTGTTTAACACTAAGCACCTCATTTCTACTCCAGACATAGAACTCAGAGGCAGAAGTCCAAGGAAATTGCTTTCCCATACGCTATCTTCACTCTGAAATATCTCCTCAGATACGTGACAGGCTGATTGATTAGAAACCGTGAGCCTGGGAATGCCTAATTTTGTCACTACTTCTGAGATGGCAGTCTCTCTGTGACAATCCCAGGAAGCCCAGCTACCAGGAGGAGGCTTCCAAGAGGTCACACAAACGCAGTTTCCTTCATGTTCCTTGTCTGACTGCAGTCCTGCTCCACAGCCTCCACCCACAAAGCCACCCCCAAAAGGTGAGGTTACCCACTGGGGCAGAACGAGTGTCGGGGCCGTGAAAGCAAATAGGGACGTCGCACAATCATTCAGGTCATTTCATCATTTCGGGGGCTCGATGATCAGGATTGACTCTCCTGACAAGTCCTACTGTCATCGAATAATTGGACAAACTTCATCTTCACTTTGACTCTGGATCTACCGCTTGTGGGACCTTGGATAAGTCATTTAAACTCTCAGAGCTGATTCCCTTTGCTGGATATAACACGCTAAATTATTACTTGAGCTGAATCTTCGTGTTGCATTAGTTCCTTTAGAATGACGGGTTCCTCACAATTCAAAACCATGAATCTGCTTGAATCACCTTTGAGGAATTCCCTAAATCATGGTTCTAAGGATCACAAATAGTCATTTATCCATCCTAAGTTGCAGGTGAATCTTCAAATAACTCAACTCATTGATTGCTAAAAATAAACTATTTTTTTAAGTTTCCCTAGGAATTAAAATACTGTTCATTTGTGCTGTGGAGTATTATCACCTCCCTTAGAGATCAATATGCTACTCCAGTAAGTTGGGTTAAGGGCTATAATAATGTATATCTTCTATTTCAATGAAATATAAGCAAAATAATATATTCAGTAAATTGAAAAAGTATTTTATTTCCCCCCAAAACTCACAAATGGGCTGCTGAGAACCCATGAATAACATGGACCCACCGCTGTGAAAACAGTCCTTTTCTTTCCTAGTCTCGATGACCACCTGTTTTATTACTTTCATCAGACATTGTAGATACATTAAAAGGAATAAGTTGATAGCAGGTGAGAGACATTTAAAGGGAAATTCTAACTAGAATGACAAGATGAGCTCATAAACGGCCTGACCCTCAGCGTGTCCCACAGGTAGTGCCACAGCCCAGCAAAGCTATTAGTGTAAACATTCAAGAGACAATAAAGAAGGCTGGCCAGAGCCCCAGATGGTGCTGCCGTAAAAATACATTCCAAAGCTTGGCATCTGGATTTTGCAGCTGCCATGCGCAGCCCATATGTGGCAATAAATATTGGTTCTGAGGTTGGAACAGCTAGAGGTTGGGGTCAAATGGAACCATCTGAACCATCACAATGGAGCAAACAGACAAAGCACGGAAGTGATTGTAAAACGACATGTAATTTTTCATACCTCTTACTCCTTTTTATTATTGTCAGCTGCTGAAATGCTAAGGTAAACTTTCAGAGAATAAGGGTTTATTTGTCTAAGAACAGCAGCTAGTAAGCAATCATCCTTTTTTGTTCCTGCTCTTTATTTTACTTCCAAATACTAAGTTCTATTTACTCTCATCTATCATTTTGTCATCATTTACATTTTTAGTACTTTCGTTCAGCTGTAATCATTATTTATAACACAACCTCTTAGTAACCTATTGTTTTCTTTTTAAAATACATAATATTTTTATTTCTTTATTCACTGATTCATTCAACCACTATTTTATTGAAGATATACTGTGGGCCAGGCATGGTTCCAAGCACCAGAGATATAGAGACACGCAAAACAAATTCGCAACTTCTATGGTGCTTACATTCTATGAACGCTAATTCTTACATGCATTCTTAATTTTTTTTAGCACTGACCATGAATCTTATGATTCTCATCTCAGAGAGAGAAGAAATTCTGTTCAAGGAGACAGACAAGAAAGCAGGCAATAACAGGTGTGTGAAATACTAATCTTAATAGCAGAAGGTAATTTTCTGAGAACAGAGCGCAGAGTCGTTAAATTGGATGTGAATACGAGGAGAGTATCAGGAAGTGAGATCTTAAATGAAAGCTGAAGGCTTAGAAGAAATTAGCCAAGGAGACGTGCAGGAAAAGACAATCCAGGAAAAGAGAACTGACTGTGCAGAGATCAGTCAACTGTTCAGCAGAGCTGGAATGTGAAGTGGGAGAATATAGAAAGAAGCAAAGACAGAATCCAGCACCATCCAATCAAGAAGGATTTGTATGTAAGGAAACTCCTTGCAAAGCATCCATGAATTAAAAGAAATTTTGTCCCCAAGACAACCTTCTTGTACATAGATAAATTCCCAAAGAATGGTATTTGGAAGTTGAGAAGAGATATTTAGCTTATTCATAGCTAGAAGGTCATTAAGGAGGCCTTGATGCTAGACTTTGAAGATGAGGTGGAATTTAAAAGAAGAGGATCAGCAAAAGGAAGTGTTGAAAGGCATGAAATTCTTAATTGGACTTTTTTTTTCTTCCTTTTTTTTTTTTTTAAGACAAAGTCTCCGTCTGTCACCCAGGCTGGAGTGCAGTGGTGCGATCTCGGCTCACTGAAGTCTTAACCTCCCGGGTTCAAACGATTCTTGTTCCTCAGCCTCCTGAGCAGCTGGGATTACAGGTGTGTACCACCATGGCCAGCTAATCTTACCTGGACTTTTAAAACTATCTCTTCCTCTGACAAAAATGAGTATAATTTCTCAATTTCTAAACTTAAAAATATTGGGGAGGAATATACAATTAGGTAAAAAGTAACAGACTTAAACTTTTATAGCACTCATATTTCCCTCTCTCACAGGTTATTTAGTATATTTTCTCATTATTTTGGTTATAACTTAAGCCAGCAGTAATCTTGCTTTTAACTTGAGTGTTGACCTAAAATTTCCAGCTACACTTTCACTCGAACTTTATACAAGTGAATCTGAACTACATGCGCCTTTCAAATCTCTTATACACATTTTTCACGGCATGTGGCCCTTACTCTGACACGTTGACACTTTACTTCAAACTTTACAGCCCACTGTATTTTCATTCACAAGGAAATGTGTCTCACCAACAGGTTATAAAATCAATACTCTTTTTCATACACTTCCAGTATAGCAGAGTTTAATGTAAGTTATTTTTCCCCAAATTCTAGTCAAGACATTTTAGCTAAAAAAGGTTTAAATGGCATTATAACAAAGCACTTTCCTTATCAGATAGGTTAAAATGACATATCCTGACATATTATTATCAAAAGGTTTTGTTCCTTGTTATTACACATTATTTTTTCTCAGTATGTATTGCTGAATTTAACCCATAATACGAACCAAAAATACTGGTAACAACATCTTCAATTACGCCACTTATCTCTTATCTTGTAAGTTGGAATTAGAAAATCAGAAATGCCCTGAATTCTGAACAAATAATGAGATTAGTTACGCAGTCATTCCTATGCTAAGCTAATGTTGCTGAAAACCCAAGTACAACTGTGCAAAGGGTTTTTCACTGTTTACATACAGACTGCACTGCCCTTCTTTATTTTGACTATTTGCACTTCCTAAAAATTAATGGTTTTATTTCTTTTCTGTTCATACATAGTTATTTCCTATTATTTCTAGCAATCACTCTTTTTGAAATACCATGCGAGCTCCCTACTCATGTCCATAACGCATGCCCATTTTCATGGTCTCTGCATTTGACTACAACAGCTTGCCAATTAAACTTTGCCAGGTCCCCACATCTCAGTGTTCAAAAGATCCTCTACAATCCCACCTGCTCTGTGAAGCTTCTCAGCCATAAAAAGCACTCACTGGGCCATGTTTGTTCAGCCTTGTGCTGTACTTGCTTACAACCACTGGGCTATATCTTGTTTGCTGGAAAGCCGGTCTTTTCCCTGATACGGCTTGCTTTGGCCCCATTCTGCTTTTTTTATACTATGTGTATTTAAATAATAAGACAGAAGCTGGTGATCACAGGGGCCCTCATTTCAGATTATCAAGTGTAAATTAGCCAAGTGTTTTGATAGCTCTTAATTATTGACAACAGACAGTCTCATGGAAGAGCTTGCATAAGCCACACGTCTAGGTAATATGAAACCTCGCTCCAGGCCTTGGCAATTACATCTCTGCTGAGATATGGGGCTGAGGGGTGTACTGCCAGGTGTCCACCACATAGGACAGAATTTGTGGATTAGCAAAAAAAAGTGAGAGCTAATGAGTTGCAATGAGGGCTTTCATTAGCAGTGTTGTATTAGTGCATAATTTGGAGACCACTTTCCAAAAGGCTCTAAAAATTGCCTGAGAAATCACTGGGTGCACAATAAAAATTATTGAGAGAAAGACGGCTGGCTTACTCAGACACTGCCAGAGTTTGTTTGTTTTGGTGTTCCTCGAGAGCCTTGGTTTCATGCTCTGCTCTTCGCAGAAGCCTCTCTTGGGAATAGGCTTTTCCTCTTTCCTCCTTTCTCCATCAATATTCTCCACAAATAAAGCACTGTATAATAGTTTTTTGTACTAATGCTTAAGCCCTCCTCTTATTTAACTTGCAGGTTTATTAAGATATAAGATGTCAAGATGTTTCTGCTGAATAAAAGAGATTTTTTTTTGTTTATAGTTTTCACATGCACACATACACACACACAGTTATTGAGAATGTCCCATGATTTACTTTTATTACCCATTTATTCTTAATGATGTTAATGTTATCTTCATTGTGCATAAAAGGGAAGAGGTTAAATAATTTGCTCAAATTACATGTTATGCAGTTGGTAGAGACTTGTTTTTAGCACAGATACATTATAAATATTTTTGAGCACTATAAAAAATAAAATAAATGATGACTACACTTAAGTACTGATGTTTTATTACATTTATAGAATGATCAATCAGAATAATTTTAGATTTGTCTTTGCTTGTCATCTATTGTCATGTGCTGTAATACTATTTTGATCTATTAATCCCACTTCTGCTGGCGAAATTAAAACAGGAATACCACTGACACCTAAAAACAAATAACCTGCAGACAAAATTCTGTTGAACTGTTGACAATTAGGTGGCTTCATTCGGTTAATGAGTTTACAGGCACATTAGCTATCACATGCTTCTGTAATTGATCATTTTGGAATCAAACACATTTCCTGATGTCATGCTCAGAGTTGAAAGCACAACTGGTGTATAAGCGGAAGTAACCCATTAAGCTCTAGACAGAAACACCATTGGTCACGTTTATGAATGCAACTAAATGTAAAGAAGTGACTGGAAGCCTTCCATTCTCACATACCCATAGGATTTCCTTTGACGAGAATGTTACCTCATTGCTTTATACAGAATAGATTAAAATTTTTTCTAGATGAAAACTGCATTGGATATTTAGGATCCTCTTGAAAATAGAATATCTTCCTCCACCATGAACACAAAAGAATCTGAAAGAAAATTCAGTTCCTACTCTTGCTCAAGGTTTTCACCCTTGTGATGTCTGTATAATAGCCCTGCTCTCCAAATCTATGGTATCTCCTAAATTGCTATGGTAGGAATTTGGATAGTAACTCCAAAAGAGGGATCCTGTGTTCCCCAAATCTGTCTGGTTCCTGAGTTCAGAAAGTGGGAGGTTGGTTACCACCAGACACCTTTTATTTTACCTCTCAGCACTTCAGAGGTCAATTTTCTTCAGAGCCTGTCTCTGAAATATACATACCACCACAAGGTGGCAGTGGAGATTTGTGGTCACATGGTTAGCAACTCCAAAGAATGGGGCTTTACTATATTCCCTGCCTACATGACATCTACTCATAGTTGAATTGGTTTTAAAACTTCACGCACTTTACAGAATGCTGATTTTATGAATTCTTATCATTTTCACTTTACCAACTTTTTTCTTTACATTTACAGGTGCCTTTAAGAAAGGCTTGCTCAACATTTTGGACTCATGTAACTTAATTTGATTTCAAAACCTCCAAATAGATTTTTGTTCCTCTGAGTTCATATTTCACTGGGTAACCTTACATTTCTCTGTCCCTTTACCAAAAGAAAATCCAGTCTCCCCAGTGTTAATCTAAAATTTACTTTCCTATATCTTTGGAATCTTAGTGGAAAGTCTCACCTTCTCTAGTTCTTCCTTTTAACAGCACAGTTTAAACTTTACATTTCGGAATACGTTTCCCTCTCAGAAAAGACAGATAGAGGAACCTGCCCCTATTACACACAAAACTGGCAATTGAAGTTGAATGGAAAAGTCATTAGACCTTGTGTCAGAAGATCTGACCTTGTTTTTATTCTGCCACTTTTTGATGGGTGACTCGGAGCAAGACACTTAACCCCTTTGACTCTCAGTTTCCCCTTATGTCAAGAGAAAATGCTGGTTCAATATGGAAATAATGGTTAAATAAAAGTAAGTGAAATAAGTGCCTAGAACAGAGTGGGCCTTTAACAAATGTGATATCAGAATCGCTTTAACTTCTCAATCTTGTTTGACAACAAACTAAAGATTATTAAGAATAAACACAACTTATAATAAAACCAAATTTTAAAAAGTGGAACAATTTTCTCCACCTCTCTAATAGTTCCGAAAGGTATTCAACTTCAACATCATGTAAGACCCTAAAAAAAGAATATTTTGTACTTCAGTTTTCAGATGTTAAGTTTCCACCATAGGAGAGGGGTCCAAAATCATCATTCTCTCAAAAAGTAAAAAAAAAAAAAGAAGTATTTTAATTGCTTAATATATTGTAAAGCTGCTTCCTCTGTTTACTCTCTGGAAAATATCTACTGCATTAGACAAATTAGGCTTTGTATTGATTCAATTAAAAAATGAATACATTGACTTAATGTGGAAATCACTATTCACTAGAAGAGCAGAAAACTATTTTTTCTTTCTTTTTGAGATAGGGTCTCTGTCACTCAGGCTCTAGTGGAGTGGCAATCACAGTTCACTGCAGCCTCTAACTGCTCCTGGGCTCAAGCCATTGTCAGACCTCAGCGAGTAGCTAAGACCACAGGTGCACCACCATACCTGGCTAATTTACATATTTATTTATTTTTGTAGAGATAGGGTCTCGCTAAGTTGCCCAGGCTATATATCTTTAAAGGAAAAACAAAAATATTTTCATTACCTTTTCAAATGAATTAAATGCTGACTACTTTGCCAAAGTCTCCTTACAGTGCTCAAGCAAAGTATAAAAACAGAATAGCATAAGAAAAATTATGTCCAAGATATACCCTTTTTCTTTATTATTTTGAACAAAATATTTCAAATATTACAGATTAGAGGTTCGTAAATAATATCAGTTTATATTCATAATTCTAGGTCATTTCTTTACCTCTATTTCTAGTGGTATGAATATGATCTGGTTCTAGAGTTCAGGATTCACATTTGTCTCTGAAAACTGCAGCCTTTTTATGGAAATGACCCAAATATTTAGAACACAAGAATATGCCATTGCCTCTCTGATGACATTTATTGGTATTTCTCATTGACAAAGAAGAAAATAATTGTGCTTTTCATGATTTTAAACTCATCCAGGCCCATCACTCAAATCATATGATTTCCATTGCCCAAGCAGATGTAGAGTCCTCCCACCTAGGGAAAACTTTGTTTCACATTGGGACAGACACCTCATAATAGATTAAGAATACCAGATTTAATTTTTTTAAAAGATGATAAAATTTAATATTATTTTTGGAATAGAGCTTTTAGTGAATATTAAACTTTGCAGGTTATGTCACATAGGTCTTTATGTGAATAACTTCTTGAGAAGTCATTTTTCTCTAGCTGATCTGACTTTACATACCCCTTCCACACAAGTATATTTAAATACATAATTCAACTCATAGAAATGCTTGCTTGGCTTCCTTGAACTTTTACAGTTAATTTCTAAATCCATTTTTTAAAAGTCTCTTAGGAACCACAATTATCTTTTAAATATTCTCAGTAAAATCAAAATTTGCACGTTGAAACCATGACTTCAGAGATAATCCACTTTTTACAGAATCAGATATGAGCATCTGACAGCCATCTGAAGTAACACGAGACATGCTAGCTGAGAACCCTTACCCTGTGGTGTCTCAGAAATTTACTTAGAACACTTCCTAGTTCTCTTTAACTTAGATCTTAAAATGCCCCACAAATACCTGTAATGTTAACTTTGGGACATCCATATTTTTTTCCAAAAGAGCATAATTTGAAATTAGTACAGCTAGCCATACAAATTAATTTAATATTATTTTATCAAATAGAGTACTCTTTCTAAACAGGTTGGAATTCATTTATTAAAACCGTCTGTTTATTTTTCATATATATATATATATATATTTTTTTTTTTTTTTTTTTTTTTTTGAGATGGAGTCTTGCTCTGCTGCCCAGGCTGGAGTGCAGGGGCGCGATCTCGGCTCACTGCAAGCTCTGCCTCCCGGATTCACGCCATTCTCCTGCCTCAGCCTCCGGAGTAGCTGGGACTACAGGCGCCCGCCACCACGCCCAGCTAATTTTTTTGTATTTTTAGTAGAGATGGGGTTTCACCGTGTTAGCCAGGATGGTCTCCATCTCCTGACCTCATGATCTGCCCGCCTCGGCCTCCCAAAGTGCTGGGATTACAGGTGTGAGCCACTGCGCCTGGTTCTATTTCTAATTTAATAATGATATATAAAATGCTCTTTCAAATGCATCAAGTGTCATTTAAAAGGAATGAATTGATTCATGAATAAGCTATGCACACATCTTGTTGCTGAGTCAGTAATTGTTTTTGTTTGTTTATTTAAAAAAGAGTGGTCTCTTCTCATAAGAAGATAAGAGATATAGGGAAAGCCTAAATTTTGTAAGGGATTACTTAAGTGGTTATGATCAGAATGTTGCTGGAAATATGAATATTCAAGGCCATTCTGATGAGATCTCAGACAAAAATGAGGAAGAAAGTGTTGGAGAATGGAGTAAAGGAAATCCTTATTATACAGTTGCAAAAATTTGACAGAATAATGTTCACGTCGTAAGACTGAAAGGCAAAACTGATGAGCAATGTACTAGGATATCTGGCTGAGGAAATATCTAAGTAGCACAGTGTTCAAAGTGCTACATGGCTTCTTTTGACTGCTTACAATAAAATTAGGGAAGAAAAAATAATTTAAAGATAAAATTTATAATTGGAAGCAAAATGGATAGATTTTGAAATTTTCCAGGCTGGCCATGTAAATAATAAAAAAGTCTGTCAGTCCATTTTCGTGCTACTGATGAAGACATACCTGAGACTGGGTAATTCATAAAGAAAAAGGTTTAACGGACTCGCAGTTCCACTCAGCTGGGGAGCCCGCACAATCAGGGTGGACGGCGAAAGCACATCTTACATGGTGGCAGACAGACAGAGAGTCAAGTGAAAGTGGAAACCCCTTGTAAAACCATCAGATCTCGTGAGACTTATTCACTAACACAAGAACAGTATGGGGGAGACCGCCCCCGTGATTCAATCATCTCCCCCTAGGTCCCTCCTAACAACAATTATGGGAGCTACAATTCAAGGTGAGATTCGGGTCGGGACGCAACAAATCCATATCACTAAGGGTGTGGCTAAGCAACCCTTTCCTAAAGTAATTAACATGGACAGAAGAAAGCCAGATTCTCTTCATCAGGATAAAGAGATAATGACCGTATCTTATCAGGCAATTCTGAGATCTTCTAAGCAAGCTAGGGCGTTGAGAGCAACGTTTTGAGAGAGGTGCCTGCAAGACCACAGCATTCACTGCCCTGCACTGCCCTAGAACTCTGCTCCCTGAATTCCAAAACAGCACCCTTTGGCCACCACACTTGTAATTCAAGCGAGTCCAGGTGTGTGTGGCTTGACCCATGGCTCTAGAAGATACAAGCTGAAAACCTTGGCGATGTCCACATCATATTAAATCTGCAGGTCCCTAAAATGGAAGAGCTGTGGGGCCACGGTTTAATGGCCACAATCTCCACTAAGATTTCCAAGGACGTATCAGACAGCCTGGGGGCCCAGGCAGAGACTTGCCACAGGGGTGGGTTCATCACAGAGATTCCCTACTAAGGCAATGCCTAGTGAAGCCTTGAGAGTGGAGCAGCCCCTGAGCTCCTGGAACTGCAGGGCCACTAGATTGCAACTGCAGCCTGAGAAAGCTGCAGACATGAGACTGCAACCCTGGAGAGCCAGGGGTGAAATGTTTGAATGACCCCCAAAGTTTATGTTATAGAAACTTAATCTCCACTACAACACTGTTGGGAAGTAGGATCTTTCAGAAGAGATTAAGTCATGAAGACTCCGCCCTCATGAATGGATTAATGCTATTATGATGGAGTGACTTAGTTATAGTGGGAGTCAGTTCCTGATAAAAAGATGAGTTCAGCCCCCTTACCCTCCATCTCTCATGTGAGCTTGTTTGCCCTCCCACCTTTTTGCCAGGGAATGCTGCAGCAAGAAGGCCAACACCAGATGCATCTCCTCTTTCCAAACTCCAGAACTGCGAGCCAAATCAATTTCTCTTCATTGTAAATTACTTAGTCTCAGGTATTCTGCTTTAGCAAAACACAAGAGACTAAGACAGTCAGTTAACACATGGATGTGTGATTCCGGGGAAAAAAAGACCGTGTCTGCCTCAGCTGCTATTTTATGTGTACAACTCAGTCATGGCACACACAGACTTTGACTGGCTGGATATATGGAACCTAACAACGTCTCGCCAGCAGGAGAAGGTGTGAAGGAGGCTGGATATTAAAGGGGAAGGGAAAAGGCATTTCCATTTATGAAACTATGGAGACAATGGGAAAAAGGCTAAACATCTGTTGGAGGCCCAGTATGGAATAGCACAGACCAGGCATCTTTCACAATACCAGACGGAATCCTCAAAATGATCTTACCAGGTAGCCTTAGGGTCTCCATTTTACAGATGAGGAGAGCTAAAATTCAGCAATATTAAATAACTTGACCAAGAATGAAAACTGAATCAATCAAAAGCTGAGACAGAATTCAGTTCTAGGCCTTTCTAGATTTAAATTAATATGTTATTCTGAATTGCAGTTGAAGCAATCTAGGTAGGAGGTTTTAAAGTAATCTTATAGCATTTTTTATGTAATAGCAATATTTTAATTCTGTAATATGACTTTCTCCTTGTGCATTACTGGTATGCTATAACACAGTTTTTCTGTGTTTTTATAGAAAAAAATTACTTTGGATGCTTCCTTAAATGCAGAGTTCTTCAAGTAAAACTTTTATACATATGGAAAATCAGGAAAAAAAAAACCCATTAAATCTAACACTTAGTAACTTTATAGCCAGGTCTTAGTTTTCAGTATTTATGCATATGGGTCCTATATAATAATAATAATAATAAAATATAGTAGCTATATTCAAATTTGATTGGTGTAAGACAATTGTTTTAAAAGAAACACTCTGATTTCTGACTGATATTTGTTTTACATTACTTAAATGTAAATTAAGTTAGCAAATATATAACTAGGTTTAAGTTTTGTATGTTTAAGTACTTGGGCAACTATAACATTTTTAAATAAAAAAAAAGTTGTAACTTCTAAAATTTGAGTCAATATCTCATTTTAAAGTGATGGATGGGAGTATTCAGCTGAAACTAATTATCTCTTGCAATATGAAGATAGGGCTGGCTGCTATAGCTAAGGACCTCTTAAAGGTGCCGTGAGATGCTATGTTAAGTCCAGCTGCCTTTTTCTATGCAAATTCCTACAGAAACTTTGTTCTTACTGGATGCCATGACGTTTCAGAGTTTTTGAAATTTTTCTTTAATGCTTCATATATGTATGAATATTTGATTATTTATCTCTAAATTACAAATTGTACAGAATATTATCTGAAACTAAAGCAATTGTAAAAAATATATATACAGAGAAGACAAAACAGAATATTTTATCATAAGGTCGTTTACAGGTAATTCAGCAGAGGTTTTTCTGTTTTGTTTTGTTGTTTTTGTTTTTTTCCAGTTCTCACTGTGACAAAAACCCAAATTAAAACAAAAATGTGGGCAGGGGCGGTGGCTCACGCCTGTAATCCCAGAACTTTGGGAGCAGAGGCTGGTGGATCACCTGAGGTCGGGAGTTTGAGACCAGCCTGGCCAACATGGAGAAACCCCTTCTCTACTAAAAACACAGAAGTTAGTCCCAGCTACTCGGGAGGCTGAGGCAGGAGGATCGCTTGAACCCGGGCGGTGGAGGTTGCAGTGAGCTGAGACTGAGCCACTGCACTCCAGCCTGGGTAACAGACTGACACCCTGTCTTAAAAAATAAAAGTAATGACTTTCACATTTATGAGTGGGCTCATATTCCAAAATATTTATGTTCAAGTGATCTCCAAACTTATTTTACGAATTCTTCCTTCAAAAAAAAAAAAAAAAAAGAGCAAGTGATGTTGAAGCAGCTATTTCCTGCCCCCTTCGTGGGCGGGAACTGGAGCGCACAGGCCCTGGACCTCACAGGCCCTGGACCTCGCTGGCTGCTTTCGCGCTGGACTCACTCGGTTGGTCTCACTTCCACTCCTCAAGGGAGGGGGCGCAGGTGAGCGAGCGCAGGAGCTGGGGTGAGCACCTTTGGGTGCTGGCAGGAGCAAAACTCCATGTGGGCCCCGCGACAGCCTCCAGGGGGGTGCTCGCGACCCCTGAAGCCCCAGACGGAGTATGACAAAACCCTTTGAGCTTTGCCATCTGCAGATGGCTTCAGTGTTAGCAGCTCAGCGGAGGGTCAGTGTGACAGTTTTTCAGTGTTAACAGCTCAGTGGAGGGTCAGTGTGACAGTTTTTCAGTGTTAACAGCTCAGCGGAGGGTCAGTGTGACAGTTTTTGCACCCACACTCGTGGCACCCGAGTTCTTATCTGGCATCCAGAAGGAATGAGGTTGCATGAACTAACTGGAGATGGTAAATGCAGGGGATTTCATTGCCAGTGAAAGTGGCTCTCAGCAGAAAGGGGAGGTGAAGAGGGGATGGAGCAAGAAGGTGATCTTCCTCTAGAGTCGGGCCATCCCCACCGGACTCCTCTCCGAAGCTACACCGTTAAGCTGTCCCTCTGAAGTCAAACCACTTCTCTCCAACATCCATCCCAGTCTCTGACATTCAGCTGCTTCTCCTCTCTGCTGGCTGAGCTCTGGGGTTTTTACAGGCACAGGACGGGGGTGGGGTGGGGCTGTGGGTGGAAAGGCAACATTCGAGCAGGAAAACAGGGATGCAAGCTCTTACTTTTGGCCATGGTTCCAGGCTTTTCAGCTTGAGGGTGGGGCCCTCGCCAGAGACCCACTGTCTTCTGCCCAGGATCTCCCTGCATCCTGTTCCTATCAGTATTATGAATTTAATAACATTCTTTTACTTGCTTAGTTTCAAAGGATTAGTAAGTAAGTGGCAGATCTGGGATTCAAACCCTGTCAGTCAGACGCTTCGAGATACTAAGGGAAATGGTCCGCAAGAATGATAACCTAAAGCAAAAAGAGAGCACGTGCATTTGCAAAATTGTCAATCTAGTGCCTTTCCGTCAAGGAAGAGGATTCTAATTCTCAGAATTCCTGGTAGTAAAGGAAATATTCTCTAACTGATACAATTACTCTTACTGAAGAGAGGAGGAGCCACTGTATTTGTGAGAGAATAATTGAAGGATGGCAACTGGCCTTATATTTGGGATGTGAATATGGAATCACTCTCAGCACTGTAAACAAACTTTATTGAGCCTCCACGTGTAGAGTACACGCTCTTTTTTTAAAGCACTCAGACTAATGTCCTTGCGGAACAGCCTCATTCTAAAATTTTACAGAAGAAAGACTGTATCCTCTCCCTCGCCACATAAATAGAGTCTGCTGATTTCTCCACTAGCTCCATGACAACCTACTCTTGCCACCTCCAGGAATAAAGATTAGACTCCAAGCCTGGGAGCTATTCTGGGCTGCTCGTGGGAATAGTATGACACAATTCCACAGCAGCATCATTATTGACACATTTAAGTTAAAGCACTTCTTAGCATGGAAAACTTAAAACTCGAGACATGGACTAAAGAATTCAGTCTGTACAGAATGATTCAGCTCTTGGTAGATAGCCACTAAAATAATAGATACAATTGTTTACTGAAAGTGAAATATTTTAAAAGTTGACCCATATTTTTTCCTTCAAAAGACTTTACCTAAATCTTCCATTAAATTGAATATAATCCACCCCACCCCTGTTCTACTTTCAATGACCAGTTAAATAGTAAAGCCTTTGGAGAGCCCAATAAACATGTAAATCAAATAGCCAATAAATTTTCCTGTTTCCTTGCCTGGAAATTTATGCCCCCAAGAGATAGCTTGTGTAAAATAAGATGAAGACCAGCTATACTCAAGAGGTAAATTGTCTCCAAGAAATGGCATTTATTTAATTAAAATCATTGTCCACAAAAAAAGTGTTACATTGCTTGCTTGATAGCTTTCAGAATATATTAGGTAATCTGTACAGTATAGTTTTGGAATTCCATAACAAAGGAAAAGAAAATGTTACGTGCCGACACTTCAAAATGCAGTTGACTTTTTCTGATTCACAGTCCCTGGAGCATGCTGAAGTGTAGAGCACGTTTAACATGGGGGTGGGCTCATTTTGAAGTCTCATGTTTCTCTTTGTTTGCTCCATAGTGGCTCAATACCTAATGGTTTAGACCTGGCCTGACCACTAAGTGATCTCCCATATATAACCAAGGATTGATCCAACCCACATATTTGGGTTTAAAGTGAGTGTAGCCACAAAATCTCAGGATTAAATTTTCCTACAATGATTCCCTTCCTCCATACTTAGCCAACATGCAAAACACACACACACACACACACACACACACACACATACACATACACTCTCAGTAGTTTGTAACCAAATTCAATTCTCACTCCTGTCGCAGAGGTCTTCTAGGATACAGGGAAGAGATCACAGATTTCTCTTTGTGCCTAAGAAGGTATAAACTCATGAAAAAGTTGCTTAGATTTACTATTCCTTTTCCATTTACCCATGAGGCAGGAAGTCCTAAATGAAGGTAGAAAGAGCTTTCTAGCTACAAATTATTGATTTTGTCTACACTATATATTTTTAACATAAAAATTACTATGTTTACATGTTTTAAGTTCATGTTATTTAAACAATCTACTTCCTGATAGTCACTACTAAAAAACACAGGACTTAATTCTGATTTAATCAGTAAAACATTTGAAATGCTTATCTTAGTTATTACAATAACACACCCATTACATGGTACATGGTTTATTTTTATGCCTCAGACATCCTTCAGCTTACTGTGATTTCTAATTTTATGACTAACTCAGCCATGGCAACATCATTCTGTGACATCTATCCCAAGTCTCACTTAAACTTCCTAAAAATATGATGGTTCCATTGTAATCCTAACATATTATGTTCTGCTAAACACAGTCACATTGTACTAAACATCAACTTAAAAGAAAGAAGAAGAAAATGGCAGAGTTTTTCCCTCACTCGAATGAGAATCAGAAACCATACTTGTTTGCCAGTTTCTCTGAATCTCCCTTGTATCCACACAGCTTCATCCTTTGGAGAGTTGAGCTAAATGAGTCAGTACGTTAATTATGTGCTCTGGGAGCACAAAGAAGAAATAAAGAAGTTATTACCTTCCAAAGTTTCTCACGTAACCAGACCCAATTCTGGAGATATGTGGCACTGTACCAGAATCTATCATGAGAATGAGCTTTGCAGTAAAATGCACAGAATTAATTTTTTAATGAAAATCCTCCCCTGGTTTTCTGAGTCAAATCTACCTAACAAATGTCACTGGGCAATGTCATTACCCGTTAACCAGCACAAGGCCTTTAGAACAGATGATGTAGCAATGCGTTTTCAGAAGTGAGCCTGGCTAATTTGAGCCACCCCCCATGAAAAGGAAATAAAATAAAATTGGCTCCATGTCACTCAAACATGACAGTACTTTGGATTTCTCCCCCATGATGTTTTTTAGCCTTGAGGCAGATATGACAGGCGCCTTATTAAATTCCAAAAATAAATGTGGAACAAGAAGGCAGTGCATTCCAATGAGACACCCAACTTGTTAAAATGCAGCATGCACAAAACTTGGTTCATTTTACTTTTAGCCATCATCCTCATAATTTTAAATAAAAATGGAAATATAATATTTGTGAGCAAAATCTGAATAAAATTATTTCAAAGACCTTTGCTTTTTTGATAAAAAAAAAAAGCTGTTCATTTGTTCACATATACTTCAGTTGGGATTTTCTTTTCTTTTCTTTCTTTTTTTCTTTTTTTTTTTTTTGAGACTAAGTTTCACTCTGTCACCCAGGCTGGAGTGCAATGGCAGGATCTCGGCTCACTGCAAGCTCCGCCTCCCAGGTTCAAGCGATTCCCCTGCCTCAGCCTCCCGAGTAGCTGGGACTGCAGGTGCGCACCACCACATCTGGCTAATTTTCTGTATTTTAGTAGAGATGGGGTTTCACCATATTGGCCAGGATGGTCTCGATCTCCTGACCTTGTGATCCTCCCACCTCGGCCTCCCAAACTGCTGGGATTACAGGCATGAGCCACCGCGCCTGGCCTTAAGTTGGGATTTTCTAAAATATCTCTATCAATATCTGGAACTAAGGGTAGGAAACGAAAATATATGAAGGATCTCTCACTTTATATTTTAGCATCCCCCATCCAACTACTAACAATTCATTACACACCCAATGATATTTATGGATCCCTGACTTTGACTTTGCGCATGCTAAACGTTTTCCTATCTTTTTGTCTCTTAAACTACTGAAATCCTTCCTAAGTCCAACAGTTGTATTTTTACCATGTTTTCCTGACAACTACTGTCTTCCCCTATCATTTCTCCTTCTGATATCTTACAATATGTGTCTTGTTCATCTCTTTAGCACTTAATTCATTTGTTTATAAAGCCTATATGTTAATTTCCCCCACTAAAACATGATTCTTCCAGTAAGTTGCCTTTATTGAGGAAAAGGTACTTTTATATAATTGACAAAATTTAGCCTGAGGCCTTTTATGTATCAGGAATTCAATAAATGTTAAGCAAACTAACATGAACACTTACGTATATTATAATGATACAGTCACTACTGTTTCTCCATTGTTTTACTACTATGGCTCTGAGCAATTTGGATACTTGATACCAAGAAGCAATCCAATTTTGAAATCCCACAATGTGTACATCCTATACTATGAAAAACACAACAGAATTTCATAATATGGTCCTTGTCTATAAGGAGCTTTGAGCTGGAGTGTAGGGTTCAGGTTTTGAGAATGCCAGGGAAACTTATATGCCCCATACCACATAACATGACATTTGCCTTGAGATTAATAGTATCTAAAGTGCTTTTAATGCATTATTTAATGTTAAACATTCCTATAAAGGAGGGATTACTAACCTGTGTCATAGATCATAACACTGAAACTTAGAGAAATTAGATAACTTTGTGTAAGGCCGCGCTCACTAAATTGACAGTGCTGGGTTTCAAGCTCAAGTATTTTAATGACAAAAACCAGTGCTGAGCACCTTCAATGACTGCACAGCTTTGCGAAGCACCAATGCATCTCCCAAGAAAAATGGAGGGGACTATAGTAGCAAAGCCATGACCGTGTCCAGAATAGTCACCCTATTTTACCCAGATGATTTTCTCTTATGGGCTAATGTGTGGAAACTGAACTACCCTCCACACCCAGCTCCAGAAATCTCCTGGTAAGGACTCCTCCCTCCAGATCAGGGTGTTCAAACAGTTGCTCCTAAGACTTCTCACGTTCTAAGAAAAATAACCATGTAGGTCTTTAATTAGTACTAGACTACAGTTAGCAGTCATGATCTAAATGATTATTCAAAGGGCTGAATTTAATTTATTTTACTTATACCTAGTTTTATTTAGTCTTAAATAATGATTCTTACACAAGAAGCAAATTATTATTTTGCAATATGGTCAGGTACAATCTGAGATGTATTCTGCAAACTATTATTATTTATGGGAAATTAAAGTTAACACAGTTGAAAAAGATGGATGACGCTTTGCTATAACTAAAATTCCTTCAGTGAGTGACTGTCCTAACATCCTAGATCAGAAAGTTGGCTAAGATAGGTTGGAGAAGATATTTATTTTCATTTTCATTGTCTGTCTTTTCTCTCTCTCTCTCATAGACACAGAAACACATACACAAACACGCACGCACACATGCACACACACACATATTCACTCTCTCTCTCTTTCCTTTTCTGATGTTACCGCTCTCATTTAATTCATGTAAACCAGGGAAGATATGAAACTATTAAGACATAGTACAATAGGCCATTATATATTAATATAAAGACAATGTACAACTTGAAGACTCTACTAGATATGGAAAAGAAGGAAGTAGACTTCCTAATAAAGTAGCAAACACATAAAAACATTATCAGCTGCTCTCTCCTCTACCTTAGATTTTACCCTACATGTTAAAGACTATCTCCTGTTCTTCCTTCTACATTTACGCTTCTTTTTCTGTTGAAGTTCAACAAGAAATCTGTTTTAAGGAAGAACATTTGCTGTTTATACCACCCTCTTGTAAACAAGTCGTGTCACTGTTGGTGTGATGTCATCTCTATAGTAAAGCTGGATGCAAAGGAAATTCCCACACACTGAAGAAATTATTTCAGTAAACTGCAAAAGAGAATATATTTTGGATAACAACATCTAGAGAATGTTTGCTTCTTTCTTAAATACCTTCCTATACCTTAGACTTGATTTAAATTGCTTTATTTATATCATTATCTTTTCTTTTCAGTGGAAGATGTTAAAATAGAATACATACCACAGAAAAGAATTTTGTTTGCCAAAACTTAGCTAGAAAACTAAGCTTCAGAAAAAAAGGGAACAGAGAAGAATGCTGCTAATCTCTTCAGCCAAAAGCCATGATTCTGCCTTTTGGTTACATTTTAAATTCTTAAATTCTATTATTATTTTTTTCCTGACACAAATATAAATGTATCCAATCTTACTTCAAATGTGTGAATCTTTAACACTAATAGTCCCTGCCAGCTGCAATCCATAAGGTAATACATATTTCAGCATGCATCTGAGTGCTTTCTTAGCAGCATAAAAATAAAAGAAAATCAAAGTAAGTTGCTAAAAGAAAGAGCTTATTTCCCGCATATTAGCAAAATGTCTACAAAGTTTTTCACAATTTGGGCCTAGTAAATGTCTGTGTTTATCATCAGACCTGTTAATAATACAGAAAAGATTGTTCACAAATGGTCAAAGCTTCCGACTTTTGATTCCTTTATGCACTTGGTGTTTTAGATTCCAACCACATAAAGGAAAGACTGATACAAATGGATGATCTTTTCTTGATACTTAGTTTGCTTCCTGGTATTGATTAATCATACTGCAGTGCTGGAAAAGCCCTGAATTAGAGGTCAGAAGATTGATGTTTTTATACGAGCATAGCCACTATTTATTTCCTGTGTGAATCTGCCACCTGACTTAACTTGTCTGCACCCGAATTTTCTCCTCTGCCAATTGGGGTTCATAATGATTTATCTCTAGTCTATGAAAGTAAGATGGATAGTGCATGTTGTTTTTTATTTATCAGTACCATTCTTATCAGATGGGAAAACTGTGGAAAGTCACTTAAAGTGTAAAGTTTTATTGACAATAGTGTTATCATTAAGGAGCACAAACTGAATTTGAATGAAACAAGAAAACTAGAATAAAATTTGGCTACTTACTATAATTATTTTACTTTTTTATTTGTGTAGTTTATAGTTTGAGTCAAACTTACAAATAAAAAGATAAGATTATTTGTGAACATTCAAAATAAATTGTAATTTTCACAGGTAATTTCTACTTTCATTGGACTAGAGGGTGTTGTATAGTTAAACCTTGATTTATCAGTATATAGAACTATTTGAATAATTCCTGTCATGCAGCTTTTGAGATTTTGCTATTACTATCTTGGCAACCAGTAATAAGTTCAGTGAATGTATATGTCTACAATATGTCACTGGACGCACAAATGATCAAATATGAAAAAGTACAGAGATTTCTGTATAAAATAAAACACTTTATTTACTAATTCATCAAAACTGTTTATCAAGAAAGGCTTACAGGCAGTTTGTGAACTACTTCTATTTGAACTGTTGTACCTGCCAATCATCCCTGACCTTTGGCTAATCATCAGAAAAAATAACAAAAAGTAAGTTGTGAATACACTTGTAGATAAAATTTAGAATTACTGGAGGCTGATGCTCATTTTCATTGTGTGTTTTCACTTTCATGTGACACTTGGGCTGCTTTATAAAGTTAGATTGTACAAGTTTCCCTAAACATGTCCCTTCAACTCTGATTTTCTCTGTTCTATCTGGGTAAAGATTAGCAGCTTCTTTTCAGCAGAAATGTCAACTTTTCTGAAAGGCAGTAAAGAAGTATAAATTTAATCAAATAACTATACAGTTGGCTCTCCATATCCATGGGTTCCACATCACTGGATTCAGCTAACAGTGGGTCAAAAATACAGTATTCGAGGTGAGAGGTGACAACGTGCTGGTGGCCCTTGCTCACTCTCAGTGCCTCCTCGGCCACGGTGTCCGCTCTGGCCACGCTTGAGGAGCCCTTCAGCCCGCTGCTGCAGTGTGGGAGCCCCTCTCTGGGCTGGCCGAGGCTGGAGCCGGCTCCCTCTGCTTGCAGGGAGGTGTGGAGGGAGAGGCGCGGGCAGGAACCCGGGCTGTGTGCGGCAATCGCAGGCCAGCGTGAGTTCCGGGTGGGCGTGGGCTCGGCGGGCCCACTCGGAGCGGGCGACTGGCACTGACGGCTCCGGGCAGTGAGGGGCTTAGCACCTGGGCCAGCAGCTGCAGAGGGAGCGCCGGGTCCCCCAGCACTGCCAGCCCACCCGCGCCACACTCGAATTCTTGCCGGGTCTCAGCTGCCTCCCTGCGGGGCAGGGCTCAGGACCTGCAGCCTGCCATGCCCGAGTGCCACTGTGGTGGGCTCCTGCGTGGCCCGAGCCTCCCCGACGGGCGCCGCCCCATGCTCCATGGCCCCCAGTCCCATCGACCTCCCAAGGGTTGAGGAGTGCAGGAGCGCAGCATGGGACTGGCTGGCAGCTCCGCCTATGGCCCTGGCATGGGATCCACTAGGCAAAGCCAACTGGGCTCCTGAGTCAGGTGGGGACTTGGAGAACTTTTATCTCTAGCTAGAGGATTGTATATGCACCAATCAGCACTCTGTGTCTAGCTTGGGATTCCTGGATGCACCAATCAGCCCTCCGTATCTAGCTAATCTGGTGAGGACTTGGAGAACTTTTACATCTAGCTAAAGGATTGTAAATGCACCAATCAGCACTCTGTGTCTAGCTCAAGGTTTGTAAACACACCAGTCAGCACCCTGTGTCTAGCTCAAGGTTTGTAAACGCACCAATCAGTGCTCTGCGTCTAGGTAATCTAGTGGGGACTTGGAGAACTTTTACATCTAGCTAGAGGATTGTAAATACACCAATCAGCACTCTGTGTCTAGCTCAGGGATTGTAAACGCACCAATCGGCACCCTGTCAAAATGGACCAATCAGCTCTCTGTAAAATGGGCCAGTCAGCAAGATGTGGGTGGGGTCAGATAAGGGAATAAAAGTAGGCTGCCTGAGCCAGCAGTGGGAAGGCGCTGGGGTCCCTTTCCACAGTGTGGAAGCTTTGTTCTTTCACCCTTTGCAATAAATCTTGCTGCTGCTCACCCTTTGGGTCCGCACTGCCTTTATGAGTTGTAACACTCACTGCAAAGGTCTGCAGCTTCACTCCTGAGGCCAGGGAGACCACAAGCCCACCGGGAGGAATGAACAACTCTGGACGGGAGGAACGAACAACTCTAGACGCGCTGCCTTAAGAGCTGCAACACTCACGGCAAAGGTCTGCAGCTTCACTCCTGAAGTCAGCGAGACCACGAACCCAACAGAAGGAAGAAACTCCGAACACGTCCTACCATCAGAAGGAACAAACTGCGGACACACCACCTTTAAGAACTGTAACACTCACCGTGAGGGTCCGTGGCTTCATTCTTGAAGTCAGCGAGACCAAGAACCCACCAATTCCAGACACAGAGGGATGAGGATCCCAAGGACATGGGGGACTGACTTTTTGTGTCTGTGGATTCCACAGGGCTGACTGCAGGACTTGAGCATCTGCAGATTTTGGTATTCTTGGGGAGGTGGGCGGTCCTGGAACCAAGGGATGATTGTGCATCCTTAGAGACACAAGGAAATGAATGATAATTGCTCAAGATATCTGCCACCTCCTCTATCTGCAAGTAGAGGAGAAAACAGAATTGCTCCAGTGTAAACATCTACGTCACTATGATGCCATGTACATAGCGGATACTGAATATACACTGGGAGAAAGTATATGTAGAGGACCAAGGTGGTCTGTTTGCCTAAAAAGGCCCAAACTCATACAAATTATATTTATAAAAAAATTAAATATTACCATAGTATTAGGAAAGTAGCTTTAGCCTACTAAATGAACTCTGTTTCTAAAAAAGAAAATTAGATTTAAAATATACTTGGAGTTATATTAAAACAAATATTTAGAAATGTAAATGTTCCTCATAGAAATATTTTTTCATTCAAATCTATTTTAATAGAAAGCTATTAAGAAAATTTTAAATCATAAGAATTCCCAATCAAATTGGCAAAATGGAAAATAATAATGATGTAGACTTTATTTTCAGGGATAAATGGTATCAAAAAGGCATGGAATGCTAACACCAGATTTCCTTCAGAAAAGTTACCTCAAAATTAATTACAGACCTAAATGTAAAACATAAAAATATAAAACTTCCAGAAAACGGCACAAGAGAAAATCTAGATGAATTTGGATTTGTCAATGACTTTTTAGATATGGCATCAAAGGCAAGATCTAGGAAATAAAAAATTGATAAAATGGACTTTGTTAAAATAAAAACTATATGCTACATGATAGATGTCTAGCGAATGAATAGACAAACACGGGCTGAGAGAAAATATTTGTAAAAGATCTACTAGATAAAGGACTGTTATGCAAGTATATAAAGAACCCTAAAATCTCAACAGCAAAAAAAAATCTGATTAGAAATTGTGTCAGAGACTTTCACAAACATCTTATCAAAGAAGATGTGTACATGGCAAATAAGCATATGAAAAGATGCTCCATATCATATGTCGTCAGGTAAATGCAAATCAAAACAATGAGATACCGTTGCACATCTATTAGACTGGGCAAAATACAGAACAACACCACCACCAAATGCTGACAAGGATGTGGATCAACAGGAACTGTCATTCACTGTTGGGGAGAAGATAAAATGGTACAGCCACTTGGAAAGGCAGTCTGGCAGTTCCTTTCAAAACTAAACATACTTTTATGATGCAATGTAGAAATTCCACTGTTTGGCATTTACCTAAAGGAGCTGAAAAGCAACAACAACAACAAAACTGCACACAGATGTTTATAGCAGCTTTATTCATAATGTTGCCAAAACTACGAAGTAACTGACATGTCAATAGGTGAATAGATAGATACACTATATGGACTTGTGTTACATCCAATGTAATATTATTCAGCACTTAAAAAGGAGCTATCACCAGGTGCAGTGGTTCATGCCTATAATCTCAACATTTTGGGAGCCCAAGGTGGGAGGATCATTGGAGATCACGAGTTCAAGATCAGCTTGGGCAAGATAGTGAGACCTTATCACCACCACACACACACACACACACACACACACACACACAAAACAAAACAAAACAAAAACAGGAAAAAGAAAAAAAAAGAAAAGAAAAGCTAGGTATGGTGGCGTACAGTATGGTCCCTGCTACTTGGGGGACTGAGATGGGAGGTTGCTTGAGGCTGGGAAGTTGAGACTGCAGTGAGCTGTGGTCACACCACTGCCATCCACCCTGGAAGACAGAGCAAGACACTCTCAAAAACACAAAAGAAAAATGAAAAAAAAAAAAAAAAAAGAAAGGTCAAGTGGCCAGGCATGATGGTCACTCCTATAAGCCCAGCACTTTGGGAGTCTAAGGCAGGAGAATTGCTTGAGGTCAGGAATTGGAGAAGAGCCTGGCCAAAGTGATGAGACAGTGACTCTATACAAAATTTAAAAAGCACTGGGCATGGTGGCATGTGCCTGTAGTCCTAGCTACTCCAGTGTCTGGAGTTGGGGGATTGCTTGAGCCCAGGAGGTTGAGGCTGCTGTGAGCTGTGACTGCACCACTGCACTCCAGCCTAGGCAATCTAGGCAACAAAGCAATACCTTGTCTCAAAGGAATGGTTATCAAGCCACAATGAAATATGGAATAAACTTAAATGTATATTACTGAAGAAGTCAATCTGAAAAGGCTACCCTATATGATTCCATACTGTCTGACATTGTGGAAAAGATAAAACTATGGAGACAGTTAAAAAAGATCAGTGGTTTTCAGGGGGCAAGGGTTAGTGGAAAGGATGGATAATAGATGGAGAACAGAATTTTTAGGACAGTGGAATTATTCTGTATGATACCAGAAGAGTAAATAAATATCATTATGCATTTATCCAAGTCCATAGAATGCCTACCAACCAATAGTGTACCCATGTAAACCAAAAATAAAATTTTAAGGACCCCCAACCATCTGGTTGGACCCCTTCTCTTGGCCAGGGCATTCCAACGTTACCCTGAAAAACTGGCTCAGGCCATGATGGGAAGCGAGAGTTGGACATGCGTCATCATTCCCTCCTCTCTTTCAGATTTCAGGAAAAGCTGACCAGCATTAGCACTGGCACAGACCTTAAGTCCGATGAACATTTACCGTCTGTTCTCTGTGAAGCCTGCAACCTAGAGGGTTTATCTGCCTGATAAAACTTTGGTCTCTACAACTCTTATCTTATCATGGTAACCCAGGCATTTCTTTCAACTGATTCCAGGTCTCTAGATAATAGCTTAGCTCTTTCAGCCAGTTGCCAATTAGAAAACGTTTAAGTTGCCCCTACTTTCCAGACAGAACTGCCAATGTACGTCTTACAGGTATTTGATTAATGTCTCATGTTTTTCTAAAATGTATAAAACTAGACAGTGCCCTGACCACCTTGGACACATGTTCTCAGGGTCTCCTGAGGGCTGTGTCACAGGTCATTGGTCACTCATATTTGGCTCAGAATAAATCTCTTCAAATATTTTACAGAGTTTGACTCTTTTGGTCAACACCCTAACATCAGCTGTGGACTTTGGGTGAAAATGATTTGTCAATGTAAGTCCATCAGTTGTAACAAATGTACCACGTCAGTGTGGGATGTTGATAGTGAGGGGGCCTATGTATGTCTAGGGGGAAGAGGATATGGGAAATCTCTATACCTTCTCAATTTCACTGTAAACTTCAAACTGATTTGAAAAATAAAATCTGTTTTTAAGAAGGCATGAAATGCTAACACTAGATTATTCTGGCAGAAAGAGGTTTAATTTTTCCAATGGATGCTTTTGAATTACATTTCATTTTTGGCAGAAAGCATGGTAGAAATATTTTTAAATAAGTATTCTGAAATATCTGAGACTTTCTCTTTAATATATAGTTGAATTTATTATTTTGCTGATATATGATATCACAATTTTGAGTAATTCATTAAAAAGGAATGTATAAAGGTATAATAGGTTCACATTCATATTTTATGTTTAGGTAAATTCTGTTGACATCATTAAAATATTCTCCTCTCTGGCGTGAACCCGGGAGGCAGAGCTTGCAGTGAGTCGAGATCGCGCCACTGCACTCCAGCCTGGGCGACAGAGCGAAACTCCGTCTCAAAAAAAAAAAAAAATATTCTCCTCTCATATTATAGAATGCATAAGATTTTAGAGCTGGATGAAATCTTGCAGGTCAGGCAGCAATTCTTCATTTTATAGATTTAAAAACAATAGCATTGAATGCTGTTCAGCCTTTCATGATTAGTCATAATTCTATGTATGATATTCTCCCAAATATGTATTTTAATAAAGGTTATCGAATATTGTTTATCACCATAGATTACAAAATTGACCAAAATATAATAAAAAGTAATTGTTTTTCCATTAACCATATTTTGGGAGAAGATATAAAGAAAGCACCTTTCATTTTGTATGATTGTGCTATTCTGTCTTTTCTAATTTAAATAATTCAATCACAAAACTGCTTCACTTTTGTACGCTAAAATTATATATATATCTTCACAATGCTTAAACATAATGCAATCATCAAAACCCTTGGAATTAAAGTAACGCCATTGCTTCCCTTGATACTGGCATCACCCACCTGAGCATTAAGAAACACTCCCAAAAGTCCCCAACCAATAACCATAAAAGCCCTAACATTAAGAAGATAAGCTCTAAACAGACACTATTTGAATTTTTGTCATTGAATTTTTAATTCTGTTTCTTTTTCAATAAACTTGCTCCATCTGATGACTTGCCAAGAAAGAGTGAATGCTACATGAACAAAGCACTTACATAGGTCAACATGAAAATTACAAAAGGATAAAGAAAGTGCAACATTTAATTGAAAAATATTAATAAAACCTTATTTCTTTTAAGTAGTTTCCTTCTCTCCTTGGGGGATAAATGTCCCTTTCATATGCCAGATAACCTTCTAATATATGCATCTTTCATTTCAAGGATTGCTGAAAAAAAAGCAGATTGTCTGTGCGATTCACCTAATTGTATTCTTTTCTGTCCACATTTACATTAAACGACTGTGGTGTAATCTTGAAACCAAAAGAATTCCACTGCCTGAAAATTAGTAAAAGACATCCAGGCATGATTAGTGCTCAAATATTTGACTGCTCTCTCCTAGAACCCTAATCTCACTTCATTTTAACAGGGAAAACAACCCTAGGGGTTCTTGAGATGGTAATGATGTCACAATCCCAAGGGCAGGCGTGGGAGATGGGAGGGGGAAGAATCAGATTTGATTTCAATAGACAATATGAACTGTTGCTCTTCTGTGAATTTTGACGTTGCCCTGGAATGAAGGGAGGATCCTGTCCTAAGCCAGCCCAGACAAAGCAATATTACATATTTAATTTCCAAAGGCAAAAACCCAAAGTCCCAAAGCTCCAGGAAAACTAATGGTCCACTCCCTGGTTAGGCTGTAAAGAGCAAATGCCAAACTCAGAACTAATTCAGCTAGGAAATACAAGGAATTTCTTCAGGAATATTTATAAATCCCAAGGTTTTTATTTTAGAAAACAGAAACACAAATACAGTATGCATATTTTTAAGTTGTGCAAATTTTAACATATATATTTGTATGCTGTGTGGATTCACTAGTGGATATTTTGTCTTTTATGTAGACATTAGAAGCAAATAAATTTCATTTCATTTAAGTATTATTTTCTTGAGCGAAAACCAGATATAAGGTAATTAATAAGAATTAATTGCTCACATTTTCTTTTCTAAATTGATATAAACATCAGTATATGAATGTAACATATAAAAATTTACATAAATACATAAGACTTGATTTCAATTATTAAATATTAAAATAATAAAGTGCATATACAGTTAACATGGGATACTGATATAAAAGTATTATACTAGTATTATACTAAAATTTGAAATACAATTAAATCCCAACTAGCTTCTAGATCCTAATATGAGTATTCCAGGCACTGGATAATACAGTGATTTTACATATAGTGATGGGCAGGCCTTCTCTTCTGTAACACAGAAAGCCTAGGAAGCAGATGTTGCTTTTGTCTCCTGTCACCAGGGCCTAATAGTGTATTCTTGTAATCCACATTGGTTTTACCAGTGCATAACAGCTTCAGATGTGCTACCTGTAAACCACAGAACTGCTGAAGACAAAAATAAAAAAAGTGGA
Organism: Homo sapiens; assembly: GCF_000001405.40. Taxonomy (NCBI): domain Eukaryota; kingdom Metazoa; phylum Chordata; class Mammalia; order Primates; family Hominidae; genus Homo; species Homo sapiens. The sequence goes on along the minus strand of NC_000003.12, from coordinate 77,233,319 downwards.
GGGGGGGGCAAGGATTATTTCTTTTGCATTATTTTAATCATATTCCAAAAATAATACAATCAGGCTTCACCTTATTGATATTACTGAATTGTTCATGGTATTATTCACTTTGAATTTTCAAACATATTAGTTGATGGGGCAACAATCAATCAGAGTAGCTATGCAGAGCTGAAAACTGACCAGGAAGTTAGGTTAAAAACTATTATATGACTCGGTTGTGGACTTTTTTCCCCTTTAGCTTTTCCATATAAGTAGACTAAATGTATTCCACCTGCTTATATTGTAAGCACTAGTTTCATACACAATAACTTGGATTTAAAGCTCTTCAATATGCCTCAGATGCAACTGGTATTGGTAATTTGAAGGCCATTGTTCACATTAAATGAAATCATATATAATTTTAGGCTTAAACCCAGAAACATTTTGAAAATGATGAGGCAACCAAAATCTACAGACACTTTTGAGCACTGCACTAGATGTTAGAAAAGGCAATCATGGGCAGGACAAAGAAGAGTAAGAAATATTTTAATTTTAATCTACTGAAAGACATAGACATACATATAACTTACCAAAGTACAAGTTAGACCATCACCATCACATTATTGACAAAAACAACCAACAAAATACCAAGAGCACCAACATTGCTGGAGTTCACTCCAACAATTACCATCCCTTTCTGCACAGGTAATGCCTCCCTCAATCCTGGGTAATTCCATGTAGCATACAAATGTGTCACAATATCCGCATTTTTAATATCGCATATCTCAAGCATATCAGAGCCTGCTTTTAGAAACAGTTAACTCATGGTCTCCACCTTTTCATTTCCCATGTCCTCAAACCATTCTCCTACAAATCAAAGAATCCATTTTTATCAGATTCACCATTCTTGTCTCTCACTCTTTCCACTGGTTCTGTTTTCTTCCACTAGTTTCTCTACTCAGGACTTTATAGAACAGCCTCTAAGAGAGGCCAAAAGGGTCTCCATTTAAATGCCACTCACCAAGAAAGGAAATTCCTGACCACTCCAGCTAAATAGCTCTCCCTGGCCACCTACTCCATTAATTTATAATACTTTCCCATAGAATTTAACCACCAACTTAAATTATATTATTTATGTTTCCTAATTGACTTTATTTCTCTTTCACCAGAATGCAACTTTATAATAGCAGGACATTTTCTTAGTCACTTTTGTATCCCCAGCTTCACTAAAAGTACTCGACTCATAGCAGGTATGTAATAAATAGCGATGAAAAGAAATGGAATTTCGGCAAGAAGAAACAATACAGCAAAGTTGATGATAGGAAGAGAACCTAGAGTGTATAATATTACTGAATTCAAAGAAAGAAAAATATCCAAAGATGACAGGATAGTCAATAATTTGAAAGCTACAGAAAACAAGGACTGGGTAAAACATTAAAGGACGTTGGAGAGAGTGGTTTCAGTAGAGCCTCAAGGATAGAGGCCAGATTCTTAAAATTTAAAAGACTGGAATAATCTACTTTTTGCTGATCAAAGATTGTGAGTGGAGACAAAGAATCCGTGGAGAGAAAACAAATAGAGGTATCAAAGTCAAAAACGACAAAATAACACTCCAGAGAAGGCTGACAGGATGAGAAATAGAAACACCAATTCGGGATTTTCGGCGGGGTAAAACAGTAGAGTCAAGTCTGTCCTGAGATTTTAAGGAAAAAAAATAATAATGTAATGTATTAAGAACTTACAGGTGAAAAAAGATTCCAGCGTGGCCACCTCTATTTTCTTAGTAAAGTAGGAGGTGAGGTTTTAAAAACTCAAAGAATAAAGTAAGGCATATAATTAAAGCACCCAATAAAGGATAAGGGGACCTCATCAGGGGTCCTAAGTGTGTATCCTTCCCCACTTTTTAAGATAATATGAGGCTTTTATTTTAGCTTAGTGTCTTTTAGCTTAGTGTCTTTTTTTTTTTTTTTTTTTTTTGGATGGAGTCTCACTCACTGCTGCCCAGGCTGGAGTACAGTGGCGTGATCTTGGCTCACTGCAGCCTCTTCCTCCCAGGTTCAAGCGATTCTTGTGTCTCAGCCTCCAGAGTAGCTGGAATTACAGGTGCCCACCACCACAACTGGTTAATTTTTGTATTTTTTGTAGAGATGAAGTTTCACCATGGGTCAGGTGGGTCTCGAACTCCTGGACTCAAATGATCCGCCCACCTCGGCCTCCCAAAGTGCTGGAATTACAGGTGTAAGCTACCGCAATGGGCCTAGAAGGATTCTTAACTAGTGAGAAAGTAGATCCCAGTTCTAAATAAAGCAATATTTTTCTTTTTACTAACTTCCAAGCACATGTTCAATCACACAAATTGTTTTCTTTTTTAACTAAAAATCAATTTGCCTATGAAGGTAGTATCTTAGAAACTTGCTAAAAATAATGCATAAAATCAAAATCTAGATACGCTAAAGGCTAAGTTAATTATTTTCATAAAAAGATCGCAAAAGAGTAATTTTGCATTAAAAAAGTCTAATTTTAGGAAAACCCGGATCTTGTTTGCATAATTCCTTACCATCAAGTGTTCAATGTCTTTCTCAATTTAATAACTAACCTGTCTTTTCTAGTAACTTTAGTTTCCGTGTAGTTAATGTGGAAGCCAACCTTACAGTATTTTCATTAAAGAAATTTGAAACAAAACAATTTTCAGATAAAAACTTTGAGATTTGCTTGAATGATTCTAATAGAAAAGTAAACTAATAGAAAAGTAATATGCCCTAACAATGGTTCCATTTGGTGCGAATACATATGTCCAATTCTAACAAAAAGGAATTAATTGTTTTTCCCACATTGCCTTTGGCACACCCAATTGCATTCACTTTCAGCTTCAAATAAATCTAGGTTAATGTTACGTTTGAAGAATAACTTTCGTTTATATTATTGTTGTTGCTCTTGTATTTAAAAAAAGCTATGTAAGCCAGGTGTGGTGGCTCACGTCTGTAATCCCAGCAATTTAGGAGGCCAAGGGAGGAGGATCCCTTGAGCTCTGGAGTTAGAGATCAATCTGGGCAACATAGTGAGACCCTGTCTCTACAAAAAGGAAACAAAATTAGCCAGGTGGTGCATGCCTTTAGTCCCAGCTCCTCAGGAGGCTGAAGTGGGAGGATCCCTTGAGTATAGGAGATCCAGGCTGCAGTGAGATGAGCTTATGCCACTGCACTCCAGCCTGGGTGACAGAGAGATTCTGTCTCAAAAAAAAAAACTGTCTAGCATGGGTGATTCAAGTAACAACCCTAGAGTAAAAGATACACTTCCCAATACCAAGAGAAAATCACTTAATAAAGCTCAAGCTTTTTATTCACCAGATAAAACAGTAGTTTACTTTAATTTATACTTTCACCATCAAGCCTAAGACAAGGATGGTTAAACAATTTTTATTTTTTTACCATCCCTTTGAAGTAAAAACTTGATCTTTCTTCATGGAGGGAATCTCAATAATAAATTGTCAGTAAAAATAATAACCTCTTGATTTCAACGGGTTGAAATAAATATCACCTAGAAGGAAGAAAAATTGGCAGCACAGGGAGAGAATGGCGGTGCCCCAGACTGCAGCAAGCACTGGTCTCCCCTTCCTATTCTGTCACCATGATGAGCTAGTCCAATTTGGTCCATTCTCTCTCTTTTTTTTTTTTTGGAGACAGTCTTACCCTTACTCTGTTGCCTGGGCTGGGGTGCAGTGGCACAATCTCAGCTCACTGCAACCTCTACCTCCTGGGTTCAAGCGATCCTCCTGCCTCAGCCTCCCAAGTGGCTGGAATTACAAGAGCCCACCACCACACCTGGCTATATTTTTTTTTAATTTTTAGTAGAATAAAAGAATAATTTTATCCTCAGGTGATCCACCTGCCTCGGCCTCCCAAAGTGCTAAGATTACAGGCATGAGCCACCACACCTGGCGCAATGTGGTCCATTCCTTTAATGTCCTTAAGCCTCCACTGATTTATCTGTTCATAGTATAGTAATAATATTAGCATTATAGTACACTGTTATTAATAGTATAGTATTAATACTACTCTGGGGAGTATAGTAATAGTAGTAATAATACTCTCGGGATGTTTCTGAAGAGAGAATTAGGTAATGTACATATAATAATCTCAAAACGATACATAGCTATATAACATTGAGTCCCATCTCCCTCCCAATAACCAATAGCTGCTGCCATATCAGTAGCTGTCATTTGTGAGAAATACATGACAGAAACCATGGCGAAGGCTTAGAAATTAAAAGCAGTTCTTAAATATGAAAAAAGCTTCTGAGAGGTTGATTGCATTGGTTTGGCAGATATCTTAGGGACAAAACATGCCAAATGAACCTAGCAGACAGATTTGATGTTGAGTCACACAGGTAAATTGCATGAGACCTAAAAATGAGTAGTTCAACTATTTCTAAGTTTAAATGAATTAAGCTAATCCATTTAGATTGATGAGGTTAACCTGGACTTGAGCATTTCAGCAGAGTAACTTCAAGAGATCAGACATAATTGGGTCTTCTTATTGACTCACTTTAGTGTTTTTGGATTTTGTTAAGATTTTCTTTTTAATCTTGCAAGTTTTTTTTTTATTATTATACTTAAGTTCTGGGATACATGTGCAGAACGTGCAGGTTTGTTACATAGGTATACATGTGCCATGTTGGTTTGCTGCACCCATCAACGGGTCATCTACATTAGGTATTTCTCCTAATGCTACCCCTCCCCTTTCCCCAACCCTGGGACAGGTGGACAGGTCCCAGTGTGTGATGTTCCCCTCCCTCTGCCCATATGTTCTCATTGTTCAACAGGGAACTGAAACAAATTTACAAGAAAAAAACAAACAACCACATCAAAAAGTGGGCAAAGTAATTTTTGAAATTAAAAAAAAAGGGTGTGTGTGTGTGTGTGTGTGTTTGTGCATGTAATACAATATCTGTTTGTTTTCTGAGCTATTTAATGCAAACTCTCTGTAATATTCCTGTAATAAATAGAAAAATTAGCTGTGTGTTTGTGTTTGCCTGTAGTCCCAGCTACTCCAGAGGCTGAGGTGGGAGGATCCCTTGAGCCCGGGAGTTCAAGGCTGCATTAAGCTGTGATCATGCCACTGCACTCCAGCCTGGGTGATACAGCAAACCTCTGTCTCAAAAAAAGAAACAAAAATAAAAATAAAATTCCTGTAAATATTACTAGTTTGGATACTATAATACAGAAAAATACTGCTGAATGTTTCTCTAAAGAAGCATCTTAGTGTATGCTTGATCAATTATATCAGTCTCTGTCAAATAGGAAGTCAAACATTAGGAAATTACAGTGTTGGCTTTAAGTTCAGCATGTTTTCTCTTCTACATACCTCTGCACCCATAAACATCTGCAATATTTGTGTATAATTTTCAACATGTGGACTTAGATATTTGTTATGTCTGTGTTTACAAGGGTGAGGTAATAGCGTCATAAAATAAATCTCTGCATACATGCGAAAACTAGTTTCACTATTTTGACTGACTTGACAGTCAATGACAGAGTAAGGCAGTTGAAAGAACAATCAGGTTATTTGATTGACTTGAGTGAATAGCATAACCTGTTTCCTCTCCTTTGTCCACCCCAATTCCCCACCTCAACTTGATCCAACCTGTCAGTCAAACCCATCACATACAAACAAGTTTTCACTTGTAGACACTGTCTCTGGCAGAATCATTGAGTGCTGTTTTAAAAGTGAAAAGATCACCTTTACAAAAAGTCAACTTCATTTTATGTTATCCTTAACTTGTTCTTTCCTTAGAAATGGGCTGTGCTGGGTGTTTCTTCAAGTGCATTAAAATATCAAAATTTAATTATTTTATCACAATCCTATTTTAGGAGTCAAAATGCATTGCAGTAGAGTTTTTTCAATATTTACCTTTTGAAATATCTTGTTCAAATTCATTTATGCCATAAAAATAATATAGTTGAAGGTATTTTTCTTAATTGTTCTAAATGGAATTGGAGGTAAAAGGCAAAATGAAAAAGTTGTATAATGCTATGTCTGAATCTTATGTGAATATTTTAAAGACATATGTTTTAACTGCGGTTTATGACCACCTGCAATATCATTTTTAGCCCATGTTTCTTGCTTTTATTTTTTAACTTATATTTTGAGGTAGTTAAAACAACTTAACTACTAAGAAAAGGTACCTTTGTGCACTACAAAAAAAAGAAAATCAGAGCCTATATTTTCCACTGTTACAAGAAAATTGTAAGCCTAAAATTCTTTTCATTAAAAAATGCTTTTAAGATGCAACATTTTTGTTGTATTAAAGGACAAAAATTTGTTGAAAAAAGTTACATTTACTTTGACATCACAATTGAAGCTGTTAAAGAAAAATGAAGTTGGTCAGCAACCACTACTTTTTAACCGAGCACAGTCACCGACTTATGATTTTTTGACTTCACAATGGTGCAAAAGTAATACATATTCAGTAGCAACTGTATTTGAGCACCTGTACAACCGTTCTGGTTTTCACTTTCCAGTACAGTATTTGGTAAATTTTATGAGATATTTAACACTTTATTGTAGGCTTTGTGTGAGATGATTTTGCCCAACTGCAGGCTAATGGAAGTGTTCTGAGCATGTTTAAGATAGACTAAGCTATGATGTTGGGTAGGTTAGGTATATTAAATGCCTTTTTGACTTACAATATTTCCAGCTTACCTTGAGTTTATCAGGACATAACCCCATCATAAGTCAAGGCAGTCTGCAATCTTGACTTTGTCAATTGAGATGATATAAGAAGGCAAAATAGTAGGTGTTCAAGATTTACTTCAGCTCATCTTTATACTGTTCCTTCTGTTCAAATTTTAGCATGGGCACCAAAATCTACCAGCAACTCTAAGCCATGTAGGTGTAATGAAGAGTGGAGGAATAGCAGAAAAAAGGGGAAGAAAATAGGAGGAGGTGGTGAAGAAATGGAGAGTGAAGAAAACTGCCATCAAATGAAAACTAAAACTGTATTCTCGTGTTCATTAAAGAATATACGTGAAACTGAAAAAAAAAAGGACATAAATATTCACGTACAACGGTCCATATAGGGTCATCTTATTTTACTAGGACAGTAATTTCTTGCCATAATTTTGTTTGTTTTCTAAGAAAACCTTAATTTTCTAATTTTCTTGGTCAAAACTTGTTGTTTGCTTAACTTAAAACATACTTCAATGTTTTGTGGGTATAACATTCCTAAAATAAAAAAGGATTCATGTTGTATTATTTCTTGCATGTGCTGGAGAAGTAAAAATGCATCTCTAAATTTTCATTCCAGTAATGTTCCAGACTATAGGGAAAATACCGATGTGTAATATCATATGCTTACATGAGTCTCATGATACTATTCTAATTAAAATGCTCCTCCTTATAATCTGAACTTAGAAGAAATGCTGTCCTAAATTAAACATCTTGAACATCTTCCTGTGATAAAATCTCCATAGCAGGAAGTCATATGTACAAATTCTATTTCTGGATAAAAATGAATTTTACTTCAATGTTTGTGGCTTTTAAACATTATTATAAGCTTGCAAGTGTTAATTCAATTGCAGTGAGTCTTTTTTTACACTATTAAGTGTATTTAATACACTATTACATGCAATTGTTTGACAGTGAATATGCATAGAATTGATTTAGAAGCACATAGTATTTCCTCCCTCTAAATCTTTAGTAAATCATTTTATTTTAAATCAGGTTAATCAAAAATGACCCACAGAGGTGCTTATTTAATTTATTATGGAATTTATAAAATAGGTTGCCTGATAATGCACGGCTGCAGGTACATTCAAGAAATTGTACTTTGAAGAACAGGGAGAAAAAAAAATAACAAGACTTCACACAATTCCAGCATATTGTTGAAGACAAGCTTTCTCTGAGCAATGGAATCCAAAAGCTATCAGAAGGAATGAAAAGGGGCTTTTTCATCATTCTATATTACGCAAAGTTGACGGAATTAGAATCTATTAATAAAAGTAAAATGGGAGGAAATATCTTTGAAAAAAATCCATTTTTGCTTTCAGTACAATGAAACAACATGAGCATAGTAATTCCAATTATTTTTTATCTCCCACTTAAAAAACAAAGTGCCTACAATAAATTTTAATAATTTTGTGGGAAGAGGTCTGTATATATTTTGTGAACAATGAAGTATATAGCAGTGAAATGAATGCTTTAATGTACTTCACAGTAAAGAACAGGAGGGATAGATAAAAATTGTGGGAAAATATTACTTATGATTATATCTAGCTCATGATTATGTATCAATCATTATGCTACTTTTTTCTAATACTCTATGTTTAAAAATTTTCACAATAAAAGTAAAAAAATCATATAATGATAAATTTGGCTATTTATGTTAAACCTATAGCTACAATTTAAAACTTTTCCTATATTTGATGGAAACTTGACTAATCAAATATTATTCATCAGTCTTATCATCCACTATCAGCGGTCTTATCTAGGGAAAAATAAATGTCTAATAACATAAAGTATATCTTATCTATAATCTGTGTAGCTTTGAAATTCAAACTATCAAGATTCTTCTGCCCAGCCCTTCATCATGACTTTTTCTGTTGTTTTAGGAGAAAGACACCTCAAGCTAGTAAATAAAGTCATTTGAGGAGTTTAGTTCTAAAATAAAACAAAAACAAAAAACACCTTCCAAATAAATCAAACAAACAAACAAAGAAACACACACAATTTTAAGATAAACCCTAGGATTAATATGGATTTAACTCAAATATACAATAAATACAACGATCATTAATACCCGTTGTGATAGCACTGCAGCATTACAAGACTATAAGTTTAAAGAATAAGCAAATGTTGTTCTCTGTACTTTATTATGTGCATTTTCTAAGGCTGATAAGGATTTGTCACAAATGGATAAGCAAAGAATATCACTGGCATAATTTTAAATTAGCCAGATATCTTTTCCCCAAGCATCCTGTAAATACTGTATTTTACTTAGTTAGGCAATCTTTCAGCTCTGATACTCAAACATTTGTGGCTTGTGAAAAACTATGTTCAATGCCTTTCGATTGGGACAACATGGTAAATAAATTCAGAGATTTGGATCAAGGTTCAAAAACTCCTTTTACTTTCCTCTAGTGAAGAAGCTGTCTTCTCATAGGCATCACATTTGTCAAAAACACATTAATAGACAATGTTAGAAAATATGATTTAAAATTAATAGACTACTACTTTCATGATCATTGGTTAGAAGTACTCTAAATCCAAAAATACCTTAAAACATAGAAGTGGCACAGACTCATTTACTGAAATTTAGAAGAATAAAACTTGTAAATAGATTCTAAAAGCAAAAGTATCCATTTGTCTCCCTTAAAATATTTGAACAGTATTGAGGATGACACACACAAATAAGATATATATGAACTATTATGGATAATGCAGCTACTTATAGAACAATAACAAAACAATATTCCAAGCTAACCAAATCAGACTGATATAATTTTATTAAAATAAACAATCCAAACCAGAAGGAAGAAAAAATGAGATACTTCTCTTGTCTTCATAAAGTTTTGTACTATTTTCTGATATAATCTGCACATAAACATAATCTAGGTCACAGATTTCAAAAGTGATTTTTCTTTAATGTTTAGGTGTTAAATATACTTAGGCAAATTGGGTGAACCAAGCTAGCACAGATATATTTACTAAAAGCATTGTTAGAAAGTATAATATCCAAATTTCAATTATGAATCTATAGGAGAAAGCAAGGTATGTACCATTTGATCATGTCATCCTTTTGCATGGAACAGAGTAGGTGAATATGGAAAGTTAATATTCTACAGGACTCAATCTTGGGGAATGTGGGTCTAAATTTCAAGGAAGCAAACTGACATTAAATGTGCATCAACTGAAAAAGAAAAATGTTTATTGCGCCTGTTTTAGTTGTTCTCTTCTCCTAGGAAAATAAGTTAACCATATTTAGTTTCAATATCCGTTAAATGTAACTATTTTGCACACAGAATTTTTGAGGTAACTGTATTAAAAACCTTGAGCTCTAACTGATATAAAAAAATCAATGAAGGTACAGATATTCTTAAACTCCTTTCAAAGCCTATTTTTTGAAAGTCTACATTCATTCTTTATGATTCAAATATTTAAAGTTCATAGAGTCATTCTTCATAACTAAAACAGTGTAGCTATTATTAAAGTAGATTTCAGCTAAACTTTAAGCTTCTGTAACTGTAAGAGCTTTCAGGGTGAATAAAACGGAAAGTGAAGGCTTCGGAATACTGTACACCTCAGTGATCTTGAAACTCATTTTCCCAGGATAGAAGGGGAAGAGGTCACACATATATTCTATTTGATTCTATTTTGACAGGGTGAAGTGGATTACCAAAACAACAGTTCATGCATATTTAAAGAGGGAAGAAAGCACTCCTTGGGAGCTACAGCTTTAAGTGCTTTGTACACCAGATGTCTGCTTTTTAATGGGTCTTCTTATTTAGGAAACGAAAATGAAATTAGGAGTAGACCACATTTTCCCATAGAACAAATGTGCATATCAAATGAAGCAAATGGACATATCACCATTCTGTCTTATCACTAGCTTAAAATAAAGGAAAAATGTTTAAGTGAAAAAGAAATGCTTTAAACACATTAAAGAAAAGTTTTATAGTAAATGCTTGCATATGAAGATATAGTTTTTGAACAGCAGTTGTTTCCAAATGACATGAAGAAAATTTGAAGAGAATATAAACCAATAAAGCTCACATGAAGGGAAAACAGAATCTACTTTGCAAACCAATTCACTCTTACTTGCAAGTTCTTACATTCCTCTATATTTAAAAATAAGTTTCCATTTAAAAAAAAGTCTTCTGAAAAAGTCTTTCATCTCCTTATTACTCAGTTCTTCTGACTTTGAAAATCCTCTGCGATATTCAAATTCTGACAGGTTATCGGTAACATGTAACCCACTGGGGAAACAACACACACCAAATCAGTGAGATTAAAGGATTTTAAGCAGGTGCCATTCTCTATACCTAATTATTCATATTGACAATGTAGTATATTTCTATAGCAGGTTTTGGATATGATCTATATCTCAACTTTTAAAAATAAATGTAACATCTCTTTTCCACCTAGTGCTTTTGGACAGGAGGGTAAAGTAAGATAGTGTATTGAGAGTCCATTGGGCCGGGCACGGTGGCTCATGCCTGTAATCCCAGCACTTTGGGAGGCCGAGGTGGGTGGATCACAAGGTCAAGAGATCGAGAGCCTCCTGGCCAACATGGTGAAACTCCATCTCTACTAAAAACGCAAAAATTAGCTGGGAGTAGTGGCGGGTGGCTATAGTCCCAGCTACTCTGGAGGCTGAGGTAAGAGAATGGCTTGAATCTGGGAGGCGGAGGTTGTAGTGAGCCGAGATCGTGCCACTGCAGTACAGACTGGTGACAGAGCAAGACTCTGTCTCAAAAAAAAAAAAAAAAAGAAAAAGAAAAAGAAAAGAAAAAAGAAAAAGTCCATTGGGCTATCAATTTTTTAAAACAAATATATAGCATATTTTTTTGGACAACTATTGTGTATCTTCACAGAAATCCCCTTCTTTTGGGAATTGTTATTTTATAGATCTTTTCCAAACTGCCAAGTTTTTACATATCTTGGTGAACTGGTGAATGGATGGGCACTTGACGTAGAATAGTCATTGAGTTATTTTCATTTGGGGAACACTAGGTAAGATGCATGACAAGAAGATATATAAGAAGATCAATCTAGGGAGAGACCAAAACAGAGAGAGAGAGAAGAGGGGGCGGACAACAAATATTTGTGGGAGGTGTAGATATGAGATACACAAAAGACTGGATTGAGCCTGAATCCCAATATTAGCCTCTGCTTCCTTCTTTCACATTCGATCAGTGTCACCCTTACTAGCTTTAAAACAAAAGCCTCTTTTTAATTTAAACTGGCTGAAGTTGTATTTCTGCTGTATTTACCAAAAGGTTATCAAATAAAACAATGTAATCCTATACAACTCATTTTAAAAGAGTAAGCAACACCTTCTATCTACTTGGTCTGAATGATGAAATGTCAGCTTACGGAACCACATAAGGACAGCAAGGAATTGGGGAGCTCACACAGCACTGGCAGAGGGTGCCCAGTCAAGAACAAGTGCAGCAGAGGTATGAACCACTAGAGCCATGGAAAGACAAAGCTGTACACCAGGCCTATGTGGGTCTGCAGTGTTCATATAACTGATGTTTTCCTTGCCAAAAGTATTTAGCTCACGCAACCCAAGATGCATTGGAAAGCTTTACCATTACATATGTAAAGGACACTGACAATGGTATTTAACACTCAATGCTAACTTTGACTTCATTCAGATTATATTTTCCAATCTATTTCCTCTATTTTTTTATAATAGAAAAAGTATGGTTTCTACTATTATTCTACTATTATTTCTACTATTATACAACATAGCAATACTTAGGAGGTGAGTTCAACAATAATTCATCTTTTTTTCAAAAAGATGAATGGGTAACTTTGCTGCGTAGGACTGAAAGTTCATTAACGTCTAAATGATAAAAGAGATACTAATCTCTCTTCATGAGTCAGATGAAGTTAGTTACACCTACCATGAAAGTTTATTTATAACTTACATGATTTTAAGTATACATCACTGGAAGACTCAATGGTTCAACTAGAAGATTAGGAAAATGTCCATTTAATCATCTTGACAGAATAATGACTTTATTTTTTTAGAGAATCATTTATAATTTCCACAAGGAATCTAATTGAACTATATTAAAATAATAGAGATTATAATATTTAAATATTTTATTCGTATAAAAAATGACATATATAAATGAATACTTTTTAATATATGTAAAGCATTGAGTTAAAATGATTAATTTTAAATTAATAATCAATTTTTTACCTACTCTTAGTATGTCTATATTTTCATTTGCAGTTAAAATGTAATTTTTATGTATGGAGAAGTTGCCAATTTGTCTGTGAAAAGCTATAGTATGTTTTCTCGGCCAGGCGCAGTGGCTCATGCCTGTAATCTCAGCACTTTGGGAGGCCAAGGTGGGCGGATCATGAGGTCAGGAGTTCGAGACCAGCCTGGACAATATGGTGAAACCCTATCTGTACTAAAAATTACAAAAATTAGCCAGGCGTGGTGGCACGTGCCTGTAGTCCGAGCTACTTGGGAGGCTGAGGCAGGAGAATCACTTGAACCCAAGAGGCGGAGGTTGCAGTGAGCTGAGATCGCACCACTGCACTCCAGCCTGGGCAACAGAGTGAGACTCCATCTCAAAGCAAAACAAGACAAACAAAAAAACAGAACTATTAGTATGTTTTCTGAAGCCATGTTCTGAACAAATTCTATTGCCATCTATGCTTCTGCTTGGATATGTCATTGTTTCCATATTACTAAAGAACTTTGTCTTAAAGAAATTCAGATCTACATCTCGTATTTCACAAATATTTTTAAGATTATGTAATTTCAAAGATCTACAAATTTTCTACACAATGTGGATTTTTGATATGGACTGAAATTAGTAAAGGGCTAACATTTGCAAAGCATTTTTGAATGTCATATGTGATTTGATCTTCACAATAGCTTTGTGACTTGTAGACGGCAAATACTACTGTTTAACCATTTTACAAATCAGCAAACTGATGCTAACAGGAGCTAAATGACTTCCTTAAGGCCCATGGTCAATAGTAAAATGCAGAACAACAATTCAAATCTTTAGTGTCTCAGTCAAATACTTTACCCCCAAAAGAAAGCACTCAGGTGACATATATATATATACACACACACAGATATATATATATATATATATATATACAGATTATATATATATATATACACAGATACATATATATATATATATATATATATACACACACATACACACAGTCAAGATGATTCTCTCAAAATTTTACACATAAAATAAAGCTTAATAAGTTTGGTTATAATCATTTAACCAAATTGCAAAAGAAGGAGAACTACTAGATGGATGAAAAGGAGCAACAATGGGCACTCTATCTAAAAAGAAGTCGAGGCCCAGTGCGGTGGCTCACGCCTGTCTGTAATCTCAGCACTGTGGGAGGCTGAGGCGGGCAGATGACTTGAGGTGCTGAGTTCGAGACCAGCCTTGCCAACATGGTGAAACCCCCATCTCTACTAAAAATACAAAAATTAGCGGGGCGTGCTGGTAGGCACCTGTAATCCCAGCTACTCAGGAGGCTGAGGCAGGAGAATCACTTGAACCCAGAAGGCAAAGGTTGCAGTGAGCGGAGATTGCACCACTGCAATCCAGCCCGGGAGACAAGAGCAAGACTCCATCTCAACAAACAAACAACAAACAAAAATCGATCAAACATACTGCTAAAAGATATTAGAAAAATGAAAATTCCACTCATTCAAGAACATTTAATAAAATACTTTCAATGTGCTGTGTTCTGTGTTGGATTCTGGATGTAGAGTGTCAATGAAAATGTGCAGCTCTTGATACTGTAGCACTTCCATTGTAAAGGAAAAGTCAGACGCATTAGTCAGTCACAAATAAATGTGTCACTACGACTGCAGAATACTTATAATGGAAAAGAAGAGGGTGACATGATAACCTAATTATACTTCCTCTACAGGAAAGTATAATTTCAGGCCGGGCACGGTAGCTCACTCCTGTAATCCCAGCACTTTGGAAGGCCAAGGTGGGTGGATCAAAAGGTCAAGAGTTCAAGACCAGCCTGGCCAAGATGGTAAAACCCCATCTCTACTAAAAAATACAAAAATTAGCCAGGCATGCTTGTGGGTGCCTGTAATACCAGCTACTTGAGAGGCTGAGGCAGAGAACTGCTTGAACCCAGGAGGTGGAGTTTGCGTGAGCCAAGATCACGCCACTGCACTCAAGCTTAGGTTACAGAGTGAGACTCCATTTCAAAAAAAAAAAAAAAAGTATAATTTCAGCTGAGCTATGAAGGATGGTAGGAATTAAACAAGAAAAGCCTAAGGATCGAGAAAAATTCCAGGCAGAAATGTACAAAATACATTAGTATGAGAAGGAGGTTGGCATATTAAAGAAATGAGGTGGGCAGGCATGGTGGAAGTACAGAGTTTGAAGAATTTGCTTTTTAATACCCAGTCCAGTGAAAGCATCCAGAGCAAGGGGATTGAACACATCCATACATGATGATTAGACCCTACAAAGCATTAACTGAAACAGGATGTCTATGCTCTAAACTATGACTCATAATTTTCTTGGGATTTGGGAAATGCATATAGATTTGATAAAATCTCTTTTTGGAGATTTAAAGCTATCTTTGGCATGGATAATCAGGAGCTGACAATGTATCCAAACTGGGAAACATATAAATAATTTCAAAATAATGAGATAATCTCATTTGAGGGAGAACTACTCCTGTCTGTAATATTTCATTTACTTTTTTCGGTTCTTTTGTCCTTGTTTATGAAATAACAGTTTAGTCTAGACCCTGGGTTTCCAATATGAATTCCAGAAGCTGTAAAACTTAGACAATTTAATAAAATAGAATTAATCTAGATAGCTAGCTCACATGAGTGTCATACTCAAAGTATTGCCTCCTACAATTTTTATATAACTGGTTTCCTTTAGGTGTCATGCTAATAAGTTTGGATCAATTAATCACTGTAATTGCAGCTGAATATAATTAAGCATTTCATTTTGAGCTCTTCAAATATAATTCCATTAATTACAACATGAAACTAGGACAAAATAAAGAACTATTGACAGAAGATGACCAGGAGCAAAAAACACATCATCATGCTTTTTCAGCAGCCAAATGTTACATGGCTAAATCAGGTCCATGCTGACATTAAGTATGCTTATTTTCAAGTTGACAGTAGAAAAATCGGCCAGGCATGGTGGCCCATGCCTGTAATCCCAGCACTTTGGGAGGCCGAGGCAGGTAGATCACCTGAGGCCAGGAGTTTGAGACTAGCCTAGCCAACATGGTGAAACCCCATCTCTACTAAAAATACAAAAAGTAGCCAGGCGTGGTGATGTGCACCTGTGGTCTTAGCTACTTGGGAGGCTGAGGTAGGAGAATTGTTTGAACCCAGGAGGCAGAGGTTGCAGTGAGCTGAGATCGCACCACTGCACTCCAGCCTGGGCAACAGAGTGAGACTCCAGAAAAGAAAAGAAAAAAAGGAAAGAAAAGAAAAGAAGAAGGAAGGAAGGAAGGAGAAAAAAGAAAGAAAGAAAGAAAGAAAGATTAAGGGCCTTGCATGTATGGGTGTCAGCTTTACCACTCTAATTTTCCCTTGACAAGCTCTGTCCTGTCCCTTGAAGCTCTAACATCAATTACTTGGTGTCTTGAAATGGATCTTTACATTTTCAGGTTGAGAAGAATAAAAGTGGCTTTATGCCCTGGTCTCCCTAATCTATCTGACACACTTGATAAGAGTGATTTTTTTTAAATACAGTAATATAAGCAATAAATATATATTTTGAAAAAAATATGGCATTCTAAATAAAAACAAAATAATATTTTGTAATTCCACCTCTTTAGAGATAGAAGTAGCTTAATATTAAATTACTTTTGCATTAGGTTGTTTAAAAAAATTATTTGTGGGGTGGAGCCAAGATGGCCGAATAGGAACAGCTCCAGTCTACAGCTCTGAGCATGAGTGACGCAGAAGACGAGTGATTTCTGCATTTCCAACTGAGGTACCGGGTTCATCTCACTGGGGAATGTCGGACAGTGGGTGCAGGACAGTGAGTGCAGTGCACTGAGCATGAGCTGAAGCAGGGCGAGGCATCGCCTCACCCAGGAAGCACAAGGGGTCAGGGAGTTCCCTTTCCTAGTCAGAGAAAGGGGTGACAGATGGCACCTGGAAAATTGGGTCACTCCCACCCTAATACTGCATTTTTCCAATGGTCTTAGTAAACGGCGCACCAGGAGATTATATCTTGTGCCTGGCTCAGAGGGTCCTATGCCCACGGAGTCTTGCTCATTGCTAGCACAGCAGTCTGAGGTCAAACTGCAAGGCGGCAGTGAGGCTGGGGGAGGGGCGCCCGCCATTGCCGAGGCTTGAGTAGGTAAACAAAGCGGCCAGGAAGTTCGAACTGCGTGGAGCCCACTGTAGCTCAAGGAGGCCTGTGTGCCTCTGTAGACCCCACCTCTGGGGACAGGGCACAGACAAAAGGCAGCAGAAACCTCTGCAGACTTAAATGTCCCTGTCTGACAGCTTTGAAGAGAGTAGTCGTTCTCCCAGCATGCAGCTGGAGATCTGAGAACAGATAGACTGCCTCCTCAAGTGGGTCCCTGACCCCCGAGTAGCCTAACTGGGAGGCACCCCCCAGTAGTGGCAGACTGACACCTCACACGGCTGGGTACTCCTCTGAAACAAAAGTTCCAGAGGAACGATCAGGCAGCAACATTTGCTGTTCACCAATATCTGCTGTTCTGCAGCCTCCGCTGCTGATACCTAGGCAAACAGGGTCTGGAGTGGACCTCCAGCAAACTCCAACAGACCTGCAGCTGAGGGTCCTGACTGTTAGAAGAAAAACTAACAAACAGAAAGGACATCCACACCAAAACCCCATCTGTACGTCACCATCATCAAAGACCAATGGTAGATAAAACCACAAAGATGGGGAAAAAAACAGAGCAGAAAAACTGGAAACTCTAAAAATCAGAGCACCTCTCCTCCTCCAAAGGAACGCAGCTCCTCACCAGCAATGGAACAAAGCTGGACAGAGAATGACTTTGACGAGTTGAGAGAGGAAGGCTTCAGATGATCAAATACTCTGAGCTAAAGGAGGAAGTGTAAACCCATGGCAAAGAAGTTAAAAACCTTGAAAAAAAATTAGACAAATGGCTAACTAGAATAACCAGTGCAGAGAAGTCCTTAAAGGACCTGATGGAGCTGAAATCCACGGCACGAGAACTACATGATGAATGCACAAGCCTCAGTAGCCAATGCGATCAACTGGAAGAAAGGGTATCAGTGATGGAAGACCAAATGAATGAAATGAAGCAAGAAGAGAAGTTTAGAGAAAAAAGAATAAAAAGAAATGAACAAAGCCTCCAAGAAATATGGGACTATGTGAAAAGACCAAATCTATGTTTAATTGGTGTACCTGAAAGTGACGGGGAGAATGGAACCAAGTTGGAAAACACTCTGCAGGATATTATCCAGGAGAACTTCCCCAACCCAGCAAGGCAGGCCAACATTCAAATTCAGGAAATACAGAGAACGCCACAAAGATACTCCTTGAGAAGAGCAACTCCAAGACACATAATTGTCAGATTCACCAAAGTTGAAATGAAGGAAAAAATGTTAAGGGCAGCCAGAGAGAAAGGTCGGGTTACCCACAAAGGGAAGCCCATCAGACTAACAGCTGATCTCTCGGCAGACACTCTACAAGCCAGAAGAGAGTGGGGGCCAATATTCAACATTCTTAAAGAAAAGAATTTTCAACCCAGACTTTCATATCCAGCCAAACTAAGCTTCATAAGTGAAGGAGGAATAAAATACTTTACAGACGAGCAAATGCTGAGAGATTTTGTCACCACCAGGCCTGCCCTAAAAGAGCTCCTGAAGGAAGCACTAAACATGGAAAGGAATAACTGGTACCAGCCACTGCAAAAACATGCCAAATTGTAAAGACCATTGAGGCTAGGAAGAAACTGCATCAACTAATGAGCAAAATAACCAGCTAACATCATAATGACAGGTTCAAATTCACACATAACAATACTAACCTTAAATGTAAAGGGGCTAAATGCTCCAAATAAAAGGCACAGACTGGCAAATTCGATAAAGAGTCAAGACCCATCAGTGTGCTGTATTCAGGAAACTGATCTCATGTGCAGCGACACAAATAGGCTCAAAATAAAAGGATGGAGGAAGATCCACCAAGCAAATGGAAAACAAAAAAAGGCAGGGGTTGCAATCCTAGTCTCTGCTTAAACAGACTTTAAACCAACAAAGATCAAAAGAGACAAAGAAGGCCATTACATAATGGGAAAGGGATCAATTCAACAAGAAGAGCTAACTGTCCTAAATATATATGCACCCAATACAGGAGCACCCAGACTCGTAAAGGAAGTCCTTAGAGACCTACAAAGAGACTTAGAATCCCACACAATAATAATGGGAGACTTTAACACCCCACTGTCAACATTAGACAGATAAACGAGACAGAAAGTTAACAAGGATATCCAGAAACTGAACTCAGCTCTGCACCAAGCAGACTTAATAGACATCTACAGAACTCTCCACCCAAAATCAACAGAATATACATTCTTTTCAGCACCACACCACACCTATTCCAAAATTGACCACATAGTTGGAAGTAAAGCACTCCTCAGCAAATGTAAAAAAACAGAAATGATAACAAACTGTCTCTCAGACCACAGTGCAATCAAACTAGAACTCAGGATTAAGAAACTTACTCAAAACCGCTCAACTACATGGAAACCAAACAACCTGCTCCTGAATGACTACTGGGTACATAATGAAATGAAGGCAGAAATAAAGATGTTCTTTGAAACCAACGAGAACAAAGACACAACATACCAGAATCTCTGGGACACATTCAAAGCAGTGTGTAGAGGGAAATTTATAGCACTAAATGCCCACAAGAGAAAGCAGGAAAGATCTAAAATTGACACCCTAAAATCACAATGAAAAGAACTAGAGAAGCAAGAGCAAACACATTCAAAAGCTAGCAGAAGGCAAGAAATAACTAAGATCAGAGCAGAACTGAAGGGAATAGAGACACAAAAAACCCTTCAAAAAATCAATGAATCCAGGAGTTGGTTTTTTGAAATAATCAACAAAATTGATAGACCGCTAGCAGGACTAATAAAAAAGAAAAGAGAGAAGAATCAAATAGATGCAATAAAAAATGATAAAGGGGATATCACCACCGATCCCATAGAAATACAAACTACCATCAGAGAATACTACAAACAACTCTATGCAAATAAACTAGAAAATCTAGAAGAAATGTATAAATTCCTGGACACATACGCCCTCCCAAGACTAAACCAGGAAGAAGTTGAATCTCTGAATAGACCAATAACAGGCTCTGAAATTGAAGCAATAATTAATAGCTTAACAACCAAAAAAAAAGTCCAGAACCAGATGGATTCACAGCCAAATTCTACCAGAGGTACAAGGAGGAGCTGGTACCATTCCTTCTGAAACTATTCCAATCAACAGAAAAAGAGGGAATCATCTCTAACTTATTTTATGAGGCCAGCATTATCCTGATACCAAAGCCCGGCAGAGACACAACAAAAAAAAGAGAATTTTAGACCAATATCCCTGATGAACATTGATGCAAAAATCCTCAACAAAATACTGGCCAACTGAATCCAGCAGCACATCAAAAAGCTTATCCACCATGATCAAGTGGGCTTCATCCCTGGGATGCAAGGCTGGTTCAACATATGCAAATCAATAAACGTAATCCAGCATACAAACAGAACCAAAGACAAAAAACATATGATTATCTCAATAGATGCAGAAAAGGCCTTTGACAAAATTCAACAACACTTCATGCTAAAAACTCTCAATAAATCAGGTATTGATGGGATGTATCTCAAAATAATAAGAGCTATTTATGACAAACCCACAGCCAATATCATACTGAATGGGCAAAAACTGGAAGCATTCCCTTTGAAAACTGGCACAAGACAGGATGCCCTCTCTCACCACTCCTATTCAACATAGTGTTGGAAGTTCTGGCCAGGGCAATCAGGCAGGAGAAGGAAATAAAGGGGATTTGATTAGGAAAAGAGGAAATCAAATTGTCCCTGTTTGCAGATGACATGATTGTATATCTAGAAAACCCCATCGTCTCAGCCCCAAATCTCCTTAAGCTGGTAGGCAACTTCAGCAAAGTCTCAGGATACAAAATCAATGTCCAAAAATCACAAGCATTCTTATACACCAATAAGAGACAAACAGAGAGCCAAATCATGAGTGAACTCCCATTCACAATTGCTTCAAAGAGAATAAAATACTTAGGAATCCAACTTACAAGGGATGTGAAGGACCTCTTCAAAGAGAACTACAAAGCACTGCTCAGTGAAATAAAAGACGATACAAACAAATGGAAGAACATTCCATGCTCATGGGTAGGAAGAATCAATGTCGTGAAAATGGCCATACTGCCCAAGGTAATTTACAGATTCAATGCCATCCCCATCAAGCTACCAATGACTTTCTTCACAGAATTGGAAAAAACTACTTTCAAGCTCATATGGAACCAAAAAAGAGCCTGCAGTGCCAAGTCAATCCTAAGCCAAAAGAACAAAGCTGGAGGCATCACGCTACCTGACATCAAACTATACTACAAGGCTACAGTAACCAAAACAGCATGGTACTGGTACCAAAACAGAGTTATAGACCAATGGAACAGAACAGAGCCCTCAGAAATAATGCCACATATCTACAACTATCTGATCTTTGACAAACCTGACAAAAACAAGCAATGGGGAAAGGATTCCCTATTTAATAAATGGTGCTGGGGAAACTGGGTAGCCATATGTAGAAAGCTGAAACTGGATCCCTTCCTTACACTTTATACAAAAATTAATTCAAGAGGGATTAAAGACTTAAATGTTAGACCTAAAACCATAAAAACCCTAGAAGAAAACCTAGGCATTACCATTCAGGACATAGGCATGGGCAAGGACTTCATGTCTAAAACACCAAAAGCAATGGTAACAAAAGCCAAAATTGACAAATGGGATCTAATTAAACTAAAGAGCTTCTGCACAGCAAAAGGAACTACCATCAGAGTGAACAGAATGGGAGAAAAATTTTGCAATCTACTCATCTGACAAAGGGCTAATATCCAGAATCTACAATGAACTCAAACAAATTTACAAGAAAGAAACAACCCCATCAAAAAGTGGGCAAAGGATATGAAGAGACACTTCTCAAAAGAAGACATTTATGCAGCCAAAAGACACATGAAAAAATGCTCATCATCACTGGCCATCACAGAAATGCAAAGCAAAACCACAATGAGATACCATCGCACACCAGTTAGAATGGTGATCATTAAAAAGTCAGGCAACAACAGGTGCTAGAGAGGATGTGGAGAAATAGGAACACTTTTACACTGTTGGTGGGACTGTAAACTAGTTCAACCATTGTGGAAGTCAGTGTGGCGATTCCTCAGGGATCTAGAACTAGAAATACCATTTGACCCAGCCATCCCATTACTGGGTATATACCCAAAGGATTACAAAACATGCTGCTATAAAGACACACACACACATATGTTTATTGCGGCACTATTCACGATAGCAAAGACTTGGAACCAACCCAAATGTCCAACAATGATAGACTGGATTAAGAAAATGTGGCACATATACACCATGGAATACTATGCAGCCATAAAAAATGATAAGTTCATGTCCTTTGTAGGGACATGGATGAGGCTGGAAATCATCATTCTCAGTAAACTATCACAAGATCAGACAACCAAACACCACGTGTTCTCACTCATAGGTGGGAATTGAACAATGAGAACTCATGGACACAGGAAGGGGAACATCACACACTGGGGCCTGTTGTGGGGTGGGGGGAAGGGGGAGGGATAGCATTAGGAGATATACCTAATGTTAAATGACCAGTTAATGGGTGCAGCACACCAACATGGCACATGTATACATATGTAACAAACCTGCACGTTGTGCACATGTACCCTAAAACTTAAAGTATAATAAAAAAATTATTTGTGAGATTTTATTTTTCATCTTTAGAAACATAGGGGAATACCATTTGATGTTTCTTTACCGAGCAATATATGGTGAATACTTTTTATGTCAATAAATATTGTTCTAGAACAGAAATTTTAAGTCCTGTAGGGTATATTGTATTGTTATATGACAATTTTTAACAATATTATATTATTATCATAAAATTCTTTTTAACCTATGTCTTGTTTGTAGATATTTGTAATGTTTTAAATTAATTACTATTACAAAATATGTTGAAGAACATTAATTATGCATACATTTTTGAACATAATTTAGGAATAATTACTAGAAGAAAATGGCTAGGCTAAAATGCATGCAAATTTTTAGGCCATTTTCTGCAATGAAGGAGGAAAATTGAGATATTTGTACAAATGTCTCAATTTTCCACAATGAAGAAGGAAAATTGAGATATTTGTACAAATGTCTGTGCAGGATGCTGCTAACTATAGAAAAAGCATAAGCTTACCTCCAAAGCAGAAGAAAAAAATCTTGAGCTTTAGTACCAAATCCACAAATGTAATGTAGCCTAATTTATAATGTAAAGATTCTTGGAAACAGCCTAGAGAAACACAGAATTCAAAGATTTTTCTTTCAAAAAGAAAGATGTTTTGGGGTCATACATTCCATCTGTTGTAAAAGATCCCCACACATTAGAATCACCTGGGTGATTTTTACAAATCTCTGTCCAGACCCCACTCTGGACACAATAAGTAAGTATTTCTGAGTGAAGAATCTGGGAATCAATTGTATTTAAAAGTTATCCTAATAATTCTGATAAGGCCAGCCTGACATTCATCCTTGGACCAGCATTTTGGATCTACTATCTACTTCAATCCTCTAATTTTGTAGATTAGGAAACTAACTCCACAAACATGGTTTTTGTGCAACTCTTTAGTTGAATAGGCTGATCAAGGCTTCCTAAATCTCAAACGAGTGTCCTTTCCACTATATTAATTTGCCTCGGTTGTCAATATGGCATACCCACGTTATAATCGGCCCACTGGTTCTACCATTAAATGACCAACCAGGGAAGAAATTGATTGTCTAATGACATTCATTGCATCATCTCATAAAGTGGAGTGTGTGCCTAATGAATTATGTTTATTGCCATTTCCATTTTATTGCTTTTTTTTACCTTGAACGTATTGAAAATTAGATGGCATTGCAAAAGTAAAATACTGTTATGCAATTTTGCCTTCAGTTAAGATGTTTTTATGTGACACTAATCCATTAACCTTTTTGTAATATAAATATTTTGATAATCAGCAACAGAGATGTTTTTTGATTATCTAAGGCAAATGAATAGTTATTTTTTATAATTTATTTGGTCTTAGATTCATAGATCATGAAACAAAAATAACTGAGTTCCATTTTCTTCATTACTGTTTATATTGGCTGTGTGAAATTAACATTACCAGATAATTCTGGAATAAAGTTTTTAATAGATAATAGATGAATATCTGTACAAAAATCTTTATTTACTTTAGAAGATCGTGCCTGCTTTTCAAAGAATCACATGTGAGATCTGTTTCTTGAAATCATTTTATAAATTGTCAGAAATGAAGCAGAATTTTTTGTAATACATAAGCCATAATGATCTCTCAAAAATATATGAAACATATCAGGTTATTATTTAAAGCACTCCAGTGGTTCTTTTGGCAGATAAAATGAAGTCCAAGTACTAAGGTTTTAACCTACACAGCCCAATGTCATCTGGACATGCCTTTCTCTCTGAACTCATCTTCTGCCATTTTTCTCATTACCTACTATGACCAACCATATCGGTTTTCTTTCTTCTCCTCAAGAAATAAGAAAATATGGTTTTCTTAAAACCCAAATTTCAAATTACACAAATAACCCAGTAATTGTATCATAAGGCATAGAACCATAATCTATAGTCTATCTTCAAACACATATGAGACTGATTGCTCATTTATGGCTTTATAATAATAGTATCTGCCTGTTAGTTCTGTCCATTCAAATGGGTATATTTTGTCCAGTCTAATGGGTCTTCAGGAGCTAAGTTTTAACAGGTCAGGAGTCAATGAAAACACACTGACAATTCTAGTACTGTTTGTTATCAGCTATCCACATGCTATTGACCATGCCGGCTTGTGTAACTGTATCTATTGGTTGCAACTCAATCCCCATGTCCTTTAAAACAAAAGAAAACATAAATTTATTATAAAAGCAATTTATGATGTATCTATGTAACATAGAGCCTAATCAATTGCGCTAACATGAAATTCTCCTCAAATGCTAGATATTTTATCCAAAGCAAAATGTAGTTTTATAGATGAAAGAAATATATTCATAACTTTTAAATTCTTAGGGAGCTTTGAGTTCCAGGTGAGGTACTTTTTTAAGAGCTATAAATGAGTAGACAAGGTCATGAAATGAATAAATTTCCTGATCAATCTGCTCACACTAGGCAGAGGCTTGTCAAATGGTTTAGAATCACAAAAGAGACTGGGAATTAAACTCGGCATCAGCTAGTTCTAATGCGCACATCTTACTCTTTACAGGAGAGCGCTCAGGATAGATCCTTTATCTGAGCCAATTCCTGCCCTCGGATACTCACGGACAATTCCCACAGTGGGAGCGAATCCATCACAAGCTCCTGTTGTGTATGAAATCAATTCTCAAGAGCAAGAAGACATCTTTAGTGCCCACGCGTTTTGAAAAGCAGCAAGGATCTTAAAATGTCAGCTGCATGGAAGGCATATCATTAATAGACTTCACTCAAAGTAGTGAGAGGTTTAAACTCAGATGCAGTGAATCTGCAATTGCCTCACATTAACTGAGGATAGTCTTAAAACTGCTGCACACTAAAAGCTTATGACTGTCCTTTTATGATCACTGGAACGTTACCTCTATTTCCATTTTGGGAGCTGCACATCATCCCCATTGGAGAGTGAAAATACTTTTGGATTTTGTACAGCCACAACATACAAATATGTTAAAAATGAATTACAGTCTCATTTTTAACTTTTATCTAAAAATGATGTTATGACTCCACTTATGTACATTCCTATGCATATTTTAAAGATAAAATGATGGCTAAGTGAACAAAAGATAGAAGCATTAGCAAAAACCTTAAGTTAATGAGAGGCATTTAAGCATCTAAATACATAATTCAGATCAAAACTTTAATTCTGACTTATGTCATATAGAAGAGTTAGTTTAAATTGACGCTTACTATGAAAAATGTGACTGTCCGAATGGATTTTTGGTATCATATAAAGTTTATCCTATTTTAGAATGATTCTAACTAAAATAGATAGAAAAAGAAATAATTGTCCAGTTAAATGCTCCCATATCCCAAACTCCTTCAAAATTTTAGATCTCTTATAAGAGAGACGATTAGAGAAGCAGATAAGTGGTAAGTGAGAAAAACAAAACATAAATAAAAATAGTCTTTATATTATTTATAACTATAGTTTGCGTTGCCAAATAAATCAATTCAATTAATATTATGCCCATATTTGCATACGATTGTTTAAACTATATTCTTTATTTGTAGTTTATAGGTACAAAATGTTTATGATGCAAAGGTTAGTTAGTGTCCTTGAAATCACCAATCCATTAATGAAAGCAGAAAAAATACTGTGTACCATTAACGAGCTGGTCCCACATAATGCATAGCCTTGGTTTGAGCTGTTTGTCTATGTTTTTCTTCTTTCATCAATGGATTCTGGAATTCTTGAATGGTTTCATCAATGGATTACAGAATTCTTGAATTCTCTATCAATTCAAGAATATTGCAACGTTATTTAGAATGTCCATCAAAAACTTAAAAATGCCAAGTAATTATTTTCTGATGAGAGTACTACTAAATTAATTTCATGCAAAAAAGGCTAGCATTAAAATTACCTTATTCCAAAAAGAAATAATATAAAAATTTTAAAAATATATATTATCTTCTTTATGAGTGAGACTGTGTTCCTCAAAAAGATATATTGAAATTCTAAATCCCAGTACCTATAAATGTGACCACGTTCGGTATAGAGTCTTTGCAGGCATAATCAAGTTAAGATGAAGTCATACTTGGGTAGGTGGTTCTTTAATACAATAAGACTGGAGTCTTATAGTAAGAAAGGTCTGGGCACGGTGGCTCACCCTGTCATCCCAGCACTATAGGAGGCCACAGCAGGCGGATCACAAGGTCAGGAATTCGAGACCAGCCTGGCCAGTGTGGTAAAAACCCGTCTCCACCAAAAATGCAAAAATTAGCCAGGCTTGGTGGCGGGCACCTGTAATCCCAACTAGTTGGGAGGCTGAGGCAGGACAATCGCTTGAACCCGGGAGGTGGAGGTTGCAGTGAGCTGAGATCGCGCCATTGCACTCTAGCCTGAGCAACAAGAGCAAAATTCTGTCTCAAAATAAAATAAAATAAGAAAAAAACAGAGAGAGAGAGAGAGATGCAGGAAGAGCACCATGTTAAGACAGAAAAAAAGCGAAGACAGCATGTGAAGAGAAGGCAGAGACCGGAGTTACGCAGCCCAACCAAGGAATGCCTGAGGGCACCAGAAAATGGAGACACAAAGAAGGATCCTTCCTCAGGGCATTCAGAGGGAGTGTGTCCCTTGATTTCAAATTTCCAGTCCCCCAAAACTGTAAGATAATGCATTTCTGTTGTTTTAAGCCACTCATTTCGTAGTAAATTGTTACAGTCACCCTAGGAAACTAACACATTCTTATTCCCTGTAACCCTGATCTTACGCATGTTTCAAGTGAGAACCTTTCTATATATTTCAATATTTGCCTTATCTTCACTCAAAGTGAGTTCCTTATCTTTGAAATATAATCGGCAGTATTATTTTTGCCCATACATTAAAAAAGTAAAATTGTTTCTACAATAGTGCAACTTATTAAGCTGGTTTAAGACTACATGTGCATGTGATATGGAGAGGAGACAGGGAAATACGGTAGAAGAGGAAGGTTCCCATGCAAAGGCCCCACCCTCAAGTCTGGATACCTGCTGCCCTTAGGGGGAATAGGCATTTCTGTTTTCAAGCCCAAAAAGTTGCCTTTTGGCCTGCCATGTCCCCCCATCCTGTACCCACATAAACTCCCAACCCCAGGCTCCAGGAGCAGAGAAGGAGGCAAGGAGATGGAGAGACAAGCAGATGAACAGCAGAACGGCACGGCAGAGAAAGAGAGAGAAGAGAAGGAGTGTGAACACAAAGCTGAGTTCTGCTGGGGGTGCTCAGAGAGGAGTTTGGCCGCTGGACAGCCAAACTTTAGGGGAGGATCATCTTCCCAGTCCATTGCCCCCGCCCAGCTCCCCACTGAGAGCTACCTCCGCCACTCAATAAATTCATCCTTCAAGCCCATGTGTGACCCGATCCTTCTGGGACACTGGACAAGAATTCAGGATACAGAAAGCTGTCACACTAGCCCTCTGCCCTGGTGAAAAGGTAATGGTTCCACTGAGCTGGTTAACACTTAAGCTGTCTGCGGACAGAAAGGCTAAAAGAGCATTGCAACACTGGAGCCCCAGGCATCCACTCCTAGATACTACCTACCACGGGGCTGCAGCCCAGAGCACTTGCCCCGCCCGGCTCCTGCACCTGCCGGTCTGTGCTCCCCTCCCGTCAGGGGTCTGAGCAGCCGCAGCAACTGAACAGGGGAGCTACACCCCTGTCACAGGCCCCGCAAGGGGAATCAGTGGACTGTCGCGTTTCAGTTGAACTGCTGATACGAATCTTGACCCATTCCTATCTCCCTACCTAAATTTTAGTTAATTTAATTGGGCAGTATTACACCTTTCAACAAAACAACATGGATAATCTGTCTTGAAGCGTATGTTTTTGTTGTGGTGGACACATTTACAATTCGAGAGAAAACACTAAATTATAAAACATGCTGTCAGGTGGCCCACTGGATAGTCAATTGGACCTCTAAAAGGAAGGATGAAAATTGCATATTCTAGAAAAATTATTAACTATTTTTCTATGTTTATTAGAAATGAAGGGAGGCCTAGAAGTCTAAAAAGTTTCAAAATACAAACTTAAACATATAGATTTTTAAAATTATAAAAGCCTAACAAAAAAACATGGCACTTAAAGCTACAAAACTCTTGCCATAAATGCATCATAAAAATGATTTCACATATTTGTTGAGGGACAAAAAAAGCTGAACCTTAATTCTTTATCATCTATCAATTAAGCATCAAATATAATTTATTTAAAGTAAAAATTCTTACAGTTTGGATAATGTGAACAAAATAAAAGTAGCATATTTTGCTAAAAAAAAAGTAACATATTTTAGTTGCATGCACTGAATGCCATGTTATGATCAGGGAATTACTATTGATTGTGAGGAAGCAGGTTCAGAGGTAAAAATGGAGTTGTGCTGGGTTGCTGAACCTACATCTCTAGTTCCTCCTAGGATACTGAAGAATTAAACCAGGTTTTGCTGGGAGCCCTAACTCAAAATAGACCTCAATATATTTTACATAACCAAGATGGTGAGTCATTCTTATTTACTTTCTACTATAAAGCACATTTATCTCCTCTGTAAGTTGTGTTCATGAGGTTAAGGCCAGGCCAAATTGTGGGCTGTATTTTATCCTAAAAGAGATAGTTGCCAAAAGAGAGGCCTTACTTTTATTAAAGTTACTTTTTCCATGCAGAGAGGCAACTTTGCATCATAATTAAGGGCATAAGTTTTGGAAGCTGTGTGGCCTTGAAGACATCCATAATTCACTTGTACTTCAGTTTGCTTATCTGCAAAATCGGTGTGAATAAAGTTCCTGTCTCATAGAGTTGCAGCAAAAACTGAATGAGAAAATACTGCTAAATCAATTCCAACAGCGGCAGTTTCAGCCGCCACTATCAACACAATCATTATCAAAATGTCTTGTAAAGAGAAGCCTCGAAGCCTCTTTCAATAAAAATGTGAAGTAGTATAAGGGACGAAAAAATGAAATCTATGTGAATAATAAATTGGCATTTGGTTTCTTGAAAAAGACAAGTCTGATTCAGTAACTTTTACAGAGAAACTATATTCAAACACTGTAAAACTGACATTTTAAATTTCAGCACCATCATTGGCTTCCGATAACTCGGTTACACATCAATCTTCCTTATTCAGGTTTTCCTTCCCAAAGATATAAAACCTGATTTATTTTTACACAGTAAGCAGTCTAAGAAAAAAACAGATGCTTAACCTAAGATTATTTGCAAATTCTCAATATGCCGTAACAGTACCCCACCCCCAAGAACTGAGTGTGATCAATCACCCTCAAGACATGTTTGCATCAAAGATTACTTAATTTTGTTAGTCAACACAATCAGAAGTGTGGATAAAGTGATCTAGCAAAAAATATTTTACAAATCACATAAATCCTTCACACAATTAGGGTAGCACATTTATGTGCAGTGCTTTTATTCTTTAAGCATATTTGGAACTGGAACAATAAATTACTTGTTTTATTGATTCGCTGGACATAAAACAAAACGTCATGATAGGGAGACATACCTCCCTTCAAATCCCAACTGACTTTACACCATGACTTGATATTGAAAGCTCTCTGCTGCCAACCAATCCAGCTACATTCCTGTGAGTGGCTGAGATTATGTTTTCCTACATGCTAAAATACACTGTGGATAAGGGCATCTCTGCTGGAAAAGTTCGGAACCACAGCTCTGCTAGAAACTGTCCTGGATGAGTATTTTCTGTCCTAAGGCCTTTGCCTTAAACTTGGTCATGTGATCTTGAGAAGGTGAAAAATTTCATTTCATGAAGCTGCTACCATCACCCAGGGAGGCACCTGATAGGCACTATAATAAATATTTGATGAATGAAGGAAATAAAGAAGAAAGAAAGAGAAGAAGAATGTGAGGAAGAAGGAAGGAGGGAAGGGAATGGGGAAAGAGAGAATAGAGGAAGGAAGATGGAAAAGAATGAAGTCGGGGAGTCAAGTAATAAGTTGAGGGCTGTCTTAGATTTCTTAGATTTCATTACTCATGCTAAGAAAAAACAAATTATCTATGAATAATAATTTTTAAAGCAAATGATGAAGTTACAAGGACAGAAATAACTATATTTCAGAACAACCTCCTCCCAGCTCATTTCCCTAAGTTTTAATGAAAAGGATGACAGATGTATATTAAAAACACTAGTAGTTGTTACTATATCACCCCTCCAGAAGTATCATTAATTTGACTTTCTTCAAACCATTCAGCATTTCTCTATCACTCTAAAATGTAGATGTAATCAGATAAAGCAAATTAGAATAAAGTATCATGAGGTAGAAGTGTTGTGCACTGCAGAAAATGTGTTGATACCATTTTGTACAGTCACAATGATCAACATTTTGTATAACAAATGCTATTAACACATATGGTTAAAACTCAGAAAAAACTCAATGACCAGTAGTTTCACAGTTGGATGGCTTCCCTCTGATCGTTGATACTATTCTTGACTCTTTCTTTGACTTCTAAAATGTGCATACCTATCTAGGCATGCAGGAATTAAAGCTATTGCTTTAATTAAAAATGTAGATTGAGAAACATACACACTCCTCAATTAGCTCTAAATAGCTTGTATATATAATTTGTTTTAATCCTAGGAATTTGTGAGTAATCTAAATGTACAATTTTTAAGTTAGTAAAACCCATTAGGCCACCCATAACTTGTTTTGTCCTTGAAGATCAAGGCAAAAATCTAAAGATAAACAATATTTAGGAAGCTGGTTGTTGGCAGTTATATCTCACCGTTTCTTACTGTAGATTTTAGAATACAAGTCTAGTTTTTTGTGTTTTTTCCCCTCATGGAAATAATACCCATGACTTCAAAATCAAGATCCAGCTATTATATAAATTTTAGGCAACAAATACAATGAATATGCACAAGTTCAGTTCAATATGCACATGCTAAGACACACAGAAATAAATGCCCTATTGCAATGTCACATACAGTGAAAGGAAACAGACCAACATACTTTTATGTAAAACTTAAATATGAAAAATTGATATTATATCTTCAAATGTAAAAATATATGAGTTTCTAAAATATTTTATCATGTTCCTTGGTCTTCAAAGGTTCAGCGGCCTTGTTATTAAATCAATTTAGAGGCACAAAGAGTAACATCATAAATATAACTTAAAAAATAAGAAAAATTAAACTGTAATTGTTATTATGTGCTCAAGTTCCCAGTTAAGCACAAATCGCTGCAATGGAGTTTGCTGCTTTCTGGAAAGATTTTCCACTTACATTATCCTATAACATTTATAAAACTTCTTAGTGGCGAAATGGTCAGGTATTCCCTCACTAAAAAGAAAAAGAATGTGAAGTTGTAGAAAGAGCACAAAATCTAGAAAGTTCTGGGTTCAACTCCAGGTTGTTCTATTTTATGAGCAGTGTGACCTTGAGCAAGTTACATAAAATCTCTGTAGCTTTGGTTTTCCACACTGAGCATAAGGAGGTTAATACTATCTTACCCTACAAAGTTGTTATAAGAATAATGAAGTCATATAGCTTCACTAGTTAGGTCAGTGATAATGATGAACACCTAGTAGGAGCTTCATATATGATAACTAGAAAGAACAGGAGCAATGACAGAGGTAGCAAGTTTAATAATTGCATTCGAATTATATATAATCCTTTCAGCCAAAAGACTTGTGCTACTGTGTACTTATGCATTGCCTGGAATTTGAGGCCTTGGTGGGCAAAAGGTGTGCCTGGCCTATGGTGTCTGTGGTAACCCTCGCTTGCCAGTTGGTATGTTATTCAGACACAATGTGCTTAACCATATCAGCCCTCCAGTTACTGGTAACTAACACACCATATACCATCTCAGAAAATAAAATGGCTTTTAGGTATTTCTCCTTTTAAGAACATTCTCATTGTGATTGTTTTCATTTTCATTGTCCAAAGTCATATGGTGACTAAGAAAGGAGCTGAACTATAGCCCTTCTGATAAAGCTTTACAATGGAAAGAACAGCTGGTCTGCCTGTAGACTAGGAGCATCGTCTTTATGCAAGACAAAAGAACTGTTCATGGGACCCTCAGCCTGCACATAACACAATATAAATATTGTTTTTGGAAAACTTTTGTATGACTGATGAGGGGGTGATACCCATTTAATTTTTGAAATTTTTAAAAGTTGCATTTATTGTGTTTTTCTTCGTGGCTCTAAAATTGATTTAATAATAACGACACCTACCAAAAGTAACCAGATTTGGAATCTTTCAAATGTTTCCTGCTTTATTCCCTTTACCTATAGAAACTAAAATATATATATATATATATATATATATATATATATATATATATATATATATATATAAAATATGTTAGTTAGGATATACATACACACAAATTATTAGCATATATTTCTTTACTACTACATTTTAAAATGTTGGAAAAACATTGTTAGAAGGAAAGTCATTCATAACACCTTCCAAATGCAATCTTCTTTCAAATAGTAGATAGCTTTGTGTGTCTCCTTCTAATGTCGTTTTTATACATACTTATACATCTAAAAGTGTATAATTTTTAAATTTATATAAATAAAATCCTGCTCTTTTATTCACTTACTTGTTGCATGCAATAATATGTAATAAGAATATTTCCATTACAATATCTCTAAGAGTATATTTCAATGGAATATAAAGAATAACTAATTAGGCCAGGTGCAGTGGCTCATGCCTGTAATCCCAACACTTTGGGAGGCTGAGACAGGAGGATCACTTGAGCACAGGAGTTCAAGACCAGCCTTGGCAACATAGTGGGGTCATCATCTCTATAAACAACAAAAAAAAAAATTAGCGAGGTACGGTGGCACAAGCGTGTTGTCCCACCTACTCAGGAGGCTGAGGTGGGAGGATTGCTTGAGCACAGGAGGCTGAGGTGCAGTGGGCCGTAATTGTACCACTGCACTCAGACCTGAGGAGACAGTGAGAATCTGTCACAAAAAAAAAAAAAAAAAAAAAATGGTGACTGAGTCCATCAGAATAAAAACAGCCTCAGTCACTGAGTGTCCGCTATGAATAGATGAATCAGCTAAAGAACAAGACATCAACCATTTTGGCTAAGAAATCACTGACTTTCAACCTGTAATAAAAACAGCTGAACTTGCCTATATGATTTTTCTCTGAATATGCTTGTGGTGGCTCCCTGGTCACCTCCTGACCACCGTCATTTAAAGACTGGTGGCTGACTGTGTCTGCTCCTACCATCTGCAAGCTCAGGCAACATCCCTATTTCCCCAACTGGTGTTCAACCAGGTTCTCCTTGGTTTCCAAGGGAAACAGGCAATGATGATTTAAGACTTGTTAGATAAAAACTCCAAGGTATGGCAAAATAAGAGGGAAAACAATTGCATGAAAAAGTGAAGGAGTGGGTACTGCCTCAAAGAGATAAAAATCCAGGAAGGAATCTTGCATGAGATGATAAAATATCTTTCACCAGAGGAGCAAACACTTTATCTTCCACTGAATATTATCCTGCTGGGAATCATTGCTGTTGGTTACAATGTCATTTGTATGTATCACCCTGTATTTTATTTATCTGTTTACACACTTGTCTCCCTTGAGTCTGGAATCTTTGAGGGTAGGGACCATTGAATGCCAAGGACATTAACATAGAGCATATTTTTACAAAATACTTGGTAAAATAAAATGTCTTTCTTTTTTCTTTTTTCTTTTTTTTTAGGACAGAGTCTCGCCCTGTTGCCCAGGCTGGAGTGCAATGGTGCAATCTCAGCTCACTGCAACCTCCACCTCCCGGGTTCAAGCGATTCTCCTGCCTCAGCCTCCCGAGTAGCTGGGATTGCAGGCACACAGCACCATGTCTGGCTAATTTTTTTGTATCTTTAATAGAGACAGGGTTTCACCATATTGGCTAGGCTAGTCTAGAATTCCTGACCTCAGATGATCCGCCCACCTGGGCCTCCCAAACTGCTGGGATTACGGGCATGAGCTACTGCGCCTGGCCGTAAATAAAATGTCTTTCTAAGAAATATTTTGGGGCCCGGCTGAAAAAGCCATGTACAATCTGAACTCATTCCTTTGGTCCTCAAGTGTCCCACTATTGGGACATTGCCACAATGACCTTCTAACCTCCCATTAGTTAACTCTAGCCTTTGTTCACTGCTCTCCAGCCACCGGACCTTCTTTCATTGCTTTAAATCAGCCAACTGCTTTTTCATCTCAGGAAGTTTAAGCAGGTGGTTTTTGCTGTCTAAAATTTCCTTCCCCTAGGTCTTTATAAGACTGAGTCTTTCTCATCCTTGAGTTTCAACTTAAATGTTTCCTTCTCAGTGCTGACCACCCTGACCAGGCCTTCCTGCTATTCTCTATCAATCACCCCTTGCTTTAATGTATGATGAATAGACATTATTTATAAATAAAGAATGTAAGTAACAAGGAGATCATGCAATTTCTTTATGCTTATGGGTTATCAAAATTTGAAAAACTGTGCCCGTAGTAATCGATTCATTTGTTCACTAGTTCACTTATTCAATCAAATATTTATGAAGCACCTACTATGTGTCAGGCACTGTACTGGGTGCCAGTGATACAAATGTGAATAGGACAAAATTCTGGCCCCTGTGAAGCTGGCATTCTAGCTAGGGCCTGGAGTACAAATACACAAATAGACTTAGCTCATTCCCCCTCACCCCCATCTTCAAAGAGAGCAATGTTGTATCTCTCTGACCTGCCTTCCATAATTACATCTCCCTTTGAATACAAAAGGGGAAGGTTCTCCACATTCTAGGTGCATGTAACTAGACTGGCCACACCCAGATAACCTGAGATAACCTCCCATTTCAAGGCCCTAATTAAATCAAATCTGTACAATCCCTTTTGAGCCATAAAATAACAGTTCACGGTTTCTGGGAATTAGAACATGGATATCTTTAGAGACCTTTATTCTGTCTAGCAGAGAAAGCTAAATTGATTTTTTCTCAGCTTCCTTTGCATTGGCTGTTGAAGTCTCACCCCCTTTCTGATGGCAGAAGCATAAAGGTCAGCAGTGTTCAAATCAGTTCCTCTTTTTCCAGACATTTTCTTACTAGCCCTGACTCAACTTCACTAGAACCAACAGGACCTAAATAGATTCCATAATCAAACTTGTTTTTTAAAGAACGTAATTATTTTACCCAGTCTCTTTTCTGCTCCTACCTGATGCTTAATAGCAAGTTGCTTTTTGGCAGTGTGCCTCATGGACCCAGTTAAGATGAACTCCAGACTGAATATTCATTGCGAAGTAGATTCAGTGAGGTTGTCTATTGCTCATTAATGAAGCTTTCCACCTAAGCTCATCCAACACTAGAAGCAGTTGATACCTAAGTATACATATAATTCTCATTAAAACTTGCAAACATGAAAGGTGTGAAATTTCAGCTTTGGAATTTGGAGGAATTGAGATTTCAAAATGGGATTGAAGACTTTCTTCAAGAGAAATCACACGGAAGCCTTCCCACCCAGCAGAAATATTTTTTCATGATTCCATAAAATATTTTAGAAGATAGTGGTTTCCTGTGTAGAACATTAGGACTGCTTGAACAATTGGAGGGTCTGCATTATTCATTTTACTTTTTCTTTTTCTTGTTTTTTTTTTCTCTACCTTCTTCTTTATCAAAAGCAATTTCATTAGGTCTCCTTTTTTTTAATTAAGCCAAATTGTTCTCATATTTTGCCCTTTTTTGATATATTAGGCTCAATATATAAGTGAAATTTTCCATTGAACGAGTCTAATCAGTTAAATCTATTTCCTACTTGTACCTGATTTTGCTTAATCAGGTGTAAGCAGGAAATAAAGAACATATTTTTCTACATTTGCCTAAGGCAAACAAGTTTGCAACTCCACCTATGACTTAACTCAAGCCATTTTTTATTAATGCAAATTAAAATAATAAAGATTTATCTAAAATGAATATATATGCATGAATTAATAATAAAAATCAATAAATAACATGTACATATGCCCTTGAACTGCCACAATGTATTTAAGTATATTCTGATTAAGTACACATTAATTAGGTTTTAAAAAGTATAAAAGAGCAAAACATAACTATTTGTTGAGTTCTGCAAATGGAAAAAAAAAAGATGCCCTCCTCATCAAATTTTGCAACTTCAGTAAAATAAATATTAAGCATATGTCTCAAACCATCTGTTGCAAACTTTCAAAAACACAAAAACAATTTAGCAATTCCAAAGAGATCTGGGTTTGCGAATTCTCTGTTCTTTGTAATTGAGTTCCAGGTTAAAAAAAAAAAAAAAAAGCAGGGTATTTCTCAACTACATTTTTAATGCAACATTCAAATACCGTAGTATTGGACTAATCCTACAGACATTCGTACTACAATGTATAATAGCTGGAATTACACAACAGGCTTCCAAATGGATTTCTCACATTCCCATACAAAGCATGGTGAGCACCGCGCTACCTGTCTGGGGCTCCCCTATTAGCTGTCTACTGCTGCTCTCCCAGCAAGTTGCCAGGGAAGGCTCTAAATATATTTGATTAGTTTCAGGCCTTCATTTTTAGCGAGTCATCACCCTCTTAACAGCAGATGATGCCCCCTAGTCCGAATCAATGTGAGTGGCCCTGGTTACAATAGGCTGGATTAATGATGAAAAATGTGTCGTCAGCCTAGAGGTCCTTGGACATTTATCACCCAATGGGCCTGCCAATTGGTGGGCAGTCCCTGGCTCATCAGCGCAATACTTGCCTAGCCTTAAAGAGATCGTGTTCTTTTCGGGATAATATAATGAGGTCTGGTAGGTGGGGAGACGGACCTGAAAGACAGGTAACTTGACAGATTTAGGTTCCATACAATTCAGCACTTCTATAACAAGTGTGCTTCTTCTTGTAATATAATTTTGCAAGGCAAGTACAGACAATTATTATAAGCTATATCTGGAAGTCTAAAACTGCTTATATTTCGTTCTAAAAAGTTTTCTTATAAAGCAAGCCTAGAATGTTTTATTAATATAGATAAGACAGATTTAAAATGTTTGCTGTGAACTATACTTCCAGGAACTTTAAATGTCCAATTGTTAAAAAGAAGAGAATCTTTAAAATTATTTTGTGTTATCTGTTCCTTTTTCCTTAATTTCATTTGCAATTTTACTGTCAGTTTAGATTTTTTTTCTTGAACTGCTCATCAGTGCATTTACCTTCATTTGAAAGAGAAAAAGCTATATAAACCTAACTTAAATAAAATTTCCTTTGAAAAATGTTTACATCATTCTGTTTATAACTGCTTAATATTTCATTGATTGACTTCCTGTAATTCTCCATTTCACCAAAGTATTGGACATGTAAAAATCAAGATAATAAAATGTTCTACATTTTGTAAACAAGTCAGATATAATATAAAAAGATGCAATGACAAATTGCTCATATGGCAAATTTAACGGGGAAAAAAGAATATTAGATTTATACTCTGTATAGCGTCCTATTTACCTGAATGTAATGAAACTAGGAGAAAAACATATTTGAAGGGGTGGTTAGGCACTGAAAGGAAGCAACACCACATTTCTCTCATGGGTTGAGATTTATAAAAGGGAATATATTGATAGATTTTACTGCCATTTCCAACATGCAAAATCCTAATTACATTGCCCCTATATTATGAAATTCTTTCTTCCAAGAGCCATGTAATATTTAATTTCCAACAATGGAAATTAAATATTTATACTAATACAATGATTACTATAAAAATGCATTTGTGATAGAAATAAAATATTACAAATCAAGCTTTATACTATAACTATTCCTTCATCCAATGCCATATTTCTAATAACCCAATAATGCAATTTTATATTTTCTATTTTGTCCTAATGGCCAAAAATCAATCATTTCAGGCAAAGTTTTAAACAATAAAACAGGTCAAAGACAGAATAAACTAATAATCACAGTTAACCTAACACTGATTCCAGAAAATTTTAGAGTTCTTTTTCAAATTGGTAAAAAGAGATTTATAAACAAGATTTACCCAATGAATATACATATGTCAATTAATGAATTCCCAGTAATGAATTCAAGTAATGAATTCAACTTGTTGAGTTGAATAAATGAACTCATTTTTCTGCAGTCACTAAAATAAATCTTAAATACAAATCTAGTATATGTAATCAGAAGATTTTAATGTAAGAAGGAGTCTGAAGTAACCAGAAAGTATGGAAGTGAGATTAAGTAACAGCCAAAGAAAGGAGCTGCCAAAGGTAACTAATAGCCATGTTAAGTTTGGCATAAGTGAACTTACGTAAAGAACAGTAGGTCCAGGGACCACAGGACAACTAGGCATTAATTAGCAGGAATGGGGCCAATGACAAGAAGAGATCTTCAGTGGAGAGACCCCCAGAGAATCTGGAGCAAGTCTGTAAATTGATTGATTGGATTAAGCTGCCACTGATCCTACTGTCAACTGTAACTATAAGAACTAGCTTATTATACAAATGTTTCTGGGTTGGATGTGAAATAATAAAAACAAAATATTTGAATCAATATTCATGCCCATTGGTGTCTGTCATCAACTGTCATCTCACACAACATGTTACTTTGCTTTTATTTGCTTTTGATTTTGACAGTTGTGTGGGAAAAACAAAACAGAATATAAAATTAATCTAAATATCTGAAAATATAGTTCCTGATTTTCACATTAAAAAACAGATGAATACTTATTTGTCAAATAAATAATTCCTAGTAGCACTATACTTAGTATGCAGAACTTCAAAAAGGAGGGGGTAGGCTTCACTTTATTCTTTTTTTTCTTCCAGTTTTATGGAAACTGGAAAAATTTGTATAAATTTTAAGAAACATCAGGGGTTTTGCATCAGTCAGAACAAGAACTTGTTCAAAGAGCAATTCCCTATGGTGCAAATTCTTAAACCAGAGGGATGATATAATTTTATTTCCCTGTGCTGATTAGGTCATGACCTGTCCTCACCCTTTGCTACTCCAAGG
Organism: Homo sapiens; assembly: GCF_000001405.40. NCBI lineage: Eukaryota > Metazoa > Chordata > Mammalia > Primates > Hominidae > Homo > Homo sapiens. The sequence continues at coordinate 77,193,635 of NC_000003.12, read as the reverse complement.
TCATGGCCCAATTAGCAAAAAGAAGGAAATTTGTCTGTGAAATTACTTGGTTAATGTAAGTACATAGAAGATTACAAAGGTTCTCACATTCATCAAAAGTTATCTGTTGGAATCACTTGAGGTTAGATAGAAGTCTGAGACCAGCCTAGGCAACATAGCAAGACCCTGTCTTTAAAAAAAAAAAAAACTTAGCTGGGCATGGTGGTGTACTATTGTATTCCCAGCTACTCAGGAGGCTGAGGTAGGAGGATCGCTTGAGCCCAGGTGTTCAAAGCTGCAGTGAGCTATGATAGAGCCACTGCACTACAACCTGGTCTGGACAACAGAACAAGACCTTATCTCTAAATTTTTTTTTTTTTTGAATTATCTGTTGACCATCTTGGTAGGTCCTCATGCCAACAAGAATCCCTTCCATGTAATTTTATCATCAAATTAGGTAGGACTTCGCCTGGGACGTGGTTTCTTCCCTGCAGCCAAGAAGTATTTAGAAAATCACAAATTTTGTTTCTACTCCCTCTGGCTTTGATTTTCCTACCACATTAAAAAACTAAATATATATTCAAAGAATGCTTATTTTTTTTAATGCTGGCATGCCATTCACAGACCAGGTGCTTCTGTGAACATATTTTAAAACATATTATAATATTTGTAAAGCACAGTATATATTAAAAATGGAAATGTGGGCCGGGCTTGGTGGCTCATGCCTGTAATCCCAGCACTTTTGGAGACTGAGGCAGGTGGATCACTTGAGGCCAGGAGTTTGAGACCAGCCTGGCCAACATGGTGAAGCCCCATCTCTACTTAAAATACAAAAATACAAAAATAAGCCAGGTGAGGTGGCACAGTCCCATAGTCCCAGCTACTTGGGGGGCTGAGGCACCAGAGTTGCTTGAACCCAGGAGGCAGAGGTTGCAGTGAGCCAAGATTGCACCACTGCACTCCAACCTGGGTGAGACTCTGTCTCAAAAAAAAAAAAAAAAAAAAAGGAATTGTGTTTGTTCATAAAATGGAAAAGATTTTCCAAATTTAATGAGAAATAACTGAGTTTAGAGCCCCACATTTGATATCTGCATGACCAGTAGAAAATAACTGAAACAATTTTTAGCTAAGAATGTTTACTCAGTGGTTCAAATTAGTTGGTAGATAAATAGAAATACTAACATTCCAATGATGACCAAACTTGAATAGCTACATTCAACATTTAAAGTTATACTTATTCTATAGGAATTGGTCCTAAGAAATATGTATAAAAAACATGGCAAAGTAGAGAAATTTGTAGTAGTATGACCCACGGACTTTATGAAATGAAGGAATTACATTTTAAATTCTTAGGAAAATGTACTTTCCCTTTTTTTAAATAAAGAATCATGTTCAGCATATTAAAACATACACATAAGGCAGAACACTAAAAATACTTGCAAAGATAGAATAATATCATTGAGAATATATTGACATTTAAAATTTATTTTTGAACTGTCTTTTAATAAAATCACCAAATAAAATGACATACCTTGTCTCCTAATCTTCAAAAATTGCATATCCAACTTCGCTAAATAATGTTACATTGCTTACTTTCTCAATAAAGAGTTTGCCATCCTGTTTAGACATTACTACTCATTCCCACAATTGCTTCCCCAAACAGAACTGTATTCATTTTATGACCATGCTGTGTACTATCTACAATCATCTTACATTTAAAGGGAAAGTGTTATTTATAATGTTTATCGTTCTCTCGCCAGTATACTTTTACAAGTCTTTGACATGTCAACGTGAAAAATTTATAGATATGCAATAAAGCTTCATTGTAAGGATTTTCAAATAAACTAAGATGCATTTTGTGTTTGTGTAAAAGGCCCAGTAATGAAGCCCTGGGGACTTGTTTATGCATAGTGTTTTCCCAGCAGGAGAACCAATATTGGTCAGTTCTCAGGTCCTCAGAGGCCTTTCTCACTAAATGGAACAGCATTAGCTTTGTTCTTTAAGTCTAATTAACAACTAAATCATAACTTGTAGCCTTTGCCCAGTTAGATGAAACTTTCAGCAATATCCACGTTTAAAAAACTCCAAGTGCCTTGAATTTTATTAGATAAAATGGAATACAAGGGCGAAATGGTAAATGCCAAAAGCAAGATGGTATACAAGTTTAATGTATTAGCCTCTTATCCCTAGAGATCACAGTTCCTATCTGTCTTAGGCCACAATTTTAAAGAGTTGAATGATCTAGTGAAATCCCTCATGACTATTTAGGCCTATCACCGAGTCCCTGAGCAATTAAGGCTCTCTGCTCAATTTATGGCTCTCTACTGGACTAACCAGTGGCACAACAGGTCAAAAAATTAAGGTGCTCACATTAATCTGTTTTCATGGTAAACTTACAATACCGATTAGGGTTATTTCAGGATTAAATGAAATAATATACTCGAAGCAAAATGTCTGTCACCCAGTAAGTCATTAATACATGTAGCTAGTATTACAGTGTATTCTATTACTATTAACTGACCATAAGAACTTAGATAAATATCCCACACATGTATAATGTGTTTATTTAGCATTTAATGGGAGTCTATAGTCAAAAAGCAAGGTTGTTAATTCGTTTTTATCTTCCTGAAGTTCTGTGTTTTGATTTTTTGCTTACAACATTTGAAATATTTCCAGGAGCACCTATTTAAAAATGGACTTCTGTGATGCATTTTTTTCTGAGGTTCATATTTATGTTTCTTGCCAGCAGGACTATTCACCTTTTAAAAAGGTTACCTAACCATTCTTGTACATCATTCTATAATTTATATAAAGAACACAAATTTACTACCATCTTAGAAGTTCCTTAAAGTGTCATCAGTATAATGGTTTTGTATACAGACTTCACATTCCTCATAGACCAGGAGTCCAGGCACTAAATAAAACTCTTCAAAATCTAGCATAGAGCAGCAGAAACAAATTATTTTAAGGCATGTTCTTTTAAAAAAAGCTTTAGCCAAGATAAAAGTCCAGAGTATGTTCAGCCAAAACACAAGACTTCCTTGCTAGACTCTGCCTGCCAAGATCCTGCTTGTTTTTCACAGATTATAATGCTACATTTCACTGTTTTCTCGTAAAAAAAGTTACACTATACAGGTTTTGTCTGAAAAGAAAATAGAGTTCATATTTATGTGTTAAATTGGGAGGGACGCTAAAAGGAGGCATTCAGGTTGGAATCTGTTTATAGAGCACTCAGACAATATCGTTTATTTTGAGAAACATCTGGTGCAACAGTTAAGAATAGAGGTCAGAATTCTTGTTTATATTTTACACACAGATAATGCAACTCTGAAAAAGTTGCAAATACCTACAAAACAAGACTTTTTCTGAGCACAGCTAGAATTTTCTAGTAACTTTGAGATAACTATCCAATTTTACTTGTACACTAGTCTTTCATAAATGTTTGGAATACAACCCATGTTTAATATAGATAGGATCTTTGCAGAAATTTCATGCATTCTTTAGAAACAAGGGTCAAATTTTCCCCCAGAAAAATACTATATTACTACAGAAGAACAAATACGTCATTTCAAAGTCAATGTTAAATCAACCCAAACTACTTCCTCTTTTTCATGGAGATGAAAAGTGTATACTTTATAAAGATCACGGACAAGAGTGCTAACACCAGTAACCTAAGCCAATTGAATTTAGTATCAGAAAATTCAAATAATGTGGTAAATTATACTTAAGGTAGAACTACATCTGGGAAACCTTGAACTCCTTAATCTCTTTATGCCTCAGTTTTTGTATCTGTAAAATGGGAGTAAAAACAGTACCAGCCTGTGTTTAATATGAGCTCTTAGCAAAGCATCTGGCATATAGAAAGCATTCAATAAATATTAACAGTTTAAGTAAAGATACAACTACAGATACATTGCTGTTCTATCGAAATAGTTTTTGCCTCTAAAATATATTTTTATTAAATTGTTACATACTGTGTATACTCATATACCCGCTTACATGTTTCACAAAAGTCTCACCAGAAAGTAAACATCATATTCTAAAGACCACTTGTTTTGGGGATACAATATTGAGAATAAACTCGGTGTTCAAGAAACAGAAGTAGATTGAACAGGCACTGTTCTGACATGTTCAAGGTTTGCTATTTCTTTATGTCACGGTGATTGAGTGTTTGTAAGTGATGCATGTTCCCATACCCCTGATAACAGAGGGCACAGATATCTTCTTTAAAAAACAGTTATCATGACATATGAGGTAAATATCATTTATCATCTTTCCATGGTCATTTCTAAGAGGGAGTGTTACAAATCTTATCTTCAGTGTTCTTGTCTCAGCAAACCTGTAACTTCTTCAGTTTCCATATAATCTTCAAGATGTTCCACATGTTAACCCTATCATACCTAGTTGTAAGAGTTTAAAATTTCAAACCAAAACAAAGTAGTACAATAATCATTTACAAAATTTGTTACATCACAAGTATAAAATTCTCAGAAATTTCATCGGGGGCCAAATCACTGTGATAATCTGTGAGAAGGGTTCTAATTCAGCTGGAATAATCTCAGTCATTTTTTAATAGTGTCTGACACAGTATGTCTACTTAAACACGTATTTTATATAAGAAAAAGTTCTGTATTTTGAATCAGAAAGCCAAGTCTCTCTCTTTCTCTCTCTCTCTCTCTCTCTCTCTCACACACACACACACACACAAGATTACAAAAGTAATCTGGCTTCAAGTTTCAAATATTTGATCTTGAACTAGAAATGTTATCATTTCCTACCAAGCATTGTTTGAAAATATATTAAAATAATCCCTTTTATTCTAGTCTGCTATTTGGCTCTATGTAAGACTATAATTCTAAAAATATATTAGTCAAATATTCTAGTGGCCGATTTTCATAATTTCAGGACTAGTGATTTTTAAATTTTTGGTGAACACAGAATGTAGAGAGATGTAACAGTATATGAGAAAACAGTAAAAATGTTCTCTTACAACATAATAAAATGCTTGTTGCCAGTTTTATCCTGAAAAGGGTGTATTTTGTTTTAGCACTAGACATTTACTTTTACTGGCACTTTTTCTGCCTTAAACGAATGAAAGACTCATACATAAGTATGAAAATGCCACATAAAAACACATGTATTTTTAAGACAAACCCAGGAAGCAATGCAGTCCCATGCTCAGAAACCCATTTCTTCACCTTTGTTTCTGGGGCACTGATGAGAAGCAGGTGTCAGAATTTTTTTCCATAATCCTGACAGGCCATTTTGCATATAAAACACATCTAGACTTTAATAACTCTCTAGGGTAAAGGTAGCTCTGTTTGACTAATATTAGTGTTTCTCTTTCATATTATTTAATCCTTTGGTTGGAAAAATATCCTATACATTAATTTTTCCGTATGTTTGTAAGTCCATTTAGTTGGCTTTTACCCTTCAGAGCAAATAATATATAAGTAAATAAGCCTACTTCATTTCAAATCTTTCTGTCTCTTTCTTTTTTTTAGTAACACTGATAATTCAGAAGAAGAATCCACATAATATCAAAGATAATTGATACATAAGCAAGACATAATAGATCTAGGACTTCTTATGTTTAATGTTACAAAAATTATGGTCTTACTCATTCACCTTCTTTGAAAATACTATTCTAATAGTTTATGGTAATAGAGAGGTTGGAAATAATTTTATTTATAGCGTACATTTAGACAGTCAGTATTCTTGATTACATTTAATATGTTTTATTACCTACCAACTTTCATCCCTTACTGAGTTTTAAAGTAAAAAAGCAAAGTCATTTTCTGCTACTTATTTCAATGGTCTATGATGAAAGAAAATACAAATATACTAATTATACTTCTATACATTCATTTTAAACATAATACACTTTTTTATTCTTGAAAAGACTGAACTTTTGGGGACTGAAAATAATTACAGAGCTGCTTTTTCTACAATTTAATATGAAGAGAGATTCCAAGTGCCAAAATAAATAAAATTGAAGAGATTGCCTAAAGTCTTTTCAAAAAATACTAATATGTAGCATTGCTCATGAGGCAGCGACTGTAAGGATGATCCACAGATTCTGCAGTGGGACTGAAGTATTTTATAAGTGCAACAAGTCATTATATTCACCTGCCTGTAAAAACGAGACCAAAAACAACTATAGAGATAAAAAGCAATCATCATAAATATAAGGATATTTTACTGTTTTGACATAGACTTTGCTAATTTTAAGTGTACTTATTTTGAACTGTATTCAAAGTTTTGGTACAATTGGGATGTTGGGCCTTTGGGATACCAATCAGAACTTTTGGATGCCTAAGAATGGCAAAAACAAATCTTAGGTATATTTCATTTTAACCTGAATGTGTTATTAATAGTTTGCACTTTGCTGAATGGCCAGTTTCAAGTTAATCTAGATAGATAAGTTAGCTTAAGAGGATCTAATAATAATTTCATATTCTTCTAACCTATCCACTTCATAGAAGAAATATTTTAATATAGATGTCTTATTTAATCCTGATACTGCTTTCCTGTTTTAGCTTTTTACAATGAAGGATCAGTCTTATTGATGTCTTCGTTTTCATTTGTCTTCATTTTCATTTACTTCAATGAGAATCTTACAGAAGAAACAATAGCTGCGATTACATTTGTGACAATGATTACAGAAAACTTATAGCTTTCACTTCCTGCCTCTTGAATACCGCAAGTGTGAGTTATAATCAGCTGACATTGACATGGTTCATATTACATTACGTAACATGTAACAATTCAGCAAGCCAGTTCAATCTATAAATAATATTGCCTAATCAAAGGAAGTTAAAGCATTTTTAAAATTAGCTAATCAGTCAGGACAAACATTAAAAAACAAGATGGTAATAGTAGAAAGGCTGCAGGTTTTAAAGCCAGGTTATATCTTTGGAATCACATTGCTTACTCTCAAAAAAAAATCTCAGTTTTGATGTCTAAAATGAAATTATTAATATCAGCCTTCAAGGATTGTTAACACACTTAAAGAGATGACTATTAAAAGCAATTCTCTCAATATGGGGGAAAAATCAACATCCTTAGTTTTGTAAAAGTCCTAGACTGCCCTCTGTGCTCCGTATAATCTCTTTTGCATTTGACTAAAGTACTGCTTCACTGACTAGCTTTCTATTATTACTTCAATTCCTCAGCCTTGCCTGCATGCTCTCCCTTGATTCCAAAGGGCCTTTCTTCTCATCTTGCTGATCCTGTAAACCATCACCTCCTACTTTATTAATAATCTCTCATTTATTTCTTAACTCTGTTACCAGTTAGAATCTAAAGTTATTAATCTATAGAATTTGCTCTTTACAAGATCACCAGTAAAGCTTCTGGTCTTCAAAACCAAAGGTCTTTCCCCACTAACTTCATTTTAATCTCCCCATGACATTAAACATTTTTGTCTACTTCTAACCTCCTATTCCTATGACACTGACTTAAAAAAAAAAACTTATTTCCATAGGTTATTTGGGAAGAGATGGTGTTCGGTTACATGAGCAAGTTATTTCACGGTGATGGTGAGATTTGGGTGCACCCATCACCCGAGCAGTACACACTGCACCCAATTTGTAGTCTTTTATCCTTCATCCCCTTTCCATCCTTTCCCCCTAAATTCCCAAAGTCCATTGTGTCATTCTTATGCCTTTGCATCCTCATAGCTTAGCAACCACTTGTGAGTGAGAACATACGATGTCTGGTTTTCCGCTCCTGAGCTACTTCACTTAGAACAATAATCTCCAATCTCATCCAGGTTGCTGCAAATGCTATTAATTCATTCCTTTTTATGGCTGACTAGTATTCCATCATATATATACATATATATATATGTGTGTATCACAGTTTATTTATTCACTCGTTGATTGATGGGCATTTGGGTAGGTTGCACCTTTCTGTAATTGTGAAGTGTGCTGCTATACACATGTGCATGCAGTTATCTTTTTCATATAATCACTTCTTTTCCTCTGGGTAGACACCCAGTAGTGAGATCACCGGATCAAATGGTGGTTCTACTTTTAGTTCTTTAAGGACTCTCCACACTGTTTTCCATAATGGGTGTACTAGTTTACATTCCCACCAGCAATGTTCCCTGTTCACTGCATCCACACCAACATCTATTACTTTTTGATTTTTTGATTATGGCCATTCTTGCAGGACTAACGTGGTATTACATTGTGGTTTTGTTACTGACGTTTTGATGTACCTTCTATTTGTCTGACTACTGCCTTCTTTCCTTCTATGCTTCCGTTTCTTCTCTCCTTCAAAAATACTCATTCACTAAAAACCTGCTCTTCAGCATCACCTTTGACTCTCTATACTTTCCCCTTCAGTAATCTGTCTGTAACAACCATTCCAAAGAGATAATTCTCCACTTTATCTATATCTGAATCTAAGATGCCTATCCACTATCCTATATTTCCAACAGCAGATCACCAAATGAAGTCATTATCTTTCAATAAACTGACTCCTGTCCTCATTTTTGATGGAACTATCATTCTACCTCTCATCCCAGCTTCAAGCCTTAAAATCATATTTGACAATTCTGTTTATGGCAGCGCTGAACCCAGAGACTTGTCAAATTTTGCCAAATCTGTTTTCAGATATCTGCTCCATGCATTATACTCTATTTCTATGGCTACTTAGCTATTTCAAGCTGAAATTACAACGAATTCATCAAGAAGTTCTGTAAGCTACTACATGCCATCTATGATGCTAGAATCTGAGGATGCAAAAATAAGCATTATATCATCTCAGTCTTACTTGTCCAATTATAGGTCCTGAAATATTATCCAAAGCTTTTCTTCATAATTCATTGTATACATAAAAGACGCAGCACATTTTCATGTGAAACCCATACTCAGAAACAGTAGATGTATTTTTACTTCCTATAATTTCTTAAAGCTAACACTGAAGGATTAACTAATGTTAAGCAAACTTATTTCAATGTTTTCTTTAAATCCAGATAAGGATTGAAAATACATATATTTTCTTACCTTTTGCTCACATTGTCCCACCATCCTGAAATTTTCTCTCTTCTATCTCCCTGATGTGCAAACCCAAACCCCATCCTCTGTTTTAGGCATGCTAAAATCAATCACCAACTTTCCAGAAGTCATTATTTGGTTCCCATAAACAGAAGTGATCCTTTGACCTCTTCACATTCTGTCTGCATCACTTCTGGATCATATATTTTTCCACTCACTCATAATTCCTTTTTTGCATATAATATTCCCTTTATCATAATGTAAAGTTATTAATGGCAAAGTCCACTTCTAATTCATCTTTCTATCTCCCACAGTGCTTCACGCATAGCTGCTTCAAAATTTTTTGGTAAATGAATGACTGTATTTCTAGTTTTGCATTTTTGATTTAAAAGACCCAGTATTTCACAAATCTCAGAATTTAAAAATAAAGCTGATGCAAGATTTATAAGGAGAAAACGCATACACTTTGTAATTAGTGAAAACCAGCTCTGGAGATTCAGGTTATGTTGTCCAGCAGTAAGAAAACCTCCAGAGCCTTCATTCATTAAAACCATCTTATAAACATGCTCCTCTTCATTCAATGAGCAGAGCTATAAATATTTTTATCCTGGAGGTTCAGTTGTTTCATGGTATCTAATGATGTCCAGGATCAGAAGGGAAAAGATACTAAGCTCATATGCAACCTAATGTGAAATATATGGTGGTTAAAGACAGCAGAAAAATTGACGCTGTGTGCTAATGTGATAAGCAGCACAGTGCAAATCAACTTGTGAATTGTGGCATATCATTTGAAAACATGAAAAGAAAGTTAATCAATTCAACAGCAATGTATTGGTGCTTACTCTGGGAACAGTAATCTGTATGATGTTCACAAGAGGTGATTAAGAAACTCCAGTTGGAACAAAACATCAATGCTAATGAACTGATGAAATACACAAACAATACCTGTCATCTCTATTGTAGTAGTTGGCTGGGGATGCCATAACACAATACCACATTCTGGGTGGCCGACACAAAAGAAATATATTGTTTCACAATTCTGGATCCTAGAAGTTCAAGATCAAGGGGTCAGCAGGGTTGGTTCTTTCTAAGGCCTCTGCCCTTGATGGCCATCTTATTCCTATGACCTTACATGGTCTTTCCACTGTGTGTGTTTGTGTTCTAATTTCTTCTGCTTATGAGGGCACCCGTTGCATTAGTCTAGGGCCCACCCTGATGACCTCATTTTAACTTAATTACTTCTCTAAAGACCCTGTCTCCAAATCCAGTTACATTCTGAGACACTAGGGTTTAGAATTTTAACATTCGAAGTTTGTGAGGAAATAACTCAGCCCATAAGTATTATAGACCACCCAGGCATATGTCCAGTTGAGAAGGTAATCCCTACAGCAACATTGGAGAATGTGGAATTCTAGATTTCCTGAAATTTTTAAAGCTTATGGGGGAGAAGATAAAGGAAAGAACGTTTCAGCTTTGGAGGCTAGAACAAATACAATTTTTTGTTTTTTGTTTTATTTTTGAGAAAGCTTAATGGCTTAGTGATAAAACAGGAGCCAGCATCAGTGAATTACAGAGTATGAAATTACAGAGACAGTCTGGAGCCTGACCGGGTAGATTATAATGACCTGAGGCAGAGAACAAAATCAAGTAAAGGTTTTTTGTTTGTTTGTTTCATTTTGTTTATTCCTTCTATTCCCTAAGATAGGGAGAATACCTTACCAAACATACAGAAATGCTTAAATAAAATTTTCATTCAAAGAGATTTGGTGACTTGTATTTTATGAAAAGTTTTTGCATTCAGGAGGTCTCATATAATACCATTTATCCACCTAGTTACCTGCATCTCTCCACAGTCTTTACTTAACACCTTTGTATAAAGTTTCTTCAGCTGTGGGAACACAGAGTCTCTATGGAGAGATTGTTGAGAGCACCAACTCATTGCAGTTTCAGGGATAAAGCTACAAATGGCACTGATACCTGCTTGTGTCAGCTCACTATTCATTTAGGCCTGCTAGGTCTAAGTTCTGTCTTCTCATCAGTTGATCGATAGGTTGGCAGCTCTCTTTGGCTAAACTACTCAATTTAGGAGGATGGACTAGTGCTCTTTCATGTATTATTCAAAAGAACGGGCTCGAATTCAATCCTTCCCCTGTCCCATCTCAGACAGAATTAATTGCTCCCTCCTTCAGAATAACTGTTCAAGCTTGCACATGCCTCTATTACTGTGCTGATCACACTGTACTCTACAATCATTTATTTACATGTCTTTCTCTCCTCCTAGACAAGCGATCCTTTAAGAAAGGAACTTGTGTATACTTTTGTTGTCCCAGCTTAACCCCAAGTATGGTTCTCAAACATTAGTTGTTGAATGAACAAGTAAATTCTGAATTATTTGGCTTTTTCCACCACCATAAATATAAATTCATATGAATTGCCCAAATATTCAGTCCCAACTGTTGGAAATTTTTTGATAGGCAGTACTTTAATCTCAATTAGTCTTGTTAATCATGGTTACAAAAGCTGACAAATATAAATTAAATATTTCTTTGCAAAGAAATAAAATGAAGCTCTATGCATGAAACAACTGTATACAAAGAAATAACCATCTACAAAATATCAGAAGGTGACTAAAAACTTTCATAACAGTAGGATAGATATAGCTAAAATCATACTGATTTTGTGAAACGTGAAGTACTCAGGGTTATCCTAACTACAATCAATCATTGTACCAGTAAGAGAGATGTTAACAGTTGTCCCTACTTATGTAATGGCTGACTGAATCAAGTTTATTGGACTTGGTGCAAAAATATGTTACGTAATTGATATGAGACTTCGCATTTTAAAATATTTTCACTATAATTAAATATTTGAAAATTTACATATACTAAAATAATGCGATCCAACATTATTGATACATTCTGAAAAACACTAAAAGCAAGAATATTGAGCATCATTTTCTTTTAGTTACAGTATTCATTAATGCATTTTCAAGCGAAACATTTTATTTGGTTAAATCCTAATTCCTCTGCTCTTTAATTTCTGCAGAAACTTTAGAAGGGGGGATACATTTTACACATCTAAGGGATCCTAGGCGTGTGTGAGACAGTACTAGCTATTATACTTATCTCTTGATTTTCTTTAATTTTCCATGCTTAAAATTATATACCGAAATAAAATTCTTTCAGCACAGCAAGTCCTATTTTAATAAATTCAGAGCCGTATTCTCAGTCACTGGTGAATTCATTTTCCACAGACACACACAGCTTTGGAATATATATGGAAATAGGGAAAGAGCCTCCTCAATGAGCTTCCCCTGGAAGCATGGGTGGCCTCTCATCCCTGGTACAGTAATTATCTCCACAACAAGTCAGATAATCTCAGTACATCATCTAATTGAGCCTAACAGGAGTTTAGTGTGGATTCACTACAAAACCCTAAGCTTTTGAAATTTCCTGGCAAAACCAAAGGCATTGCAGTCTACCTTGGGCATTTTCTGTGTTACAACAGGTGGGAAGCATTAAGCACTGGCAACTAAGTAAGATTGAAGTCATCTAGTATTTTTAAATGCTGCCCTTATTTAATTAGGCACTGAAGGTCACAGTTAGGGGATTACTTGAATTTGTAATAATAAGTAGGTGCAAATTTTATAATGGTGTCTGTTGAGTTTGGCAGCAAGTTAAATGCAGCTAGGTTGGATCTGGTCCAGAAGTAACTCTTTTTCAAAAATCATTTTGCTTGAGTTCTCTAATGGTCAGTATTAAAATCTGGGTGCTTTTGTGGATTTTTATGGGTAGATATTATGGGTCAAAGTGTATACCACATATAAAACTATACATTAATATTTTATCATAGAATTTATATATACATATGTTTTTATGTAAGACATTTCAAAAATATCTGGGAAGTATTTAATAAGAATACATTTGCTTTTAAACAGAGTACAAAATTGAATCTTTAAATTATGTAGAGATAATAATACATCCCTAATGTGTCTATGAACATCACAGCTTTTCCATTTACAGTCTTTTTTTCATTAAACCAATATGGTATATAGAAAAATAGATAAAGAATTTGTGTAGTCCCAGCTACTTGGGAGACTGAGGCAGGAGAATCGCTTGAACCCAGGAGGTGAAGGTTGCAGTGAGCCGAGATCATCCCACTGCACTCTAGCCAGGGCGACACAGTGAGACTCTGTCTCAAAAAAAAAAAAAAAAAAATACATATATATATATATAGAGAGAGAGAGAGAGAGAGAGAGAGAGAATTCAAAAGGTAGTTTAGAAACATTTTCTACTCCCTATCTCTTCTTCAAAATCAGTTAAAACATTTGTTCTAAACTGATTTTTTGTTGTTGTTAAACTTTTCCTTCCACACTTGATTCAATGATTCAAATGAGGTGTTTTTTTCTAGACTTGGGCTGCAACATAGAATTTATACAAAATGTGCTTCCCTGTTCTATTTCCTCTTTGTGGTGCCATATACCACTTACAAGTGTTTTTAGTGGTAAACAGAAGATTAAATGTAAGTGTTAGATCTCATCAACACTAAACATGGGGGAAGAATGTCTGTGGCTCTTTTCCAGGCGGCAAATTAAAGCATTGCTGGCAGTGTTACTCCAAACAAGCCCTGATGCTTTTATCGACTCCCTCCCCATCTCAAACACAGCCCAGGGTTCAGTCAATACCTGTCATTCCATGGGAGCCACTAACTCAACTGCTGCTGTCAGTTTTCCTTATCTAATTACAAACGGGCTCCTGTTCATGAAACTATCTCCTTAACAGAGTACATCCAGAACCGCAACTTGTAAGAGACAGTTTAACCGCACCCTAGCAGTTGTTTAAAATCTCTTCTTGTAGTCACATGTAATTCCTCCATAAAGGCCAATCTTTGTTTCTGTTTTGTTTATGTTTACTCATTTGTGTTTTGGTGGAAAATAATTACAATTTTATAGGAGATTAAATGTTATATGTTACATTCAAGGTTTAAAAGAAACGGGACATAGATAGCAAAAGAAAAGAATGTTAACCAACTGTTTTTAATGTTATTAATTTTTTAAATCTTGATGATGCACAAGTTTAATGTGTGGCCTTTTTTTTCTTGCCTCTTACATTTGATTAGCTATTTCTCTGGTACTAATATCTTCATTTAAAATATTACAATTTTTCTCATATACCACAGTATTTTTTTTCAAAACAAAATTCTTGTTAAGTGCATATGTATGTATTCATGCACATTCATGAGCTATATGAAAAAATGAAATATATTTGCATGGCAATGTATAAAAAATAGCTGAAAAGGAAATACGTACATGAGTCTTCAATTTAACTTTTTTTTTTTTGCAGGCTTATTAGGAAAACTGGCCTATAGCAATTCAATCTCCCGAGAAGTGAAGAGTTATTAGCAAGTGACCAGGAGTTTTGAAGCCTATTATTAAGCGCGTGAAGGGCACTGACAAACTAAACCTAAAGGCAGTTACTAAATATTAAAGCTCTTGAATTTTTATTAGGAAAAGACAGATTTTTAAAAAAAAATAGCCTTTCATTTTCAGTGTTTCTAAGCAATATTTTGTAGCTAGCTGTAAATAAGAGGAATATATATAGTAAGTACCACATACTATGATATGTTAGTACATACCTACCTACCTAAGATTCACTAAATACATCAAAATGAACCTCCTGGAACCATTAGCAGATTGCCAAGTTATCTGCAATCATATCAGTATTCAACTGCCTCGAGTAAGACTAATGCTGAAACCACACTAAGACTAGAGAGAACAGCGTAAGTATTTCTTAACAAATCAAACTCAAATTCAATTTGCTCTTACTAATAGTAGCCTTCCTATTTTCAAAATATTTCTGTAAAGCACTAAAAATAAGAATGTCTTCAGGAGTATATTTAAGAGAATATTTAAGTGCAATCTGAGTCAAATATGTCCTATGTAAATTATTTTTTAAAATATGTACATGGCAATATATAATTATATACACACTGTGGGGGGTATAAAATTTATTTCAAAAAATGACACTTATTCAAAGTGTTATTAGTGCCTAACATTTTTTAAAATGTTCTCTTTGCTGGCTCTCTTGAGCTTGCATTCTCACCTGTTTAGTAAGGATGGGTATTTTTTCATTAATCTGAAGCACTGAAATCTATTCGCGAGCATATATTTTTTGATGAGCAAGTGTTGGAGATTTGAGATCATTGCTGTTGAGCATGAGTTGAGAGCAAACACACTGAAAGAGTACTTTTTCCCTTTAAGAAACAAAGCCAACCATCTAGGCATCAACAAAAAGTTCTAAATGGCAGAGATTTGAGAGAGATTTGAGGTATTCTGCCACTGTATCTTTGTGCATTGGAAACTTCAGATCTACAGGGCAAAACGATCAATGGAGGGGTAAGATAAATCTGGATTATATGGCATGGAAATAGTATGCAACACATTGCTCTTCTCCATTGTCTTCATCTATCCTACCTTGTAGCGCGCCCATACCTCAACAGCATGTTCTACCCCTTATCTTCTGTGATGTTGTCTTTACTGTCTACTTAATCTTAAATTTTATGTTGTTTATAGATTTGCCTTCAATCGAGCTCTTTCCCCAGGAAGTTCAGTAGAGACAGGGCTTTGTCTTTATTGTCTACTGCTCTCTCTTTGAACCTAAACACTTCTAGACACATAAATATTCAGAAAAATATTAGCTGAATGAAGGAAATAGAAAATAATGAAGGAGTTGCAGAAGTATGAATGGGAAGCATAATATTTATTTAGCACATATACGTACATAATTATAAATGGAAGAGAGATTTGTGTTGACTTATTGGAAAACATGAAGGGGGAAAGAGATCTACTTCACAAATCATTCATGGTCTTTGTAAAGTATATGGCCTTGCTCTCTTTTGCCTATTGATTAAAAATTTAATTTTCTACTTATATATTTAACTAGAAAAATAGAAAACTAGACTGTAAACCACAGTTGGCTCTCCATATCCAATGGCCCCCATCTGTGGATTCAATCAAGCTCAGATAAAAATATTTGGCAAAAAATTTAAGAATAGCCATACAACAATTAAAGGTAATACAAATAAAAAAATATAGTATAACAACCAGTTACATAGCATTTATATTACATTAGATATTATAAGTGATTTAGAAATAATTTAAAGTATGAAGGAGGATGCACAAGATTGTATGCAAACAGTACTTTTAAAGTCTTTTTTTAAAGAAGAGACTTGAGCCTCCATGGATGTTGATATCCCCTGGAGGTCCTGGAAGCAATCTCTCACAGATGCTGAGGGATGACTGTACTACCAATAATAAGATGACATGAAACAAAGTATTATCATATATTTAAAGCAGAGAGGCTCTCAGAACCATTGACAGGATTAAGAGTATGTTTCCGACTTGCCTAGTTCAATGAGAAAAAACATCTTCAGAGGTTTTGGACTTGAAATTTTGTTAAAATGCAAAACTCAAAATATTTTGGCTGCATTTTTATATTATAAAATTCTAATCAATGAGACATATCCAAAGTTTTAGTGCAAAGTGAACTGTAGGTTTACAAGTAACCAGTGGTAACAATAACCTTTTAGAAATCTCTTTTTCCTACTTTTGTGTTTTTTCCATTTTTTTAAGTCAAAAACTTAATGAATCCACAATACAGATTACCTACAGATTCTTTAAAGAAAAATTTGAAGACATGCTTTGTAAATAAGTACTCAACATTTTTATTGTCTTTTCTACAAACAGACCATATCAAATTTATATTTTTGTTTCCTGGCTTTGTTCAGTCTCAGTATTGAACTTGTAAGTTTTATATAAGAAACAACCCTTGATCCAAACAAGAGGTCACAGACTTCTGGATCAAAATTTATTCTGATCTAGCAAGCAAACCAGTGATACAGTTTTAATATAATGCAGTTTATTCCTAAAAAATGTAAAATGTAAATTTTGGATTTCACTAATCTAAAATATTTTTGTTTTTTAAGTTTAAGCATGTGTGGCTCTAGTGAGATCCACAAGTTTTTGGCAGCAGAGATAAATAAGAATCAATTCATAAAATGGAACAAACTATGTTGTGATCTTTCTAATGATATATGCTTCTAGAATGCCATGTATAGGTAAATATTGTACACCAAGTCACGTTTATCTATTGACTTCCATTATAATTTTAAACATATGTGAACACCTGATCAAAAAATCAATAGAAACCCTAAAATTTTCTTTAGAGATGGTGTGTTTACAAACAAATATTCTGAAAGCATTAATTCTTCCACACAGACCCTGAATGCACCGAAAGGGAAAAATCCGTCCGAGTATTTTCACTGACTCATTCATATGTAAGTAGTTACTGTACATTTATCATTGTTAAAGGTTATCTGTAATAATGGCCAACAGAAGGTTTTCTTTAGAGATTTTGGATGAATTAAACACCTTTTTTTTCTCAATTAGCTCTGAAGTAAATGAATTTTGACCCTCTCTTGCTTCTTAGAATTCCCTTTCCTTTTATTGTTTATGATTCTTCCTTATTCTAGTTCTCCCTCAATCTTTTGGAGCTCTTCTTACCCAGCTCATTCTTTCTGTTCCTGCTATTTGCTGATTTAATGGAGGTCCTACCACAGACTAATTTTTCAGGCTTTCTCCACCTCAGCTTCCATACTTCATTCTTTCATTATTCCATCTACTCAAATGGTTTCAACTTCCTTTGGCTAGATACTTCCAAAATTATACTTCTGTCTCTGATTTTTCTCCCTACTTACAGAATGACGTTTCCAAAACGTTATCTGAAATTTCCATTAATATATCAAAGTCAACATGTACCAAGGCAGATATTTCCCAAATTATTAATAAATATTCAGGCTGATTTGATCAGTGTTCAGATAGCAGCTCCTTATCTTCTAAGTTATGATTTAAAATCTTGGAGTCACCTCTCTCCCTGCTTGCCTTGATCTATGACTATCCCAGCTTGGCCAATCCTGTAAATGCTACCTAAACCATTCTCACAAATGTATCTCCTTTCCAGTCACCTTCCTGATTTAGGCTTCCTGGTTTCTCACCCACACGGTTGCAATAGCTTCTAAATGATTATCCATTTCACACACTTCCTGCCTCCAACTGTCCACTGTTGCTAACACGTAGATCCAACAATATCACTTCATGTTCAAAATTTTGAGCGATTCCTCATCGTGTGCCAATTAAATTAAGTCAGAATTCTTCAGTCTAGAATTTAAGGACCTCTACATTATCATTCCAATCTACATTTCTGTTCCTATTTCATGCTATTTCCCTATTGATGCTCTATAAAACCCCGAAAAAACCCAAAAACCCAAACTAATTCTGAAAATGGATTTGCAAGACTTCTAAAGCCAACAGCTTCATGGTTAATCATATATGCAAGTACTATGTGGAGAAGCAATAAGAATAGTGGCCAGGCACAGAACCTGGAGCCAACCAGGTACAAACTCTGGTTCTAACAATTACTACTAAATATATAGTTTCAGGTAGGTTGTTTAATCTTTCTTTGACTCAGTTTCCACATCGGCAGAATGAGAATAGTAATACAACTTACCTGACAGGGTTGTCATGAAAAATATGAGTTATAAATTGAAACTGTTAGGAAGATTATGTGCCTTATTGTAGCCTCAGGTATTAGAAGTGAGCAACTTTAAAAACAAAAACCGTATGGTGACAGTAAGTAGTATTTATGTTAAAACAGGCTTTATAATATTAGTGTTTCAGGATATTTTTAAATGCCATTTCTTTTATGAAGCCTTTTTGAAATCCAAAGCTAAACATAATTCCTTTTCTCCATGAAATCTTATAGAATTTTTCTTTTTATCTATACTCTCCTGTGTTTAAGATGGAGGAGAACTGGGTATGCTTATATTGTAAGGAAGAATTAATAAAGAATGAGACTGAAAAAGTAGCTATTTGACAGGTTTCGACTGGAGTAAATGAAAATCATAAACATAAGCAGATAGGTTTGTTAGTCACAGACATGAGTATCAGAACAGAAATAGGAAATGATAAATGAAGATTTGGAGAAATTTTGAGGTAAGCAATAAATAATTCACATACAATAACTTCCTATTTCTTCAGGAAATTTAGGTTAAAGTTACCTGCTAAGACAGAAAGACAAAGATGGCATGGGGATAAGGGGTATTAACTAGAAATAAATTTTTAAAAAACCCCACAGCAAGTAGCATGAACACCCAGTTGAAATGTATTGGCTTCAATGTTTTTCATTTGAAGCCTATTAATACGGGCTAATATAATTGTTTCTAGATTGTATAAAGAAAACTCTTTTTTTTTTGCATGAGTGATTTATATATTCTAAAATCTCAAAACATTTTAATCGTACTCTGTGCTTCAGGCAATGTTAATCAACATTACATGTTTTCATTTAAAATTTCGGATTAGAAGAATTTTCTTAGTCAAGCAAAGCTATGGGGAGGGGGACACCCAGGACTCAGTTAATGTTTTGGTTTAAAGGTGTCATTACTTGAAAAGATACCTCATCTGCACAACCTAACTGGGGGATAGAATTGTACTCATGGGAAGAAAGTGAGTAGGTGAGAAATGAAGAACTAGGAAAGCAACGGTGAGAATTATGTTTATTCCATTTACTTCCATCCTTTCTTCTACGTTGGGGTCAAGAAATGAAAAACACACATGTGGAGAGTCCAGGATGTCTCACAAATTTAGGCATCACATATTATAATGAGAAGATAGGATATGCCAGATGGTAGGTGTTTGGAGTCAAAAGCAATTTCCCTGATGGTCAGTTCTAAGAAAACAAAGGTTGTAGTTTCTAACCTCATGAGAATTAGGAGAAATAATATTGTTTTTTATAACCACTGAGCCTTTTAATCCCTTTAGGTATAACATTTTCAGAAACAAGATATGCACTAACTGATTAGACATGAGAACAAGATATGTAACAATAACTGATTTTTTTAAGAATTTTAAAATATGAATAATGCCTTAGAATAAATTTATACAACACACATATGTCTTCTACGTAAAAAAATGAATGGTGCCAAGACCTATTTTACAAATGAGGAAATTGCGGGTCATAAAAGGTTAAGTTACTTCCCCAGGACCACATGATTATTAAGTGGCCAAGCAAAGCTCAACACATGGGACTTTCAGACTCTCAATCTGAAAGTCTTTGCATCATACACATGAAGGGGCAAACACAATTAGGAATCAAAGAACACCAACATAACAAGGTCACTTCTTGCTTTTAAAACAATATACTTGCTAAATTGTTTTTTTGAAAAAAAATTATAATGTGGGTACATTTCATGAGAGCACTCCTGGGAAAGAAAAAATTATTTGAACACACGGGCCTTTAAAAATAAATATTTGACAGTGTCTCTTTTTTCAAATCAAACTTCCAAATGTCTATCATTAGGCTGAAGCCTTAAATGTTTAAAACTTAATTGCTATCTATTATTAAAATCTACCCACACCTTTTTCTAAATAGCTTTCTTCCTTTACAAAATGTTCTTACCTTCCAAAGTCGTTAAATATTTGGGTCAATGCTTTCTAAATTATGGCTGGCTCTTCCTTGTGATTGATTCTGCCATGTTGATTTACCTTGTCTATCTACCTGACATCTCCACTCCATTCAGAGTTCATCGAATGCAAACATTCTTCTGATTAATGGCTAATTTATTATTTGCCTTGCAAATGTTTATCTGCTGGGAAATGGGATAAATACTTCAGTTCTGACAAGTAGGAGGGTCACAATTCTAGGACTGATGGAATGGTCAGTTGATGGCATCCCAGAGGGCCTGGGCCCTGCCTTGGGTTTCTGAGACAATCTTCTGAAAAGCTAAGTATCTATTTTTAATGAGTGCAATGGAAAATCAATTAGCCCTTGGTTTAAGGAAGGAAATTAATTATAACTTTTATATGGAATCTTATAAGCCCAACCAGAAATAACCTCCATATGTAATCACTCAGCAGTATTAAAACCTACTTATTTAAAATAAAAGGACACTACCAAAATCACACTACTTGTCTATATATTGATTCAAGATGAAAAATGGCATCACTGAAAACACTCAACAGAACATACACAAATGTAAACAGTTAAAATCTTCAAACAAAAGCCAAATGGAAAAAATACTAAAATGTTAACAATGCACTCCTCTGAATGGTAGAATAATGCATGATTTTCATACCGTTATTTGCACTTTATAATGTTTGCCAAATTCTGTAATTAACACATTTTTAAAAAAAAATCAGAAAAGACATTTAAGAAAATAATTCTCACAAAAAAAGAAATACATCTGATGTAAGTCATGGATGCCACACAGATAGGAGATAACCAACATTAGGTAGCCAATTATTTTCATCTCTACAGTGACCAATTATGAAAAAAGTAATCCTCATTAGGCATTTGAGTAGAAGCTTACAAGGTGTTCCCAGTCCATATTTTGGTGGGAAACTGACAAAAATCTTCTTACCTGAGCATGCGGAGACATTTTCATTTTGATGTTAAGAAAACCCTGGGTGGAAAGAGATGACTAATTCCTACAGAACAAAAATATGTAAATTTGACTGTATAAAACTATACTTATTGTGAATTTTTCCAAACAGTAAACTTCCAGCAGAATACATTGACTCTAAGAGGTGATTAGCCTAAACATGATTAATTAAATAAGTTACATTTGTAAATTAACACAAAGAATAGTCTCTTGCTGAGAAATAAATACAGCTACTTGACGGCTCTTTTATTCCAGGTGGTCTAATTTAGGTATTAGTTTCTCTACACATTAAGGTAGGCTTTGGAAATGCTGATCTTTTTCTTTAAACTTATTTGAAATTCCGAAGCAATGGAACGGAAGGAAATAGACAGCATGAGACTGACAGAAGAATCTTTATAGAAAATCTGGTGGATATGTCTGTGTACTACCTACCTAGCATAGAACATACTCCACCATTTAAATGATGCTTCTCTGGCAAAATTATGGAATTGAGTCTCTCATTCTGATACCTGTACAACACAACTTATTAGTGTCCATTTGGACTTTTGCCAATAACAGAAGCCTGGCAAGAAAAGTCATAAAAGTTAACTCATGAGGAAACATACCACAAATATAACTATTTCTGTAAAGAATACAAATATCTACTTTCCAGTCCATTTGAATTTCCCAAAGTTTATTTTAATTAGAAAAAATAAGTAAAATACTTTTTTTCTTATATTAACTGTCAAGTAGAAAGAATGCCAACAATTCTTGTTATCCTCTAAACTTCCCAAAATTTCTAAGATCAGTTTTCTAAGCAGGACGAAGCAGGCTGCATGTTACCCCAGTGGTAAAGCTAATGTGCCTTGGCCCTGTTATGCAGACATCAGATATGTAACCAGTCCTGACAACTGCTGATTATATCTTTTTTCCAGGAGTGCTTTCCTCTCTTGTTGTTTGCCAGTTATATCCTCTAGTGTATATGCCAGTGCAGGCAATGTCCCATCACTGGTAATTGTCACCGGGCTGTCTGTCAGTGACGAGGAGAAAAGGGTGACAGCCTTGACATCCCACCAATCATCCCTCTAGAAAATTCATATTGTCCTTCCCAGTAAACAACAGCTCAAGAATCGACCAGTCTCACCGGCACATCCCTGAACAATCAGCTTCCATTAAAGGCAGAAGCCACACATTTATCCCACCACAGGCCAATCAATAAGAAACAGACTTTTTTTGTTCTTTTTAAGCACCCTCTGCTTGTATTTTGCACTTACTATCTCCCCAATTACAAACACCTTGTGGTCATTATTCACTTTAATAGAATTCAAAATAAAATTTTAAACATTCATTTGGGGAAAGCACAGAAATCCCCAACATGGGTCGATTATTTTATTTTTAATGTCATTAATATGTAGACATTTAAGAGAGGTAAATTTCTGCTCATGTAGATTATAGACTTGCTGAAGTTTTACAGATCTTTTCCACTGCCCCTCTTTAAAAGCTAAGCGATTCTATAATGCCATTTAAATAGAAACCATAATTAGGGCAAAATAGGACCAGATAACAGTTGAGTTGAGTCACATATGTTTCTCCAATAAAGTGACGTGTGCCACAGAGAAGATACGTATTTTATAATATTAACAAATCACCAATGCTTACTGACTTATTGGAAAAGGTAACAGTCTAAGGATATTCAAAGCACTTTCCTTAACTCTCAGATTCTTACAGATTCTTAAGAATTCTTATCATTTTAAGTGCTTTAAGGTATTATTTATAAGCCACCTAAATGCAATATTCTATTGTTGATTATAAATATATATATAATTAGATCTGTTAAACACATATGTATGTTCTTTTAAAAATAAAATGCATTTTGTATTATATTCTTAGTTGTATACCCAATAACTATCTGGAACTATCAAGTTTTTAGGCATAATTAAAAACCTACCTAGGCCATACTGGTAATGATTTAAATAATATATGGGCAGCCACCCAGATAATACCACCTAGGCAGCATATGAGAATGAATAAAGAAAAGACAGGAATCAGCTACAGTGACAGAGAATGTACACTCTTTAAAAGGTGACAGGTGTCAGCTCTGGAGGGAAGGCAGTGGCCAAAGGATCATGCCGGAACACTCACTTGCTGATTTATGAAGCTTCCCCGGTGTCAGTCTGGGAGCATGATGTGATGCTCTATTTATGGACCAGAGTTAGGTACAAAGAAAGGAAGCCATCAAGAAAAGCCCATCACTGTCAGATGCCATCCCACCCCCCAGAGACCCCAGGACGACCACAGTGGGGAGGCTCATGCTCAACTCCTGCCCCCTTGGTGGGGAACGGTGTCTGTTTCTATTGTAATCCCCAACCCTATGGAACACTTTTAACTCAGGAACTACCTTCTTAGAGTGACCTTTATCTTTAAAATGAAAAAATAAAAAAAGAAAGGAAAAGAAAAAAGTGGGAAAAATTGCAAACATCAAGGCAGTCCTTACCTAAAGCAGGTTTCTGGTTTAACTGCTCAGTCACAGTTACACAGAAAAGTTTTCACTCAAATGATACAGGTGAGTAGGGTGGATTTGCAGGGAGCAAAGTAATTTTCAGAAACGATATTCTGAAAATTTTAACAGTATATACTTGCATTGTATTTAGCATGTGAAATTTCTATAACACTAATGGAAAAATTCTGGGAGGAGTTTAACTACAAATCTGGTACCTGGTAAGTGTGATTCACAAACAACTTGGCAAGTCAGTATTCTGATTATCTCTTTTTATTTTAATTTAGAGGTGGTCTGGTAGATAATGACACATGCTTACTAAAACTTGACAAATTTGAAGACAAAAATTCAAACAGGGCTATTTTAATCATAGGTATCTAAGATAATTGGCTAAGATAGCCAATTATAAATATTAAGAAATAATCCAAGTTTCCAAGTGAAGTTTTTAACACAATGTTAAATAATCACTTTATCTGTAACAGCCTATTGACTTGTTCATAAATTCACTCAGCAAATAAGAACACGGACACATATTTCATTTATTCACATGTCCTTAGGAGCTGGAATCTGAATGTTTCCATTTGCATACGTGTGGATGCAATCAGAGCATTATATTAAACAAGTGGAGAGGGAAAGTCCTTACTTTGTGCTTAAGTCTTCTTCTTTAGACACTGGAAATGGAGTCACTGCTGCTCTCCATTTCCTGTTGCTCCTTAATGACAAAAAGAATCTTTTTACAGACACTTAGCTATCTAAACCCAGGACAAAACAATCCCACAGATGAGAGAGGGTAAAAGCTGCCAAGTTTGCAGACTCTGGCATTACATGTGGTCCTTCCCTGAGGTAGACTGGAATTCTTCAAAATCACATGGGAGCAATTCACATTCGGTAGAAAGCAGAGGTAACCCTCTGTGAAGGCAAATTGGACCAACATGTTCCTTCGATCCTTAAAACATCCCAGACTCAGCAGACTTTTTGTTTGTTTTAAGTTCCCTGTAATAGGTCACGTACTTACTAGGAGTCGGGGCAAAAAATTAAAACTGGAATGGTATCTGCTCTATAGGTATAACATTCTAATGAGAGGATAGGTGAAAAATAATTACAACTAATAGAATATAAACATGTAACTATGACAGTAAGTGTGAGAAATGTAGCTAGCTCCATTTTCTGGGTCTCTGGGGTAAAGGAAATAAGAAAAGGAAGACCAAGATTTCAAATCAGACTTCTTATTTCCTATTCTTCCTGCTAGTTTTCAAAGAATAACTTGACAAATATGAGTAGGCAAATACTACCAATGGAGGCCAGATAACTCCTTAAAAGTAGAGATTTCACAGTGACATTCATTTTTAACTGTATATAGCCATGAGGTTTTCTTAATAACAAGATTTCATAAGACCAAGGCTAGCATTAAGGTTAAGAGCCAGACTACTTGCACAGCCATTCTGCCACTGACTTCGTCATGTATTTAGGGGCTGGAGGTATGTTAAGCCAAGTGCTTGGAAGGCTGATTGTCTGTAACGATGAAATGCCAAGTCACTGAGGAGTTCACGGCACCCTCAGCTTTACTACATGGACACAATCAATACCTTCATAGGGATGTGTAGAATCAACTTTATGAGAACCAAATTGGCACATTACAACACTTCTTTCAAGGTATGCATTAAGTTCATTATTTTTTCTCATTTAAATTGCAAATTTCATGTCTCTGATCAAGACGAAGACAAGTCTCTCATTTACAAGCTCAGATTTTTGCCTGCTAAGTTTTACAGGAAACAACAAAGTTAATGCGGCAGAGAAACATCATGTCCCCTTTTTTGGAAGACAATTAGAAAAGAAGGTCCAGTTGTCCAATAACTAATGGAAGTGTCAGGGTAACTTCCATAAAACCTTGTCAAAATTGTTAAGTGAGAAGACCCAAGGGCTAATTCAGCATATTAAAAAAATATGTATTAACCTTTGTAACAGTACTAATGTACACAACAAGATACAATGTTTTTTAAATATCTTTTTCTAAACTACCATAACTTGTTAAGGCCTAAATATCATGCAGAAAATTCAGTGTCTTGAAGAATACAGAAAAAGACTTATATATTTATGAAATGAAATACAGGGCAAAATTATACATATGGGTTTAACTGCCACCCCAGTAGCCTCTCTTATGCTGGGAGCTCAAGGAAAAAAAGTTCCCAAGTAGGCTATAAAGGATGCAACAGATAAAGTGAATAAAGAGAGTATACCTAGCAGTGAGGCCACCTAGGTCTTCAAAAGATGTTTTAACAACTTGGAAGTCTAAATTAGAGCAATTGCAAAGACTTTTTATACTATATTTTCTACACAGAATGTTCTGAAATTCTTTGGTAACCATTCATAAGATTGTACAATTAGTTGATACTCTATTCAGAATACTAGATGATGAAATATTTATATAATTTTCCATTCCATGGTAGTAATACTAACTTCAAATATGGTAACATGGCCAAATACAATGTTTAAATAAATAACACAATTTTATCAATGGAAGATAATCCAGTCAATTTACTCAAAGATGAGATATTTAGGTCTAAAGGGGCTAACAGGCTTACTCAAATTTGTACAGTTTGTCACAGAGCTGGTAGACAAGATTTTAAACTGATAGTATAATGAACTTATCACCATTTGGTACCTCCTACGGGCCAGATGCTGAACCATGTAAGTGCAAGAAAGAATAAAGAAACATCATAAATAGCAATGAGTTGACATTTGTAACTTTTTCTATGAGACATAAATATGTATGAGGCATCTATCTATGAAACAATTGGCCTGGACTGCTTAAAAACCTCTGTGTCGGCCGGGCGCGGGGGCTCACGCCTGTAATCCCAGCACTTTGGGAGGCCGATGCAGGCGGATCACGAGGTCAGGAGATCGAGACCATCCTGGCTAACCGGTGAAACACCATCTCTACTAAAAATACAAAAAAAAATTAGCCGGGAGTGGTGGCGGCGCCTGTAGTCCCAGCTACTCGGGAGGCTGAGGCAGGAGAATGGCGGGAACCCGGGAGGTGGAGCCTGCAGTGAGCCAAGATGGCGCCACCGCACCCCAGCCTGGGCGACAGAGTGAGACTCCGCCTAAAACAAACAAACAAACAAAAAAAACACTTCTGTGTCATTAAATATTTTTTAAAAGGCTGGAAAAAGTTTTCAAACTAAGAGATAGAACAAGAGAAAAGGAAAAACAGATATTGGGCCAAAGGCAATGCATAATCCCGAATTAAATCTTGTGTCAAAAACATTATGATAGATGCAATTGAATCAATTGGGGATATCTGGTTATGGAATTTTTATAAATAATAAGATTATATCAATATTAAATTTCCTGAGTGTGAAAATATTGTGATTATGTAGAAGAATGTTTCTTTCTTTTTTCTTTTTTTTCTTTTTTTTAAATTTTGAGACAGAGTTTCTCCCTGTTGCCCAAGCTGGAGTGCAGTGGCAGGATCTTGGCTTACTACAACCTCCGCCTCCTGGGTTCGAGCTATTCTTATGCCTCAGCCACGCAAGCAGCTGGGACTACGGGCACATGCCACCACATCTGGCTAATTTTTGTATTCTTAGTAGAGAGTGGGTTTTGCCATGTTGATCCGGCTGGAGATACATGCTGGAGTACTTATGGGTAAAGTATCACCATCTGCAAATAACACACTCAAATGGTACGTGTTGTACATACAGAGAGAGATAGACTTCAGCAAAATAGTAACAAATATTGCATCTAGGTGATGGGTAATGCTTGCTACTCTTTACTCTTTGAAATTTCTATATACTGAAATTTTTAAAAATAGAAAAGTTGGGGATAAAAGAAGACAGCTCTATGGAGTCAGAAGATAGGTTCTCTTGGTAAAGATTGAGATACGGCATGAGAGGGCTTCTGTGGTGCTTTTCATGGTCTATTTCACAATCCAGGTGCTGGTGATACAGATGTGTTCAGTTTGCAAAAATTCATCAAGCTGGATACTTAAGCCTTCTTGTTACTTTTCTGTATATATGTTATACTTCAATTAAAAGTTTACAAAAATATAGGAGTTAGGGAATGTGGACAACTAATGAATATATCAACAAATTATCACTGATTTTTTTTTTAATTTATTTTTTTATTGATAATTCTTGGGTGTTTCTCACAGAGGGGGATTTGGCAGGGTCATGGGACAATAGTGGAGGGAAGGTCAGCAGATAAACAAGTGAACAAAGGTCTCTGGTTTTCCTAGGCAGAGGACCCTGC
Source organism: Homo sapiens (assembly GCF_000001405.40). Taxonomy (NCBI): domain Eukaryota; kingdom Metazoa; phylum Chordata; class Mammalia; order Primates; family Hominidae; genus Homo; species Homo sapiens. Next base: position 77,165,432 of record NC_000003.12, on the reverse strand, counting down.
GGCCTTCCGCAGTGTTTGTGTCCCTGATTACTTGAGATTAGGGATTGGTGATGACTCTTAACGAGCATGCTGCTTTCAAGCATCTGTTTAACAAAGCACATCTTGCACCACCCTTAATCCATTTAACCCTGAGTGGACACAGCACATGTTTCAGAGAGCACAGGGTTGGGGGTAAGGTCACAGATCAACAGGATCCCAAGGCAGAAGAATTTTTCTTAGTGCAGAACAAAATGAAAAGTCTCCCATGTCTACTTCTTTCCACACAGACACGGCAACCATCCGATTTCTCAATCTTTTCCCCGCCTTTCCCCCCTTTCCATTCCACAAAACCGCCATTGTCATCCTGGCCCGTTCTCAATGAGCCGTTGGGCACACCTCCCAGACGGGGTGGTGGCCGGGCAGAGGGGCTCCTCACCTCCCAGTAAGGGCCGCCGGGCAGAGGCGCCCCTCACCTCCCGGACGGGGCGGCTGGCCGGGTTGGGGGGCTGACCGCCCCCACCTCCCTCCCGGACGGGGCGGCTGGCCGGGCGGGGGGCTGACCCCCCCACCTCCCTCCCGGACGGGGTGGCTGGCCGGGCTGAGGGGCTCCTCACTTCCCAGTAGGGGCAGCCGGGCAGAGGCGCCCCTCACCTCCCGGACGGGGCGGCTGGCCGGGCGGGGGTCTGACCCCCCCACTTCCCTCCCGGACGGGGTGGCTGGCCGGGCGGAGGGCTGACACCCCCACCTCCCTCCCGGACAGCACGGCTGGCCAGGCGGGGGGCTGACCCCCCCACCTCCCTCCCGGACGGGGCGGCTGGCCGGGCAGAGGGGCTCCTCACTTCCCAGTAGGGGCAGCCGGGCAGAGGCGCCCCTCACCTCCCGGACGGGGCGGCTGGCCGGGCGGGGGTCTGACCCCCCCACCTCCCTCCCGGACAGCACGGCTGGCCGGGCGGGGGGCTGACCCCCCCACCTCCCTCCCGGACAGCACTGCTGGCCAGGCGGGGGGCTGACCCCCCCACCTCCCTCCCGGACGGGGCGGCTGGCCGGGCGGGGGGCTGACCCCCCACCTCCCTCCCGGACGGTAAAAAGGCTTTATACCAGCCTGGCCCTACTATTTAAATGTGCAAATGATAAATATGGAATGTCACTAATGCTAAAGTAATAATAAAAAGAGTTGTTTTACACCTCATTTTCTACGTCTGGTTCAATTTTTACACAAATGCCACATACCACTTTTTTATTTTTTATTTTGAGATAATTGTAGATTCGTACCCAGCTACAAGAAACAATACAAAGATAAATTGCACCCTTTACCTAGTTTCCACCAATGGTTACATCTTGCAAACCTATAGCACAATATCACAACCAGAGTATCAACATTCATGTAGCATCTCTACACATCTATGTATGTTTCTGTATTAGAATGGATCCTCTAATCAGACTGTTTCTATGCAGTGGGAAGTTGATGAAATATGTAGTTGATTCAAACATAATTACAACTTAAGAACAGAACTCTATGTGTATATGAATATATCAATTTTATCTGTATGTATGTCTGCCTAGCTATACATCCATCCTTTGAGAGAAACCATTTTTGACTATGCTAGAAATAAGTTTGAAATATAGATTTTTTTTTAAAAAAAGTAACAGTAAGATATTCAGTTCAAAGATTATAAACCATGAGTATTCAGTGCACTTTTCTTGAGCTCTTAGTATGTGTCCCAGACCATGTCCAAATATTAGGTGTAAGTTGGTGAACAAAACAAATAGAATTGTCAGTCAGGTTGAGAAAACAGACATCAAACACATGAACATACAGTTATAATTTCAAATTATTATAAATACTGTAGCATGCGACAATGGAACATTATGAAAGAAAAGAGCAGGAGGACTCTAAATTGATGCCAGCAATTATAGTTGACCTCTGTGATTAAAGAGTTTAAAAATACACAGCATTGTGAAATGAATGGTTTACAACACAACAACACAACATATGACATTGGGTTATTGGACTCTCTGTAAGTTAGCAGTTGAATGATTAGCAGGACTACCATCAGAATCAGCTATGCCTCTGCCTTACATGAATGAATAGAAATTTCTGAATGATTTATGTAACATAAAATAACTTTTGTAAAATCTATGTATAGATTCTTTATTCTTGATGCATGTTTAGATGGCAAGAGGAATCCTTTAACTATATACATTTTAAAAGCTGATAGACATCTTTGATATCAGGAACTACAAAAACATTGCATAGAATTCAAATGAAGCAAAATCTGTAACACTGCCTTTATTGAAAACTCAAAAGTAATACCCTTGGCCAGGTACGGTGGCTCACACCTGTAATCCCAGCACTCTGGGAGGAAGAGGCAGGCGGATCACCTGAGGTCAGGAGTTCGAGACCAGCCTGGCCAACGTGGTGAAACCCTGTCTTTACTAAAAATACAAAAAAAAAAATTAGCTGGGCATGGTGGCGCATGCTTGTGATCCCAGCTACTTGGGAGGCTGAGTCAGGACAATTGCTTGAACCCAGGAGGCCAAGGTTGCAGTAAGCCAAAATTGTGCCACTAAACTCCAGCCTGGGAGACAGAGCAAGACTCCATCTCAAAAGAAAAAAAAGAAAAGAAAAAAGAAAGTAACATTGCTAAATGCTAAACTGCAGGATTCTGAATGTCTCTGACCTCTAGTGCTGATCTCCCTAACGCAGGCCTCAATGCTTTAAACCCATGTGTAGCCTTATTAGAGGAAAGAATAAATACATAACATTTATAAAGCATACGTTATTTGATTCATAAAAGAGGGAGATGGTTCTTCATGTCCTTAGCCATATCACTTTTAATCAGGGAGAGAGTGACACAGAGGCAGGTGTGTACTGTTTCCATTATGTAAGTTTCCAGAACTCACTAAGACGCTGAACTTGGCATCCATAAAATGGTATTTCTTGGATCTTACGTACGGAAACAGTTGTTTATCTGCCTGAAAGCTATTTTAATGAAACACAGAAGACAACGGTAATTCTTTTCCTAGCACGATACCTTCATGTTCATTCTTTGTCTGGAGGACATCTAAATGTGTAAGGTCAATACTTATGAAGCTAAATATTATTTTAATATCTATCCACCATTCAGAATTATATATTTAAACCATCCAATAATTTCAAATTAAATGGTGAAAATAAAAAATACAGTACAAATATACACCATGTTGTTATTAGTGTATGGACATAATATTTGTTCTTAAGCTGTTTTATTTTTTTCTCCTGAGCTGTCGTGTTTTACAGAGTATGGTTTTCTGCCATATGCCCTATTTTTTTTTTAATACTGAGAAGCTATGACATAAGAAGGTTTGCAAATGTTCCAAGTTAAAATATGATAAGTTAACTCTCAAATTTTTACAAATTGAATTCAAGAAGAGATGAATTATATCTATAGCTTCTTTAGAAAAAGATGACTTTTTAACACATTACTGGTACGGCTGAATTTGCACTAGAGAAATATTGTGGGTACATTACTGTCAAACCATGACTTTGTAGATAATTTGGATGAAGTTATTAATTTGAGGATTACATGGAATGTTTCTGTACAGAAGAAGAACTACATGCTTTAGTAAAAAACCATGACAACAGAAAAAGGGGTAAGAAAGGAGAAAGATGAAGGAGAGAGAAAAGAATAAGGGAAATTGAATGACTGCTTCTTGCCTTAAGAAAGGCTAAGAAAAAAAAAACGTATTTTCAGAAAACACCTGGGAATAAATAAAGCTAACTTACTGATTTTCAAACTGAATTGTGTATTTTGAAATGTGATTTCTTATAATAAGCAAAAAATAAAATATCTCTGGGCTATATTTCAGAAAATAAAAAACCAATTGCTATGAAATCACTATCTAAATAATGTTCAACTACTTTACTCTCTTCAGGTTATGCAAAAGTATTTAAAAGTGACACACTACTGAAAATAATTTAAAATCTTTTAACCTTAGTTTTAATATCATCTAAGAGTGTGTACACACATTTGTCCTTAATAAAGAGTCCAAACATTGCTTGAAGAGTGGTCATCAGAGACATTTAATACTATACTAAATTAACACTGGTGGTACGTAGTCAAATGAAGCCTATATTTGAATAGTCCCATATTGCTTCATATGCAAATTAAGCATAAAATGGTGCTGAGGTTGCATTTTATGCAAGATGGAACTTTGTGTTACAGATGCAAAAATCCAATTCCAAACACATAATTATTATTACGGTCATAATGTGTTTTTCTCAACACCTAAACAAACAACTAAAACCTCCTGGGACCCAGATGCCCTAGGCAGTCATGCTCCATTGAGTCTATCTTTCTGAGAAGTGCAGGCCATGAAGCTTACAGGGAGGGAGCTTTTGTAATCAGCAGCTTCTTTCAAACCACTGGAGTACTCCTTCTTTTACCTATCTGTGGAACCAGTTAACCACTCAGTCATAAAGGATGCTTTAATAACACTCTACATATTCTGAATCCATAGGAAACTGGGATAATTATCATAGTAATAAGTTATTCTTCAGGAGAACAAACTCACAATGCAAGCAGTTCAAAATCAACATACAATTTTACACTCAAGTTCTATGTTTTACTTTAAAATTACAGTCTCATTATTTCTGGAGGTCAATATAAACTGTAACTCCGGGGTAATTACATGCCAAGACTGCAGTAATTACATGCTCAGAATCTATCTTAAAGTAGCGGTACTAAAACTGTAGTTCAAATATGACTTTCTGTACCACATGTAGGCAACTGCTCACATCTAAACTGCATGGTGTGTCCCATAGACAGTCTAAATGGTTTCGCCACAGTTACTGAAATGTATTACATATATCAGTTTATAGAACAGAATAATTCAGGTAAAGAAATAACTTGACTCCTTTTTTCATTATATCAGCCTCTCTGACATAATTATAAGGATATATTATTAAGAGGGTACATTTCAGTAATTTAAAAATGTCTAATTCAGCCAGTAATCAATCCAATGAAAATATCTCAAAATCATGTGAATGGAATTGCATAAATACAATTTATCTACAAATACATCATCACCATGTGTAAGAAAAAAGTATTTTCCAAAAAAACTTTATAAAATAATTATCATTCTTTCTTTCAAATAAATGTTTAAAACTCTGAATTCTTTTAGTCACCTTTGTACGTAAAATGCTACCATATGTAAAGTATTTTATTCACTGGGAAAGATTATATCTATTTATTTGTGAAATAAATAAGTTTTATAAAAATTACATTGAAAATCGTGTTTTGTATAGTTGCCCTTTACAATTATTATTAGGCTAATAATCGCCAGAGAAACTATAATCATGTTTTGTGTTTGTGGTGAACAGGGGCATACATACAAATCTGTAATGCCTGGTGAATCTATATATTTTTTCTTCATTCTCTCTCCCTTTATTTTTTCTTACAGCTAACTTCCAGACTAATGAAGAGGCAAGGGGATAATTTCAGAAGAAACAAAGAACTTCTAAAACGTAATAAACCACTGACAATATAATGTTTACATATTTAATCCCATTGCTGAAGAAACTTCAAAGATAAAGGATAATATTAAGTATAGGAATTTGAAATATACTTTGGTAATTACCTTACTTTTCAGCTGCACACAAGTAGGACTTCTCCATAGTTCTTTCTAAAACAGGATTTTTATTTAACTTACACACTTTTATAATTTCAATATGTTTATATGAGCTACCCTGAATTTTACATCCTTATTAAATTACCCAAGTTTGATCATAGACTAAAGACAAAAATTACTACATTTCTTTTGACAGAGCTTTTAATCCTTCAATTTGGACAGGTAGAGATATATTTTATTTTTATTTTTCAGACAACATTAAACAAATCACTACTTTCACAAGTGCCACTGATGACTAAAGAATGAACAGTATTGAATACAAGTTCTACTGACCAGGCATCCACTCCTTGTGGAAATCCACTATGGAAGAGCTGGGTAAGGACTGCAAGGACTACTGCCACATCTACATTAGGTGTATCAGGGAACCTGCTAAAACACCCCCTAGTGCAATAGCTGGGAAATTCATCACTAAAATGTAGTAATCATCTTGCACAGTACCAGCAGATTGCACACATTACCTCCTGCAGATTGGAGTGGGAATAACTAAAAGAAAAAGGGTAATGATGGTTGGGGGAAATTGAATTTTCATGGCACTGATCTTCTGTGTCATTCTATTTGCATGAGAACAATGTTAGCTGCAGACATTACAGGACCCTAATGAGAATAGGAGCTTCTCCCGATGGGCAGGAGTCAGGATGGGTGTTGATGAAACCAATCTATCAATGAGATTTTAAAAGGTGCAACAGTCCCTGCCTTGCTCAGAACCCATGTGGGTGGGCCTTCCATCTAAGAAGAGAAGAAATTAAGAATGATGACTTGAGAGAGTTCAAAGCACACTTGCCTCTCTGTCAGCTGGCCCTTAATGATAACGTACTACTGCTTTCCTTAAAGAGCTTCATGTCTTATTCAGGGTAAACGGTGAAAATGTGGCATTTTAGAACCCATGATGTGTTTTTCTATTGATGCTGTCAGTGTGATCAGCCGCTAAAGGAAGAGTTGTTTGTCAGTTCCCATTCTCTTCAGTGATTCATCAAACAGTGGCAGTTCATGCATGCAGTATCAGAAGTGGAATAAATAACTTAACAGCTCCGCACTGAACACTCACATATTTTATTAAGCTGCCACCAACCCCAGGGCAATTCAGCATGTCGGAAGACAAACTCTTCTAGGGGAGTCTCTTAGCACATACTTTTAGTTATGAGCTAAACCTACTGCAAGTATTTATTATCTAAGATATGAAAAACATCTCTTGAGTTGCAAGAGCTAGAGAGGTATTTATCCCCTGGCCCTATTCTTTATGTGATGAGTAAACCAGTAATAATATTCATTTTTAATGTATTCAATTTGTAAACCACTTTTTCTCCAAAGAATTCAACTGTCTCCTTCCTGCAGTATCCCCAGTTACATGTATTAACTTACCTCATATGGTTTGCCGTCTGTTTTTCACACACTGAACTACATCAGTGACTTCAGTGGGTAGTTCTCTAAATCACAGCCATGTAAGGGCAAGTCATAGTCTTCAAACATTAATAACAGGGGCCATTCCCATGAAGCCTGTATTGACCAACGTACTCACTGAGACAGGTTCTACTAACTGCTTTTGGTTATCAATGAGTTCTACCCAATGTTGGCACAGGGGGTTTACTGGGTCCTGGCTGGTGTCCAATACATGCACTGCACATGGTCAACTTAAATATCCTTCAAAGTTTTCAGTTAACCATTTTCACTCCTCGGCTCAGCCTGCAAGAGAACAGCTCTAAAGTATCCTTTTACTGACTGTGTTTAGGGACTAGACAACTTGAATGAGATTAGATTCATTTCATATGAGAATTTTGAGTTGTAATTATTATGTTTCCCTTTCTATTCATTAAATCAAACAACTGAAATATGAACATCTAGGCTAAAAGAAGGGACAATCAGGGCCGTATTCAAGGACTTTCACTGTGTACTATTATTGTTTATCTCCCACAACTCCCCTGAGAAATTTAGAAATATATATGCACTGACATGTAATATCTAAGTGGCAATTTTTGCCCTCCAGAATAAAATATAGATAATCTCTAATATAGAAACAGTGTCTCAAACTCTGATTTAGAATTGGCTTTAGAACACAATGAATTTCCTCATAAGCAATAGCTCCCTTCAACCTACAATAAAGTAAAGCAAGAATACTCAAATCAATTTATGGTCAGCATACCAAAAAATAGGGAACAGACAGTTTCTTCACATATTACTAATTGCTAACAAGTCCTCACCCCATGGACTCCAACAGCCTTCAGTTACCTTGTCTTTTTCAATGGAGGTAAGGAAGATGTGTAAAGAACTGCTCCACTCCCACACAGAAAGCAAAAGAATTCCCCGAGCATAAACTTTTTATAAGTTTCTTTCCTTGGAAATTCAACATGGGAATTGGAGAATCATTAAGCTGCCATAATGAAGTAAAATAAGACTTTCAGCAGAAGACAATGAAGCTGAATATAGTTTACAGTGAAAACATTCAATTGAATTTTAGATATTTTAACCTTTCAATTATATGCTAACCTTAATATACTTAGGAATACTCATTGTTAAGTATGGGATCTCTTAGTAAGTTGGAATAAAACATTGAATTATTTCCTGGTTCTGCTTTAGCAGCAAAAATCAGTGAGTCAAAGGAGAATAATAAGAAAGATAGGGGCGCATCACCTCTATAGACATATAATCAGTGGTATAACAATATGGTTTTCTACATTTAGTGTGTATCAAACTCATCTGTAGGGCCTATTTAATGTGCAGACTCATCATTGACATCACCTGTTTGGTCAATACCAATTACTGGGCTCCATCCCAGAGTTTCTGATTAAGTACATTTGGGGTGGTTGTCCAAGAATTTGTATTTCTACCAAGTTCCCGAGTGATATTGATGTTGCTGTTGTGGGGACCAAACTTTGGGAACAACCGATATAGATAAAAATAATATAAGCATTAGAAACAGAAGAACTCTATTCAAATTCTTGCCTTTTTAATAATTAACTAGCTTAATTCTATTTTTTATACATTCTAATGAATATTCTAATGAATATTTTTATATATTCTAATAAATATTTTTATATATTCTAATTAATATTCTAATAAATATATTAAAAAGTACTAATCACCAGCAGAAATTTGTTAAAATTAAATGAAGTATATTTTATTTACTATTTTACTAAAGTAAAATGCCTGCAATATTACAGGAGCTTAAAAATGTTAAGAATTTATTTCACATACACAACTGAAATCCTTGAAAGAAAACTGATCATTTCTCACAGCAACTTGCAATACACAGGAAAATGTTCCTCCCACTGAATTTCAAATAACTAATATGTATGACAATTGGTTTAACTCATAATGGTTTTCCAGTGTCATAGGTACAATAGCACATTCACAACAGTTCTTAGTGACTGCTGAGCCAGCTGATACTTGGGATTCAATAAAATTGGGATTGACATCAATTTAATTATGAAAAATACAAAATGATTCATATGCATAAATAAACAATCTTACATTGTTTAACACGATCTAAAGTAAAATCAAACCTGACAACATTTGCCATGCATTTTCTACCCAATCTCAACCCTTCTCAACCAGTACAGAAAGACACAAAATTTATAGCAATACTGAAGGTGCCTTGGATTTGAAAGGAGAAGGAGAATGGTGCCCAGTGGACAGGAAAGTTATAAGTTCGGTTTGGATGATGTTGAGATGAAGAAATTTTAAGACAAAGAAAAAACAATTCAGGTAGGCAATGGGTTATGTGGGTACAACTCAGAAGAGAGGCCCAGAGGAAGATGAAAATTTGCATGCTCTCTAGAAAGAGTGGCAATAAAAGCAATGACCACAGATGAGAGCTCCTGAGCAAGAAGAGGAGAAGGCTCTAAAATGTTTAACTGAGGTGGACTGAGCTGTAAAAGGGACCACGAAAGAGGTCAAGAAGGTAAAAAGAAAGCAAGGAAGTGAAAGACCATGGAAGGCAAAGATAACAAGTACTTTAAAGAGGAAAGGGGGAATAGTTAACGACATGAAGTGCTTTTGAGGGGTCAAACGAAGACTGAAAATGTGCAGAGTTTAATAACATGGAGATAACTGGTGACTTTCAAAAGAACTGTTTTAGTAATTAGACCTGAATCCAGAACAGAGTAGCTGTGTTAGTTTTCTGTTAAATAACTATCATGTGTATTCGTTTTCTGTTGCTGTTGTAACAAATTGCTACAATTTACCAGCTTAAACAACACATTTATCATAGAAACCTGTAGAAGTCTGCATGAGTCTTACTGGGCTAAGATCATGTTGTTTACGGGGTTTCTGGAGGTTCTGTGGGACTATCTGTTCCCTCGCCTTTTCCAGGTTCTAAAGGTTACTTTTATTTCCTGGTTGGCAGGCACTTTCTTCTATCTTTGAAACCAGCTAGAGCAAGTGAAGTCCTTCTCATATCAGATGACTCTGATCCCTTATCCCCCTCCACTCTTTCAATTTTAGGGACTCTCTGATTTCACTGAGCCCACTTGGATGATTCAAGATAATCTCCCTATGTTAAAGTCAGATGATGAGCAACTTTAATTCCATCTGCTAATTTAATTCCCCCTTGCTATGAATCTGATATATGCACAGATATATTCAGGGATTAGGACTCAGACATCATTGAGGACCATTATCCTGCCTTCCTATATACCACAGTCATCTAAAGTTTACTGAGCACTGACCATACGTCCAGTAATTTCATTGCCTCAAAAACAATCCATTTTATTTATTTATTTATTTATTTATTTATTTTCCCAAATTTAAAAATGAATATTTATTTTTGAACTTTTAGTTTCAGGGAGTATACGTGCAGGTTTGTTAACTGAGTACACTGTGTAATGCTTAGGTTTGGAGTACAAATAATCCCATCACTCAGGTACTGAGTCTAGTACCCAATAGGTAGCTTTTCAACCCTTCCCTGACTCTTTCTCTCCCCCATCTATAAGTCCCCAGTTTCAGTTGTCGCCATCTTTATGTACCTGAGTACCCAGTGTTTAGCTCTCACTTATAAACCAGAACATGGAGTATTTGGTTTTCTGTTCCTGCCATGATCCACTTAAGATAAGCCTCTAGCTGCATCCATGTTGCTGCAGAAGATATGATTTTCTTTATTTATGGCTCATAGGATTTCATGGCATACATGCACCACATTTTCTTTATACAGTCCACCGCCGATGGTCACCTTGGTTGATTCCATGTCTTTGCTATTGTGAATACTGTTGTGATGAACTTGCCAGTGCATGCGCCTTTTGGTTGGACGATTTGTTTTCTTTTGGATATATACCCAGAAATGGGATTGTTGGTTTGAATGGTCATTCTGTTTTAAGCTATTTGAAAAACCTCCAAAACCACCAAACTACTTTCCATAGTGGTGAACTAATTTACATCCCCACCAAGGATGTATAAATGTTCCCTTTTCTTCACAGCCTCACCAGCGTCTAAAAACAAGCCATTTTAAAATCAACACTTTGAGGACATATTTAGCTAAACATACCTCACTGCCTGTTTTTTTCCTCTGTACCTATTTATTATTGATTGCTTTTTAACAGTTTCGTACTAAGAAAGAAAAACCCATGTTTAGAAATTGATAGAAGATACATTAAACTATGTGTATTTTTTCAAGTGGAAGTGCATTAGGGGATTATTATTAGTGTAGATTATGTTCTCACAAGTTTTTTTTTCAGTTTGATCCCATTATAATTCTGTTAGCAGTCTATTAAGAAGAAACTGCTTTTTCTGATATCTGAAGGGCTGTGAAGTAGCAGATGAAGTAAGCTTGTTCCATCCTGCTCATATTGGCAGAGCCAGAACTAAATGTGTATAGAAAGGAGACAGTTTTCTACTTAAAATAAGAAAGATTCTCCTAAATTTTAGACTTATCTAATAATAGAGTAGATTGGTTTATGAGAGGTGATTGTCTTGTTATAGTAAACATTCAAGAAAATTAAAGGGCTATAACCCGATTATAAAATAGAAATGTCAAAGAATCATTATTAGATGGAGGGTTGGATTGAATCATATCAAGTTTCATCCAAGACAGAATATAAGGATTTAACCTAGATGTCATTTATACCATGAAAATGTGGCTCTGACCTTTTGCGTGTTGGTAGAATTGTTGTTGTTATTTCGAAGGAAGGAATGGGGGCTACTTCTTCCATTATTTTAGTAAGGAGACATCTTTTTCCAGTCTGGCTTCCTCTCATTATTGCATGTGATCAGGAACTAGGAAGTCAACTGTGGCAAAATAAAATATCTTTCTCTATTCAGCATTGGTCGAAAATTCATAAAGATAAATTTAATTTCAGAAATTACACACTTCTAAAGGCTCATTTTGGTTGTAGTACTGTCACAATGGTAATTACAAAGAATGATCTTGACTGCAAAATACATGGGAAAATGGTAAAGGAAAAGTGTTTGCCTTTTTCAATTCACTTAATGACCATATTTCATTCATGGAACATATTCTAAGAAAGATACAATCCATCAAATATGAAACAAGAAAAAATAAAAAAATCTGAATAGACATATAACCAGTAACGATATTGAATTCATAACCAAAACAACGTCCTGCAAGAAAATCTCTGGCCCAGGCAGCACCACTGGAAAAGTCTACCAAACGTTTAAAGGAGATTTAACACAAATTCTTCACAAACTCTTCCAAAAACTGGAAGAAGAAGCATTTTTAAACTCCTTTAATAAAACTAGACAAAGGCATCAAAAGAAATAAAGACTACAGATCAATGTACTTATACTAAGTGAAACGAGACAGACTGAAAGACCACACCTTAAATAATTCCATTTATATAAAATGTCCAGAATTGGCAATTCCATAGATAGAGTAGATCAGTGGTTGTCAGTCACTGGGCAAAGAAGGAAGTGCTGAGTGATTGCTCATGGGTAGAAGTGTTTCTTCTGGGGTAAGAAAAATATTATCAAGTTAGATAACTGAAATAGTTGCACAATTGTGAATACACTAAAAAAATTGAGCTTTGCATGTTAAAAGGGTGAGTTATAAGGAATATGAATTTTATCTCAATAAAGCTGTTTGGAAAAGAATCTATGTCATAGGCAGTAATATTAACACCAATGTTCTATACATTTGGGAAACCAGAAATGCAGTGATTTTCTTTCTTTAATGTGCATCCAGTAACTTCGGGATCTTGTTGAAAGGAAGATTTGGATCCAGTAGGCCTGGCATAAGGCCTGAGATTTGATACAACGAACATACTCACAGGTGATGTGGATGCTCTCTGTTCATGGGGCACTTTGAGTATCAAGGTCTTAGAGTGGCACTATCCAGTATGGTGGCCACAGTCAGCGGTGGCTGTTGATCACCAAAATCTGGCTAGTTAGAATTAAATGTGCTGCAAGTATTAAGTATGCACTGGGTTTCAAAGATTCAGTATAATAAAAAAGAATGAACATATTTCATTAATATGTTTTACTGATTGCCTATTGATATAAAATTTGGGATATTAGGCTAAATATAGTATTAAATTAATTTTAGCTGTTTTGTTTTCCTCTTTACTATGGAACCTAGTAAATTTTAAATGATTTATATGGCTTACATTGTACTTCCGTTATTCTACTGCATTTTCTCAGTATACCAGCAAACTGTAAATAAGAAGATATTATCAGTATCAAGAAGATTCTGAATAATCTACAGCTGTGAACAGGTAGTCCATAGTTGTAGCATAAATGTACTCTGCTGAATGAATACATTGAGTAACAGGAATATGCCCAGAAAATCAAAAGCAAAAGAGCAGGAGATTGTTAAAAATGCATGTTTTCAAGTAATGTAGTAAAACTGAGGATGTACTAAAGTTACAGTAGTAGAAAGTGTGTACTAGAAATTTGCAAAGGCATTGGACTGAAAAAAATCTAAAGGATAGAATTTAAATGGGAGCGATTCCAAGAAAACCAATAGTATTTTCCTATTTAAAGAAATTTTACATGTTTACACTATGAAAAGGTACAACTGATATTGCTTAATTTCTTCAACATCATCTAAATATGCCATTTGCAAATGCAATTTTTAATGCAAGACATAGGAGAAAATACCATTTCTTGCTGAGCTCGGCATGGAAAGTAAATAAAATGTATTTTTCTCTGATTTAAAAATGTGTTGGGCACTTGGTAAATGACTATGAAAGAAAATACTTAAGCCATAATGTGAATATAGTCAAAGCCTGAACAGCAAATCAAGTTGTAGTCTGTCAAAATAGTGTATGTTAACAGAAAGCTGTCTGTCCACATAGAATTACACTGCAGATTCAAAAAGAGAAGATTCACAAAGCATTCATCTGAATGAGAGAAAGCTTGATAATTCCAGAAAAGAGAGACAAGAAAAGGCCAAAAATACAGGAGAAAAACTTACTTCTCCATTTACCTCGCCTTAAATAAACTTCATCTCCCTTAAGTAAGGGATTCCTATTTATCACTGAAGACCCAGATAAATTATAATTTTAATTCGGTAGCATTTTCTGAATCCAGTTAGCATCACTGAATATTTGTATACAAATATTTGTATTCTATTTTTGGCTCTAATGTTGTAATAAATTTTTATGTTCTCATATACCATTTTGGGGAGGATACATTATTAAAGGAAGTAACAACTACCTTCTAAAGTGGAAATTGTATTTAATGTTGAGACTAAAATACATCTTTGTCCATTCTTTTCTTTTGATCAAAAGAGGACAAGATCTAGGTCTACATTTGAGTACCCCTTTTAAGCCAGAGTGTTACATCTTCTAATAACAAAATTATGATAATGCAATTTGATTTTAATTGGAAAAATAAACCCTATACTATAAAACTCAATTATACTTGTAGCTCTAACTGGTAACTGCTATGTCTTGAAAGCATCTGTTCCTAAAGTTAATTAAACTTGACTTTCACATGGTCAAATCCTGCCAATTGTAGTTTCCAAATAATTTTCCTTCCCTATAACATTCTGTCATAGAATCACATCCATTTTTGTTTTATTTGCTTTGCTTTATAATACACAACCAAATTGTCTTATTATTAGAAAGAAGAAAAGTAGGGAGCCAGTGTTCTTATAATAAAAAAAAAAAGGCTTCTCATTCCAATATTTTATTCATGTAGGCAAATTTGAAACTGAGTTTTCAGTTGGTAAGGCTTTTTTTCTACAACTTTTGAAGTATGACCATCTACAGATACTTTTCTGTTGTTCTTTGCAAGGGAAAAAAAAATAGTTTACCTGACTTTCCTGGGCACAGACATTTTACTCAACATTTATTTTCTGATATATGGAGGAGAAAGAAAAGAATCACTGCTTAAAAACATATGTTTGTGCTAACTTTCAGAGGTTTTCTTGCAGTAAAAAGATTACCAAAAATATTGTCAAACACGAACAAATAAATATGAAACCTCAAGTTACTTGTCTTTCTTTACGTTTTGCTATAAAGAATTTTTCTTTTGTTCTCAATGCAAATGGTCATTGGTTCATTTTCTCTCACCCGGGACAGCTATGTCACATCCCTTGACTAATATGCATGCATTCGCCACTAAAAGACATTTTAACTGAGAGCTGTCACATCCGTCATCTCCACTCGGCCTGGTTAAAAATTTTATCTGCCGTCTTGAATTAATTTCAACCTGCTTGAGCCCAGCAGGGGAGTTTTGAGTGTTTTCGTTAAATTCTTCATTTTAAAAGAACATTAGAGTTCCCTATTTAGAGTTTTCCTCCACATCTAATTTTTGTTTCATATAACTGAAACAATTATATAATCATGTATCTGCAGAAAAGGAAAAAATCAGGAACAAATAAAATAATCATCCAATGTGACATTTTCCTGAGGAAGCATTGTCTTTTGCTCTTTCTTTTTTCATCAATTTTCCTGTTATTTCACAAGTTATTTGTAATCCCGCCTAAACAGTACACTAAATACAGTACATTAACAAATAAATATGCAGAATTTAGAGAGAAAGGAAATGAGAACCACAACACTAATGGACAATGGAATCACAAAAGCAGAAAAAAAAAAAGCAAAATAGGAATAAGGCCTAATCACCAAAATATTTAATAGAGATCACATCTGGGACAAGATTGAATGGAACCAAGTCAATCATCTATTCTTAAATCTGTTGCTCAACAGTTTGCTTTTCAGGCAGCCAACACAGATATTGGTAGGTAAGGAAGTTCAAGCTGTGAGTTGGATGAGAGTGATGTGTGTAGCTGATTAATGCCAACAGACACATCTAAATCTCCTATAAGCCACTATTGACCTCTGAGAATGTACATCCCACTTGACAAGTACTGAACTCGTGACAAATGTTTTGTCTTACACACGGGTTGCAAGTTGACTTTTCTAAGCATGAAGACACCTGCTAAGAAAGCTTAGTAAGGGCATGCATAAATACTAATTCCCCAAGCTAACATGGCTAGTATACATTAAATACTACTATCTTCACACATATGTTTGCGAGATACCATTAAAATTTACTTTGGGCCGGGTGCAGTGGCTCATGCCTGTAATCCCAGCACTTTAGGAGCCCGAGGCAAGCAAATCACGAGGTCAGGAGTTTAAGACCAGCCTGGCCAACATGGTGAAACCCCGTCTCTACTAAAAAATACAAAAAATTAGCCAGGCGTGGTGGCGTGCACCTGTTGTCCCAGCTACTCAGGAGGCTAGGCAGGAGAATCGCTTGAACCCAGGGGGCAGAGGTTGCAGTGAGCTGAGATCATGCCACCGCACTCCAGCCTGGGTGACAGTGCGAGACTGTCTCAAAAAAAAAAAAAAAAAAAAATTTACTTTGTCTCCAAGCTTTCAATTAATGAACTTTGGTTAGTAGCGATCTTAATACCTTAAGTCAAAGGAATAAGCAGATTACTGTTGTGTAATTATAACTCCAACATCAAGCTTTCTCAAACATTCTTTTAAAAATCTCAGAGGGAGTGGATTCAATCTATGCTTTTACTGTTATTTAATCAGGATTGAGGAAATTGTACCTTTTAATTAAGCTAAATTGGTAGTTTAAAATTCCCTATTAGATTTATTTTGTTAACCATAACTATATTATGTAATAGAGTCAATATTTTGTTTCATATTTAGCGGTATTTGCTTGACATAATGGTGTTTAATATTTGTAAGACCTCATCTGATATGAATTATTTTTGCGCCTGTACTTTTTAGGAAAGAAAATTGGCTGCAATATTAGTGATCTCTCCTGTGCTTCAGACTGTCCTCATTTATTGCTGTATTGATAAGCCTGTGTTGATTAAGGAATGGGAACATGAGAACTGAATACACAATAGTTCTTTTTATACATTGTTTTAACTTTATATGAGAAATACGAACTAAGAAGTTCAAGTAGTTTTCCTTTCCTCTTAAGCGTTGAGTGAAGAGAGAAAGAAAAAAAGTTTCATGCAGAAATGATTAGAAGAGGGAAGTACCTACCAATAACTGGGCTTCCCCCTTGCCCAGTGTAAATAAGAAGCAATGAAACACAGTATGTCCTCTGCTTAAACAGCCATCACAATATTGTGCTATTAAAGCCCCTTTAATCGATAGGAATGAACACAGTGGTTAAATCAAAAGTGGTAACCAAAATAGTTGATTGCCACGGGGCTTAAGGAGTGGGTGAAGGCATTGAAGGAGGAAGCACAGAAGTATTTCAAACCTACCTCCTTTAAAATTTACCAATTCAGCCATCTGCCAAGTTTACAGCTATTATTATCCATTCTTATTTAAATGATAATAAAATCACTTGCTGACAGGAAATTAGTCATGCAAGGACCTGCAGATGCACTGCCTTCTGCCCAGGCCTCGCGTCTCTGTGTGCAAAGTTCAAGGCTGCTCATTTGCTCAAACCGCATGGGGTAGTGAAATGGTGACAGCTTGAAGTTCTTCAAGGTATCCCCCAAATTCAACAGATCCTTTATAACTTTTCGGAGTGGATGTGTGTGTGGGAGGGAGTGTGTGTTTCTAAATGCCAGATCTTCTCCCTGATTTCTTTCATCTTTCCTTTGTTAGAGTACGTATTGAAAACCCAAAGGAAAAAAGAAGGTAACTATCTGCCTGTGTAACTTTTGCACAAATTCTTGGCACAATAAAATTAGAAGAAAGTGTCATATTAAGCAGTAATATTATAATAAAATTCTATCTTGATAGTCTAGAATTACTTTTTAAATTACACATAGTAAAAGAGTACACCAGGAAAACATTCTAACATACAACGGTGTGCTTTAGAGAGGAAATATTTCCATAAAACTTTCAGTATTATGGTGGTAATAATTAATACAATTTATTTTTGAAAGTATTTTGGTTTTACTTTAAAAGTTTATTTAGTAATGAAACTATGAGTATTGTATCTTTTGGAGACCATGGTTAATCTTATATGACATCAGTCTTAATAGTAACAATATCTGATGTTTATATAACACATTACAGTTTGAAAAGAGCACTCACAATTATCATGTCATTAAATTTCCACCCTTTAGGGCCCCCTCAAGTGGGCACCAGTGCTCCCTTTTTGTGGATGAAGATACTGAGCTTCAGGCAGATTAAAGAACTCACCGAAGGTCATGGAACTAATAAATACCAAAGGCAGCAAGCAGTCTCAGATTTTCTAATTCAAAGCCTAGAAGCCCAGATGCAGGATGACACAATTACTAAATGAGCATTTGCTAAACCTAAGAAAATTATAATTTAGTAAACAAGTTGAAATAGAAAGATGATAGTATTGTTTCTTCTTAGGTAAAAAAATTTCTACCATAAACAGGTGCATATTGCATATATCCCAGATATGAGTCCCCAGTGTACATATTTACTAAATCTTGGCCATTTTTCTTGTTTTGTTTTGTTTTTTGTTTTTTGAGACAGAGTCTCGCTCTGTCACCCAGGTTGGAGTGCAGTGGCGTAATTTTGGCTCACCGCAACCTCCGCCTCCTGGGTTCAAGTGATTCTTGTGCCTCAATCTCTGAGTAGCTGGGACTGCAGGCGCGTGCCACCACACCCGGCTAATTTTTTATGCTTTTAGTAGAGATGGGGCTTCACCATTTTGGCCAGGCTGGTCTTGAACTCCTCATCTCAGTGATCTGCCCTCCTCGGCCTCCCAAAGTGCTGGGATTACAAGCGTGAGCCACCATGCCTGGCCAAATCTTGGCCTTTTTACACCTGTACGCATACCTGAATTTCATGTTGTTTTTTTGATAAATTAGACAATTTTTTGCAATGACATCATTGGAAGAGATCAAGGAAAGGTAACTTTGGAAAAGACCCAGGTCACAATTCATCATCTGATTTATAATTCTCTATGTAATTGAAGAAATCATCTATTGATAGATATGATAATCAAAATGATTATTAATCTTGTCTTAATAATCACCCACCCCATTCAACTTTAAAAGGGGAAAAAAATGATTTCCATGGAGAATACTCATCTTTCATCACCCACTACCACGTTACCAGGCTTCCCAGTTTCCCTGCTCGCTGGGTTTGTCTCCTCTGTAGTAATGACCCACGGCTGACAGAGGCATCGCCCTTCCTCCCTCTCTCCACCCTCCTGTGTCTATTTAAATTCAAACATGCAAAGCTCATGTATAAGCAAACAGGTGCTGGGAGCAGGGGGCGGCCAAACCCTGAGCAGGCAGGAGGTACATGTGTATCTCGCTGATTGTGGCACACTACTGACAGAAGACGACAAGCCCAGACAATAGGCAGGGTCAGTAGGTGGCTTTTTGATTTCTCTGGCTTCATGACATGGCAGCAGGCTGGGAGTTTGTAGCTTGTAGAAGAACTAATGGCCTCTACCCTGTAACATTTAGCAGGAAGGAAATTTTCAGATGACTTGAGCAGTGGCTGTAACTGTGCTTTCTAATCACCACCTCAGGCAGGTGAAGAGCATGACAGCATCACCTCAGAAACTCAAGATACCAGGCGTCTCAGACCACAGCCAATGTTCAACCAACAAACAGCAATAATGCCACACTGGACTGAAGAACAAATGAATAAGCATGCTGTTAGATTGTTAACATGAGGGAATATTAATTAAAAAATAAGAATTTTACCATGGCATTTGCTGTGACAGAAAAGATCTTTTCTAGAAACACATAAACTGATGTGTTTATGCCACACTTATTTCAAGTCTTTCCATCGATTATCTCATTCAGTCGATGTGTGATGGAGGCAAAAAAAATGATGATAAACCAAGAAAAGTGCTCCCTTACTAGATCCATCATAGTTCTATAGTTTGCTTAATTTTTAGAGTATGTGGGAGTATTTTAAAACACGTAAAAGCCTAAACAATATTAACCTAGCCTAGTTAACATTTAAAAATAATGCCTCTGTTAATTGTATAAAGCTATTTAGAACTTCATGCCATATAAAAAAGTCAAGCCAAAAGACATGACTTAAAATACAGCGGTTCCTTCAGAACGTTAGCTACAAGAAATCACAATAATATCCTTGAAAATATAAATACACATTTTTTTGTTAACCATAATTGTTAGAGCCAGAAGGTTCAAACTTCAAACATGTTTCTCAGGAATCAATATTCATTTTATTTAATTTTAATACTTTTTTAAGGCTCACAGATCACTTTTACTTAGAACTCCTTTGTTGGACTCCCATAAAAATGTAATCTTCATATTATCCATTCAGCCCATGCACACCCAGCTAAACTATACTAGTCACTCTCCAGGTATCTATCATAGAGACTCTGAACTGTAAACCAGGTATAAAGCCAATTAACTTTATTCATTTCAATTTGAATCTAAGTACCTTCATTGTATATAATACTAACACTTAAGAGAAAATGACAAAAAAATAAATGTGCCAGGGCAACTGACTACTTCCTATCATAATATATGTTTTTACCTTTAGAGAGATTAAAATAAGACAAAAAAATGATGAGAGAAGTAGCTACTATCCATTTTTATCATCATGTTCCACTTGGCAAGGCATTAATAAAAAATTATTTCACAAGGCCCACAACTATCTGGTATTTGAGGCCTGATAGAAAACTAAATTATATTTAAGTTTATCACAAAAGCATGTATCTTGGAATTGATGAAAATCTACTTATCTACACCTCCTTCTCCCAGTCAGCTTACTTTCTAAAAATTAGTGACTAACTTTACATTAAAACCCCAGTGCCATATATTTGTCATATTTTTCATCAGTAGAGTCCTTTCCAATGTGAGTTAATGTAGTTGATCCAATATTTTATTTGAAGTTTACAAAGTTTAAATAAATTGTAAATCTTTTTTCTTTTCAAACAAAACTATGTACATATGCCTATGCATGTGCGTTTTATATATAGTTGAGACAAATCAAAATGTATTATTTTAAGAAGAACATACTGCAAAGAGGGTAGAAAGCTGCTGAGGGAGAAATCAGGCACGGAACAGATTCTCAAGAAATTTAAAATTGTTAGAGAGTCGAGATGTCCACATAGGAAATACTCATGAGGAAAAAAATATGGGACCGCTGTCTGCCAAGAGTTAAATATGGGGGACAAATTGCAAGCCCAGCAGGATTGCAAGGTAGGTAAAGGTATTAGGAGAATGTGTGGGAGAGTAAGCCTTGATAAAGGAAATACTATTTAATTCTCATCCTGGGTCATATTAATTAGGGAAATAAAAGGGAGAGTAAACTGGTTAAACAAGTCAGATAAGCCACAAAGTTAGAAATAAACATTACTGTAAGTGAGACATTAAGTGGCTGGTCTGTGCAGAAAAGGCATTTTCTGATAGGAATTACAAAAGGAAAGGTTGTCTAAATAAGGTAAGATCGGATCATGCAGGACACTGACAGTCATTGAAGGCCTTTCTTTTTAATTTAACCTGACATAACTTATTTTAAGAATAGCACGTGTCATGGAGAAAGTAAATGTTTTAGGACAATTCAATGGTCCGTAAGTTTACAGAGTGGAATAGAGTAGCAAAACAACTTCTAAGAATAGTCCCAATGCCTGACACACCAGTATGGTAAAAATATGAAGGCACCAGAATACTAAAAAATATGAAAAAAAAATGGGCAAGAAATGATGGATGTCAGAGAAATGCAGGAAGAATAGCAATAATTAGGAATCAAAAAATTTAGCAAAAATAGGCACTACTGATTTCAAGCGAGAAAAATACTCTCGACTCTATATTTTCTCTACTTAGGTTAAAAATGAACAGGTCTTCAGTCCATAAGTATTAAACACAGCTAAAAGAAGAGGCACTATGATTTTATATATACTGAGTTTATAGTAAGTATAAAATATAAATATTAAAGTGATGTCTGACACTTTAAATGGATGAGTTGTATGGTACATGAATTATATTTCAAAAAAGCTGTGGGGCCGGACGCAGTGGCTGACACCTGTAATCCCAGTACTTTGGGAGGCTGAGGTGGATGGATCACTTGAGATCAAGAGTTCAAGAACAACCTGGCCAACACGGTGAAACCCAATGTCTACTAAAAATAGAAAAAATTAGCCGGGTGTGGTGGTGCATGCCTGCAGTCCCAGCTACTCGGGAGGCTGAGGCAGGAGAATTGCTTGAACCTGGGAGGCAGAGGTTGCAGCGAGCCAAGATTGTCAAGATTGTACCACTGCACTCCAGCCTGGGCAACAGAGCCAGACTCCATCTAAAAAAAAAAAAAAAAAAAAAAAAAAAAAAGCTGCTGTTTAAGAAAATGGTGTCTGGTAGGTAAATTGCAAAGCTGTCATAAGGTACTGCAGCTGGCAGTTTGCTTTTTGTTTATTGGTTTGCTTGCTGGTATTAAGACACACAGAGTCCTATTCAAATCTGGATTTGCTGGGCTTTCAATTAGTACAATCTTAGGTGAGTTACTTCATTTCTCCCGGCCTTATTCATTTTGTTTTCCGTTGACAGAGTGACTGCTGAGTGCCAGACTTTCTGCTGAGGAAGGGGCAGGGAAACACACTTCTCTTTTCACTTGTAAAAACAGGGCTACTAGCGACAGGTCGCTGCATTGCATTGAGACTGGAACAGAACTCTGTATGTGCACATGCCTAGCCTGGTGTCTGACCTACCTCAGGCCCTCAGAAGAGGTAGCTGCCTTCTCCTCCCCTTGTAGCAAGCTCTAGAGGGCTCCCTTTAAAGACAGATGCAGAAGTAATAGGCCCTGTGCACCCTGAATGCAGCCATGTGTGAGTGGTGATGGAACTCCTCCCATGATTAATCCTGGTAGGGACCACCGCGTATTGATTTGCCTGCTACGTGGACAATTTATTTTGTATTCCATGTGTGTATAAGCAACAGGCTCCAATAGCAAAGAAGACAGATTTACAAAGCCACCTGACAAAACTGCTTTTTAGCCTTTATTATAGTCATGTCCTTAAGATTAGGTTATTATATATTAGCACTCCTCAGAAGTATCACTTTGGAGGAAAACAAATCTTTGTCTGTCTTTCTCTGAAGGGGTATATGTGCTTGCACGTCAGTGTACGTGTTCTTATCCTTTAAATACGTAATAAACATAATTATCTATACAAGTGTATTTCTGCTATATATTCAACATGGAACATATATTAAGAGTTTAAGACTTTATCAAATACAGAAGAATATTAAGGACAGTGTATTAACAAGTTACCTTGATAAATGGATTCTCTTTATAATCCATCTTTAACTCTCTAAACTTGGAAAAGATGTCCTCAGGATTTGGGTATATATATGGAAATTTCTAATAGCTTTTCATACAAATATGAGAAAGGGGGTGGAAGGAAAGAGAGAGAGAGAGAAACAGAGAGAGAGGTTTTTATGAGTTTGGATGACTCTCTTCCAAATGCTCACTGACTGTTCAACGTATAAGACAGCACAAGTACGCAAAATGGTGCCCATATTTTTAATTGAGTATGCAGCCTTTGGTTACTGTAAAACTACATTAACGGAATAATTTGCCAGTTTATGCAATTAGTAAACAAGTAGTCTAACACACGGCTAGAGGAATATGGCAGTATTAGTGCAATTCATACAATAGACTTTTACCCAAGGATGTAGCAGAAATGAAAAATCATTCAGTAAGCTTGTTTGGTTTGCCTCTAATTTATCACGGCTTACATCTCTTGCCTGCCAGCAGAGCCAAATTCATACGTTATTGTCCCAAACCTGTCACTTTCTGGACTGCTTTTTAATCTTCCTCCCAGAATTACATCCAGAAAGGTCACTGCTATCCAACTAGAACCTTATCAAAGATGCACAGGCAGTCCAGATTCATGCTTATCAAGAATGGGTCATAAATCCAGAAATTGCACATCACAAAGTGCCATTACCATAATGAATAACTGAGAGGGGGTAGGATGTAAGAAAAGTGAGAAAACACCTGTGCATTTGTCAGCCTTTGACTCTCTTCTTACGGGCATCATGGAAGGTGAACAACTGGAATGTAGGCAACAAGGCAATGGACCAGAGCAGAAGACAAGCAAAGCAATGGTCTTCAAGAGTGGGACCAATAGTAGGTCATTCTGCCTGAACAGATATACGTCCAAGGATAATGGCTGTTTATAAAAGAGTACATCTGTTATAAGCCTATTACAAGGGGGGGGGGCTTTATATGTACATCCCATCTTAGCATATAAAGGAAAGAGTAAGTACTGCTCAGCTACAACACAGAATCATAGACTCACAACGCATTACATTTCTATGCAGACTTTAATTCTCAAGAATCTGGGATAAATATTACTTGCTATAAGATCAAATTACATTGTTCATTTCAGGAAATACTTCATACACTTTCTTTGTAATCCTAAATTATCACATTGGGTCATAACTTTCTTGGAAAGTAATGTTTTCTTTCATCCTGACAATGAATGTCCTATTACCAATTTATCACAGCATACTTGTAAGTAACTCACTATCTGACACTCATAGAATGCAGTAAATAAAAATTTTGATTTAAACAAGTGAGAAGTGAGGAGGTAATGATTTACTGTATAGGAGGATTTATTATTGTTCTAACAAGAAGAAAAAGAAGAGTTATTATAGGTTTCTTTGAAACAGAAAGCCCCTAAAAAGTATTTGTAATAAAATTACCCAAATAATTTTACAAAAATGTTTGATTATATAAAGAAAGGGACGCCATCAGTAGATATTAAATTGGGACCCTGGGCTAAATTTTAACCTCATATCATATTCTGGGAGGACAAAGTGTTGGGAGTATTGAAGGTACATGTAGGTAACATGTTGATAGATGGTCAGAAATTCAAATACCCTAGGACCCTTGGAGCACAAACTTTCCATTGCAGGTAGTTCTGTGATTTGCTTGGCCTAGGCTTTTAGCACCCAGTTACCACCATACTCACTAATGCATATTTCTTTGAATGCTGATTCTAGGGATACTGGGAGGTATTATGTAATTGAATCTAAATCAATATCTGACATAATCTGAGCAGTGCAAATTTAATATCCAATTTCATGATATAAATAAAATGTCTGTCTCCTTATCCCTTCAGTGTTTACTGAACTGAATTGAGTGTCTGTATTCCTATAATGGTCCTAGCCAGGCTTTTAGTTCACCCAGAATCTAGTTATTATTTTAAAAGATCATTATTTGTCCCCCCTCCCAGCTTTAAAACATTTCATCTTAATCTAAAAAACTCAGCTAGGTTTAAGAACAATCGCCACAATAAAACTAAAGTCTTTCCGTCTAAGGCACTACGAGGTCATGTTGTTAACAGAAGCATTTGCATTCAATCAGGACGCTCACAGTTCATGTGTATAAAGTGGAATGTAATTGTTCATTTATAGAGTTTAAAATTACAAAAATCTGCCTGGAACTATGTCTGCAGTTGACAAAGTCAGGGCAAACAGCCACCCTTCTTTCATCCCCTCCTGCCTCTGGTTTGCAGTAGGGTTTTGACTTTCAGCTGGTCATGAGGAGGTAAAGATATACTCTCTGAGTTTTGGTGTTGACAAGCATGTCATCTATAACTTAGGCTCTGACATGTGGGGTTGTCAGGATTTGCCTTGATGGGAAAATGATTGACCTTTGCCCATAATTATCAAAATGAGGGGAAGCAAAGTGACTAAAGAGGCAGCTGCTACTGCGGCTGCTGTCCAACTTCAGAGAAAGTGGGGATGAAAGGTCTTTTTAAAGCCTGAGTGCAGAAGATACAGCCTACATGAACAAAACGTTTTATTAGAAAGTGCAAAATGGTAATAATACCAACATACTCTGAAAATTGTTCTGCCGTGAGCATGCACTGATCTTTACAGCTATGAACTGTTAACTTTGAGCTGGTTTCATATCTGCATTATATACCACACTTCCAAATCAGACAAGTGATGAAGGATGCAAAAAGAAACTTTAGGCAGTAAATCATATTTTTATTAGTAGGCTCTTAATACATTGGTAGATGTGGCTGCAAGGCTGCTTAGTATTAATACACCCTAGGTAAATGGCTGGTTAGATGAACTGCTCCAAGTACAATCCACTATTGAATTTAAAATTTAATAATTTTCAAATATGAATGGAGTGTATTAATGGAATAAAGTACATGGAAGGAGATTTTTCCTTTTGTTAAAACATTCAGATTTTGGAGGTATAATACAAGGTTTTCAACATCAGAAAATTACTTGTATAAAATAAAATTT
This sequence comes from Homo sapiens, assembly GCF_000001405.40. NCBI lineage: Eukaryota > Metazoa > Chordata > Mammalia > Primates > Hominidae > Homo > Homo sapiens. Next base: position 77,139,238 of record NC_000003.12, on the reverse strand, counting down.
TTCAATTTTTTTTAATCAGGGAATTTGGAAGCAGTTTGTCTCCAACTCCACAGTCTTAAGCATAATCAGATTAACTCTCAGTAACATTAAAAACTCTTAACATTTTCCTCTATTGCTGTTTTTGTTTCATCTCAACTCAAATTGTACTATAGATTCAGTGATTAGAACTGGCCAGATTGCTCCTATTCTACCTTTAATAGAATATAATTATATAATAAATTCTTACAACACAAATACTTTTAAAAACAGCGCGGTTGCTAAGTCATGGTCTAGCACAGAGACCCTCATGCTTTGCAACACAGAGCCAGAGTCAGACATTTTTTTTTTCCTTTTCTCACAGCTAGACACTTCCAATCTCATATTCATGAGGATGTTTTCTCCTCCCTAAGTGTGGAAGCCTGCAATTGGCCTAATCCTCCATAAACTCTGCAATTGTCCTGTTTATTCCACTTGCTTGCTTCTGGCCACTTTAAATTATGGCACAAAGAACACAGAGACAATCATTCCAAGTCTTTTCATATCTGTTATTAGTTGTAGGATCGACTTAGAACTAAAACGGAACATTAAACAAGGGATAAACAGGAAAAACGTTTTAAAAACTCACTCTGCATATTTTATTTGAAAGTTTTAAGACATATGTGAATCCTTTTATCTATTCACAATTAGTGTCTCTCTTTTCTGCTTATCATATCCCATGATGTCTCTCTAATATGAATACATAGTTTTAAATATTCTAACCTGGATACACTAGAGATTCTGCGACAGCTGCATTTTTCACTTGAAAGGAACTTCTCTGTTCATGATTCTCTCATCATCTTGAAAGTACCACGGCATCTAAACTACTATCGAGAAAAAAATCCGTAAATCAGATTTAAGTAGTTTGGTAAATTAACAACGTGTGGTGGAAATTATGCTACATTGTACTCTCATTGATAATATGAGTAATTAATTGTATTTTCACAAACTATAATCACAAATAAAATAGACTTAATAATTGTAGTAGGTCAATAGACTGTGATGGGTTTCATTGCAAAAAATGAAAAGCAAATGAAAACTAGTGAGAAACTAAAATTGCTTATAGTGCTGGTAAGGACAATTGAACCATATTTTCAAGTAGTCAACCCTTATTATAAAAGCTAAGAAAGAGTGAATTGCAAGAGAAAGGCTTTGGATAATAAGAAGGAAGGTTCCTGGTAGTCGTTCAGATTCAAACGAGTGTCAGAGCAATCTTTATATTACACGTTTACCACTGTGTCTGGCATATTGAAAAAAAAAATTCTGTTAAATTTAACTGCATTTGCTTGGAAGGGCTGCACCAATGACCTTCCCTGTCAGGGTCACAGAACTGAAGATACTGGGATGGCCAAGCTCTAAGAGATGATTATGAATATATCTGGCTGTATTTCAATGCATAAAGTTTCAGGCTTACGCAGATAAAATTGAAGAAAATGTGTCTCCTGCCTTGCGTTTCCTCACTGTCTCTTACAGGCAGGCAGTCGTCTGGGGAGTTTCTCTCAAGCACAGACTTGTCCGGGCTCAACAGACTGTACAATTAGACTCCCCTGGATAACAGGAGGATGTCCCTCGAAATCAGTGGGGATACAGCCAGAGTTTTAACAACTTTTATCATCATTTTGTTTGTTATTTCTCAAGGGACAAAAAGTTAAATGCAAATTAAAGACAAATTAAATGTGCTTAAGATGTTATATATACGGCCGGGGGCCCTGGCTCACGCCTGTAATCCCAGCACTTTGGGAGGCCGAGGCAGGCGGATGACCTGAGGTTGAGAGTTCGAGACCAGCCTGACCAACACGGAGACACCCCGTCTCTACTAGAAATACAAAATTAGCTGGGCGTGGTGGCGCATGCCTGTAATCCCAGCTATTCAGGAGGCTGAGGCAGGGGAATCCCTTGAACCTGGGAGGTGCAGGTTGCAGTGAGCCGAGATCACACCATTGCACGCCAGCCTGGGCAACAAGAGCAAAACCCTGTCTCAAAAAAAAATAATCATCAAATTCCACTGTGATGGCTTTATTTTCTTGAGAAAAGCTAAGAAGTAACAACACTAAAGTTACTTTAAAGGAGAGTAGACTCTGCAATAAGAGTCGTGAGAATAAAGTGAAACTCTCCAGTTCATCTTTAAAATTAGAAAAGAGGCTGGATGCAGAGGCTCACACCCGCAATCCCAGCACTCTGGGAGGCCAAAGTGGGAGGACTGCTTGAGGTTAGGAGTTTAAGACCAGCCTGGGTAGCATAATAACACCCTGTCTCTACAAAAAATAATTTAAAAAATTAACTGGGTGTGGCCAGGCACGGTGGCTCAGGCCTGTAATCCCAGCACTTTGGAAGGCCGAGGCGGGCGGATCACAAGGTCAGGAGATCGAGACCATCCTGGCTAACACAGTGAAACCCTATCTCTACTAAAAATACAAAAATTAGCTGGGCATGGTGGCATGCACCTGTAGTCCCAGCTACTCAGGAGGCTGAGGCAGGAGAATCACTTGAACCAGGGAGATGGAGGTTGCAGTGAGCCAAGACCATGCCACTGCACTCCAGCCTGGTGACAGTGAGACTCAGTCTCAAAAAAAAAAAAAAAATTAATTGGGTGTAGTGGCACATGCTTGTAATCCCAGCTACTGGGGACGCTGAGGTTGGAGGATTACTTGAGCCCAACAGTTTGAGGCTGCACTACTTCATTCCAGTCTGTGTGACAGAGCAAAACCCTATTTCTTAAAAAAAAAAAAAAAAAAAAAAAAAAAGCATATTTTATGCCCTTTCTTATTCATATATAGGAAAAGATATGAATTAACAAGACTAACTTTCCCTAATACTATTAGAATATTCTCAAATGGAGCAACAATTTAGTATACCATAAAAAATAGTACATTGGTATTTAATGATGAAGCTAATTTATAAAAATCTTAAGTCAGACTTAGGCCAAATAAAAACCTTAATCAAGAGAAATAAATCTATTATTTTATGAAAAGAACTCTGAAGTCTACTTTCAATGTCTCCTTAATTATCTTACTGCCTCCTTAGTTAAGAATAATATTCCAGATCTTTCTATAATTCGTCATTCTGTAATACCACATTATGTGTAGAATATATAAACAGGAAATATGTACAACCATGTCCCAAACCCAAAATACTCACAAAGGCAAAAGCTGGTAAAAAATATATCTTTATTATTGCTACTCTATGTACTGTGCTGTATAAAATCCCTTTCAGATACCCAGTCAATAATCTTAGGTATTTTTAATTATAGAAACAAACATTCAACATGCTACATGGAAAGTTTATATGAAAACTTTAAGCAATTGAATAATTCTGCTCTGACAGAATATATTACTTTCCTGTTTTTTGTTCGTTTGTTTGTTTGTTTACTGATGTTAAAATATCAAGCACTATTGAATGATGTACAGTGATGGAAAATGATTAAAATAAAACCAACTGCTTCAAGATTCTTCAGGTGAGTGAGAAGAAAGGGCAGAAACATTCTACAGTCAACATTGGTGTATTAAGATATTGCGGCTGGGTGTGGTGGCTCACGCTTGTAAATCCCAGCACTCTGAGAGGCCAACGCAAGAAGATTGCCGGATTCCAGGAGGCCAACAGCAGCCTGGGCAACATAGCGAAACCCCTTCTCTACTAAAAATACAAAAAAAAAAAAATTAGCCGGATATGGTGGCACATGCCTGTAATCCCAGCTCTTCAGGAGGCTGAAGTGGAAGAATCACCTGAGCCTGGGAGGTCAAGACTGCAGGGAGCAGAGATCACATCACTGCACTCCAACCTGGGTGACAGAGAGAAACCCTGTTTCTAAAAAAAAATTAATTAAATTAAAAAGAGATTGATTTCTCTGGAAATCTAGACTTGATTACAGAGATCACAATAAGACATACCCACCACAGACTCCAAATAACTTTAGGATCAAGTTAGAATCTAGTGAAGGTAGCATGTGGCTCTTTGGCCTCTATACATCACTCTTCATATCCTAAAACTAGAGTTCAAACTGCAGTCATTCCCACCTATCTGTTTTCTTTCCCTATTCCCAATTAAAAATCGCAGCATAGGAGTTTTGCATGTTGAAGGCTGCTGGTAGAGTTGTCAGGAGGTGTAATTGCTGCGCAAGCCTCTTATACGGGCTTCTAGGCTGATCTACGGAAACACTCAATTCCACAGCTGTCAAAGCACTGATACCAACTGCAGTTAATGACACGGCGTCATCTCTCTAGCTCGTTTACCTGCCGTCCTGCAAACAGATGGACACTGGCAGCAAACGGGGGGTGGGCCCGGGGAGCGCAGTGAACGGCAGATACCATATTTATCATAATCACTATGATCCACAGTAGAGGAAAATCAATTTCTCTTAATCGAGTAGAGTGACTTATTAAGGGTTATGAGTCCTGGCTGGATAGCTGTACTGATTTGATTATGTAGGGAGGGAAATTAGCAGTGGCCTCCTTCACAATCTTTTCCTTTGTCTTCTGGCTGGGAGTTTCTTATTAAATTATTATCTTATGAAAGCTTTAGTGAGCAGGTCATGCTTTGATCAAGAATAGACTGAGACATAGGTGCTGAAAGGGTTTCAGAAGTGTTGACAGGTAAAGATGTGAACATTCACGATATCCTCACGGCAGAGCTGTTGGTTTATAATTGAAAGGGGCATAGATAGAGCCTGTGTCTGTGCCAACACTGGAAACTTCTTGAAAAAACCCAATCCTAAGTTAACCTTTATCCTTCAGTTTCTCCTTCCTGTTTGTGGTACCATAATCCCAGATACCTGGAAAGCAAGGTATTCTTATTATGCTCTCTGAGAAGAATAGATTACTAGGTTAAAAGTCGCAAATGTGTTTTTAAATTTTTCAAGAATGCTTTGACCAAAATCGGTACTACAAAAATAAAAAGTCAAATGTGTGGTATATTTTTTAATTCTTTCGGTTTTTAAAAGCTTACCTATCATGGAGAAAAAGACCAAAAAGACTCTGTGGAAATAGCTTTTAAGCATTTTCTCATAAAGATCACCTAGCCTTGTTTTTATGTTTCTTTTCCTTTTTTTTTTGAGCCAAAGTTTCACTCTAGTTGCCCAGGCTGGAGTGCAATGGTGTGATCTCGGCTCACTGCAACCTCTGCCTCCCAGGTTCAAGAGATTCTCCTGCCTCAGCCTCTCGAGTAGTTGGGATTACAGGCATGTGCCACCGCACCTGGCTAATTTTGTATTTTTAGTAGAGACGGGATTTCTCCATGTTGGTTAGATTGTTTTTATGTTTCTATGATACAATTTTGGGAAATAAAACAGAATAAACTTCAGTTGTTTCCAACTCTTTTTCTGAACAATTTTGCTTGGAATTTTGAAAATATATGAGCATCATCAGATTTATTTCCTTCTGAATAAAATAGATAAGAAAATGACATCTCTCCCAACATATATAACAAACAAATATGGTAGGACACTAAAAATTACTATATTTTGTAAATACTTATAGTTGTATTTTAGAAATTATCCCTATGTACTACTAAATATGTCCAATTTTCTCAGTAATGTTATTTTAAAATACCAAGCAAAATTACAGGGTGAATTTTCATTAGGAATAAATATAAAAACTAAAGGAATCCCAGGACGGAATGTGTTTTAATAGAGCAGAGTACTAAATTGCTGTTTCTTTGCCTTTTGCAAAATACACAGTTCTTTACATCCACATAATTCCTTTCCTAATCATAATTTGTTTTATACGTAGATTTCAAATATTTGATAAATATAATGTCAAGATTTCTTTTGATGGTTTCAAAGTTCTTAATAGAGTTGTTATTTGATTTCCCTGAGTGAAATCTTATTGTTAGCACAGTGATTTTAACAAAGGCATGATGCAATTCATAGAAATGGGACAATGTGGGTTCCAGAGTCTTTTGCTACCTTGAAAATCACATATATGTTAAATTCTCTTCCTCCCCAGTGGCCTCATCGCTACCCTCTCAAAATATTACCTGACAAAAAAATGGAAAATTTTTATTCCATAATATGTGTTTGCCTTTCAAATCTCTAACAGCTTTTTGCTCCCAATGACCCCCAAAAAACTTTGACATTGTACTTATAAACCATAATTGCCACACAATGTCCTATGATGCATTTTGCTATATAAATAAATAAGCACAGAGACGTATTGAAGATTATAAGAAGCAAGAAGTTAAAAGTTATTTAGATGCTCCTATTCGTAGCTAACTGTACATGGAGCATTTATACAGCATGCTTCTATGCTTGGCTATTTCATATGGAGCAACCATAAACATCTCCTCTCCACTCATCTCTCTCTTAAGATGTATTCACTTCTGTAAACCTTCAACCTAGCACACTGCCTAACATGTAGAAGATGTTCAAAACATATTTGTTGAATTAAACTCAAAAATATTGTAAACTTACCACACACGGTTTACATGAATTATTTTTCATCTTTAGTAATCTTCATTTTTCCAGTGCCTCACAGTATTGTAGACATTTTCACACTCTAGAGAATAAAGACTCTTGTACTTAAAAAAAAAAAAATCAGTGGCCAAAAGAGATGTAGTGACTCTTTAGTGAATGGAAACTTCTACTCATCTATTTGCAATAGTTGAAAGTTTCAAATCCTACAGCTATACAGTTCATTTATTTCATCTAATGTTATAGAGACATTTTTGGTTGATCAAACGGTAATCAAGAATGACTTTTTTTCATCAGGACCTTCCTTGTGGTATAAATAATATTGCTTAAAATATGATAGCTCAGACAAAATAGCCTTTCCAGGGGCTGAAACTACCAGCTAGTTTAATGATAAATTTAAATCTGATAAAATTGACATATTACACCAAAAAAAACCCATATTAATCAGAGAGAGTTGGAAAAACATTTACCACTGAGGTCTATGTAGGATCATTTTATTGCTTATCAGTCAACAACCACCAAAACACATCCAAGTACTCTGTCTCTTGGCTCAGAGAAATCAAAACTACAATAAATCTTCTGACATACAGTATTACAATATTATTAAACATCATCATTCAATACAAGAGTGTTGGATAAAAATCACAACCCTATAATAAATCATATGCATTTTGTGGGTAAAGATTATAATAAGCTTCTTTTAATTCTCATAATTTTAAGAGTGAGCCATGGCAATATATTAGGTCCTATTCTAAAGGAAAACATGCACCCAAATTAATCCAGTTTAAACATATTTTAAATGACTGATTTCAAATGAATTCACTTTATAACTTAATAATGTATTTTCCCTATTTTAATGACACTATTTTAGAATATTACTCTTTTAAAACAACACAGCTACTCACAAACGTATATAAACACTCTACCAGAAAGTTGTAGTAATTTTCTTCCAATTAATTTAATTATTTTAAAAATTAAATTGTCAAATCTGATAAACAAAAGAATATTTCCTAAATTCTCTAGTCTCACAAGTAAATTATAAAAAGAGAATGGAGACTATGCTGTACTCATTCAACACATTTTATGGAGCATTGATAACTATGCTAGACACTTTCATATGTGGTATAGGTTTTTTTAATGTAAAGAAATACATAGTTCCTTCCCTCATTGAGTTTAGAGCTTACCAACAACTTACTTTTCATGTTTATGGATTCTTGAAGGTTACATATTTCCCCTTATGTTACTGGCAGGTTTAATATCTCCTAAGGATCTCCAATCTCTTTTTACTATTGATTTTTGTTTGTTGGTTGGTTGGTTTGTTTTTGCTTAGCATTCTTTAACCACTAATGCAGCTATCTTAAACGTACATGCCACCTGGATACAGCCAAGTAATCTGTATGAAAAACATGCTAGATATGAGTAAATCTGGAGAGAACAGACTTATCTAGAAACATCTAATGCCATTAGAACACAACAAAACAGCAAGCTACTGAAGGCTAAAAGAACCTGCCTATACATAGCCTTTTTGGTTGCCTGCTCTAAAATATGAATACTAAGGAAGAAAATTCAGATGCCTTCAGCATATCTCAGAGGGAAAGGTTTGTGTGTATGTGTGGAGGGGAGCATCTTTCAACCAAAGATCCAGTGTAGGCCTAAGGTTCCACCAAGCCATTAGAATTAGAAAGGTAGAAATGATACCCACATAGAGAATATGCTGGATCTGTACATCTCAGTCCCATTAATGCCATTTTCACTTTTGGCTGGCAGTGTCCCAAACTTATCCAATAATATATATATTTCAAAGGAAAAAGCAGTAAGAAATTCTAATACTCTAATAAGAAAAAACAGCAGAAATAAAAAAATTTCACTTCCATAACTAGTTAACGAAAGAAGTTTGCACAACGTAATGCTAACCATACTGTCAGTGTATCAAAATAATTCATATATAAATGATGGAAAATCATATATGTTTCCATTTTAAAGCAATCACTAGAAAATCATGGCGATTACTTTGAAGTTTTTCTACATAGAAAATGAAAAACCTTTATGCACACACACAGAGGTGCATGGAAAGAGGATAATGTGTTACATATATACCAAGCATTGAAGTACGTATCAATAAAAACTCCATAAAGCATGGTGACTGTAGTTAATAATAATGTATGTACTTGAAAATGGCTCAGATCTTAAATATTTTCACCATTAAACAAGACACGTATGTGAGGTGATGCCTGTGCTAAATATCAGGTTGGTGCAAACATAATTGCAGCTTTTGCATTGTTAAAATTTGCCGTTTAGTATTGGAATGCATTCATAAATAAATGTGGTTATGTTATACATCATTTTAATGCACATTTCTCACTTTATTTTTTTTTGCTAATTACTTATTACTTGCTGTTTATTCTATATTTATTTTAGATTATGGAAATGAAGTTAGACAAAAAGCAAATTCAAGTGACTTTCTTAATCGAGTTCAAAATGTGTCGTAAAGAAGCAGAGACAATTCACAACAACAGCCATGCATTTGGCCCAGGAACTGCTAACGAACGTACAGTGCAGTGGTGAGGCAAGAAGCTTTGCAAAGGAGACGAGAGGCTTGAAGATGAGGAGTGCAGTGGCCGGCCATCGGAAGTTGACAATGACCATTTGAGAGTCATCATGGAAGCTGACCCTCTTACAACTACATGAAAAGTTGCCGAAGAACTCAATGTCAACCATTCTGTGGTTGTTTAACAGTTGAAGCAAATTGGAAAGATAAAAGAGCTTGCACAGTGGTTGCCTCAAGATCTGAGCAATAATAAAAAAAAATTGTTGTTTTGAAGCGTTGTCTTCTCTTATTCTATGCAACAAGAAGTCATTTCTCAATCTGATGGTGACGTGCAATGAAAAGTGGATTTTATGTGACAACCAGTGACAACAAGCTCAGTGGTGGGACCCAGAAGAAGCTCCAAAGCACTTCTCAAAGCCAAAGTTGCACCAAAAAAAGGGTCATGGTCACTCTTTGGTGGTCTGCTGCCAGTCTGAACTACAACAGCTTTCTGAATCCCGGCAAAACCATTACAACTGGGAAGTATGCTCAGCAAATCGATGAGATGCACCAAAAACTGCAATGCCTGCACCTGACAGTGGTCAACAGAAAGGGCCCAATTCTTCTCAACAACAACACCCGACCGCACGTTGCACAACCAACACTTCAAAAGTTGAACGAATTGGGCTACAAAGTTTTGCCTCATCTGCCATATTCACCTGTCCTCTCGCCAACCGACTATCACTTCTTCAAGCATCTCGACAACTTTTTGCAGGGAAAAACGCTTCCACAACCTGCAGAATGCAGAAAATGCTTTCCAAGAGTTCGTCAAATCCCCAATCACAGATTTTTATGCTACAGGAATAAACAAACTTATTTCTCATTGGCAAAAATGTGTTGATTGTAATAGTTCCTATTTTGATTAATAAAGATGTGTTTGAGCCTAGTTATAATGATTTAAAATTCATGGTCCAAAACCACAATTACTTTTGCATAAACCTAATAGCTTGATTTAGTCATTGCACAATGTGTACATATATCAAAACATCCCACTGTACACCATAAATATATACAAGTTTTACTTGACAAGTAAACATTAATAAAGTTGAAAAATAAAGACACATAATTAGTAATAATTAATAATTATTACTAAAAATAAAGAAATAATTAGTAGAAAAAAAGACAGTTGTAAAAGTTTCTAAAAAGAGCACTCCAAAAGGAGAAAACACTTAAACATAAATAGGCAATTCACAAAAAGAGAAAGATTAAGCCAATACTCACGCAACAGCTTTTAGCCTCACTAGAAATAAAAAGTAAAATTATTATGCAATAATATTTTCACCTATCATATTAGCAAAGGAAAATATCCAAGGAAAAGAAATGAGTAAGCCTGAATTTTCAGATATTTTTTGATGGAAGTTTAAATTTTTATGTATACTCACTGACTGGTAATTCTACTGTATGAATTTATTCAAAGGAAATAACCAAGGTTGAGCACAAGGATTTGTATCACGGTATGTTCTTCATAGTTCATATATTCATATGCAACCCTGAAAAACTAGAAACATCCTAAATATCCAATGACAAAGAATTAAGAAAATTAGCACAGAACATGGGATGAAAGGTCCACCATTAAATATCATGGTGAAGAAAAACATAATATGGGAAAATATTTATGTAATTCATACAAGAAAGCAAAATAGATGGACTACACCAGCAATCTGAAAAAAATATTGCAAAACACAGTACACACAAAAACGTGCAAAAAATTAGTCATCCACATATTGTTAATAGTGAAATGTTGAGTAGTTTTATTTTTGTGTACAGCAGTCCCTTCTTATCCATGAGGGATACATTCGAAAACCCCCACTTGGATATCTGAAACCAGGGATAGTACCAAAGCTTATACTGTACAGTATATACCATGTTTTTTTGATCTGATAACCAAGAGGTCTCCTAAATGACTAATGAGAGGATAGCGCCCCTAGAAAGCAATGAGGAAAGGACTACTGTGTTTACATTCATATAGGTTTCAAGCTTCTGCACTGAATAGGTAAGCACTGAGAATATAAGCTCTAGGAGGCCTTTTTCTAGCTTATTCGCTGACATAGCCTTAACACCTGGATATGCACCTGGCATCTAGAAGTCCTCCCATAATCACCTGCTTAAATAAATGAGAAGTAAGTATAATTTTTGAAACATTTTCTATCTTAATGAATCATAAATGAATAAATCACGTTTAATTATAAAATATAAGTATCACCACACCCTTATAAGTTTAGAACCATCAAAGCTGGTTAACATTATAGGCGAAAAACTGTGACTCAGACACTAAATAATTTGTCTGAGGCCTTACATAGCTAGTAAGTAATCTTTGGTAAATGATCTATAACTAGGATTGAATGGAAGGTCCTTCATTCCCATTTCAGTCCTTGGTCTTTCACCTCAACACACAACCTCTCAACTGACTGGTGTTCTGTTGGTTAAGACTCTATTATTACATATTCTTTAATTCACCTGCTTGGATAAGTCAAAACTTTAGCCTTAACTGATAACACAACCTACAAGGGAATGAGGCCTTAATTTTCCTGATTAGGAAAGATAAAATGTCAACTTTATGGAAAGACACTACCTTAGAAAGAACACCTTTTTTAAGTTTACTAGCGGATAAGAAATACCCAATAGATATTTAACTGACTTACCCACACAATGAAAATCTTCTTTTGAGAAATTCACTTAAAAAAATAGAATTAGCCTTCTTTCAAGTTGGTAAATAGTCTTCTTGCAAAGAGTACTTTTGTCAATGTAAGAGAATTTTAGAATTCATGGTGAAAAATAATCTATAATAAAAGGATTCATGGTGAAAGATATCTATAATAAAAGACATGGTGGTGATAGTGAGGAGCACAAGAAAAAGTTCAGTATGTACAAGAGTAACAGAAAGCTCAAATGCTGAGACAGGAGAGAGGCAAGGACAACTGTGCGCAAGATTAAACCACAAATGAGAAGTGATCAGAATAAAACGGGTTTTATGTGCCAAGCATAGCACCGGACTGTCACATTTGAAACAAAAAAGGTGCTCCTGAACATAAGAAATTTTAGAAATACATGCAAATATTGCAGTAGGAAGACTATGAGGAGCAGGTGGAGCTTCCTGTAGGTCAACATTTCTACCTTGTTTTTCATTAAGAAAAAAAGAAGTTTCGGCCTGGCGTGGTGGCTCACACCTGTAATCCCAGCACTTTGGGAGGCCAAGGCGGGCGGATCATGAGGTCAGGAGATGGAGACCATCCTGGCTAACATGGTGAAACCCCGTCTCTACTAAAAATACAAAAAAATTAGCCGGGCGTGGTGGCGGGCACCTGCAGTCCCAGCTACTCGGGAGGCTGAGGCTGGAGAATGGCGTGAACCCGGGAGGCGGAGGTTGCAGTGAGCCGAGATTGCACCACTGCACTCCAGCCTGGGAGACAGAGTGCGACTCCATCTCAAAAAAAAAAAAAAAAAAAAAAAAGAAGTTTCAAAATCAAATATACATGAAATATATCCCACAAAGACTTCACCATCTTTCAAAGGAAAAAAAATATATATATATATATCCACCCATATTCCTTCTTTTTCTCAATTACATAACTTCAGAATGTTGATAGAGTTCCCTTGGGTACTAATGCTGAAAGCCTGACTTTAAACTATTGGACAACGTACAAATGAATACTGTGGAATAATTTATCATGAACTGGTGATTGTGGGCAGAAATGTCTAAAATAAGCCGATATATATTTGATGATCAAGAAGAAAACAACTAAAAATATGAACTAAAAATGCCAAACCACAAGGGATAATCTTTTTAATCCAGTATTTGGCACTGTTTTTCTCTTACACAAATTGGAATCTGTAAATCTGATTTGTGAATTTTAAGTAGGCCAATTGTGGATCAAACAGATGATTACTTCATTGCTTCTATAATAACACTCCTAGGTAACCAATTCGAACTTCTATTTAATGGTCATATATTTTCTTTTAAATCATCTTTGAATACGTTTTGGAAAGGGACTGTGACAATGGTTTAAAGCTTTATTCCTCTCCTCAGCTACAAGTCATCACAATTCTGACTGTAATGAGGTTACTCTGCATCTGTCTGTCACAAATAACCTAGTAACAACTAAATGGATTGCCATCAATCTTTCAATTAGAATGTATAACTTTATTAGCACAATATTTTTTGAACTGATTGTATTACTTTGAAAAAGGGCTTTCATTTACTTTGTCATTTAGGGTCAAATGTGTGCAATCGCTGGGAGCTGAATAAATGATAATAACCAGTTTTGAATTTGTAGGCTCTAGACTCTGCAAACATGTTTTCCTTTAATTATATAAGTGAAACAACTAATAGTACTTCAGAAGTAGAAGTGAACTAAACATAGCCATATTTTTATGACAATTGTATATAGTTTATTTTATGATATGAATTACTAAAAATTGCACTCTAAAATTGGCTGTTAATCAACTTATACTTCAGTTAAGTTATATATATACAACAACTTTATTATATACTAAATAACTGGTAAATACCTGTATTGAAAAAGCATTATAATTATGGTGAAGCAAACTTTTTCTATATCTAAGACACTTTTTTTCATATTTCCTCATGCTGAAAAGTTTAGATTCACTCAGATCACACTTTTGATCAGGCACGCGGACATAAATACCGATGTGTAGCTTGGTCAGCGTTTGTCTTCTTTCACTGATCAATCTTTTCGTCGTTAAGAAGAAAGAATATTGTGTGCCTATCAGTGAAACAAATGATAGAGACCTTGACCCCCAAATTCAGCAGAGTTAATCTTAGAATACTAAAGCAATAGCACCACATCTGAATGAAATGCAAAGTAATTAACAAAACAAACACCTACAGATGATATAAGTCCTGGACAGGTTGAAATTTGTAGTGATTTATGCTTCAAAAGCAAATCTCTTCCTTCACTATAGTCACCTGGTTTATATAAACAGCACCCTTAGAAGCAGAAATCCACAGACACTCATGTGACTGTGATTGGCGTGGTGCAGACAGACCACAACTATTATAGTTAATATGGTTTTTCCACTAAGTGTGAATATCTGGCCTAAATTTTATTATAGTTCCAGGTTTCATAGCAAAGAAAGCTTGTATCTAAAAACTACCTGGAAAATGAGCAAAAGTAGGGACATGCCATTATTTAAATTATATATCTTAAAATTGCCTAGATTCTTCCCATTGGAATTCTGATGTTACTGGAATATGAGGATATAATCATATCATATTAGAGTTAAGTATTTATAATGAGTAAAAGTCCAGGATATTATATGGTAGGAAGAGATACAGAAAGAGGAAAGGAAGAGGAAAAAGGAAAGAAAGGGGGAAAAAAGAAAGAAAGGGAGAATAAAGATAGAGAGTAAGAAGAGAGAAAAGGTAAAGGGAAGAAGGGAGGGAGGAAGAGAGGGTAAGACCTTGGAAACTGTAAGAAATTATAATGGATACTTTATTTGTTACTTTTAATTGGAACTAAAAATGGTTGCCTAAACAAGTTGTATACTTAGTTTATGACTAAAATTAAGGTAACTGCACTACTATTTCTGAAGCCAGTATACCTATTACCAAAAGTGAATGCAAGAATACAACAGACCCCTCAAGTTTTTCCTACCCTGATTATATTTTGCACAGTAACCCACTCCTACAACTCCACATTTATATAACTTATGTTATATCACATTGTGTCATGTCCATTTTCAAAGGTTCCTGAATATATACATACTACTGACTCCTGGATGGTCTTCGAAATATCTATGCCTGGCATTTGTGGCTCCTGTTAGCTTGGCTTCTCCTAACCCAGGCTCCTCATGAATCAGTAATATAAACTCTACTCCTATCACATGGGTCTTCTCACAGTCCAAAAACGCTACTCTTTCCCGGCTTGAAATGTCTACTTTCACCGTGCTATTTCCTTCTGATATGCTCCATTTTCCTCTCTTCCAATTTTTCAAATTTTGTTCCATTCAAAAGACATCTTCTGAAGAAGGAGGCTTCATCACCTCCTCTAACTCATATCTTTCATTCGGCTCAAGCCTCCCTGATCCTACAAAAATAATTTTCAATCATTTGAACTTTGAAGTATCCAGAACGAAAGGAGCAGAAAATATCTGCCTTTAACCCATCTAGACACTGGGCACTGGGATTTCCAGTAGGATTTTATTGCAAGAAAGCAGTTTTTCAAATGTTTTACACACGTATGTTTTACACACCATTGTGAACATATATATATCTATATAGATACATATATATCTATATAGATAGATTATCTACATATCTATCTATATAGATACAAGTGTATCTATATAGATAATCTATATATCTATCTACATAGATATGTGTATCTATATATGTATCTATATATGTATCTATGTATCTATATAGATAGATTATATATCTATGTATATAGATATGTGTATCTATATAGATAGATTATATATCTATCTAGATACATATGCATCTATATAGATATGTATCTATATAGATTATATATCTAGATACATATAGATTATCTATATATCTATATAGATACATATATATATATGAAAGCTGCTGTCCTCTACCCTTACCTACGTTTATCATTTTCTTGTCCACTCTCTAGAATTGTTAAACAGTTTCATATGTGTATGTCTAATTTTTCAAATTAGTGTGCAAGCAGTCAAAAGGCAAGGGCCACACCTTAATACACACCAAAACAAGCTAAATTCACAGAAAGCTCTAGTAACTATTTCAGTGATTAAATAAATAAATGAACAAAATACTTCCAAAGTGCTCCAATAATCAACCTCAATTATTTTCTAACTCCTCAAAGTTTTTGCACCTTTGTAAAAGCAATAATTTGATGAATCATCTTGAATTATATAGCCAGAGAAGCAAAACTTTTGATTTCCTGGAAACTGCTGCAGAAAAAACACAAACAAACCAACAAAAATTTGCCTGGGTGATAAGGTCTGGTTCCTTTTATAGCTTATTATCTTCCTTTATAGGACTGTATAATATGGCATAGAACTAAAAATCAATTCACAGAACACTAAATTTCTTCCTTTACTATTGTTAATACTCCCAGTCCATGTATGTTTATGAAAATCAACTGATTAACATTGTTGTGGAAATATTAAATCATATAGAGTTAATATCTTTATTGGCAAACTGCTTTTCAGAGTTCAGATCCTAAACTTGTCTTTGCTTTTATTGCTGATTCCTCTCCATTCTTCTCCTTTAATAACAAAGTAATGACTTTGATCAAACAGTTCTTTGCAGCCTGAAAAAAAAAGCCCCTCACAAGCTATTCCCAGACTTACTAGGGAGGACTGTATGTTGGAAGCAGTGAAATTAGCACGTTGACTCAAACACCATTAGTGTGAACTAGGAAAAAGAGGCAGTGTATTCACTTTCAATTTTGAATCTATCAGAGATGGCTTGTCGACATTATGTCATTGGCCTGTCAGAATGAGGGAACACAAGACAAAACTGTTTTAATACTTCAGTGCTCACAATATTACCACAACACCACATGTGGAACAGATCTGAGAAGGTGAGGCATCATTGGTTCATTTTTTATGTTGTCATCCCTTTAAAAAAAGGTGTTTGACGGGACTTCAGCCTTTTAAGTGGCCATTCTCTATGGGTTTACTATGAGTGTAATAATAATCTGATTTTAAATTAGCTAACTTTGTGGATTTCTACATATACTCCGAATATGAAAATTAATGAAGATTTTACATAGTAGCTATTTTAATCCACACAAAAGCAAAGGGGCAGCGACGGCTAAATTATAACCTCAGCTCTTTGCCGGGGCAACACTTACTCATTTACACATCGGCATGGATGACCACAAATTGACATCTGCAGCCTAAGGGGCAAGGGACACTAGACTGAAATTTGAAATCAAACAAGAAAATATGTTCATGACCACAAATCAAAGAGTCTACATTTTTAGAGTTGGGGAGCAGATTAATATTTAATACTACCTTCCTCTCTCTTTAGACATAAACACACACACACACCTTTCAGTGTTTAAAAATAGTTATCTACTTCATCTGTGTAGAACAAGAGAGTTACATCTCAGTAAATCAAGATCCTGAACTCCCATAATCAGAAAGTCTCGTTGCACTTTATATTCACAAAGAGATCAATCCTAAGAATTCTTCCTTACATTAAACACTCTAGATATTGTGTGAAGTGGAAAAAATATCCAGGTCATTGAACTAACACATGGAAATTCAAAAATCCCCTCTGGCTAGCTGTTAGGCTTTGGGCAATTTTTTTAAAAAAATCTACCCTGCCATTAAATTTCCTCAAAAAGAATAATAATAATAAAATTCTAAATATCAGTGGCTTGCAGTGAAGATGAAATGTGTATGAAAATTTCCAGAACATAATTAAAGCTCAATTTATGTGGATGAAAACTGAATTTTACACTGTAGAGTAACATAGTATATTCATAATTCTATAATATAGAGAAAACTGACACTTAGAATTATTACCCTGATGAGATCTTAATCATCCAAGCAATTCCAACACTAATATATAATATAAAACAATACCTACAAGAAAAATTTCAACAGAGCATGGTGGCTTAAACAAAACAAATCTGGCTTAAGTAGTTAAGCAGAAAATATTAATTAATTTATTATTTAATTTAAGTAAATAAGACTTTTATTCAAATAGGAGAAATTTTCGTTACTTGCAGATAAAACAATTATTTCACAGAGAACCCAAGAGAGGTCAGTAAGATTGCTGGATGCAAAATCCAATTGTATTTCCCCATTCCAGTAGAAGCCAATTAAAAATGTAATAGGTATCATTAAGCAGAAAATTTTAAAATCAGGATATTCCATTCCCCACTCAGTTTCAACCAATGAAGGACTTACATGAATTCATAGTGAAATGGATATTAGTTAAAATGATTATGCTGACAGAATATGAAAGAATTTTAAAAGAATATCAAAACCTGAGCATGTATTCAGGTCAGCATAATAATACTTTGGCTGGGCTCGGTGGCTCACGCCTTTAATCACAGCACTTTGGGAGGCCGAAGCAGGTGGATCACCTCAGGTCAGGAGTTTGAGACCAGACTGGCCAACATGGTGAAACCCCGTCTCTACTAAAAATACAAAAATTAGCCTCGCATGGTGGCAGGTGCCTGTAATCCCAGCTGCTTGGGAGGCTGAGGCAGGAGAATCGCTTGAACCCAGGAGGTGGAGGTTGCAGTGAGCCCAGATCGCGCCACAGTACTCCAGCCTGGGTGACAAAGTGAGACTCCGTCTCAAAAATAATAATAATAATAAAACATCTGCATTCTTTCCACCATTAATTTGCTCATAACACTGACTAATAAGAAATTATTTTGGGTTTCTAAGGGTAAGGAGTATGGTAAACAAAGCTGGCTACATGTAAATCAATTTCAAAATACCAATGCCTGTTTAAGTTCCCTGTTCTGCTCAGTATAAAGCTGCTCAGTTGCTTTTTCTTATCTTTTAGTTTTGGTTTTTATTTAAGTCCACATTCAAACTTAGCTAAAATGTATACTATTTTGAATACAGACAAGGCAATAGGTGGCAAAGTTGATTTTTCTTCAAAGCCAACTCCTATCACTGTAATTCCAGCTATGCCAATGAATTTTATCTTTGCAACTGCTAAAATGAGCATAACGACGTCAGGCTAATCTTAAATTCACAGAATAAAAGCAAATTCTTTTCTTCCATATTTTGTGCAGCTACTCCACATTTAAAATTTTACTATCAACTTACAACTATTAACTTAATATTAACATATGATCAGTTTTATGAGAGGTAAATTATAGTATGAATCAATCCAGAGCAGGAGAAAAATGTGATTTCCTTTGAATCTCTTCAGGACACATTTTAGAAGCTTCATAATTTTCCAGATTCTCCCAATGCCTAAATCTTTTTAGGTCATCAAAGTAAAGTTATTAGATTGCTATATCAACATCATTGACTTAGTTCTTTGCCATATCTCTCCAAACTACCTTGCCCGTAGGACAAATGTTCATGCCGGACACATGGAATAAATGCCAATGTCTATTACACGTTAAAATAATTGTTACTCTACACATTTGTAATCATTATCGGTCATCATGATGCTAACAAAATGGAATTTCAGTATAGAAATCAAGGTTGTTGATGATTCAAAACACTAATCCAGTATTGTAAGAGAAGTGAAGAAAATAATTCATGCTTAATAGGGTTTATTAAACATTCTATCATAACAGTCATTCAAAATTACTGATTCAAATGCTTTCAAGGACATTTGAATGACAAGAACATTAGAAGGAAGGCAGTACTTTAAAACTGTGGTTCTCAGTGTCTTTCTGAATTACATTTTACTATATGAAACTGGACAATGTCAATGTGCTCACATGAAAAATCATTACATGTCGATGTGAATTCCATAAAACCGCAACTCTTAGACTGCCAGTCCAGAGCCTCTAAAAATGGATAGCTATGTATTTTCTTTCTTTCTTGGTCTGTACCAAAAAACTCACACAGCATTAAAATACTTGCATTGTTACAGCTCTTTATAGTTTGTGACGTACTTTCATATGCATTACTTTGCTTAATTTCTCAGTTTCCCTGTGAGGTAACAGATAAGATCCGTTTCTATGTGAAAGCATCTGGAGATTTTACTTCCGTGCTTCTTTACCTAAAGAAACTTTGACCCATATCAAGTTACATTCATAAATATTTTCTTCTAAGTTGATTAATTTTGATGGAAGAACAAGTGTTCATGCTACTGGTTTGATCCATGTAATCTTTATGCTAAAATAATATACAGTCATACACCATGTAATGATGTTTCAAACAACAACAGGCTGCACATATGACTATAGTCCCGTAAGGTTATAATACTGTATTTTTATTGTAATTTTTCTGCGTTTACACATGTTTAGGTGCACAAATACTTACAATTGTATTACAATTTTGTATTAGTCTGTTTTCACACTGCTATAAAGAACTACCTGAGACTGGGTAATTTATAAAGAAAAGAGGTTTAATTGACTCACTGTTCTGCATGGCTGGGGAGGCCTCAGGAAACTTACAATCATGGCAGAAGGTCAAAGAGAAGCAAGCACCTTCTTCACAAGGTGGCAGGAGAAGAGAGAGCAAGGGGGAAGTGCTAAACACTTTTAAAGGATCAGATCTCGTGAGAACTCACTCACTACCATTCATCAGAGCAGCACACAGGAACCCTCACCCATGATCCAATCACCTCCCACCAGGTCCCTTACTCCCCAAGTGGACAACTCAAGATGAGATTTGGGTGGCGACACAGAGCCAAATCATATCAAATTTCCTGCAATATTCAGTATACTAACATGCTGTACAGGTTTATAGGCTAGAAGCAATAGGCTACACGTTATAGTCAAGGTGTGTAGTAGACTATGCCATCTAGGTTTGTGTAAGTTCAGGATATGATGTTCACACAATGTAAAAATTGCCTAATGTCTCATTTCTTAAAACATATCCCTGTTGTTAAGCAATGCGTGACTGTATATAACTTTTCTGTTATTGCATGCTTGCTTTACATAAAAATATCTGTTGACCTGCTCCTGACAAGTCATGTATAGTTTATAATACATGTCATTTCAGAGAGAAGTCAATGGCGTAGAGTAAAATCAAAAGGAAACTTGGGCATCAAGCGAAATAGAGTGCACGTAGGGAGCATCTCCAATTTTAAAATAACTGTGTAAAACATCTGAGGAAGCATAAGTGCTAGGCATCACATTTAAGAATTTAAAACCAATAAATGTTTAGTGTTCTAATTGTTATAGGGATTAATCTTTAAGGAAAAAATGTTACAATGGCTTCCCTACAACTGCTCAAATGAATTTCCAAATCAAACTCATATTCTAATCTGATCTCCCTCATTTTTTAAATTGTGTCTTTTTTGAACATCCACAGCAGTTTTTTCAGCCCAATCTAAATTACTGAGCATATTCTGTGACTAGAATTCATCCCAACATTTTCCAAGCCAGCTCTGAGATATCAAAGGAGAGATGGGTTAATTAAATGCCATAGTCAACTACTAAAGGTTTCCACAGAACTATAGAAGAAACCTCACTTAATTCTAAGACAAATCAGGAAGTCTTTGACAATAAATAATGGCCCACAATAACCTGTAATATTGCCACATTATATCACATTGTAAAAAGCTGGACATTCCAAAGGGCCTTTCAATTTAATGGCACATAGCACTGGTGTATTAGTGAATAAATGTAAACTGCAATGTCAAAGAGCTCAATCCTTATTTTGTGAACAAAGGTAACATTTCTAAGTTCTTATCAGTTTAGTAATTCAAGAGAATGTGTGAAAATGCATCATATGAAGATTAAGAATAATTTTTAGCTTCAAAAATATTTTTATGACAGCACACATAAATATTAAATGTAGGCTCATCAGAAAGTAGGCCATTAGGTGCAAGGAGTATAAAGCCTTAGGGATAATCACATGAAAGATTTACAAATGAGAATAAAGCCAAAATAAAAGTTACAATGTATTCTCTGCCACAATCTATTAATTTCTCAACAAATATAACCAGTTTTTAAAAGACATAAACTTACCATAAAACAAACTGCTAACCTTAATCATTTGAAAAATGAATCAAGATTATTCTTAAATTTATGTAGAACTTTGAAATACAGATATGAAGAAAATTATACTGAGATATAGTAAAATGGACAGAGGAATAGAATACATTTCTGTGTTAGATTAGCATTTGCAATAAGGTTGTTATTCTTTATTACTAGAACTCCCTTGGGTTAAAAGAACCATTCAGCAATAACAATAAACACAAAAATTTTGCAAATCTTATTTCACATCTTGTTTATAATTTAAAAGATTTAGTATCATAGGTATTTGAGTTGGGGTTTTATTTTGGTAATTTTATCACTGTAGTAGACCAAACATTTAAAACCATTATTTTAATGCCTTAAATTTTTTAATAGAATATTTTGAAACAAGTAATATTTTTATTTTTATATGTCACATTGTTTCCAAAATAATTCCAAGTAACTATTTCATCAAATCCAAAATGTAAGTGTAAAAATGTTATAAAAATATCACAAAAATCAACAAAGCATATTTACAGTGCAAGTCAGTTCTTATTCCAGCCTTGTGTGTAAACCACTGGGTGCTTTTAGATTCTCAAGTATAGGTGCAGAACTCGTCTGATTTCTGCAACTTTTGTCTTATTAAATCTGAACAAAATCTTTCCGATATTCAGCTGTGTGATCACACAGGTAGCTGAGCATGTTATTGTTGAAGAAAATGTGTTATGAGTCCTCAGATGATGGACTACACTGAGGCCAGATGTCAGAGGTGCTGAAATTGATAATCCATCAGTAATTTTCTATCTGTCGCAATAGCTCTGACCCACTGAACTAAATAAATATGTTTAATCACTGACTGGTCAACTTACCAAAGGCTGCCCTGGGCTAAGGCGAAAGACTTGCCAAGCATAGCACAGAAAAAGACAAGAACCGTAGCCAAAGGCAAGAAAATACCTGCATCCATCATCTCTACCCCTTTCCATCTGACTTTGGGAACACAGACTTAATTGGAAATCATATTAGAAAAGCAATGTTTAGACGAAAGAATTACAGGTAAATACTTCCTTGAAGTTCTACTACATTTCTTGTATTTTTTTCTAAGTGTCCAAGTTTAATGGCAAGTAACACCCTGAAGGACAGTAATGGAGAAGGAGCCAAGGAAGGGCTACATCACACAGTTCTCAAGCCATGTGACAATGGTGGCTTGCAAAAAGGCTGCTGGGCCCCTAAGATAAAGTTCTCTTCTGAAACGAGAAATACCCTTCAGTCATCAAGTAAACTAAGGGATTCACAATTGCTGAATATGAACAGTTACATGACAAGCCCATGCCATACAAACATTAATCACAGTTAATGAGATAAAAGCTTTAGCAATGTGTGACATTGGGTAAGTGATAGATCAGCCATGCTTTCATTGAATGTGCCAACAGCTATGTGATTATAAAGACCAACTGCCATCACTGTCCAGGAATGGAGCGAACTGAGGAGATTAGACGCACTACGCTGACCACAAACATTACTGATTTCTCCAACAGGATTCGTGGAGGTGCACAAAGAGCATTTCAGGTATTAAGTTCTCTGTGTCTTACTTTGCTACTGCCATGCACTGGCAGCCCTGCAGAAAACTCTTGAACTTGTTTATTCACACTTGTTTAATCCTGATTCTACACACTGACTTGCAGCCTTGTGGGGTTAAGAAGATGGATGAGAGGAGTCAGGGCCACGAAGGGGTCAGGGTCATGATGTCGCTAGATCTCATTAACTACATCACCCAAGACACCAGCCACTCCAAAGGTCACTCCAACTGAGGACTCTGGTATAGGTAAAGAAAGACTAGTTGGATAAGATAAACCATTTTTATCTTGGACTGATAATCACAAACAAATACAAAAGTATTCTAAATTTGCTTTCTAGTTTCAAATGCATCTATGTACTGAAATAAACAGTATCTTTAAATGCAGAATAAACTATCTTTAAACTCCCAAACAAAACAACAGATGAACATTTTTAAAGGGACTATAAAAGTTCGGTTAGTTCACGGAGTAATGATGATTCCGCTTATTTTTACTATGTAAAATGTGAGGCTTATTGTATTTGTTACTTGGTTTATAAAGTAGAGAAAGGGCTAATATTCACAAAGATATCACAAGAGTTAGAAAGCTAAAAAAACAATGTTTTGTGGCAGAAAAATATTTTAACTTATTTTACAGAGGTGTTATAAAATATTTAGCACTATGCCAATTATATGAAAACTTTGAAGATGACATAGCGCTCATATATGGAAGAACTTATTAAACAAGTTTGCAATTTAGATGACTCCTATTTTCTGAGTACATGTGCAAGCTATTATTTAAGCTTTCTAAATATTCTTTGAAAAATAGAAAAACTAGTTCTGAAATTTCTCTAAATTACTTTACTTACATGTGTAGTATTTTTATATTTTATTTTATTAAAGTACTAAAACTAAATTCATTCCACAGATTGTCTATTCAAGTCATACAGTTGACAGAAATGAAATTAAAACACAATGGAAGAAGTGGTGTTTATTTCTGTTGGTAATTTTTTAAAACTTTTCTGGAGTTTCCAACATATCTAAGATGGAAAGATGTTACATATAACCAGGAAGATAATATAACACAAAATAAATAACATTTTTAAAAAAATGAATAAAATAAAAACACTCACAGGAAAAAGATCTTTACAGTAGTTCAGATAATGTGGGTTCAAAGAGAGGACAAATGTGATGTTGGTTTAATATATGACTGCTACTTGTAAAATTATGCTATTTGGGTGAAAATGTTTTGGTAAATAGATAAAATACATTTCACCTAACAAAACATTTTATATACAAGGTGTAAGTCAAATATATGAGTAAAAAAATTACTTCTTTGCTTTTTTAAAAAAATTATTTTCTCTTTTAAAGGAAGAAAATAATTTAGTTGATATACTAGGAATCTCTACTTGTACACTTTAAACCTAAAGGGACCAGAAGTACTGGTACAAGGTGTGCATAATCTTTCAAAAAACCATTTGCCTTAGACCTGAATGGCTGATTGGAAAAGAAAAATGACTTAATTACATGGTCACAAGGTGAACGAGGACTGTGTAGACATGGATACATGAACAGCTAATTTCTCAAGACATGTAAGATTAAGGAAATGCCTCATTTTACCAGCAATATTATCAATTACTTGCCAACTATAAGACACATAAAGAAATGCTATAAAAATAAAATAAAATATTTTCTGGAATAAGAAAAAAGTCTTTTCATGGCTTAGGGAAAAGGTTAGCTTAAAAGTGCTACTAAATTTATTTGATATCCAAGGCTGGTGTCTTCAATTTTGAAAACAAAATATACATGATACCTTAGAAATATCTTTTTTCCAATGAACTAAGCTGGAATAATAATCACACACTAATCTCCTATAGGAGCTTGCTTAGATTTCCCCTTTTCCAGAGGGCAAATGCTTAGTCTAGTCTCACCTCAAATTTAAGAAAACAGATCCAGAGAAGGTAAAAGGTTTGCCCCAAATCACAGGAGTAGTTAATAGTAGAAAATGGTCAGAACGTGGTCTCTTAAACTCCCAGAATTATCTTTCTCTACATTGCTGCCCGATGAAAGAGGCTACTTCGTTTGTCATCTCATGCCTGCCTCTCATCAGCTGGGACTTCAGTTAAGTCACTTCACTCCTCCAGGACTCAGTTTCCATATCTAAACAACAAAGGGACTGAGGATCTCTAAACTTCCTCCAACCTGCCAGCTTCTACATGTATAGCTCTATCATGACCTGATTCATCTAAAGGTTGCCTTATTATTTTCTGATTTAATCCTATATTCATTTCTTATGAGAAAGCTTCCGTTAATGCCCCTATAATTAACATCAAACCCAAATGGAATGAATGGGAGATTTTCTTATGCATAGGGTGAGGACCCTTAAATAAGAATGAATCATGATAATATTTCCCAGAAGACAACCATGCAGTCCTCAAGTATGATTAACTAGACCGCTCCTTGTCTCTCTTTCTCCACAGAAATAGAACAGTTCATTTGCATGTCATCTGATACAAAGAGAGATTCTAGCATATAATGGGTTATTGCCATTGGGTACTTCATTAGTAAAGCTTTTCCTTATAATGTGTCAGGAAAGGAAAAGACAAAGCACATTGAGATTCTTACATCTCTATTAATGACATACACATTTGAAGATTAGACTCCATCAGCTTATCCATCAATCCCCAAGAACCAAATAAGTACTTAGGAAGGATTTCACAAGTTGACCCCTTTATAGGTAGTCCTTCTTAACAACAGGCTTTTGAGAGAAGCTGCTTTTAATACAAAATCCTGTATGAATATTAAACACAGCATTTTCCTCCTTCTTTTAAGAATATTCAAAGCAGACCCAGGAAGAAAATAAAAATAAATCAGTCTTTCTATCAAGCTGCTCTTGAATCTGGACACATGGGTCCTGGGGAATTACATGTTACAAATGAGGGGTTGGTCTACAAAATGCAATTGATTTAATTGCTTACAATCTCAATGGATTTTGAAATAAGACGTGCAAGACGTATGCACAAACGGGATTTTTTCAAGGACTTTTCAAAACAGTGATAATGCTAAGTTTAAGAAAATTATTTCTACTTTATTGAATTCCTTGTGTATAGGAAAGTGCTGAGAATTATTCTGCAACTGAAAGGGCATCAGAACTGTCTTGTTACCTTGTTTCATTATCCTGGAGATTCAGTTTTCCTCTGAGGAAAAACGTAAGGCAAAGCCATATCAAAACATATTTTATGCAACTTTTTAGGTTTATTTATTATTTAGGTTTATTAGGTTATGTTGTTTTGGTTGGCCCACAGTTCCTTAAGATCCCAGGAAAGAACACATATAGCATAATCACCGTATGGCACACCGAGGAAAAGCTGAAACTTTTATCCACTGATCCTTTTCTTTCTTAAGGTTAAATAGAATAAATGTATTCTCTCTTTGGGAGAATAGTTCTTGAGGTGCCGGGTAGGAACGATAGGATCTACTGATGTCTTTAATGCTCCTGGAACAATAATTCCTATTCCTTTAGCTTTTCCTTCTTGGGACATAGTCTTAAATCCTTGATCTTTCTCGGCAGGGCGCGGTGGCTCACGCCTGTAATCCCAGCACTTTGGGAGGCCGAGGCGGGCGCATCAGCCCACATCAGGAGTTGGAAACCAGCCTGGCTAACCTGGTGAAACCCCGTCTCCACTAAAAATACAAAAATTACCCAGGCGTGGTGGCGGGTGCCTGTAATCCCAGCTACTCATGAGGCTGAGGCAGGTGAATCGCTTGAATCCGGGAGGTGGAGGCTACAGTGAGCCAAGATCGCGCCACCTCACTCCAGCCTGGGCGACAAGGCGAGACTCCGGCCCCTGCGTCCCCCCCTCCACCCCCCAAAACTCCTTGATCTTTCTCCTTTTTTTTTTTTTTTTTTTTTTTTGAGACGAGTCTCGCTCTGTCACCCAGGCTGGAATGCGACGGCGGCGCGATCTCGGCTCACTGCAACCTCCGCCTCCTGGGCTCTTCCCGACTAGCTGGGACTACAGGTGAGCACCGCTACACCCGGCTAACTATTGTATTTTTTTGTAGAGATGGGGTTTGACCGTGCTGCCCAGGCTGGTCTTGAACGCCTGGGCTCAAGCGACCCGCCCACCTCGGCCTCCCAAAGTGCTGAGACTACAGGCGTGAGCCACCGCGCCCAGCTGATCTTTCTCCGATAGTGACATTTCAGTTGTAATGGTGAATTTAAACAGGTACTTAGAAATATTCACAATAATCCATGCATAATTTTAGCAGCAAAGGATCAAGACGCATTGCATCTCTTTATTAACCTCGTTTAAAGTAGGGACTTCTTGCCAGCTCCATAATGCACTCTACTCATTAAGTCATGTTTTGGGCATTCTTGCCAAACTCCCATGAACAAACATTCCTCTCTTTTCTTTCCCTTCCCCTAAAAAAGAAAATGAAATAAAATCTATCCTTAAACTAAAAAACTGCGATGTAACAAAAATCAAAGATATGAAGATAAATTCATGAAACTGTACACAGAATGTATCACAAGTTAAATGTATAAATTTAAAACAGTAAATACATGAATTTGAATAAGATTTTTAACAGATCATGGACACTCAAAATATGAATTCATCAATATTTAAGAAAAACAAACATTCAAATGCTTTCCAAAGAACGATTCAGTTCCAAATTCATTTTTATGTATATTATTAATGTCTACTTAAGATAGCTCGACAACTAATTTTAATATTTTATTTTGTACTAAGTATAGATTCACAGGATCTAAGAGAGATACTACTAGTATCTCTAGTAGTAGACATACTTCCTGTGTATACTTATTTTAAAATAAAAAGGATGTCAGATTATTAGTTTTATTTAATGTTGAATTTTGATATATCTTTATAAATTCTAGATATGCTTTTTTCAGATATGTGGTTTGCAAGTATGTTCTCCCTGTATGTAGCTTGTCTTTTTTTTCCATAAACAAGATCTTTAAAAGAATTAAAGTTTTAATTTTAATAAAGTCAAATTTATTAATTTTGTCTTTTGGTTAATGCTTTATTCTTCACCAAATTCTAGACACAAAGGATTTTCTCCTTCGTTATTTTTTAAACATTTTATAGTTTTAAGTCAGGCCCAATGGTTCACACCTGTAGTTCCAGCACTTTGGGAGACCAAGGCAGTTGGATAGCTTGAGCTCAAAAGTTTGAGACCAGTCTGGGCAAGAGAGTGAAACCCCATCTCGACAAAAAGTACAAAAATTGGCTGGGCTTGGTGACACATGCCTGTAGCACAAGCTACTGGGAAGACTGAGGTGGAAGGATCACTTGAGTCTGGGAAGTCAAGGCTGCAGTGTGCTGTGATCACGCCACTGCACTCCAGCCTGAGTGACAGAGTGAGAACTTGCCTCTCTCTCTCTCTCTCTATATATATATATGTATATACATATATACTTATATTTACATTTATATATTTATATATATATAGTCTTATGCCTTACATTTAACTGTATGATCCATTTCAGATTAATTTTTGCATAATTTGTAAGGTTTAAGTCAAGGTTCTGTTCATTTATATTTTTGCCTGTGGATATTTAATTCAGCATCATTGGTTGAAAAGGCTATGCTTCCTCCTTTGATTCATTTTTAAATATAAAAAAATAAAAAGAGTAATTTGAAAGTCAAATAGACCAATGTTAATGATACTATGTATTGAACTTTGAAACTATCTAAGTCAGCAAATGTCCACAAATACATATAGCAATGAAATAATGCATATAAATATGTTAATGACTCAAAAAACTCCAGAAAGTATCCTAAAGTAGTAAGATATCATTGCTATTATCATATTTCTTTTTCTATAAAACTTAGTCAAGTTATCTTTGGATATTCAATGATAGATGACTTGTCTTATAAATTGGATTCTTAATCTCCAAGCTGCTTTGGCCTGCAAACATGTCAATGAGAACTGAAAGTGATGGATTTTCTTGATGCTAATATTTGACAACTAGGAACTGTACAGAGAAAATCAAATTACTGGAATAAACTAATGAGCTCTCAAATGTCAATATGTAACTAAATAAAAAAATAGAAAAGATTACTCTTTCTGTTGTTTCTTTCCGTCATATCCCAGGAATCACAGAATTGTTTGCGCCAAAATGCTACTCTTGGACTTCACCTATTCCAGGGGTCATCATTGTATTTATACAATTGAATAACTGTTTCTGGGTAAAATACCTAAGGCAATGCTAATGACTCTTTTAAGTGTCAAATGATTTTGTTTGCTTGTTCAAGTAAATCAGTGAGGATGCTTAGCATAGTAATTAAGAAAGCAGGCTTGAGAGCTAGGCTGCCAGCGTTCAAATCCCAGCTCTCCTTTCTGTGTACCTCAAATACAATAGAGAGAAAATAATAGTACCCAAATTTTAGATTTGTTTTGAGAACTGAATCAGCCATAAGTGTGAAACACAGAAATAAGCCTGGCCCTTAGCAAGCCCCAGAGATTATTATTAATTATTTTCTCCCTAGCAAAATCATTTCACCTGTTCCACATTCTCTTGCAGAGTCAGCCTCCTTCTCCTCTGTATTTCACACCAGAGCAACTCCTCCTCCCTCACTCTCACATATACCACATTCTAGACCATCCTATTGAATGTTCTTTGATGGCAAGAGCCATGCCTTGGTTTTTGTTGTGGTGGTGGTTTATTTGTTTTGTTAATATTTTCATGTTTTAATTGTGGCAAAAAAAATGCACAACATAAAATATACCATCTTAGCCATTTTTAAGTGTACAGTTCAGTAGTGTTAAGTATATTCACACTGTTGTGTAACAGATCTCTAGAACTTTTTCATCTTGCCAGCTGAAACTCTATACCCATCAAACAAAGCTTGTTCTAAGTATCTGTATCCTAACACCTAGGTGAGTACCGACCAGTAGAAGGTACTGTACAAAACTCTAGCAAACTAAATTTAAATCTTCACTTGAACTACAGATGCGTTTTTTAAATTTCTATCAACCTTTTTTTTCAACATTTTATCTCCTCTTTTCCTATTCTGAACTTAATTAATCAACTTAATCCTCATCCTACTATACCTGAACATACAGTAGATTTCCTCCCTCCACACTCTTGGGCTCCCATCTACCCCACACTGTGTTTATCATGTCTCCTTTTACACCTCACTTCCAAATAACAAGCCCACATCAAACAGTGCTCCCTTGGGTTCTAGGATAACATGAAAGCTCATCAATTCGTTTAGTCATTACTAATTTCTACCTCGCTATTTAAATTATCTCCCTCTACTACCCTACATCTACTCCCCAATTAAGCTAATACATTATTTGTGCTCGAAATCTGGCCAAGCACAACCTCAGGGTTTTGCTTTTATACTTCTTTCCAGTTTTCTAAGTCCATCTTTCATTCAGACTCACCTAGAAGCAACTTGCGGCCCCTCCTCACTCCTGCAGTATGCCCTGTCTGAAGGCCCCTACCCTACATCACCAGGGTGGAAGGTTCACTGCCACCTGAGGCGACTCAGACTCCTCATATGCAGCCCAGCACCAGAGGTGCTCTTTAACCCGTTTTACTCTTAACGATTAGGAAACCCAACAAAGATGTTTAAACATTGATTTAAGAGAAAGTATTCTCTGGCCCTGATGGCTCATACTTGTAATCCTAGCACTTCGTGAGGCCAAGGTAGGGGGGGGTCACATAGGGCCAGGAGTTCCAGACCAGCCTAGGCAACACAGTGAGTGGGATCACATCTCTAATATCACATCATATATACATATATATATATGCATATGTGTATACATATATATATATGCATATGTGTATACATATATATATATGCATATGTGTATACATATATATGCATATGTGTATACATATATATGCATATGTGTATACATATATATATGCATATGTGTATACATATATATGCATATGTGTATACATATGTATATATAAACA
This sequence comes from Homo sapiens, assembly GCF_000001405.40. Classification (NCBI taxonomy): domain Eukaryota; kingdom Metazoa; phylum Chordata; class Mammalia; order Primates; family Hominidae; genus Homo; species Homo sapiens. The sequence continues at coordinate 77,108,152 of NC_000003.12, read as the reverse complement.
TGGATACACACATATATGTATAATATACTCATTCAATATGAATAAGTAAAGAAAGCAAGAAGGAAAATGAGGTAGGTGGATTTATATAAAATGGTTTATATCAAATATACCTCATGTTAAGAAAAAAATATATGTATGTTTATATGCACACACACACATATATATGTATAATGTACTTGTTCAATTTGAATAAGCAAAGAAAGCAAGAAGAAAGAAAATGAGGCAGGCAGATTTATATAAAATGGTTTATATCAAATATACCTCATGTTATGGAAAAAATAGTTACATTTCATTTCCATATATAGATACTGTAACGTTTATTCCAAAATCTTGGTTCAGACTTAAATGTTAGATAATCACACACAAAAAATGTGATGCTTGCCTTTATAGTTGCATTACTAGGAAACGGCCTGGCTCTCAGAAAGAGGCACATTCGTTCCTTGGTATCCAGAGGAGACTGGTCTCAAGACCCCTGAATTGGATGCTCAAGTCCATTTTATAAAATGGCATAGTATTTACATATAGCTACACATCTTCCTGTATATATTAAATCATCTCTTGATTACTTATAATACCTAATACTATGTAAATGATATGCAAATAGATGCTATACCACATGATTTGTAATATTTCTTGTTGGTATATTTTTGTTAGTTTTTAAAAATTATTTTTAATTCGCAGTTGGTTAACTCCTCAGATGAGGAACCGACAAATGTGTAGGGCTGCCAATATCGGTGAGAAAGAACAGCCTTTTCTCTACTTGGGTGTTAATTTAAGCTCAATTTCCAGGCCCTGTCTGTCATTGCATCCAAACACCTGCCTCTCTTACAACCCTTGCTTGAAGTCTCTCCAAAGGCCAGAGCTGTGGTCAGAACGTTTATATCCCCCCAAAATTCACATGTTGAAATCTTATCCCTGAAGGTGATGTCACTGAAGGTGGAGCGTTTGGAAGATGATTAGGTCATGAGACAGAGCTCTTCTAAATGGGATTAGTGCCTTTCACCTTGTGAGGATGCCGTCTATGAACCAGGAGGTGGGGCCTCACAAAACCCAGCCATGCTGGCTCTCTGAACTCAGGCTTATAGGCTCCAGAACTATGAGAAATAAATTTATTTTCCTAAAAAGCTACCCAGTTTATGGTATTTTCTTGTAGTAGCTTGAACAGACTAAGACATCCAGAGTTGTTAAACTACTGACGTCTTAGTAGACAAAGGAGGACTATGTTAGAAAACTTCAAATAGTTTAGAGAAACAACCCAACCTGGGGCTCAGTAATGCTTTCATAGAGTATTTTTTGGGAGACAGTGACAAAAAGTGGATGAATATCTAATTGACAAAAATGTATAAGTATTTTTAATTCAGAAATGGGTGGTTCAGAATTGCTTTTGAAAATCTCCTAAGAGGAAAAATCAATTCTAATGGTATATAGTGGAGAGAATATCTTAATACTATTGAACCTCATCCCTTAGCAGCTAAATCATAGACTGTTAGAAACATCTATAAAGCAAAAACTTTCATAGTTAAACAAAACTTCACCTATTGTTTTTACTTCTATAATTCTGTAAAGGCCTTATCATATATACTGACTCATGCTTAAAAGAAGTGTAACCTTCCTTAAGTAATTATAGATCTAAAGAAGGGAAATTGGAAATCTGTATTCTGCCGAAACACAAATCCTGGGAGAAAAGCATATGAGTTACTGCACGAAATTATATTTCCTAAGCTAATGTCAACCTACCTACATTTTCAGTAAAATCAACTTGCATCTACACACCAGCTGAAATTTAATAAATTAAAAATTTATAGTAAGAGGCCGGGCACGGTGGCTCACACCTGTAATCCCAGCACTTTGGGAGGCCAATGAGAGAGGATTGCTTGAGGCCAAGAGTTCAAGACCAGCCTGGGCAACATGGCAAAATCCCATCTCTACTAAAAATACAAAAATTAGCCAGGTTTGGTGGCACCTGCCTGTAGTCCCAGCTACTTGGGAAGCTGTGGTGGGAGAATCGCTTGATCCTGGGAGGCAGAGGCTGCAGTGAACTGAGATCACACCGCTGCACTCCAGTCTGGGTGACTGAGCCAGACTCCATCTCAAAACAAACAAACAAACAAAAAATTACAGTAAGAAATAAATTCAAAATCCTAAATTATTTTTCTTAACTTTATATGAAAAGGGTTTCTGGGATCGAAAACCGGAGCAGACCTCAACATATTTTATCTCCTGAACTCTTAGTATCACTATGAATATGTTTCCTTGTCATTTTATGGATAGGATCTACTTGACTGCAGACCTCAGGATCATACTCAGAATTATACTGTTTATGGGAATAAATTTTTGAAAAGTAGAGGACACAATGACTTCACTTCATTTATGTGCTTTCCTGGGAGTCAGAGTTAATTCAGGCTAATTGTCAGTGAATGGCAACTTGAGACTTGTTGAGAGAGAGTTTGAATACAGTTAATTCAATCAACAGAAATAAACCTCGTATCAAAATACAGCATTATACATACTTAAATAGATCACAAATTCATACACGTTCCCCAGGTGTAGCAATTTCACACCTTCATTTGTGAAGATCAAAGGAGAGACTGCATTTGAAAGTATTTGATGGAGTATGGCAAAATTAAAAGGCACACTCACAAAACAGCCAAAATAACATATTAGCATTATCCTGTGAAGTACCTGGAGCTAGGGAGCGTTTTTCAGCTGTGTAAGTATCCTCCTCCCCTACCACCCACCATCACCACCAAAAATATATGAAATCTCACCTGACATTTGTAGAAATGCAAATGGAGAAAATTACAAAAAACGAAAGTTGCTCCTATATTCTTTTTGGTCCTCACCTGTAAATATTAGTTCCAGTCCAACTCATCGCCACGGAGTTTGCATTTAAGTTGATATGTTTGTTTGTGTGCTTCTTTGTTTTAAGAAAGATAGAGAATGATAATAGTTCTTTGTTTTCCCACTCTTAGACTTACTTAACTGACTTCTAGTATAATTGTTCATTAATTTCTTAGTCTGAACCTGACAAGTGAAAGAAAAAACCTCAGTATATTTGGAAGAGAAAGTAACCCGAGAATGAAGAAAGTACTGTCAGTTATTCTCAGGAAGGGTAACGTCAGCTTCTGAGAAGACAAATTGCCAGCTTTCAGAACAAATACAAACAGAACAGAAAATGAAGTGAAGACTCAAACAGTAAGATTATCCAACTTAATTGGGACCAAACTGAAAACAGTCTAGTAGAAGTTACACAAGGATTTATTAGGAACTTTGTGGCCATCCGTTGTTTCCATATGGTTAATTGTTCTATATTTTTAAATAGTTGACTCTTACCTGAAATTATGGACATACGACATAGAAAATCTAACATAACAGTCACATAATAATATGGATAAAACAGTAGAAATGTTTTATGACTGTGTTTCATATTGAGAGGTGAGTTGGATACAGTTACTTCAATGCACCAGTAAATATCATTTAATCTACACTTAATAATAATTACATATATATTCTTCAAAAAGTTAAACAGTTACCATATGACTCGACAATTCTACTCTTAGGCATAAACTTATGAGAATACCCAAATGAAACCATATGTGCACACAAAAATGTGTATCAAAATTTCCATAGCAACATTGTTCATAGCAGAAAAAAAGTGGGAGTAATGCAAATGTCTATCATACAATGAATGGATAAATAAAAAGTGGTTATGTTGATACCATGAAATATTATTGAGCAATAATGAAGAATAAAGTACTAATACATGCTAAACAAACAGGATCCTTGAAAACATTAATGTTAAGGAAAAGATGCTATTATAGTCACACAAGACAATATATTGTATGATTCTAACATATGAAATGTCCAGAATAGGAAAATGTATAGCTATAGAAAGTAGATTAGCATTTACTTAGGGCTGGGGTGAGAGGGTGCAGGAATGGGAACTGAGTTCTAATGGGTATAGAGTTTATTTTAGGATTGAGGAAAATGTTCTAAATTTGATTATAGTGTTCATTGCACAACCCCATGAATACACCAAAAACATTGCTTGTATATATTAAATGAGTAAATGATATGGTATGTTAAATATATCTCAATTAAGCATTTTTTTTAAAAAGCTCTCTATGGATTGATCTTTTTGCAATTTAATTTATCTTGTGTCTTTATGATGTGTAAAGGTATTTTGCCTAGATAAGATGCATTTACAGCCAAAATAAAATAAAAAACAAACATTTACATATTTATTAACTTGAGGAGATCAAGGAAGCTCTTTACCTTGTCTTCATTTTCAGTGCCACCTGTGCCCTCTCATACTAAAGTCAGTCTACTTCTGTAGCCTCTCTTCTTTGTACAGATAAACCATCAATTTAATTTTCTATTTAAGCAAACAGGAGCATTATGTTTGGACAGTGTTCCATAGCTTTGCTATTCTCGCAATCTGTAACCCTATAAATAATGCAAGACCTTCTTCTTCTCTAAATGACTTTCATACAGCATGAGTCTTCATACAGAAGACAAAAAATAAGAGAAAAAGAAAAAATAATCATCCTGAAGTCATGGAATTCAATCTATTTCCAGTTCCATACTTGAATTATGAATCACATCTGTTCTCTCTTGTAACTGCATCAAAAGCCAACTTTTGAACATGTAGTCATTTTATTTATCAAAGCAAAGGTAAATCACAGCTAATCTGAAAAGTTTCTTGTGTTTTGCTTTAGCAGTAAGAAAAAAGAAAAAAAAAAAAAGATTGGTTTCTATGTGACCCCTGACCTTTGAACCACAACCTCCTTGCCACTAAAGCGTTCAGCACCTCATTTAATCTCTACTCTCTGCACTGGCACAGTGCTGAGAAAAGGAAACGGAAAAAATAATCTGGGGACTTCATCAATTTTTCATGAATTTTCATTTAGGCCAGAACCCCCTCTTACCCTGGTCGATAGATCAAGCTGCTGTCATCTATTTGCCACCTGGGGCTACAGCTGCCATCTCTAGAGGCTGCCACTGACTCAGCTGCATCACAGGCAGCTACAATCTCTGTGAGGACCCCCTGTGCTCCTTCTGCTCCATAAACAGGGAGCGCCAGTGTTCAGAACGGAAACTTTATCTGCACCAGCTACACCATGGCTCTCCTGGTGGTCCCATTGGAAAACTATGTATTAGCTTTTTGACTACCAGGCCTCTTGCTTATTAACTCTGCAACTGTTTTCTAACTATTTAAAAAACATTTTTTGCCTAGAGATTATTTTTGAGGTCAAGTGACTCAAAAAACACTTTCTGGATAGCTATTTTTTTTTTTTTTTTTTGCAAACTAAGAAAAAAATAAAAGCAAATTTGAGGTGATTCATTGCAATGATTGGTCCTGAATTTTTTTCCCTCTGCTGTATTGTTCCAGAACATAAAGGTGAAGCATGTATTAAAGGAAAACAAACACCAAAATGAATGCAGTATGGTAAAGAACTGGCTGACTTCCAAAAAATCAGTCAAGACAGATGGTTATCAATAACATTCCACATTTCGTATCATAGTAGAATCGAACATTTTTGAAATTAAAAATGACAACTAATGTGAATAAAAAATAGTAAAAAAAATTCCATATTTTTAATCAATAATCATTTTATGATAAAAGTTGTGACATGTTTATGTCCTACATATCAATACATTCTTGACTACTTAGGTACATCTAGGTCAGTGGTTCTCAACTGACTTTCTCTCCTGAGGAATATTTCCAATGTCTGGAGACATACTGTTTGTCTCAACAGGGCTAGGGAGAATCCCATTGGCACCTTGTGAACAAACGCCAGAGGTATGTCTAAACATCTTACAATGCCTAGCACAATCCACCCACCCACGCAACACACACACACACTAAATAATTTTCTGATCCCAAATGTCAGTAATGCAGAGGTTGAGGTACCCTGCTCTAATTCTCCATGCTCCATTCAGAGCTCCATTCTAGGAAAGACCCGGCAGCATTTGCTACTTCCATCCCACCACTACTCGCTCTTCAGCTGTTCTGTCCCCATCACTGGAGCCCACAGGTACTGTTTATTTGATCATCATTTGGGATTTGCATCGTGTCAACCATGTTTAGTACTCTTGTGGTTTGTTTGTTTGAGATAGGGTTTCACTCTGTCGCCCAGTCTGGAGTGCATTGGCACCATCCCAGCTCACTGCCACCTCTGCCTCCTGGGTTCGAGTGATTCTCCTGCCTCAGCCTCCTGAGTAGTTGGGATTACAGGTGCCAGCCACCATACCTGGCTAAGTTTTGTATTTTTAGTAGAGTCGGGGTTTCACCATGTTGCCCAGGCTGGTCTCAAACTCCTGGCCTCAAGTGATCCACCCACCTGGGCCTCCCAAAGTGCTGGGATTACAGGTGTGAACCAACACACCTGGCCCCAATTTTATTATTTTTTAATGTATTCCTTGATTATTCTTGCCACTTCACTGCCCATATTCTATCACTCTGATACCTCTCCTGAGACTGATCCTTTTGCATGAGCATTTCTTGCCTTGACCACCACTAAATATTACTGTTCTAAGCACTGGAATTGGACTCAGCCCTTATTAACTGCTCCCTGAACACAGCCTGCCTGGAAATCACATCTACTTCTATATACTTCCGTGGCTTCAACACCTATCTCAGAAAGACCTCTCCCCTCAACTCTAGAAGAAGCTGTTTCTTTAATGAAACTTGAGATATTTTAAGCTTACTATTTCATTGGTATGTCAAACAATACAGCTAACGTTTACCATACTGTTCTGTTCCCTAGAGTTATTTCTCCTGTACCTGCCCCTCACCTCTATGGATGGTAGCACTATATACCCAGTCACTTAACCAAAAACAAAACAAAACAAAACAAATCTAGTAATCATCCTCTACTTCTCATTGATCATGTCACATAGTTTATAATTCCTAAATATGTTTCAAGCTGTTTCCTCCTTTCAATCTTCACTGCTATGTTCAGTTCAGAATCTAGCATCAACTCTTTTCTGAATTATTTGACAGCTACTTAATGCCTCTCTGACTTCAATCATCATACCTTTAATGCAATCTTCAATTCTCTTTCAAAGATTCTCTTTTCTCATAACAAAATAGCTTAGATTTTTATTCAGCACATGCCTACCTTTCCAATTTACTCTGCTCTCAACCTCATATCCAGACACCTGGCAGTTCTCCGAATACACAGTGTTCATTTAAGCTTCCATTCTTTCTACCTGGATGGTCTTTCACTTCAATTTCCACCTGGGACATTCTTAAATGACCTTAAATCACTGTGAAAGTAATGTATCCTCTTAGAATCATTTCTTAAGCTTACCTATCTAGGAAGAATTAAATGTCTTCCCTCCGGATTTGCGTAGTATTTTTACATGTCTTTATAATAGGCTTTATTGTTTGTATATTTAATTTATTATAGTAACTCTTTATTTACATGTTTGTCATCCCAACTAGAATGTGAGCTCTTTGAGAATACATTGGAATGTGTCTTCATTGCTATTCCTTAACACCTCTTTCAGTGGATATCCGCCTTCTATTAATAAACTAAGTGAATGCACCACAATGAGTATTTATGTTGAGTTTTCTAAAATATGAAGGCCAATTTAACATAATCTGAAGTTGTTCCTCTACAGCTGTTCCTCTGTCATTTTATGAAAATACATATTAGTTACCAATAGGTAGTGAAAAATCACAATGCTTTAACCCAAATTTCCATATTAATATGTTTTATGAAACACATAAGGAAAGATAGAAGACTGATGAGCGAATGGAAAGAGATGAGCAACATATAAATGAATATTATTTGACCTTGTGATGCCTCAAATGGAATGAACTGTTGACATGGCATTAGAAAAAGGGATTTTATTCACTCCCTAATCCAATTTGCAAGCCTTCTTGTTTTCCTCTCTAGGTCATGAGTAATTCAAGTATTTCTTAAAGCTCATTTACTTCAAAATAAAAAAAATTACTGTCACATTACACACACACACAAAAATCATGGTTTAAAATATTCCCACCAGAACAGTTTGATTCATTATTAATGACGCAATTAGAAAAGAAAGCAATTCTTTTAGATGAAACAACAAAATGACAGGTCAATTTTTATATACTTTAATTTTGAAAAGTAAAATTTTGTTAAGGATTTAAACACCTTATTTGCTGCTGAGTAGATAGAATTTTAAAAATGAAAAATTAAAATTTCTTAATTTTTATATATTTAAAATAGACCAGATTTCATTTAGAGTGTTTCTTCAAATATGACACAATTCCCTAAAAATAAAAATTAGAAGATTCAGGACCTGGTCTAGCATCCCCATTAATTTATTGTCTGAATCTTGGTCACCTAAACTTTTTGGGCATCATTTTCTTTATCTTGAAAATGGGAGAATAATGCCAGTCATATTCACCATAAAAGGGTCTGTTGGGGGAAAAAAATCAATAAAATTTGGTATTGAGGTATTTCAATATGTTTGAAAAGTTTCCAAAATTAGATATTTCAAAACAAAAATGGAACAGGTATGGATATTTGCATTCTTGAATTTTTGTGTGTGTATTTCAAATTGCATTTAATTTGAGGGCTTTTTGAAGTATCATTTTATAAAAATAAAACTATTTGGTGGCCAGTACAAAATCCCATTGTTAACTAAAGTCCTACTGCTCATAGCTCAAGGCACTTCACAAAAAATAAAAAATATGGGTCTTAGGATTCTCCTAGTCTTTTCCTATTGGAGTTATACATTTCCAGCATCCGGGGGTTCCAGGTTTCTTAGCACAAACTGTAAATCAGAAGCAGATGCCTGAGAACGAAAAACTTCATTGGGATAGCTACATAAGAAATTGTAGGCGAGTGGATCACCTGAGGTCATGAGCTCAAGACCAGCCTGGGCAACACGGTGAAACCCCGTCTCTACTAAAAATACAAAAATTAGCTGGGCCTGGTGTCTGTAATCCCAGCTACTTGGGAGGCTGAGACAGGAGAATCGCTTAAGCCCGTGAGGCAGAGGTTGCAGTGAGCAGAGATCGCGCCATTGCACTCCGGCCTATGTGACAGCGGGAGACACTGTCTCAAAAAAAAAAAAAAAAAAGAAAGAAAGAAAAGTACAATTTTGTTTACCAAAAGAAAGACACAGGCCCATGAGCTATTATTTAGGAGAAAATATATATAGCTATATACATAAGATTCCAGCATCCTGAAATCTCCCAATTCTCTTATCTTTGAAGACGTACATGACAACAAGGAAGCTGAAGAGTGCAAAAATTTTAAGGCATAATTGTTTGTTTGTTTGTTTGTTTGTTTTTTTGAGACGGAGTCTCGCTCTGTCGCCCAGGCTGGAGTGCAGTGGCGCGATCTCGGCTCACTGCAAGCTCCGCCTCCCGGGTTCACACCATTCTCCTGCCTCAGCCTCCCGAGTAGCTGGGACTACAGGCGCCGCCACCATGCCCGGATAATTTTTTTTTTCTTTTTGTATTTTTTGTAGAGACGGGGTTTCACCGTGTTACCCAGGATGGTCTCGATCTCCTGACCTCGTGATCCGCCCGCCTCCGCCTCCCAAAGTGCTGGGATTACAGGCGTGAGCCACCGCGCCCGGCCTGCTTTCTTATAATAACATATTGGTCATCTTGATTTCATATAAACAAACTTACTACAACACCCTGGCTTGATACTATCTTGACCAGACTTCTCTGAAGAAGACCAAGTAAAATTATGCAGTGTGTTGATTGATTCTTTAGGTTTCAGCGTCTATGGGAACACATCAAAACTTACTTGAAATAAATAAAAGTAAATGTGCACATGAGGTTCATTATGTTCACTTACATGCCACTTCCAGAGACGCATTTCGACTCACTGCTTCACCAAGATAGTTCCTCGCAACACAAACGTAGCTTCCTTCATCAGGTTTACTCCTGCGCCCGTGCACGATGCGCAAGAAGAATAAGGATCCGCTGGGCAGAAGCATCCTGTGGGACCGGGGATCGTCCTTGTCAGTCTCCACTCGCTCCCCATCTTTGTACCACTCAATGGTGGGCGTTGGCCGGCCCTCCGCCTTGCAGTTCAGAGTCGTGGGCTCGCCCTTAGAGACGATGACATCGGAAGGATGCTCCACAATCCGCGGGGGAAAGTCCTCCTGGCGAAGACGCGATCCTACAAAACATGACGGAATAAAGACAAGCTTTAACATTTCCTTATCTAAACCCTCGGTTTCACTTGGGTTCCTGATGGGGAAATTAAACTCTTCGATTATCCAACTGAACATTATTTTATGTTTCGTTTTGTGTATGCATCTCATAAGTCATCTCAACTCCTTTGCAGGATAGGGCGATACCAATAAATTAATATGTTAACTCAAAGGAGTTAGGTTTAATGTGTTCCATGAATCATGACAAGCAAAAGTAAAAGAGAACAAGAGACTTTCTTGTTCTTCTGGGATCAGCATGGGTACTAAGATGAGTAAGACTAATTTCCTGTCCTCAGATTGCTTATTATACACTGGGGAAGAAAGCCACGTCAGCAAGCAGCTAGAAGACACACATAGATAGCATTTAATGTGCTGCCAATATGTTATCAGACTAACACAAAAAGAGACCTGTAAATTATGTACAAATATTATCTGCATTTAACAGATGAGGCAAAAGCTTAGGAAATGATGTCAGTTGCCCAGAAATGTAGATGAGGCAAGCAGCAGAGGCAGGATTTTGAACTCAGGTGTGTTTGACTGAAGAGCTCAAGTATAAATCCGTATGTTAAAATGCAATACGCTGCATAGAGGTATATAAGAAATGCACTATAGGCAGAAAGAAAAAAAGTAAAAGTTAACCCTAAATTAAGCATAATAAGAGATCCCTTCCCCGAAAAAAATTACATTTAGATTGAGCCGTAAAGAATGAAAAATGACAACTAAAAGAAAAAAGCATCATGCCAAGAGATACCATCAGCAAAAGGACAAGGAAATGACAGTTACGTGCATGGTACATTTCATAATCAGGAAGGAAGCTGATACAGCAAGAAAAGGTTTAAGACAGTCTTGGAGCCTGAGACAAGGCTTTGTGCCATGCTCAGGGGTATGACTATTCTTTTACACGGCTCACAGATTTTTAAGGGGGCAGTGACATGACTGTCTGTACAATCGAAAGATACTTGTAGTCTGTATTATCAATAAGGGATAGCAACGGAGACACGAAGACAGTTGTGATTTACTTAAATAGTTCAAGAGAAAAATAAAAAGAACCTGACTTTGGGAAATGATGGTTTAGGTAGAAAAGAAGAAGGAAAAATATACCATATCAAAATGCTTGACAGAATTTGGTATATCACCATGCACAGTACAAAGAAAGATAGATCGTACCAGTGACTTCCCTGTGAATGCAATAAAAGTGGGGCCATAAGGGGCGTAAGAAATCGAAAGAGAGGCCGGGCACGGTGGCTCACACCTGTAATCCCAGTATTTTGGGAGGCCGAGGTGGGTGGATCACCTGAGGTCAGGAGTTCGAGACCAGCCTGCCCAACATGGTGAAACCTCATATCTACTAAAAATGTAAAAACTTTGCCAGGCAGGGTGGTGGACACCTATAATCCCAGCTACTCGGGAGGCTGAGGCAGGAGAATCGTTTGAACTCAGGAAGCAGAGGTTGCAGTGAGCCAAGATTGTGCCACTGCACTCCAGCCCGAGTGACAAGAGTAAAACTCCATCTCAAAAAAAAAAAAAGAAAAAGAAAAGAAAAGAAATAGGAAGAGAAGGCTCTGTTGATATTTCACAATCAAATTTTTGCATAATGTGTTATTTTGAATATTTTTCATTTATATGGTATCAATTACCATTATTCATGAAAATGTTCTACCAGCTGCTCCAAGTAAATAAAAAGGAGATGCTGAGAGGAATCACCATATATGGGGACATAATGATTATATAGATAAGCACTTCTTAAAAGTTTGCTCTTATATAAGATTTTCCAACCAATCACCTAATATGAGCACATTTCTCTTCAACAGATAGCAGTAATATTTACTTGTCAATGTTACCTCAGTTCACTCTCAGTATTAATTGAAAATACATGTTTTAATGTATTAAAGGGAATTTAATTTAGTCTTAAATGAACTTTATTTTTTTGAAGAGGAATAACTCTTAAAAGTTGCTATTTTTTTAATCACATCAGACCAAAAAAGAATGTATACATTACAAGTGTTAGATATCTAAAGCAAAAGAGTAATTTACTGTTCACAGGTCAGAACTTTAAAAAAAAAACTAAAGAGATCCAAAGCATCTAGATAGGTAATTACAGTATACATCACAATAATAAAGGATATAGATCATGAGTACTGGGTCTTAAAGCAATGAGGAATTTACAGAATACAAAAGTAACAATGAATTTTTAAATTCATAATCAAGAAAGACCCCAAAGTATTTAAACATGAGTGGCTGAATAGAAGTAGGTTGCAAATCAGAAACATATTCTCAATGTAAAGGTCTGGACACATAGCTGTAGACTCTGATCTTAAAATACATCAAGAGTTTTATGTCACTTTTCATGTAACAGGCATATAGTAGGTTACAATCATCTGTTTAGATAGCCCCTTTGTTCTCCATGAATCTCCCTATGCACAGTAACCTACATTCTCCCTACTGCAAAACTGTTCTACTATTAAAAGTAAGCAAGTAAATAGCTACTAGGGTGCTATTTACTATATCAACTTGTGCACTAACTTATTAGGCAGTAGGCCTGGATAAGGGCTGAATAAGACCTGAAATATGCTAATACTTACTAAATAAAATATAAAATAATTGATTTATAAAAGAAAAAGTGAAAAAATAGCTAAGCTATTTAGCAATAAAATTAAACTCCAGTATGTCCAATGAGCACACGAAGAATTTTACTCATTTATCATTACAATATATGTAAACTATGTTACATAAAGATTATAGTACTGTCATATCAGGACACTCTTCTTGTAATTTTACTCCTACTTTAATAAAAACATCAAAGAACATCTACAACCTAAATATAAAAAGTAAAACTATGAAATGATTACAAGAAATTATAGAGGCAAGTTTTTTATGATTTTGAATTAGGTGATGGCTTCTTGGATATGATACCAAAAGCATAAGCAACAAAAGAAAAAAAGAGATAAACTGGATGTTATAAAATTTTTAAATACTTGTGCTTGAAAGAATACTACCCACAGAATCAGAAAAATAATCTGCAAATCATATACCCAATAATGGATTTGTATCTAGAATATATAAAGAACTCATAACTCAATAAAAATATAAATAATCAAATTTTAAAATAGGCAAAGGATTAGAATAAGTAGTTAAACAAATTTGACAGAGAAGTTAGACAAATAGCCATAACCACATAAAGAGATACTCAACATCATTAGCTATTAGAAAAATGCAAATCGAAACTACAATGAAATACACTTCACACCCACTAGGACATATATAATCAAAGCAATGTAAAATAACAAGTATTGTCAAGGGTTTGGAAAAACTGAAAGCCTCATCCATTGCTAGTGTGAATTTAAATCATACAGTCACTTTGGAAAACAATCTGGAAGTTCCTCAAAATGTCAAACATGTAGTTGCCATACGACCCAGCAATTTCACTCCTAGATATATATCACCCCAGAATGAAACCATACATCCACACAAAACTTACTCATGAATATTCATAGCAGTATTATTCACAATAGTCAAAAAAGTAGAAACAACCCAAATGTCTACCAACTGAATGGATAACAAAGAAAGAATCAACAGCATAAATATCCATGATGAATGGATAAATAAAATGTGCCATATCCATATAATGGAATATTATTCAGCCTTAAAAATGAAGTATTAATAATACATGCTACAACATAGATGAACTTTGAAAATATAAGTGAAAGGAGCTAGTTGCAATGGACCATATATTGTACGATTCCATTTATATGACATGTCCAGAGAAGGAAAATCCACGGACATAGAATGTAGATCAATGCTGGCCTAGGGCTGGGGTATGGAAGTGGGGAATGAAGGGGGTCTGGGCAAGTGCTGCCAATGGGGATGGGATTTCTTTAGGGATGATGAAAATATTCTAAAATTAATTACAGTGATGGTTGCATTACTCTGTGAATGTAATAAAGATTATTATATTTTATACTTTGGGTAAATTTTGTGGAATATGAATTATATCTCCAGCAATTTTTAAAAATTTGATAGATAAAAGAGCACTGTGAACAAGTTTAATAAAAGGTGTGTAACAATTTGTGCTCACTCCTAACAACAGTTAACACTGTTTTCTTCATTTATAATCTTAGGTTCTAATGAAATCATCAGGCCTGCAATAGATAATTAGGACATAAAGTGAACTTTAAAGGTCTCACCACCCAGATAGATAGATTAGAGAGAGAGAGAGAAAGATAGATTAGAAAGATAGACATAGATATACAAAAATACAGCTTTACAATCTAAGTTTTACAATGTTATTAAAAATATGGGGATTAATTCTGAGCTTTCTTAAATTCAGACATTACATAACAATAGCAGTGGTCTTTACGATGGACCCAATGCATAAGTCTTTGGAATCTTTAAAACTGTGTGTGGAAATGAGTATTATTGTTAAGGGGGAGGCAGTAGTGGTGGTGTGGGGTTGGGGGTGTAGCTTTCATCATATTCCCAAAGATGTTGGGCCTTTAAGATTATCAAGGAGCACTAAACTACTGGGTATTCTATGTTATTGGCTAAAACAACTCCATTATTTGGTCAAAAAATAAAGCTGAGTTGTCAGCAAAACTCACTGGGGACTGAGAACAAAACAGTAAGGGGGAGTGGGGGTTGTTCATCACAGGAAGTGCCATGAAACAGCTCAACCTCAACATTTTGGACATCTAAAGTGTGAGCCCCTCAACTAGCAACAAAAGCATGATCCAAAGGTGTATTAGAAATAGAGGATCTTAGGCCCATACCAGCATATCTGAAATCTGAATCTGCGTTTTAACAAGATTCCCCTCTCTTCATCAGGTATTTGTATGCACAATACCGTTTGATAAGCACTGCTCACATCAGTTTTTGTATGGCTCTGAGCTAACAATGTTTTTAAAAGAAGAGGAGGGGGAGAGGGAAGAGAAGGGGGATGAGGAGGAGGAAGTGGTAACAAAGAAAACTTACATAGCCTGTGAAGCTTGAAATATTTACCAAGGTTTGCCCACCCTGCTCAAGAGTACCTGATATCATTTTCCATTACAAAGTTCATTTTTAATTTAAATTTATTTTATAAATAAATTTATAAATTTATAAATATCTCTTCTACAGATTTCAAATGAAAATTAGTTTGACAGCAATGTTATTATTGCCCATATAATGAGAAATTATTCAAAGATTCCTATTAGAACAGATATACTAAGCGATGTATGAAAATAACTATCTACAATTCTAATTTCGCTTGTGACTGATATCATGTCTGGTATCTTTTTATATCTCAATTATTAATTGGGCAATCAGTCAAGTTTTAATTAAAATAATATATATTGTTAAAATATATACAAATTTATATATTATATATAATAATATATATTAAAATATATATTATTTAATTAAAATAATATATATTAATAATATATAAACTATATATATTCTTTCTCTCTTTTATAATAAAAGAGAGATAACAAAAATTGTTCAGAGGATCCTAAAGATGAACATCCAAATGTTTATTTTTACTGTCCAAGAAAGTAAGTTGTGAAATTGTCACATAAATTGTCCATAATTGAATAGATAGGAGAAGCAGAATTAGAACTCATGACCTTTAATCCAAAATGTGCCAGGCTTCTTTAGAAATGAATGGAGCACCAAGTAAAGAATGCACATGGCATCTAGGCTAATTCCAAAGACCTCTTCTAAGGTTCATTTCAATAAAATGTATCACATGAATGTCGCTAGTCATAATTTCAGCAGAAAACATTTTCCTCGTTTTTCAAAGCCTGATTCTCAGACTGCCTGCATCAGAATCATCTGGGATTTTTTTTTTCTAATTCTTCATGAATTTGCCTGTCATCCTGGCCCAGGGACCATGCTAATCTTCTCTGTATTGCTTCAATTTTGGTATATGTGCTGCCGAAGTGAACACTAAGATATTTCTTTAAAATACAGATTCTTTTTATTTATTTATTTATTTATTTATTTATTTATTTATTTATTTATTTTGAGTCAGAGACTCACTCTGTCACTCAAGCTGGAGGGCAGTGGTATGATCTTGGCTCACTGCAACCTCCGTCTCCCAGGTTGAAGCGATTCTCGTGCCTCAGACTCCTGGGTAGCTGGGACTACAGGCACGCACCACCACACCTGGCTAATTTTTTGTATTATTAGTAGAGACGGATTTTCGTCATATTGGCCAGGATGGTCTCGAACCCCTGGCCTCAAGCGAGCCTCCTGCTTCGGCCTCCAGAAGTGCTGGGATTACAGGCATGAGCCACCTTACCTGGCCACCAGATTCTTAGTCTCCATAGTGAACAAGGTGCATCAGAAATTACCAGCGAAAGGTTCCAAGAAGCTGCATTTTTTCCATGCTTACCAGAAGATCACACACTTAGACCTGGCTAGATGTAGCATTCCACAGCATCATCAAGTTCGTCAGCCAGATGCAGACGCATCTGTGAATAATGTTCTAAGCACCTTAATTTGCATAATGGATTATTTCTGCTTCTCAGAGACTCTCAAACAATGATTTTGTAATGATTTTTGATAAAATATTTGATATTTTACAACGTTGAGTGGTATATTAGCACTTCAAATTTTTGAAGGTGATGTATAAATTATAATTCATGAATATGGTTAAGTTTAGTTTTCTTTAGTCAGTAACCACTCATTCGCAGTGAGTGCCAGAGAACATTTGTTTTCAGGAAGAGATTTCAATCACGTAGTATAATAAAGGAGGAAAATGCACCTAGAATACTTGTTGATTTCATTTCATGTGTTACAGAGTAAATGTCTCTGCCTCATTGAGTTGGAGTATAGTATTTCCTTGAACCAAGTTTTATTTTTCTTTTACAAACTGGATAGCCCTATCAGCTATTAGTCCCTCCACAAGCCAAGCAATGTATTTCAAGCTGTTCTAAATTTTTCTGAGGGCCGAAGAAATTCTCGGCAAATTAGGGACAGAGTGTGAAATATACTTCCTCCAGCAAAATTTCTATGCTGTGTTCATTTTTCTCTCTTAAAAATGTATGTAACAGTATGTTCTAGCCATAACTATGTCTGTTTTAACAAAATATTGTTCCCCAAAACGATATAAATAGAATTAACCCAGGAAGATTCTCCAGGATTACTTCAATTCTGAATGTGATCAGAGCCACCTGCTGATATGACAGATACAGTAGCACTACACGAAAAGGTGAAGGTTGCCTGACACATCGCAATAGGAAGGAGGCAGTGTGGTACAAATAAAGAACACAGGTTATTGATCAGTTAACGTTCATGCCTCATTTGTAACAGGTAGATCAGGACATCAATGCTATAAAGAGTGGTTTAGGCCGGGCGCTGTGACTCACACCTGTAATCCCAACACTTTGGGAGGCCGAGGCGGGCAGATCACGAGGTCAGGAGATCGAGACCATCCTGGCTAACACGGTGAAACCTTGTCTCTACTAAAAATACAAAAAAAGTTAGCCGGGCGTGGTGGTGGCGCCTGTCGTCCCAGCTACTCGGGAGACTGAGGCAGGAGAATGGCGTGAACCCGGGAGACGGAGCTTGCAATGAGCCGAGATCGCGCCACTGCACTCCAGCCTGGGCCACAGAGCGAAACTCCGTCTCAAAAAAAAAAAAAAAAAAAAAAAAAAAAAAAAAAAAAAAAAAAAAAAAGAGTGGTTTAGAAGATTAAAAGAAATCATATATATGGATCACCAGGATGGGCAGTAAGCGTTCAGTGTAGTATTTTTTTCTCCTTCTGCAAAACATGACAAATACTCCAACTCTAAACTTTATTTCCAAAATTTAGCCCATAAAACTCTATAATCCCATTGACAATAGTCAATAGTTTATCTTTGCTGAGGATGATTCTGACATTAATGTTTTATTGCTTGATACATTTTAGCTGGACCAGGCTGATAGCTTTACACTAGATTTCCAAAGAATTAGTTGTTACTATTTATCGTTAGTCAAAAATATATCCAATTCAAAATTTCCTTCACTGAAGGAAACATATCTCAGTGCCACTGCAAATGCTGTCTACATTGATTAGTGAGCTAAGGTAATTTGCAATTTAATGGAATTAATGAATCATGCCATCAATCCATCAAGTCTGTCCATAACAACTTTTCCATCTTTGAATTCTTCATGATGATTAAATTCCAGCTTACTTTGCTTATGAGGGAGGAGGGAATAGAAAAGTATTATGAGATAACTTTTTTTTTCTAGAGGTCCAGTGATGTGGTAGGATATGCTGAGAAGATCAATATTTGGAAAACACGAAGTCCATTTTATCCATTTGAAATTTGCTAAAACTCTCTCAGGAGACTTCCTAATTTGCCATTGGCCTAAATAAATTTATAAGATTATTATTCCTTCTGGAAGCACAGCAGTGCCATCTTAATAAGTCTAAATTTGAAACAAAATCAAAATTGAGACCTAGAAACTCTACTTATTTCTTAGAAAAATTTCAAAATAACTTTTCAGTGTCCTAAAACTAAAGGGCTTATAGTGTGAAAGGGAACTGATAAGGATAAAAGAGGTTTGTCAAACTCAACAGGCAGCCTTGATTCTGAAAGTTTCCAGTTGTACAAAATAGCACCCTGCAACATCTCTGTGACCTTGCTTTCCAGATGCAGAAAACAGAAGATTAAGCTATCAGAGGTCCTTTTACAAACCCTTATTTTATAGATGAGGAGGAAAAATAGAGTACTAAAGAACTGAAGTTTCTTTCTCACAACCAAAACTAGAAGGATATACTTGTCTTAGCTGTGGGTCCAAGCTCTGTTTTCAGGATGACTTTTTCTTCTTACCCACATTTTAGAAGTCTAAAATATTATTAGAAAATCCCAAGCACTAGATTTCAGTTGTTTTTTGTTTGGCTTTTTATCTGGACCAATATATGGTTAGTTATATCACCTTAAGCAATTACCTAAACTGGTTTTTTGTACTATTTATTCATCCCAAACTTGAGGTAAGTGGAAGAGTAAATTGCTACAGTCTCATTGTTCTGTAGCATGATCATACTCTTTATGGCTGTCACATTAATGATATCTTAACAGACATATCTAAAAGAAAGCATAATGAGTAGCAATTTAAATTTATGAACACAGGGTACATACTTTAAAAAATACACACTTTAGATTACTGTTCATACTTTTGATAAATGTATAGATTACAAAAGTTGGCCTTTGTAGGTCTTGTATCTGCTGTCAAAAGCAATGGATATCACATGAATTCTTAGAAAACCCTCCAAAAGTTAACAATGATTTAAAAGACTGAAAACGTACCTTAGAAATTTATTCCTAAATTTCTATAAAATTTATCCATATTGTCAGTAAATGCATTGCTCTACAAATCATTTTAACCAAAGACTAACTGGCTATATTGGATAGGTATCTTAAAAATAAATATGTCCACACACTGGGGTCTCTCAGGGGCAGCGTGGGGAGTGATAGCATCAGAATAAATAGCTAATGCTTACGGGGTTAATACCTAAGTGATGGATTGACAGGTGCAGCAAATCATCATGGCACACATTTACCTACGTAACAAACCTGTACATCCTGCATATGTATCCCAGAACTTAAAATAAAATAAAATGTAACAAATAAATAGATATGTAATTAATTATGTAAAATAAAACCTTCAGCATTCAGCAAAGATCTTTAAAATTTCCTTCCTTAATTAGGGTGAATGAGTTGATCTTTCAGGTGAAGGTAAGTAATAAAGATTCATAAAACTTTCAACCTGAATTTCACAATTGTATCTCAGGTCTTTACTTATCTACCATTAACAGAAATTGCTAAAAATATGAAAATTAGAACACTTTTTCCCCTGTTTTTTCCTCCACTACCGCATGTTATTCAGTGCCTTTATCAGCTAAGTCTTAATCACATTTTTAAAATGCTATTCAATTTCCTGGCTGCCCACATCAAAATTGAGCCACTGACTGTCTGAGCAAGTGGGCCCCAGTGACAGGTAGAGCCTCAGCACCCGTAGGGAGTGCAGGCTTGGTTTGTGTAAGTTAGAGTCAGAAGCTGAAGGCAATCGAACCACAGGTGGACAACTAAGAATATATATATGAATATACAATAGAAATATATATATTCTTATGTATGTGTGTGTGTCTTTATATATGTGTGCATCTATATATATGTGTGTGTGTATATATATACAACATTCCTATGACTCCATGATGAATACATACATATATGTATATATACATGTATACACACATATGTATATGTACACACACATATATGTATATATGTGTACATGTATATATGTGTGTATATCTGTATATACACACACATGTATATATAATATTGAAGATAAATTTTGAAACTCCTAATCTGAAGGTTTCTAGAAAACTGTTAGGGGGGATTTTCCTCTTAATAACAAATTACTCTTCTACTTTATAAATTCATTTCCAACAATTCAGTGAGGAGCCAATGTATTAACCTGGATATTCATCCAATACTATTTCAAATCAATTTGCTACATCTTACATGGTTGAAGGTATTCTTTAAAGTGTGATTTACTGCCCAATCAGAGGTTTTCATGGCTTATGCAGATTTACCTTTCAATGACAAAAACAATCCCTATTCCAGGAAGACAGCTTTAAAATCTGGCTTGTTATTATCATATTTATAATATTTTCATGTGGTTTGAAATTGCATTTGGCTTTACAAAAGGTGATGCAATGAAACAATCTCAAAAATCATTAAATTGTCTAATAATGTTTAATTTTCTAAAAACCATTGACATTTATTTAATGAAGACTATGAGTGTGTCTCCAGAAAAGGGGATTTTACTTAAATAAACTCTGAATGGAGTGATATCATTTTGACTTTCTATTATATTTCCTTCTGTTTCTATATTCTGAAAATTCTGTAGCAGTAGCATTAATCTTAGTAACTGAAGATGCCAAAAGACCCAGTGTCAATGTCTAAAAAACACCATTCCCACCAGCAATGATATTTTATGCATGTGTGTGCTAAGCTTTGTTAAATACTTAGTTAATACATTTGTCAGAAACTCTTGATAAATTTTCCTGTACCCCAAAATATTTCATAATAAAGTTAAATTGAGATTCAATGATCCTACCTGAAATTTCAGACAAACTTATTTTGGTATATAAGTATAGAAAGGATTTTTAAAAGACAGATGGAAAATAAGATTACAATCCAATAGTTTCTTAAAGGAATAATGGCTAAATCACGACCAGAAAAATTATAGCCTTCATGAGCCAAACGCGTTAGTTGCATCATGTCCAAGGGATGCACACAATGACTGATTTTAGCCTTGTTCATTTCTAATCAACATTCATTTACTACAGAATTTGGCCTAAGGTGCAAATATCATTGCATTACTCCATTATTTGTAAAAATGTGATTCATAAATCATGGATTGGTTTATGTGGAATGGAGGTAAGGGATGGTACTGCAGGCACCGGATGCAAAATTTTGTGCAGATATGTGCATGTTCGTTTTTAAGAAATGATAAAGTATATTTTTGGTAGTTAATAGAAATCATCTGTCAGTAGGACTGACTTGAAATTTCTTTTTCAAATGCCGAAAAGAAGTGTGAACTCAGGCAAATTTCTTACCTTCTCTGCATCTTGCTTCCCTATGTATAAAACATAGCAGTATCAGTCGAATAACATTGCTGAGAAGATTGAATGAGATTTTTCCATGTGCTGAGTACACAGCAAGCACTCAATAAATGTTCCCTACTAGTATAAGCATTATTATAATGTATAACTCTTTTATTAGTATAACCTCTGTCTCTAAACTCAAAGGAGTCTGTAACCCCCCTAAAAACAATGAACCACGATCTATAAGATAACGGCCTTTTTAAAGCAAATGTTGATGCCTAATAACTCTGTGTCCCTCTAAACTATTTTACTGAAATATATACCAACGCTGTTTATTTTTCATTATAAAAATCTTGGAATGACTCCATGATTAATGCATAGGAAGCATCTATTTATTTTTTTGGTTGCTTTTCCATTATAAGTTTAGAGATAACTAAGGGATATTAAATAAACTTTATTGAGGGCACAATAACATGACTTATGAGATGACAGGAATGGGAATATTATCTGAAATGCACTTTTACCAGTAGTTTCAAGAGATGGTCAAAACAAAATCATTCTCATCCTTTTAAAGCAATAACTTTTCCTAGAAATTTCTAAATGACACCTTTATGAAATTGTGTATCTTTAAATAAAAGGCCCAAGTCAAAAATGAGTATACTGATCCCAAAGATGAAAAGAAAGATTTCCTCTTGGATGGTGGAAATGGCCATAATCGAGTTGGCTTATTTAATATTGTACAATGGCTTTTGGAGATCTTTCCTGAAGTTTGTATCTTGGAAACAAAGGAGGCTTATAAAGGTATCCAAATACAACTCGGGCTTATGGCTTTGTCTTTGTACCATACTGACAATGAATGGATTTTCACAGTTGGCCAAACTGAACAGAAGTGACAGCATCATATTTCTTCAGGGGTATTTGGAGGATATACACCTAAATTGTTAAGTGTTTACTCCACCAAAAACACCTTAGATAAGATTTGTGACATAAAATAGCTTGAAAAAGAGGCTATGTTTTATCAGTTGCAAATAGCTCTAAAATTTGGAATAAGCTCTGTTTACAAAATTATAGAATCTTATAGAAAATTTTGGAGTTGTATTTTGCCTTCACTTTATGCAATGCATTAAAATAATAAATAAGTATAAATTTACGTCTTTAATAAAAACATTTTCTCCAGTTTTATTTGGCCAATCATAACAGTTTTGATGTGACAACTGTAGTAAGGCTATGCAAAGTGGTTACATTTAGATTGCAAACTTGAGTTATTTTAGTAGATAAAGAATATAAGTTACTTTAATGATCAGGATACTTTTCATTTGGGGATCTACTTTCTCTTCATTTGTGTCTATTTATGATATCTATTGATGGCTTTTTAGTGACCCATTTAATAAAACTTTAAATTTCCTTTCAGGAGATGTCTTCTGTTTCAGAGCAAAATGACCAGCAGATAACATCACTGCTGCAACACAAATACTGAGTGTAGTTTTCAGTTAAAAGATTCTGTGTGCACAGAGAAAAAAGAGCTTATTTTTCTGCTGAATGGAGAAGAGCAGCAAATGTGAGTGCAATAAACGTTTTCAAATGATCTTTTTCTGCTTGAATTATGTTTCACTAAAATATATGAGTCTCAATTCCTTGAGTCTGTCAAAAAACATCTGCAGCTTAGAGAAAAGTTATGGAATAATGTTGTTTTCCACTCAGCCCATTTACTTTGAAGCCTTATCAGAGGAGGGATCAAATGAAACTGATCATCCCCAGGTTTCCCCAGGTTATTACCATGTGGACATGGAATTAACCTCCTTCCAGCCACTCTCGAAATGCAATGCTTTCTTGTCACAAAGCACAAGAGTGGAACACAGAATTATTCTGGATTATGCTAAAAGGAAAGAAAAATGCTGGCAGGCAGAGGTATAAAAATGTAAAGTGATAAGTTTTGTGAAACACAGAATAATGATAGCTTCGAACAGGGTGGTATTTCTAAAATGTAGGAAGTTGCCTTTACCATAAAATATTCAATATATCAAACTCTGATAAGTTGGATCTTATAAACAACCAGCAACTGAAAATCTGGAAGAAAATGAAAAGTATACAAATGTTAAGAGTTTAATGATGTTTGCCTAATATTCCACGTAATTTTCCCCACTTTCAAATGAGGCAATAATAACTGAATTTTAGTGTTTTAGTGATGCGCTCACTGCTGTTGAAATTTTTTTTAAAAGAACATTATTACTGGTTACTTTTGTTACGAATTTCCATTATAAATAACAGAAAAAAATATTTGAGTTTTATGTAAACTAGTGAACTAGAAGTGTGAATTGTCTAATAATTTCTGACCCAATAGTTAACAGCTCCCAAGGTATGTATGCCTTAGATGTCTACTCTTCCCTTCAATGAAGATAATTCACTCATTCCACAGAGAACTCATTCCCTCTCATGGTGTTCAGGTATTATCTCTATGACAACAACAGCCAAATGTGGGTTTAGTATCTCCAGCTAAGGAAAGTTCTAGGCTTTGTTCGGGTGACCACCTGAATGCTCAGTCATCAACTCAAGGTTCATCTATCTAAGAATGAAACCCTCACCTCTCTCCTCGTCCCATATTTCATCATCTCTCCTTCCTGACATCAACTCCATCTTTCTCCAGGTCCCTAATGCTCAGAATCCCGGTTGTGGGGTTTAACTCTTCCATTTCTATCATAACCGCTTAGGCATACATTTCTGTGGATTCTTCCTTCTTTCTCCAGGTTTGTGTCTGGAACTGACTGCCTCTCATTTCCACAGTCACCATCTGTGTCTCTCGACATAATTTCACACTATCATTATCCTAAATGCCTCATCGTTTCTCTCTTCCAGGTATGTTCTTTCCCTTTCCTCATCACTCCATTCCTAGAAAAAATGCAAACGGATTTTGGAACAGTTAGTGATTGCTTTTCTTTAAACAAACACAAAGTAGGTTGCCCAGGCAAATCTCAAACTTTTATGGGGTTTTCTAAATTTTTATACTCCCTTGGCCAGAATAAATCTACTTATTCATCAAATTGACTTACAAATTGGGACTTTCCTAAGTTCATCTTACGCATCCAGAATCATACAAGTTGCCTCATGAGTGTTACGATGAAGTACAAAACTCTGAACCTCCACGCTGGGGCTCAGCGTTTATTTGGACAGAATTTACTCAGGCTGCCATGAGGTCTTTGTGACACTGATTTATGGTCAAAGGTGCCAGAACATCACTTACTATATTAGAACTTGGCTGTGTTTCTCATTTTTTTAGTTCACTGAAAATTTGAAAAAATACGCTGACTGCAGGGGGAGAAATGAGATGCAGAGTTCTCTATTTCATCGAGGTAGCTTGTGCCTGACATATGTATCTAAACTGCCCATATTGAAATCAGGTCCATGGGCCAACTGCCTCAGATATGAATCCCGAAATGATGATGGAGGCACTGATATAATCTGGCTGATTTTTTTTCCATTTGGTGTGAGTACATTTAAATACTGTATATATTTTTTAAAGAATCTCCTATTAAATAGGGGCCTCAATTTAATCTCTGGACATTCCTTGTGAGATTAGCCAAAAAAAAAAATGTTTTAAGTGTAGTAGCATAAATACACATTCACTCATCACAAGTACATTTGTACATACTAGAGTGTACATACAATACACTATTGTGTGTGTATATATATATATATAGAATGTTACTATGTAGCATTTGAATCAAATGTACCAAACACTGAAAGAAATTGTATATATGAGTGTAAATATATACATATATATATATATCTGTTAATTAATATATCTTTTGATATGTTTCACAGGAGAAATATATCAACAGTCTAAAGTTCATCAACAATCAGGAAATGGGGAGGTTGTATCCCTGTTATCATTAGTTTACAACCAACTAATTTCTTTAGTTATCCTCACAGGGGCTAAAAAAGATATGAAATACCCAATGATCAGTCACAGAAACACAGGCAGGGCTAAGAGCATAATCCATGACTTTGCCAGGCTCAGTGAGCACTACCTTGATGTACTGATGTTTCTTAATGAAGACAACCACCACCAATTAGACAACTGACAATTAGGCTGAAAACTGAAGTGTCAAAACAGGAACAAGGAGTGACCTCTGAATACTAAATTATTTTTAGATGGCACTTAATCACTATCACAATAGCAATAACAAATGTTAGCAATTTTTCTTTACTACAAGAAGTGATTCTGCTCTATGCTTTATACTTTGCAGGCTAATCTGTTAGTGTTTTTCCCTCTCCTTTTTAAATTTTGTTGGAATACAGCTTAAAACAGTCTCTTATTATGACCAAGTTATATCAATTAGTATACAATTAGAAATACCGGCTCTGCATTGTTTTTAAACATAGGGCCTATGCAGTTGGTGTGCATAGAATCTGGATTCTCACAGACCTCAGTTTCAGTCCTGGTTCCTGGAGGGCAGGGTATTTCTCCTTCTGAAGTGAAGGTATGGGGAATTTTAAAGTATTGGATTCTTTAGCCAATATTAAGAGTGATTACCAAAACCACCCAAGCATTGGAGTTTGGGGAGGATGCAGGAGAATTCCAGGTCAGCCTGAATAAGGAACAGCCATATGTATCTGTGTCTACATCTCCATTTATAGCTATATAGCACTTCTACATTAAGCACATTGCCTGAAGAGCTCATTGCTCATAGAATTTTCTTCAGTAAACTAAGAATGTTACAATACTTAACACACTTTTGCACAAGCCACTGCCTCCCTTCAACATAACAAAAATAGAAATTCTTCGTGCTCACACACTGGCAGGCAGCCCACACTTGCCTGTATCATGATTATTTCTGAATGACTTGGCACAACCTTTAATGATATGCTTCTTGCATCACAGGATTTGATGTTCCATTTTTGCCCAGCTCATCACGTTAGTCTCCAGAAGTTGTATTTGCCTGATGGTTATGAATACACAGGGGCATTTCTTCATGGCTATCCTTAGAGTGCACACTCTCAAGCTGCCTCAGAGGTGAGATCACCTTTGGATCTCCACTGGCTCAGTTCCTTTGGATGGCATCCAAGACAGAATTGCCTTCTGCTGAATTTCACTGCTGTGGCCAATGGCGTAATAATGAGACTCTTGTGTCAATGCCCCTTGGATTGTAAAGAATCAAATTCCCAATATAAGTACAAGCATTTACAGTGATGTGTTTATATTCATTTTATTTCATTTAACTTTTTTTCTATAACAATCAGAGGCAAACACTGGATATCAAAATACTTGATAGTGTCAGTAACCTGTAATTTTCCATAATCTAATAAACTAGCCCATAGATGTCAAACACACAACAAACATGCACGTGAGTATAAACACACAGAATCATGAGAACAAAATTTTTCTCATCTTTCCCCTCAAGGAGGAAAAATACCACTCAATATTAATGTCAAATACTTGAGCCATTAAACAAAACAGGCAACTCCGGCGAATACCTTATAAAAACCATAATGTAAAATATACATAATTATGTAATCCGATTAATATATCCACTCCTTTTTAGTGGAATAATGCTTAAGCAATAATGTAAGCTTCCAAATAACTATATATTTATGAAGAGAAACACACGAGCAAATGTTTTCAAGCTTTCTGCATTCATACCACAGGCAGTTGTATGCATCAGGAAAAGGACACAGGTCTACCCTTACCGTCAACTGTAGCTAGCTCAGCTGAAGAGAGCTTTCCAGTTCTTGGCAAAATAACAAATTCTCGAGCAGAGAGGGGATAGGGGTGAGATTTTTTTCTCCTGTAAGTAACTTAATGAATGAAGTACTAATTAACATTATGGCATTGATAAATGGAGAGGGAGATTAGGGATGTACTCGATATTCAGACCTTCGCAGATGGACTGTCAAAGCCACATCAATTCCTATCTCATTGGAGCATCTGCTTCTCCCATAATCTGCTGGCCCTTGGTACGAACAACACAAACTGTTGTGACTCAATTCGATTTATATCAATCTAATTTCTTTTAATCCAATTTGTATTCCAATCTACTACCTTCTAATCACTTAAATCTTCAGCCTCCATCTGGTAAATTTGCTCTCAAAATTAACCAAGCAGATGCCTCTGCGATTGTCTTCCACAGTCAAGCTAATCAGACCCTCACAGTGGCCTATAGAACCCGCTGAATAGGTACGTGACTTACGGTGTTGTCCTTCTAGTTACAGACACAGCGAGGTAGGAAGACCATTTTATCTACCATTAATTGGTTCATTTGCATAACACTGCTTGGGAAAAAGCACAGGACACAAAAGCCAAGAGAAGAAAAATACAGGAAGAAAGTAAAACGTGCTCATTTGTCAAGAGAGCTTTACAATTCAATCTATCTTTTGTTTCAGTTCACAAACACGGAGCGAGAATATTATTTAACACTGTATGGTGGAAAAAGCTACCCTCTGTCCTCTATGGAATTAAAAGAGTTTGCCTAATAACCACAAAGTCATATTGAGACACAACTTTGGTTCATCAATATGTTCTTAAAATCAGCTTCTGAATTTCAGAACTATGTGCTAATTTATTCACTTGAGCCTACGTGATATAAACAACACAGCCCCTGGCTAGCACTGACATTCACTTTCACAGAAGTTCCACTGTGATCCATAATTAAGGTCACAGATTCAACATTCCCCTATAAGCAAACTGGACGGCACTACCTGTGGAATGAACATCATTATGAGGACACAGTAATTAACAAAAATAAATTAATAAAGAAGGGACTAAGAACATATGAAGGCAAACACTATGGTAAACTACTTTCACATGAGACTTACGAGGTTGCTTTCATTAACTTACGGCCATACTTCTTACATAGTAGATCTTGATTATACTTAAAAGTTTTGTGGGGTTTTTCTCAAATTCGAAGTCACCATCAAATAGAAATATTCACTTATTCAATGTAGCCACATGATGAATTGGCCTCAGGAAGACCTTTGTTGTTAGGAAAAACCCGGAAGGCTAGCCAAGAAAATCATTAAATCTGGAACGTAGTCTATCTTGGAATGAAGGATACCTGTAACGTCAGTCTCATTAACATTATGAAACAGAAACATCAAAGTTCCTTCATAAAGTATAACACAAAGTATTAATAGTTGAATTAAATAATTAAATATAGCAGCTGGGTGCGGTGGCTCACGCGTGTAATCCCAGCACTTTGGGAGGCTGAGGTGGGTGGATCACCTGAGGTCAGGAGTTTGAGACCAGCCTGACCAACAAGGTGAAACTTCATCTCTACTAAAAATACAAAAACTAGCCAGGCATGGTGGTGTGCACCTGTAATCCCAGCTACTCAGGAGGCTGAGGCGGGAGAAGCCTTCAGGAGGCTCAGGGGGCAGAGGTTGCAGTGAGCCGAGATCGCACCACTGCACTCCAGCCTGGGTGACACAGCGAGACTCTGTCTCACAATCAATCAATCAATCAATAAAATAATTAAATATAGAACCTATTTCTACAATTCTGGCAAGAGTAAGATATGAAAGACAAGTGGCCAGGTCACTGAGTGTTCAAACTAACTAGAGAAACCCAGCTGCAGAAATCAAAGGGCTGTGGGAAACTGGTAGCACTGGTGAGTTGCGGGGTGTGGGAGGCCCTGATCCATTTCTATTTCAGCCCTAAGACAGCCAGTGACACACACCAGTCAATGAATAAAACAAAATACCTTTGGGCCCAACTCTGTTTTACATTTGCTACTAGAACACTTTGTCTCTCTGAGCCTCAGTTGTTTCATCTGTAAAGTGGATTGAAAATTCTATCTGCTGCCACATACTATGTTAAGGATGAAATGAGATCAGACATGCAAACCGCACTTTTTGAATGCCAAAGCACCATATCAATGTAAGACAGTATGGCAGGGCCACTGAAGAACATGAACTCTGGACTGAAATTTGAGAACCAGTCTCAGGGGTTGTGTAACTGTGGGCAAATTGCTAACTCCCGAACCTTGGTGTAAAATGGTGATGATAATATCTCCTACCCCCTGTTATGAGAAGAAAATGAATTCACATATGTAGCATACTTAGACAGGTGTTTGGGACAAAGTATCCCAGGAAAACATGTGTCAACTAAAACATATAAGCTAGGAGTGTTTTGTTTACATTGTAAGTTTTCAAATATGTTTTTAAACTGGACGTTTATAAACGGCTCAGTAGCTAAAAAGCAGTATTTTCTCAATGATATTTTCCTTTTCAATAGCAAAGGCAAAGTAAGTTGTAATAATATAATTATTTAAGGTGCTGCATTGAGGTGTATACATATGAGTGGAAATAAAATGTAGTCAATAAATTACTTTTAATTGGCTCTTGTGTGAAAACAGTGACCTCACTGATATCAATAATGTGATTAATTACTGAAACAAAGTTACTGTGTGTGTGTACTAGATGCCAGTGTGCTGGGGGGCAGACTTGAGTGCCAAGGAGGCTCACAAAAGGTGACTTTAAATTGTGAAAGTATTGGTTAAAAGCCCACTTTCACAATCCTGGCCTCAAGGAGAAAGCAGAGACAGAAACTGGCAGAGATTCTAGAATACCCAGGAATGATTCTCTATGCAGCTGAGCCACCAGTACACTCCAAGACTCCTATCTATTCCACACCTCTGTTACAGCAAAGAGCAGACCTTGATGGATAAGAACATACCTGTGTGTATATATGAATAGTCAAGAGGACTGCATGCTACTCTGAAAAACAAAACCCTTGAAAATCTGGACAAGACTACAAGACTGGAGAGTCCAGTTGACGACGGACCAAGGTCCCAGCTTCCATTTTACCACAGTCCCAGCTGATTTTTTCTCCTCTAACCTTTTATGCCTCAGTGCCAAGACGCACCCCAGCAATCACCCACTTTAACTGAAGCTAGAATTGACAAGGCTTGCCGGTCACTTGTATACAATAACTCAGAAGTCGTTTATCCATTATTGTCCTAGAATTCTGATTATTTATAAAGATCTTGTTTCTTCTGGAATATTTAACTTATTTCTGACGTCCAGCACAGTACCCTGGTATATGTATATGTTTAATTCACTTTCAATGATACTATAATAATATCCAATAATAACAACAGAAATTATTAATACGGCTATAATTCATTGAACTTTTAGACACCAGTGCTTTACCAAGATTATTTTATTTCATTCTCACCACAAGCTTTGTGTAATGATTTCTGTTTTACAGATGAGGAATCTGAGATTTTAAAAGCTTGTATAGATGCACAGGAAACTATCATTATCCACAGTACTCAAGGCTTTCAAAACATAATTGAAAGTTTTTGCACTCTATTTTTCAAAAGGCAAGAATATCTATTTCACACGTGCTGTATGTCATCATTGTGTTTTTTTGCCTAAGACTTAGCTCAGGAGACAGCACATTTATCAGTAAGGAGTACCAGTTTGTTGAAGTGAGCTGTTTCAGTATCATCTCTGAAGGTTCCCTTTATCTAATCCCTTCCTTAAAAACTTTAGCTTCTGCAGCTTTAACAAAATCTGCACTAATCAGTATCAGTTTGCTTATATCCATAAGGCAAAACTGAAAACCTATAATTTTGACTTATTTTTTAAAAAAACACACGAAAACTCAAAATTGTCTGTAAGGCCAAGCTTATAGCTTTAATTAGGGCAAATTATTAAAGTTCATATAGATTTATCTGTGTGTTATGCTTTAGTTATTTGTAATGCAAAGTGCTACATTATTTCTATTAGAAATTATAACTAATACTTATTTGAACAGTTTTATTCAAGTTTTAAGGCAATCATTTGTAAAGATTCCATATAATTTGAGTTTGAAATAATTTATAGGTGGTTGGTGAGACATAGCTTAAAATGAGAGAAAAATTTACTCATTATGAGAATAACAGAAAAAAAATTTATTTTCCTCTCATTTTACTTATTTTATTTACATTTTAGAATATCGCTTAAAAACACAAACTTTAAGAAAAAAGAAAAAAACATAAACTGTTGTTAAATGCTTTAGTACCACGTATGCTAAAATATGTTCCTTCCCCAAAGAAGTTTTAAATATTTGAATTAGGTGCTATAATTTAAAAGCCAGTCTAATTAAATCCCTAAAAAGTTAAAGAGTCTTCATAGAACAAAGCAGAAACCATAAGATAACACACTAAAATGGACAATAACCATCAATACAGGAGAAAATACAGAATTTATATACTTTATGATACAGTTAAAAATAAACTATGGAAAGACAATAAGTCTTTCTAAATAAAACTATAAGATAATAAAATGTGCCCAAGGTTTTCAAACTGTTTTAAACTATTAATATCTCCTTTGTGTTTTTCCTTTTTTTTTCTTTTTTTCCCAATATTTCCTTACCTCAGCAAAGAACAGTAATTTTAAGTCCCATTAGGATGCCATAAGAAATAGTATGTATGTAGTATGTAAGCCAGGTGTGGTGGCTCACGCCTGTAATCCCAGCACTTTGGGAGGCCGAGGCAGGTGGATCATTTGAGGTCCGGAGTTTGAAACCACCTTGGCCAACATGGTGAAACCCCATCTCTACTAAAAATACAAAAATTAGCCGGGCATGGTGGTGGGCACCTGTAATCCCAACTACTCGGGAGGCTGAGGAAGAGAATCACTTGAGCCTGGGAGGCAGAGGTTACAGTGAGCAGAGATTGTGCCATTGCACTCCAGCCTGGGTGACACGAGCAAGACTCCATCTCAAAAAAAAAAAAAAAAAAAAAAAGGAGAAAGAAAGAAATAGTAGTGTATATTTGAACCATTCCTCCTATATAAAAAAATAGCATATTTTGTTGTATATATCAACATTTAAATGCAAAAAAGTTACTTTTTCTGTTAGTTATTCTCATCTGGAGTTTATTGAGTAAAGGAAACATACAGTAAAGCCCAACCCTGCCATAGTGATTACTAGGAGCACCTCTCCCCTACCCTACCCCGCTTCAAGTCTTTGATATATCTGAGAACAGGAATCTCAAATAATCTCAACAGGTAGTGTCTAGCCTCGGTGACAGAGGGAACACATTACTCTCAAATTAAAATCTTACTGAAGTTCCCAATTGCCTCAATGACTGAAATTCATCAGTATTTTCATCTGAAGTATCCCTATGTCTGTACAGCACTCCACACACTATACTTTTAGATACAGGTTCAACGATAAAAAATACTCTCACGTGAACTTAGTTGGAAAGATATGAGTCCCAAAAAACCTGGTCGGTTGTTCTATAATGCTAATATGGAATGTCAACATATAAATTATAATGCTGATATATAAAGAGATGCGTTTTATGTACATGTGTATATATTTTAATGACTAGACACAAAGTGACTTCACCTTTTTGATTTATTAATCATTTTCTAAAAGCCAGGTTTTGATGTGTTCAACTTTCCAGCTACAAAATTTTAAGTAATACGACAAATATAACAAAAGCATTTAGTGGAAAACAGTTAAAATATGAAGCCTGCCATCTTTAGGTCTTTCTTTTCAAGACTATGCAAACAAAAACAAGGCAACATCCACATGTAGCATTTTAAATACTCGAAGTTTTGGAAGAAAAGGTTGCCTCACCGTCATCTCATTCTGCCCTTAGAGACATTTATGTTGTGCTAAAATGGCATTATTTCTTCAAAGGATTTCATTCATTCATTCATTCATTCATTCATCACTTATTCATTTATACTGAATATTTCAGTGAGCAATATACATCACAGAAGGGGAGATCAAACAATAAAGGTGATGCTTTCTCTAGGAAGGGTTATTGTAAAAATGGGAGAGAAAATAGAAAGTCATGAATTCACCCAGGACATAACTTTTTCTAAATTGAACTAGCTGTATCGGTTCTTCTTCCATCCTAAAGGAAACATCTGTCAGCAAACTAGGTGAACTAATAGATTCCCTAATGTGTTAGAAAAGACTGTGCCTTGATTCATTCAAAATATAATAGATAAATACAAAGACCCTCTCAGGGATGTACTAATTGCATTAGTGTTCATGGAAACACAACACATCAAAAATCATCTGTTCCTAACTACTTCTTTTATGTCCTAGAGTTATAGCACAGGCAGAAGGGGACATATTTTAAACAGAACCTTAGAGAAAAGGAAGGTGAGAGGCTGCAAGTTAACACTTCTGGAGACAGTTTAAAGGTAGCCCTATCAGTGTGGAAACATAAAGTGCCATTACCTCACCCACTAACATTTGTGAAAACAATCAGGACACGCTTGAGTATGTATGCTAAATCTAAATGTAAATTTTCATTTATAATTCATAAGTAGTCACAGTGCTAGTGATAAAAATAAATTATTAACATCACCTGTTTAATGAAAATGTCTTCATTTGTACATTCAGGATGTTCCCTGGTGATGTAAAACACTTCCACGTTTCTATTAAACTATTTTAACCAAAATGTTTATCAAAATAGCTCATTTTAAATAAGTTAAAACATGTAATCTAGTTAACAAACTTCATTTATCCCTTTCTTTGTGTATGTTTCCAGGTCATGATCACCAACTAGGCATAAAGCTTCACTACTCTGCATAATTCCACGTTCAAGGGTAGAGAATTGCACCATGCCCACAGGACAATTCTATCTGGTCACCTTCAGTGTGAGGGTCAAGCTGTGCAGTCCCCAGAAAGAAACATTAAATAAGACAACTTCATAATGCACTAGGGAGGAAATCACTTACTATTCATGTCGACAGAAAAGAAGAGAAGATGGATCACAGCAACTCTGTATGCTCAAGGAGGACTCAGGAAGGCCCCAGGTTCCAGTTCCAGGAAAGTGGATTGCTTTAAAGTGGTTAACAGCAACCCTTTGATGAAATGCTTAGGTTTACTGCAAATTGGCACTGGGTGAAAAATGAGAGCCCTTCCTTACTTTACCTTCAAATTAATCATATTGTCCCATTGATCTTTGTTTTCTGTAATGTGCTTCTCACAATCTTTTCCCCTCTTTTGTACAGAAAAGCAATCTTCAATGAATTTTAAACAATTATGGAGACTATTTCCTCGCATATTTACTTCGCCCTACAGGTGACTTAAGAAACAATATGCTTTCTTCTCTTAGCAAATAAAAATGTGTTCTCACTCTGCTCATTTCTTATGACAAAGTAAACATTAGAAAAATAATGGCCAATGTTTACCTGGTATTCAGAACACTGAGTTAAATGCATTCAACCTGTTAAAGACTATTTTTAATGGGAATGATTAAAGATAATTACAACCCTTTTCCCTTGAGCAATTTATTAGCCCCCTTTGGATTAAATACTTGTCTGCTGTAATTTTTAAAGGGCAATTGTTTTCATATCTATTAAGCCTTTCCCTCAATACCTAACCATAAAACCATTCAAAAGCTACAATGTTATAAACATCATAAAGGCCTAGCAGATTTATTTTCTGTTCATGTTTGTAAAAATAATTTCCTTTCTGACTTCTGCTACTCATTGCATTGAACTAAATGATGATGTCCTAATTGTTCTTCTGAAATACAAAATGAACTTTATTTTGGTATGTTTATAGTAAATAAATGTAAATGTAATCTAGAATTTAAAGAAAAACAGATTAATATAAGACGTAACCACAAAGCACACAAACCAAGGGTGATGAAGTTTATACTCTCTACTACATATTAAACAGAAAATATATTCATTCACAAATATATGTTGAGCACCTACTACCTGCTCAGCACTGGGTATATACTTGCAAACAAAACAGAGACTGAAGGAGGTTACTATCCCATTGTGTATATGTTTCGAAATTATGATAAATGCAATCAAGGGGGATATAACAGGAAGAACTTAATTTGATTATTAGGAGAAAGCCTTCTTTAAGCATAGTCCTGACAGACAAATGGAATTAGCCATGGTAAGAAGTGGAAAAGAACATTCCTGGCATAGTGTCCAGCACAAGTAGTCTTTAAATGCAAAAGGCCTTGGTCAGTTCTAGATCACAAGTTCCCCACCTTTTGGCACCTGAAACTGGTTTTTCAGGTGACACTTTTTCCATGGAGTAGTGTGGGCGGCAGGAGGAGGGTTTGGGGATGATTCAAGAGCATTACATTTACTGTGCACTTTATTTCCATTATTATTACATTGTAATATATAATGAAATAAGTATACAACTCACCATAATGTAGAATCAGTGACAGTCTTGAGTTTGTTTTCCTGTAAGTAGACAGTCCCATCTGGGGGGATGGGAGACAGTGAAAGATCATCAGGCATTAGGTTCTCATAGGCAGCACGCAACCCAGAGCCCTCGAATGCACAGTTCACAAACAGGGTTCTCGCTCCTTTGAGAATCTAACGCAACTGCTGATCTGGCATGAGACGGAGCTCAGGTGGTAATGCGAACGAGGGGGAGAGGCTGTAAATACAGATGAAGTTTCACTCTCTCACCCACCGCTCACATCCTGCTGTGTGGCCCAGTTCCTAACAAGTCACGAGCGGTACTGGTCCGGGGCCCAGGGGTTGGAGACTCCTGTTCTAGAGACTAGAATAATGTCAGTGTAGCTAGAAGATGACTGTTACTTGTGAGGAATGAGAGTGGTGGATAGATTTGTTATTGATTTGGAAGGTAGACTCCACAGGACAGGGCTCAGCCTCGTGCAAGTAAGGAAACTTGATTATGCGCAATCCCTTTGCCATAGGAAACTGATGGTTTCCTAATCACGTTTTAAATGGCCTAGAAAGACCCTGGAACAGCAAAGACAGCAGTGGCTGGCAGAAGACAGAATCTACACACACAACCAACTCCAGCCTTCCCCTCAAATGGATTCTGCAGAACAGGCTCCGTGACCCTCAGGCAAGCTGCTTAATAGCCATGCTTTCCAAAACAGCATCACTCATCTTAAAGGAGTGACAGGAGAAACAATGGATGGCAAAATCCACTTCATTTTTCATTTATGAGTTTTGCGAATGGGGAAGAAGGTGTTTTTCTTATTTTCTAGGCATAGAGCCTAGGCTATGAAGTCTTAGCTAACTTTACAAGTAGTCATTATACAACAATCGTAAAGGACATGTATCATAAAACTACCGGTTTCATTTTAATTTAATGCTATTTTAGACTTTACTGACATATTTTTACTGAATGAGCAGGTGTTTCTAAAATGTAAGTTTTCCGGGCCTGGAAACATGTTCATTTATTGGATTTTATGGAAGAAGAATAGCCCTACTTTAGGAGAAGGTATATTCCTTCTTAGAAAGAGAATGCTCTATGTAAAATATTTCCTCAGAAGGATGTAGATAAAACTGCTAACAGTAGCTGTTCTTAAAGTAAAGAGACTGCGAGAAACAGTCAGAAGGGACTTTCCTTTCACAGCATAACCTTCTGCGGCTTCCGAAAGACTTAGTCTGCTGGTACTCATATAAATATATGAGTAAACAAAAATGGATAAAGAAGCCACTTATGACTTTTCCCCGGTCTGTAAGACACCATTCATTACACCCTGGTGTATATCGAATCCATCGGCAAGTCTTCCAAACCTGGCCTGTTTCTTATTTGTACTGAGCACCTCTCACTCCTTCTCACAAGGACCCACAAAGCTTGCCCTTGTTTCTACTCTTTCCCCATCACAGTCCATCCTCTACGCAATAGCCCGAGATACCTCTTTGAAATGTAAATCAAGTTGTGCTA
Source organism: Homo sapiens (assembly GCF_000001405.40). Classification (NCBI taxonomy): domain Eukaryota; kingdom Metazoa; phylum Chordata; class Mammalia; order Primates; family Hominidae; genus Homo; species Homo sapiens. Next base: position 77,070,770 of record NC_000003.12, on the reverse strand, counting down.
CTTCTCAGCTTAAAACCTGCCAAGAAATTTTCTTTATATTTAGAACAAAATCCAGACTGCTAACTGGGATCCACAATACCCTATCTATCCCATTCCATGCCTCCTTTACCTTCATTTGATATCACTCCTGCCCCCTTTGCTGACAACTCTCTTGGCATAACAGTTATAGTGGGTTGAATAGTGTGTCCCCCTGCAAAATCCATGCCCATCCACAATGCCATCGTATGACCTTATTTAGAAATAAGATCTTTACATCTATAATTAAGGGAAGGATGGAGATGAGATCATACTGAATTATGGTGGGTTCTAAGTTCAATGAAAATGTCCTTAGATAGAAAAAGACACACACACGCACACACACACACTCACACAGTGGAAAAGTCCATGTGAAGATGGAGATAGAGTTATACTGCCACAAACCAATGAACATCTAAGCCACCAAAGCTGGAAGAGGCAAGGAAGATGCATTAGTTTCCTAGGGTTGTTGTAATCAATTATTACAAACTGAGTGGCTTAAACAACAAAAATTTATTGTTTCACACTTCTGGAGGCTACGAAGTCCAAATCCAAGATGTTGGCAGAGTTGGTTCCTTCTATTGAACAGGAGGAAGAATCTCTTCCATCCACTCCTCCCAGCTTCTGGGGGCTTGCTGGCAATCTGTGGCATTCTTTGGCTTAGAAATCCATTATTCCAACCTCTCATCATCTTCATATGGATTCTCTTTGTGTCTCCGTATCCAAATTCTCCCTTTTTATAAGGACACCAGTCGTATTGAAATTGGGCCCATGATAATGACCCTTTTAAAATTTTACTCTCTCTGTAAAGACCTTATTTCCAAATAAGATCACATTCTGAGGCACCAGGGGTTATGATTTTAACAAACATTTTTGGAGGGACACAATTCAACACATATCAGCGCTCTTCCCTAGAGCCTTCAGAGAAAGTGTGGCCCTACCAACACCTTGATTTCTTGCTTGCATATTGTCTCTCCCCCTCAAGGACTCTATCAAGACAGTGCAAGAAGAGCAGGCACCTGGTCCGTGCTGCTCACCACTCTAATCCCAGTGCCTAAAAGAGTGTTTCATACAAAGGAGCTGCTGAATACATGTTTACTGAATTAATTAAAGAATAAGAAAGTTATTCAATCTAACCACCACCAGATGTGTCAACAAAATGTTCAAGTAGTCTATGCATGAATGACTGAAGTACTAGAAGTCACTGACTTACAAGAACAAAGATATTCCATCAAAGTATAATTTTATTAGTATATTCTTTATTTTCTTCATTGAATCAATATATATTTCAGTAAAATGTCCACCTATGACCTTAACTCCAATTTCGTTCCTTTGTGTTAAATATGACAAGTCCAGTCATTCTCCCACATGATTATGAAGATTTGAAGAATATCATGATCCCAATCGACTTCTTTGCCAACAAAGCATCCTCATTCTTTCAACTATTTTTCATATTTTTATTTGTCTTAAACACATTCAGACCTCTTCCTTCTCCTAAGTGAACTCTTTCACTTAATTCCAATGGTCTCTCTCTCTTAAAATTTAGCATTTTTGCATACTGCCTGAGAGCACACATTAAGCACACGTAGTGCCCTTATAGTTTAAATTAGAGATCAGCACACTCTCTCTTAACGAGCAAGACTGTAAATATTTAGGCTCTGTGAGCCACACAGCGTCTGCCACAGCTACTCAATTCTGCCTTGGTAGAAAGAAGGTAGCCATAGACTGTGCTTAAACAATTGAGCGTGGCCATGCTCAAATAAAACTTTATTAGTGAACAAGAAAATTCAACCGAATAAAAATTTTATGAGTCACGAAATAGCATTCTACTCCTGATTTATACTAATGACTTAAAAATGTAAAAAAATTTATTATAGTTTGCGGATCACAAAACCAAGCAGCAGTCCAGAGGCTGCAGTGTGCCCACCTTTATTTTAGATAATATGTTCTATTTAATGAAGCCTAGAAACATACTAGCCTGCGGAAGTGGGCTGGGCACTATACTGTGGAATTATGTTGAATTTAATGTTCACAAAAACATTACTTTATTCACGTATTCTACTTCCAATTCTGCCCTCCCTCATGCTCTTTTGTTGCCATTCATTCTTTCTCACAAATCAGTAATGAGTTTGAATTATATTTTAAGATATATTTATATCATACTTTGGGGTGAATTTTGAACTTGCCTGTTACGTGACTAACAGGCAAGTTAGTGAGAGATAAGAGTTAGGCAGAGATAAGAGGCTTTAGAAACCAGCAATGGAAAAAAAGATTCTGCTTTATTCCATGCAATGTTCATTTAAACAAAGATTATATTCTTAATAGGGTGGTGATTCGTTCATTCTCCTTTAAAAGAGTCAAAATAAAATGGCTTCTATCACTTCCCTTGAGAAATCATGACACAATAGAAGGAAACTTGTAGGCAAAAGTTGTCTTAGTTTTATTTCCTTTCAAACACATAAGACATAAAGCTTTCTTTTGTCACAAAAATATATTTTCTTATATCAATTAAGGCTTACCCCCTTGATGTAAATATTAAACCAAAAGCCTGTGCACTCTCAGTGGTGAGAGAAAAGTAGCACTCAAAAATAAAGGGCAGCCTCTTCCCTTTAGTTACAACTTTATGAAAACAATGACAGAAGACTAATGGTGTGTTTTTGGAAAATTTTACAAATATACACTTCTAAGCATTTTGAGAACTAAAAATGTACCAAGAATAAATAAAGTAATAATAACACAAAGAGAAACACAAATAAAGCAAAGACTTAGACGTGATTTAGAACTGATGTTTATGTCTTAAACAGGTATACTCTAGAAAAAACTAATAATTATGATTTTAAAGTACTCATCAATAAAATAAAAAAGAAAAAAGTTCTGAAACATCCTCAGCATGCTCTTTAAAATTGGGATAACCTGGTAGCTTTGAAAGAAAACAGTACATATAGGGCGCATTCCTCTGATGCCTCTTATTTTAACATCAGCCATGGTTTTCTCATCTATTTTCTGAAGGTCTGCGTCTACTGTTTCTAAGGTCCACTGAGGCTAAAGACAATATATCAGTAGAAAACATGTGACTTTCATCAAAGAATTTATGAAAAGAAAAAACAAACACTCAATTCAGCACTGAGTCTATATCAAGCACGGTGTTAGCTATTTTCACATGTTACCTTGCTTAATGCTATTCTCACAAAAATCCTGTGATATTTTCCCCTATCTTTTCAGTCTGTTATGCATATCCAATTCAAGCGCAGCTTATTTTAGAGACACATATATGACACATATATCAGTTCTTTCTAATTCGGTATACAGGGATAAAATGCTTCCTTTTCTGTACTCACAGTTGTCTGCTGACTTAACTTTTGTTAAATAAAGACGTTAATAAAAATATCAGGGGCAAGTAGTAAAAAGTAAATACAAAGTTTGGGAATAAGCAAAACTGAGTGTTGAGTTTTAAACTGATGGAAGACTAGTGCTCACTCACTATAAATTACCTTAAAATTCTACTCACTATAAATTATTACATGTTTGGAGGGACTCTGGCTTCAGTTAGGATGTTTTGCAAAGGGAAGCTTTGATAAATCCAATACTACAACTTATGCAGTCACGAAAAATCAAGTACAGACAGTTTTTGAAATCTTTGGAAAAAGTGCTATGGCCTAGCAACAAAGGCAAGCTGTTTTGTGTTTTTGTTTTGCAGTGTGTGTGTGTGTGTGTGTGTGTGTGTGTGAGTGTGTGTGTGTGAGAGTGTGTGAGTGTATGTGTGTGTTGCAGGGGTGGAGGGGGGAGGGGAAAAGAATCTTTTCTTAAAATATTTAAACTAAAAGCAAATGAAGAGTCAAACATTTGCAAACTAAAAATGGGTGTTGATTTTTAAAAGTAGTGCAAGGATACCAAAGATTTGTCTGTTTCTTTTCTTTGGAGAAAATAGAAGGATAATTAAGTAACTGTACTATGTCTTAATCTAATCTCCCAATACATAACACTAAACAATCATTCCCTACAAATTCTTTAGATTGCCTACTTGTACTATCAAAAAGTGTTTAAAACCAAAAATAAAAGCAATCACTCCCCCTAAGAAATACAGATTATATAATTAAAGTACTGTCCTATTTAACATTAACATATATACCTCTATACATTAACTTATTTCCCTACTGTTAGTCCTTTGATTGTACTCACATTGTTATATGATTTCTGGGAAATACCAAATACAAATACTTTTTTCACATAGAGATTGCTGTCTAACAAAATTTTTCTAATTGATAACACATTTTTAAAGAAATTATATGATTAGACTATAATTAATACAGGAAACTATAGAACAAAGAGTTGACTTTGAAGCCAATTTTTTTCCAACTGCAGTTAATGTTGTCAGAGTTATTATTACCAATGTCTTTTGACATCTAATATAATTATGCATTTAAATGTTAAAGGTTTTGACATAAATGAATAATTTAGTTAACTAGAATGTAAAGGCAATCTTGATTTTTCTCAATATAATTGAATGAAAGTACTTATAAAACTACTACTAAGACAAGGAAGTGGCCTCTTCAAAATTATTCCATCTGTTTATCTTGCGATTTCCCATAATCACACCCAACTTAATAAACATACTAGATTGTTTCTGTGCTGTTATCGATCACCAAATTGATTATGATGAGACATAATTCACCCTTGTCACAAGTGAACAGACATGGTCTGAGCCATTTTTATACACATTTTTTTAAAAACCCATGACCTAGAAAAGCATTTTCCTTTGTAGTAAGAAATAGCTTCGGCTTCGATGCCAGCAAAGTCCTGGGAGAATGCCAATTACGCCAATTTTGCAAAAACAGATGTATCTTGATTTTGCGATATGGACTATTTTACACTAGGGACAAAGACCAAACCATTCATCTCAATTTACTTAGGACTGAGGCTTAATTTGAACTCTGACCTCAGAGTGGTAAGGTCATTTGTATATCCCATAATAGCATGAGGCACTATTTTCAAAGAGAAACATATATTTGACTTCATATTTCAATAATTTTCTAATTACTAATGCAAACAATAACATTATTTTACTATTTTAGTTGCTCCTTAAAATTAACCAATTTTAAGAAATGTTTAAATTTGGGCCATTACTAAGGTAACAAAGTATTTAATCAATAGCATGGATGATGGCCATTGATTGAAACTTCTCATTTAAGGTACTCTCAATCTTGATCACCAATACTCAAATGACATCTGACTAAAGATTGCAAGAAACCTTGTTACTTGCTGACTTTAATGGAATTTTGAAAATAGGTCACAAGAATGACAGGTAATTGGGTTTAGATACAAAAAATACAAAGAGAAACAATAGGATATTTTTCACAATTAATTTTGAAGAAAGTTTTTGGTGGTCATTCATTACTTGTTAAGAAAAAGACAAAATTTATTTCCATAAAACTGGATTCCAACTTTTGTTGACCAACTTCTGTTTATTAAGAATCTGACTGACTCTGTTATTTAAAACGTCTCTTTAATATGTGATTTATTGCTCTACTCTTTCCCAGGGAGCTTCTGAGAATTAATGAGACAATTGCCAAGTGCTTGAAGCTCCTTGGGAAAAGACTGTGATAGTATTACTAAACATTATTGTGATTATTATTATTTTATATGCAGTTCCCTCTGATGTATTTTTTCTAGTTGATTTACTTAGTGCCCTTGATTAGGCCAGATCCACTTTACATTAGAATCATTGAATAAAAATATGTTGTGAGCACCTCTCCTTTCCAAATCTGGGAAGTCATGCAATTCTGATCAGTTTCCAAAAACCCATTTTTGCTTTCAGCTGAGAATTAAAGCTATCAAGACCTCCATATTCCTTGGTGGCCATCAACCTTATGAAAAAATGATACCTGTGAATACCAGAGTATAATTATTACAAATATCTTGTCATAGAAAATAATTCATTCTCCCTTTTCCCTCAGAAGAAAATCAAAATATTTGAGTAAGGAAGCACAAATCATTATGAAATAGATTGGTTTCTGCTTCAAGGATCTATCTGTCCCAAATTTTTTAGCTCTTCAAAACTACTACACTTTTTATTCTGAAATGAAATATGTTTTTATAGGCTGGGTGTGTTGGCTCACACCTTAATGCCAGCACTTTGGGAGGCCAAGGAGTGTAGATCATTTGAGGTCAGGAGTTCAAGACCAGCCGGGCCAATATGGCAAAAACCTGTCTCTGCTAAAAATACAAAAGTTAGCTGGGCATGGTGGTGCATGCCTGTAATCCCAGCTACTTGGGAGGCTGAGGCTGGAGAATCGCTTGAACCTGGGAGGCGGATGTTTCAGTGAGCTGAGATTGTGCCACTGTACTCCAGCCTGGGTAACACAGTGAGACTCTGTCTCAAAAAAAAAAAAAAAAGATACATCCAAGTATTAATTTTATTTAAATATTTGTAATATAAAATTGCAATTTGTATAAAAATATATTTCACTACTCATTTTTTCCTTTGCTTGAATTTTGTCTTACAAACTTTTATAAACTAATGTTTACACCTTACTTTTCTTTCTTTGAAAGGAATAAACAATACAATTTAATACATTTTTAAGGTAATTTTAAAAATAAAATCAAACGTTTATAACAAAAAGCATAATAAGTGAAAACAATGAACACAAGCATTTACCTTTTATGACATTATAGCTTAACAATACCAACATAAGCATATAATTTTTCTGCAGGCTTTAAAGATAACATGAAGAAAATAGATTTACCCTTCATCTAGGTATGTGCACTAACAAGTACAATGCAAAGTGTTTATTATGAATGTTCTTAAATGAGAAATAGCTTTTAAACTTACAAGGATAGATAGGCAATTGCCCAATCAAACTTTGAACACATAAATTGTATATGTTCAGGAGATGATAAGTAGAGTAATTTTTAATTTGCACCCTCTATTGATGAAGTCAGCAAAACCAATGGAAACCAGTAGTTTTGGCTGAGTCTAGAATAGGCAGAGAGAAAGAAGAGCTGAATTAAATGGGCCATCTCGATTGAATTCAACGAATATTTATTAAACACTTCCTTATGTATACGTTGCTTTGCTACAGACTACAAACAATATCAAGTTAAGAGCAAAGAGCTCTTCACACGAAGTAGCCTAACGTAAGTGTGAGTCATAAAGCACATATGTAAATTACTACAATTCAAGTAAGTTATAATCCAGGAGAAAGGAAGAAAGAGTTACATGATTATGGGAATTGAAGAGGTCAGGAGATCTGTCAAACTTCCATCAGCTTCCCTGTCTTGCAGCACACACTTGAAATGGTTTTATTTTTCTGGTGAAACTCCTAATTATCTCCCTAAACACACCCCCTTTTCACACACTTTGCTCCTGTCTTACTGATTTCCAGTTCCTCTGCAACCTCCTCCTATTTTATTCCTTACCATCTTCACATTATCAAATCTAAGCACATCAAGAATTGCATGAGAGAGCTTTTAGAAAACAGACACGTACACTCCTCTCCCAGCCATTTCATGTAACTGGTTAGGGGTGGCAGATGGGCATAGCCCTTGGCGAAACCTTACTCTGAACTCAACCCAAGCTGTCCACTTCTAGATCCTGCTCCCACCCTCATGATGTTTTCAGTTCCCACCCTATATGCTTTAATAGTCCACCAGTTTACTTCTGAGCTAAAAATTGATGATGCTCTACAGTATTCAGAGACACCAGTAGGCCTTAGCTGCCTGTAAATTCCCACAGCAGTATAATATTCCTCTAATGTATTTTTATTATCCTTGGGATAAAATTCAGAATCTTTATTATTAAAAAAAATGTAACTGGGAGGCCATTAGACTAGATTAGCTCTGGCACTTTAAACTCATACATATACAAACTAATTCACAATGTAAATAGCAAACTGACACTTAAAACTGCACCAATCAGAAACCACCAACTAACCTCTCACTAGGAATTTTCCACTCAAATCAATCAAAACTGGCATTTTTTTTGTGTGTCTTGCTTCTGTAAACACTTTATAGAAGTTCCCCCTCTTGACCCTCCTGGTGGAGTGCTAAGTACCTTGCAGTGTGGTGGAACTCCAATTTATGGGCCACTGGATGCCCAGATAAACTTTTTAAAAGTTAAATATGCTTAAGTTGTTTTTTCATAAGCTCTGGTGTCAGAAGTGTGACCTAAAGGCTACCACACAATCATGACCTCTGGGAGAAATTAAGTAAACAGGAATAAGTACCCAGCTGTGCCCCTTCTGCTCACTCCTTCTTCCTATACATTTGGAGGTCATCACCACTAAGTCCTCTTGGATACACGAGTTCCACAACTTGGGTCCTGTTCTCTGAGTTTATTTGAGTATTTTTTAAAAATCTGAACTAGGTTTGGAAGTCTTAATAGAAACTGCACTGCATTCTGTCAGGAGCCTTTAGGTGCCTGACTGGGTTAGACAGAAACTGAATTGGGTTTAAACACCTCTGGTAGGAAAGGTTCCCAGAAGACAGAAATAATGAGTTTATTTAAATCCAGAGAGTCTAAGACTCCATCTTGGAACCTGTGCTTTTCTAGAGAAATGGGTGAATCTTAACAAATATAATGTAGAATTTTGGTGGCCACAATGGGAAAGTTTTAACCTAAGTAAAACTGCTCATCTATAGGGCACATACATCAAAAGGGATCCCAAACACCTCAAAACCATAGGATGCAGTTTTGACTGACATGTAGAGACCTCTAAACTCTCGGTTTCTCTCTATTATCCTTTGCCTACTTTGAATCTACTAATGTTTTCACTGGTTTACCTGCTCACCTCAAAGGGAAAAAAAAGAAAGAACCAGATCAGTGTTGACAAAAGGATGTCAGATCAACCAGGTCTGCTTTATAACCACTGTTATTCCTTGCTCAAAGTCTTGAGCTCAGATGAATAATAAACGGTATTCCTGTCCTGCATAGAAAATGCTTTGTCCCTATATGTTAATTGGTTCCACCCGGAACTCAGTAATCCTGTTAAAGACATGTTGACAGGACCAAGGGAAGCTCAAAAATGGATGCAAGAGGCAGAATGGTATCATTGTGAGGACACGATCCATGGTGATAAGTCCCCATTTGGTTCACATATGTGCCAGAAAAAGCTCAAAAAAACTAAAAACAATCTTCTGAAAGCCATTCCTGAATTGTTTCCCCACTCACACTGACTGGACAATCAACCAGACCTACAGACAGAAGGAAGATGAATCCGTTACTGATTTCAAAAACCACTCAGAGCTTTTGTTTTTCTTATGGCATTCCAGGAAACCCAGCCTACCCTTGCTGCCCTTTTTGTAAAAAGATTCTCCCCAGGTATTATTTGGAGACATAGGAAAAAAAGTTAAAAATTTTAAAAAAGGTAAGGAAATAAGCCATAGGTTTAGCTAGGTTAGCTGAACATGTGTAAAGAATCTTAGAACAAGGTAAGAAACAAAGGGCTTCCAAATTAATGGCCTTGCAATTATAGCAACTCCAGGGCAACCAACAATTTAGACTGACCTTCAGACTTCTCCTAATAAATGACTTTTAAATCAACAACTTATCTGCTTCCGTCTGTATGTACATGCATGTCTTTGTATGAACATATGTATGTTATGTGTATGTGATATTTTGGGATGATATTACTAAACAAATTTATAAAATTAAAAAAGAATGAGCTGGAAATGTCCTGCACCTGTCGTCCCAGCTACTCAGGAGTCTGAGGCAGAAGAATCCCTTGAACCCAGGAGTTCGAGGCAGCATTGAGCTATGATTGCACCACTGTCTTCCAGCCTTGGTGACGGGGCAAGACCCTGTCTCTTTAAAAAAAAAAAAAATGTTAGGTTTTCCTGGGTTGCTGGTCAGATGGGTTTGTATTATCTCTGCTAGATGTTTAAGTCAATAACTCCAACCAAAGAGTAAAATATGTAGTAAACATAAATTGCTTGGTGCCTGTTAGTTACAGAATTTAGAAAAAGACAGAGAGGGAAGAATAATGTTTAGCTTTTCAGTTTCTTTGCTTCTGTGATAACTTTGATATTTGCCTGACCTGTAAACACAAATGAAATAAGATGATGGGGTAGGGTAGTGACTGATGACACTTGAGCTGCTGTGGTGGATCTGGATTTGGCAAATAGGAGGTGGTCTAGGGAAAGCCTCTCTCTGCATTTGCTATTTTTCAAGTCCCTTTAGCTCAAAGTGATCAATATACCAAAGTGGAATAGCTTGAGGTGACATTTATTGAACTCCTTCAATGGCTAGCTGTGTTTAGTGTCTTATGAAATTTTTCATGAGCAATCCAAATACAAGTGTTAAGAACAAGTGAATTAGGTAAATATCAATGAAATAAAGGTAGCTCTGTTCATTGTTCTCGAGTTTTATTTTCCACCTGTAGAATGGACTAGATGCGGAATTCTTCTAGGTTTCTCCAATTCAATTTTCTCCCATTTTTCCAACTTGGGATTACTAAGAACAAGAACTCCTCTGTTCCTGAAATGCCATGAGCTGGAATGGGTAGCCTGGCATAATTTCAGAGGACAACCCTCATTCCTGATCTGTGCATGACTCCAGGAGTTCACCAACACACCCAATGCTATAACCAAAGACACTCAAACTGCAAACCAGGAAAACATTATTTGAACTCAAATCTAGAAGTCTTGACTAATTACCCTCTGGACTCAGAGACTGAATTTATAGTTTGCTCTAGTCATTGGTCTTTATTTTTCTTTTATTTCCATAGAAATACTAGTTGGTTTGATTTGTGATGACCTTGGCTGAGGAGCATACTTCAGTCTCTTGGTAGTATTCTCCTGATAGTCACCACTGTAACCCCCCTGGTGTAGTATATACTCTGAAGGGTCTCAAATGTATGTGTGCAGCCATCAAGGGTATGCCAGATGGTCTCACTGTGATTAAAGCAACAAAAATGAGATGAGCAAAAATAAGAACCTTTCTTCAATGAGCCTGATGTCATGACGTATGAGTTTTACACTGAGATAAAGACAACCCAGCCAAGACAGTGACAGAGAGTGATGCTTATGCCCAAACTTTGGTCAATCTCTCATAAATGAGAGGCTGATCAAAAGGAGACAATTAAAAAAAATTGTAATTGGGAAACTATTAAACTGGGGTGTCTCTGGCAATTTAAATTCCCACATCAATAAATCAAAGCCCAACATCAATAGTAAATTGAAACTAGAAACTAACAATCAGAAACCACCAACTAACCTTTAAATAGGGTCTTTCCACTGTAACCAAAATTGTTTTCTTTGTCTTGCTTATGTGAACACTTTATAAAAGATTCCCCTCTTGCCCTTCTCAATGAAATTTTACGCCTTATAGGCTAGTGCTACTCCAAATCATGAATCCTTAAATGTTCAAATACACTGCTTGAAATTTAAATGTACTTACCTTTTTCTTTTATCATTACCTACATAATCTGTGTCATCCAGCCCAGCCTTCTTCCACCTTTCACTGCTTGCAGCTTTACCAGCCACTTGACTTTCTTCCAGGCTTTCAAAGGGACTCCAATCCCTGTCCACTTCGGGACCTTCCTTCTACCTAGAATTCTTTTCTCAGATCTCACTCTTCACATAGCTATCTCCAGTCCTCAACATAATTGTTACTTCCCCAGGGAGTTCTCCAGGCACAAAAATCTAAATTTCATAGATTTTATAATCTGCTTATGACACCCTATATTTTTCTTTCATAATACTTAAAAATTCAATCACAGGTATAAACATATTCAGCACGATTATTTGTCTTTCTCACCAAAGTAAAAACTCACCACACTGTTACAAGTATTCAGCACATTGCAGATGCTCAGTAAATACATTCTAATGAATTAATATATACATGTGATTGTGTGCTAACTAATTAACAATAACGGTCAAAAACTTGGAAATAGTAAAACAACATGCAATTAAAAAGCAACTAAGGCCAGGTGTGGCGGCTTGCCTCTGTAATCCCAGTACTTTGGGAGGTCGACGTGGGTGGATCGCTTGAGCCCAGGAGTTGGAGACCAGCCTGGGCAACATGATGAAACCCCATCTCTACAAAAAATACAAAAAAAAAAAAATTACCCAAGTGTGGTGGTGCAGGCCTATAATCCCAGCTACTCAAGCTGAAGTGAGAGGACCACCTGAGCCCAGGAAGTCAAGGCCGCAGTGAGCCAAGATTGCACCACTATACTCCAGCCTAGGTGAGAGGCGTGAGACCCTATCTCAAAAACAAATAAATAAATAAAAATAAAAGCAACTATATGTTAGTGATATATTTCATAGGTTCATTTTTTCAATTACTTTTTGAAGCATTCTGAAAATATCACTTGAGATCTTTATTAACCCTCACAAGAGCTGGAAAGTTACAGAAGAGGTGTACAAGTTATTCCAGATGGCACACAATAATATTTTATTTAAAATTACAATAGCAGGCTATTGTGAATATTACTTATATTTAGCTGGAACTTTCCAGGTAACTAAACATTAGTGTATTATACTTTTCAATTTCCATTTTTTGTCTCAAGGCAACTGAATAAAACTAGATGGCTATCAAGCAAAAAATATCTAAGCTCAGTTTTCTATTCACCTATTTTATTCAGGTGATACTTGGAAGCTTAGTGAAAGACTTTGAAGAACTTTGTTGTCCCAATAATCTAAGAATTTTCTTAATAACAATTAGGAAAACATCCGAGTATTCTCCTTTTTAATGAAAAAAACAACACATACACCCCAAATAACATTAACGTTCAATCAAAATCCAGCCACATGTTTTTCTTTTTTTTTAATTTTACTTTAAGTTCTGGATACATGTGCAGAACGTGCAGCTTTGTTACATAGGTATACATGTGTCATGGTGGTTTGATGCACCTATCAACCCGTCAGCCACATATTTTTTAAAATATATTGCCAGGACGCGGTGGCTCACGCCTGTAATCCCAACACTTTGGGAGGTCGAAGTGGGTGGATCACGAGGTCAGGAGATCGAGACCATCCTGGTCAACATGGTAAAACCCCGTCTCTACTAAAAATACAAAAATTAGCTGAGTGTGGTGGCACGTGCCTGTAATCCCAGCTACTCGGGAGGCTGAAGCATGAGAATCACTTGAACCAAGGAGGCAGAGGTTGCAGTGAGCCGAGATCATGCCACTGCACTCCAGCCTGGCAACAGAGCGAGACTACATCTCAAAAAAAAAAAAAAAAAAAATCCTCTGGAATCTAAAAGGTATAGCTTCCACATTAGTAATTAACTCACAAAAATGCAATGACTAAAAGACAGATGTGCCAAAGCCTTTGAACTTGGTCTTTTTTTAATATATATACCTTACGTTCTAGGGTACATGTGCACAACATGCAGGTTTGTTACATATGTGTACATGTGCCATGTTGGTGTGCTGCACCCATTAACTCGTCATTTACATTAGGTATATCTCCTAATGCTATCTCTCCCCGCTCCCCTCACCCCATGACAGGCCCCAGTGTGTGATGTTCCCCACCCTGTGTCCAAGTGTTCTCATTGTTCAGTTCCCACCTATGAGTGAGAACATGCGGTGTTTGGTTTTCTGTCCTTGCAATAGCTTGCTCAGAATAATGGTTTCCAGCTTCATCCATTTCCCTACAAAGGACATGAACTCATCCTTTTTTATGGCTGCATAGTATTCCATGGTGTATATTGCCACATTTTCTTAATCCAGTCTATCCCTGATGGACATTTGGGTTGGTTCCAAGTCTTTGCTATTGTGAATAATGCCGCAATAAACATACGTGTGCATGTGTCTTTATAGCAGCATGATTGATAATCCTTTGGGTATATAACCAGTAATGGGATCTCTGGGTCAAATGGCATTCCTATGAACTTGGTCTTTTTTTTTACAAAATTATATGTATGTACGTGTGCATAGACATATGTTTGTATATGTGTGACATGTATATATTCATCTGTGTATATGTGTATATTACATGTCAATTCCTTGATTTATAAAACATCTTCCCTGGATTACGACATGGCCTCAATTCAAGCACCTTAGGTTTCATGTTAGAAATATTAAGCAATAATACATTTGAAAAAAAGTTACAGCCTTAACACAAATTGCCAAAATATTGTATGTCTTGTGTCTGAGTTTTGAGTTATCTGTGGATTTAAAACTATGAAATTTACATCAAATATACAATTTTTTTCCTAAATGCTCAGTTCTCTATATTATCCTGTCTTTAATTTTTTTGAATTGCCCACACAATTTCAAAGAAATAAGAGGTTGCCAACATAACAATCTCAAATGGAATGTTATACAGTACGGTGTCTTCTTATAAGTAAAAAAAACACTGCATGAATTAAGATATTAATAATAAGCAAGATCTTTCAGTTACTAATATATGTCATTTTGTCTTTAATTTGTTGTCTAATCCTAGTGAATCTCATCCAACAAAATTAGGTCTTTATAAACTCTACCAAGTTTGCTAAATACTGCCTCCCTTAACAAACGGTGGTTGGGGGACAAGTTTTTACACAAATGGATCAAGAAAGGATGACTTCATCAAAGAAAGTCTTAGCTACATTAGAGAAAAAAGCTGGGAAACACAGTGGTGGATCTTTGTAGTCATCATCCCTTCCTCGTATTCTGAGGACTTTATCTTGTTGTAACTTGTTTAGACTGAGTGTGGTTTCACAAAGCTGCAACTCAGATATTTCAGGCCTTCCTATGATCTAATGTTTTCCCACGGAAGGAAATTTTTCTCTTTGTGTGAGATAAATACCTACACACTATGTCCTAAATCCTCTCTCAAAAGACATTGCTGGTATTGTGCAGTCATTTGTAAGGACAGTTCAACTTCTCTATTTATCTTTTCAATTTATTGCATTTCACAACTACTTAAAAAGTTACGTTTTATGACAATCATCATTTGGCCAAAGTTCACCTTATAAACATTCTTTTGGTTAATTTTACTTTTAAAACTTAAAATTAGAAGCGAAAAAGTAAGAAATCATCTCGTAGTTATATAAATTTACAGAAATAAACCAATCAGGAATGGGTGTAATAAAGTTAGCCTCTGGCTTTGATTAGTTCCTCAGGGTCAAAAATGTGGTTTTGTTACATTTATTTCACACAAGTTATAATCCAATCCAATTCATGGAAGTTTATATGTGGATATATTATGCGTAAATGAGTCTTCCAAATGTATATTTTTCTCTAACTCTTTATAACCCTCACATGGAATCAAGGTATGCAGAAATCCTGTGACAGGATGACGTGTTAGAAAATCAAGGCAAAAAGGAGTATGAGTCTACCATATTTTCTTTTCCAGCACCTCTATTTCTATGATAAACTCCTCAAGAGATTTTGTATAGTTCTCATCATTTATACATGACTCCCCAGAAAAGGAGTCCCCAGTGAGTTCACAGACTATTATGAGAATGAAAGCCCTTTTATCAATACAGTATGCAATTTACTGGCCCAATCACTAGACCAGTAGAATGGATTTTATATAGACACCCCTAATATCAAGACCATCCCTTATAATATTTATATGCTCTTTGTTACAAAATGATGAATACTGGATGCAGAAGGGTTTGATGTTAGTGGGAAGACGCAGTGGAAGCTGAATAAAAGAAAATCTTTAAAAAATTAACTGTAAAAGTAGTGAATAAAAATCACAGAAGGGTGAGTTCCAAATGAATAGATTTTGTATCTGGTAGTTTTTTTTTTTAAAGAATGAGTGTTTCTCTACTTATTGTTGCACCATAATTCCACAATTAACATGTAGGGACTTTATTATGAGGGCTCTAATCTCATTACTGATGAATGACACATTAACCAAGTTTTACACACACACACACACACACACACACATACACGCGAGATTTTGTGGACTGCAGGCGCCTCTCTGTCACTGGCTGCAGTGACATTACGGCAGGATGCCCATCTGCTTTCAAATGTTGGCTATGAAGTAGCCCCACAGCATTGATGGGAATGTAAAATTGACAAAATAAAACCAATCAGAAGCCCTAGGAATTGGCCTCCATTACCTCTCACTGCCCATCTTAACTTGTTTTTACTTCTGTTTTACTGAGATGCTGGCTCCATTCTATTTCTATCACTCTCTTACATCAGGAGAAAAAAAATGGCGATTTCTATCTGAGGACTAGGGAAAAGGAACAACATATAATTGTGCAGCAAGCAGAGAATCTCACTTGTACAACCTTCTCTAGTCTTTATCATCAGACCTAGCATCCTTATTAACCAGGAATGTGGTAAATGCGACACACTTCATCTGAAGAGTCATTGTCTATGCTTCCCTACTCCATCCAATACTTTCTTCTACTGGAAGGAAGACCCTTGACTTCCACAGAAAATATTACTCTTGAATTTATCTGGGGTCAGATGGCATACGTTGTATAGGTTTCTGCATACAAGTTGTCTATTAAATTTAATAGATCAATTTAATTCACCCAACCTTAATTAAGCCCTAATATGTGTAATACAGTACATATAAAATGAACTAAAACACAAACATGGGCTTTGCTGTATACTGACAGATGGTAGAAATTTCTCTTGGAAGGCTTTATGAATTTGGTCTTGGTTTTGAAGATGCTATATTCACTCTAAAAAGGAACTACTTGAACTTTCCAATGGAAAATCCTTCTCTAGTGTTAAGTAGACAAGCATCTTCCTAAAGAATCTCTCTTTGTACTAACCTTGTTTCTATTCTGCCAAAATCTCTCTCATGTTCTGGCAATGAAGTACAAAATGAAAGAAGTATTTCAACTGCACTTAAGCCACATTCATTGAAAGAGAATCTCCCTAGTCAGTGATGCAATACTCCCTAAATGGGCACTATAATCGCATGACCTTTAAACTGGGATATAACACTCCTAATCTAAATCACATTCTCTCCTTGCGCCAACTCCTGTACTTATCCCCAGGGCCCTTTCAGTGTTATTGCTTTGCTGGCTTCTCCCTCTAGTTAGATTTCTAGATTTCTGATTATTTCCCTGAAGAATTAGTTTACATTTATATACCAAATAAAGCATTAGTTTTTACTCCACTAATATTTTCTGCTGCCTAAATTTTTGTATATCATTATATGTGATTTCAGGGACAGGGAGGGGAGGTTCTGATGGTATTCCAATGTTGAGATTTACAATTTCTTTATCATTTCCCTTTTAAATGACTAATAAAGATGTTAAATCAGACCTCACTTAAAGCTGATCTTGAGACATCACCCACCAAATCGTTACATTTTTATCTCTGATTGCCTTTGGGTATTACCCCCTCTTAACAAGATATTTCACTTCCACAGAGTGAAAACAGATGACAGGAAGCATCACACAGAGTCTTTAACATGTTGTTTGTTCTCATATTCAGATGAAAGTAAAGCCTTTGGAATGAGCATGAGTATATACAGAAGGGCCAGACTAAGCTGCTATATAAAAAATAAGTTTAAAATGTAAAATGAAGAATAGAATGAGAATGACTTTTTAAAAACAAAGACATGGCTTAATTTACTGTCTAAATATTAACAGCCTGCTTAATGTTGGAATCATGCTGAAAAACAGTATGGCAAAGCATTCCCTTGGATTTTCTAGCTGCCACACTCAGGCCACCAAAACCAGAAGCTTTTCTAACTATGCAACTCAGATGGTTGACAAGTTTAATAAACCTTGAGCAATTTTATTTGAACAGTGCCATGTACATAATATAATCAAAAGATAAAAGGAGAGGTCATGAGGATTATAATAATACCACTTTTTAATCCCATATGCTGAACCAGCCTATAGATACAAACATACAGGCATACATATATAAATAACAACTTCTTTGTAATTCACAGACTGTCCCTTATATCCCAGTGCTTATGGGAAACTAACACCTGCCACCCTTAACACTTTCTCATTAGCTGCTTCTGTAAACTCTCAAGAGTATTGCAATTAGTTCTTTTATCAAACAAACAAAAATGCTATTTGGCTGTTGTCAAATAGATCTGCCTAGATAACATTCTGAATATGATCACTAACATCACGTTCTTAGTTTGATGTCATCATAAACACTGCCAAAATCTAAGAATGGCTAACTGATTTTTTTCAGTGTTCATTTGGGATATTATTACCGTTTCAATTGTATTTGACAGTAGCCACAATTAACAGTTTCATGAAAAACTAGCTTTTAAAAAAGACTATTGCAGGTATTGACATTTTAGCAATTTCTTTGTCAAAAGGTTTGACAATATGTAAGATCTAATTTGCAAAATAGCCAAAGTAGTATGAAGACCTTTCTTGTCTGCCTTTTCCCCCCTTCAAAACAGAAGGTATTAATCACTCGATCTCAAAGGCAGCTGACTGATGCTATTCACTGAGTAGGGCATTCTCACTAATGTGGCCCCATGAATAACTCTCAAGGCTTTTATTATTGCTCTGAGTGGACTCTCAGCAGCACAGCCTCTCTTTAGCAACCCTCATCCCCTCAGGCTCCAAAAGGATTATAGATAATGGCTGAAAGAAAGCATCATTGGTAAAAACAAAAGTTTTTAAAGGGAAAGAAAATGGGAGCAAAGTGGACATATTGGAGACAAGTCATGATTCATGGCCTGTACTGTGTTCTGCCTCTTTCTCTTACTAAATACACTCTTTAGTTTTACTGCTGGATAAGAAGGGACTAAACCAGTGCACTTCTCCTAGCAACCAACATCAGTCAGTAAAGAAGGCATGTCATCTGCTCAAAGAGAAAACGGAAGAATCTGGGGTCATACAAAGCAGACACATGTTCTTTTGCATTTGATCCCAAATTGATTATCAAAAAGGGTTCAGTAAATGCTAAATAATTCTGTTTTATGTGAATGTTAACAATCCATAGAACTAAATATCAGCGTGTCCGCTTGCTGTATAGTTGAGTGTCAAATGCTAATCCAACCGACTTCATTCAAATGTTCAGTTTTTCACTTTTCCAACACACTCTTTCGTCCCCTCCCCTTATAGTTCAGGGAGATTGCCCCTCCCAGGTATATCCTTGCACCTCCTTGACCATTTCAAATGCAAAGATTAGGCATAACCTCCTATAGAGATCCATGTTTGGAAAGCTTAGAATTGAATCCTGATACAGACAGACAATACAAGCAATTGCCTGGTCATTTTATTTGCATGTCATGTGTAGCCGCTGCTTCAAAACTTAAAAACTGCTTTCTGAAAAGAAATGTTGAATACACTTGGAATTTAAATTTACCATGATGAGACACATTTACTGAGAGCCTCAAAAATCTGGAGAGTTTCATAAGATCCAAGTGATGAACATCACAGGTGCTACAGTTTAACAGGAAAGTGTAATAAGAATTCCCAGCCTGGAAAGGGTTCTTAAAATACAAGTTGTCTGTTGGATTGTGAGTAGAGGGCAGGCATCAAACACCTCAGTTTATTCATAATAGTCTTATTGCCATGTGTACAGGGAGGTGGGAGGCAAGGGGGTAAGAGCTATATTTGCCCAAAATCTGTACCCACATGTTGTACATATTTTCTGATTCTTTTTTCTTTCACTTTAGTATTAAAAGTTGACATTATTCAGGCTTTCAAATCAGAAAGGTGGGACTGAAACACTTAAAAACATACTTAGCTATGAAATGTATTTACATGTTTCATGATAGCCAGTGAGGAATAACCCAGTTAAATCTGGTTTTGGGCAGAAAAGGAGGCCTTAAACCTCAACTGAATGACAACTTGATTTGTGAGTTCAGGGCTCATATGCCCATTTGATGAATTTTTTTTTTTTTTTTTGAGACAGGGTCTCCCTCTGTCACCCTGGCTGGAATGCAGTGGTGTACTCACAGCTCACTGCAGCCTTGACCTCGCAGACACAAGCAATCCTTCTACCTCAGCCTCCCAAGTAGCTGGGACTACAGGTGAGCACCACCATGCCCAGCTAATTTTTTTTTTTTTCTTTTTTTTTGCAAAGATAGGGTTTCACCATGTTGCCCAGGCTGATCTCAAACTCATGGGCTCAAGAGATCCTCCCAGTCTCCCAAAGTACTGAGATTACAGGCATGAGCCACGCTGTGTGGCCTGAAACATCTTTTCATTATTATTGTTTAACTCTTGAAATTATGCGAAAACAATTACAATGCAAAAAAAAAAAAATGTTTTGAGACCACCACATTAAATGTTGTAACTCTTCTTAGTCAATTTTGCATGGGGAAAAAAAACCAAAAAACAACAAAAAAAAAAAACACACAAAAGCAAAGACTGAGAATGTTGTACCTAGCATTTTCTTTTCTTTTTTTAAATGAAAGTAAGTTTATTAGAGTAGTAAAGAAACAGAAATGGCATTTTCTTTTTAAAAGGTTACATTTCTCCTACTCAGTTTCTACGCTAACCCATGATAGAGATGGGGTAAGAAGCACTAAAACAATTGGCGTTTGAGTAATAGCTTGTTGTTGCTGGCATTCAAAGGTACTTAGAATACACAAACGGTTATATACTTAAGATGAGGAAGGTGAAATGCTTAAGATGAGGAAGGTGAAATGCTGTCTCTGATTTAATGGAACAATAATAAGCTTGGTTTTCAATAACTGTACTGTTATCTGGCAACGTATTAAAATTTACTTTATAATAGAGATATAAAATACAAGAGTGCCTGTTGCTAGATTCATTCTAAATTTCCCCTAATTTACTCTAACCCTGAAATCTATATTTTATAATAATCGGATATATCTAAATAAGTTTAATCATATTCTAGCATTTGCTAGTATTTGGAAATATACGTATTATAAAACTTCTAAGTACGACTCTAACCTTGATTTATAAAAACTTATAAACTTTCCTTTATAATGAATAACTCTTAACTCAAGTTTTTTGGAAAGTCAAAATTCTCCCTTTTTGAATCACACTTATGAACATTTTAATTGGTTATAAGTGCTGCAGAGGTTTGGTCCAAATCCCTTAAATTCCAGTCTGGTTTCAACTGGGTGTTCCTTGCTTAAACTTGAAAAGCCTTTCAGTGGGATAGTTGAGTTATATTCCATGTTCTCCAGCTCATTTCCAAAAAGCTTGGAACCAAAGTCTAGGGAAAGAGATCCCACATCAATCCTTACAACAGAAATTAAAAAGTGGCTGTTAACCCCCTCTCCTGAGCTAAAATTTCCATGTTGCATATGGTTCTAGTTATAGTGGCCAGAAACTAAGCACATTGACCTAAGACTATTGTCTCCTTAGTATTAAATTTTTAAAATTCCATTTATTGATAAGGAAAGCCTAAGTACCACTGGTCATTAATGAATGAGAGTGGATGTGAATCATAAGACTAGTTAATTTTGGCTGTCATGCATATCCATAGCCATATCATTGAACCCACACCAAAACACAGATATGCTACATGCATATTAGACAATAGACTGTTATTGTTTTTAAAGATGGATGTTTATGGTTTTGGATAATTCTTTTCAAGCCTAAATTTGTGTGAGTGTGTGTGTGGAGACGGGGCCTCTGTCACCCAGGCAAAAGTGCAGTGGTGTAATCATGGCTCGCTGCAGCCTCAACCTCCTGGGCTCAAGGAATCCTCTCATCTCAGCCTCCCAAGTATCTGAGACCACAAGTGGACACCACCATGCCCAGCTAACTTTTTTTCTTTTTTGTAGAGACAGGGTTTCACTATGTTGCCCAGGCTGGTCTCAAACACCTAGGCTCAAGCGATCCTTCAGCTTCAGCCTCCCAAATTGTTAGGATTGCAGGGGTGAGCCACTGCGCCGAGCCCAGGCTAAATTTTCTTCTTTAAAAATTCTCAGATATAACAATAAATGTTGGAACATTAAACAGAAGTACTTGGGATAATAAAACCTAAGGTTCATGGAGACCTTGGAAATTACACAGTCAAATGAAACCATTTTTGGTAAGGTTCTAAGGCAATTAGAACAATTAACAATCCACTAGGGAAGCTAACAGTGCAGTCCAGAGATCTGGTCACCAAAGGTATGTCACTTCCACAATAGTAATGATATTGTTTTATTCAGGCTATCCTTTCTGATATGCATAACTACTCATTGTGCAAATGTAACTAATGGATAATTATAAAAAGTTATTAGATTCAATGTCTTATACTAAATGAAGGGAAGCTAAGGGGGCTATCTAGAAAACGAATTAGTGAGTGGATACCAAATGTTAATTTTTACTTAGGTCTTCGGTTCTCAAAGTGTTTATTTAGTTTGTCTTACACAAGATTTATCTCCACAGTACGTTATATCAAAGCACCAGGTAAAAATTATCCAGGATGAAATGTAAATCAGCCAACATGAACCAAAATGCAGGCTTACACAAGCATGGTCTACTTGCTAACAAATTGCCATTTGTGTGATTCCTCTCTTGTTTACTATCTTCATTCGTCGCACCTTTCACTTGGGAATCACATGTGTTTTGTAATCAGCTTATGATGCAATGGAAACACACATGTCATAGCACAACTGTCACAGCTGTGTAGGCGAGGCCACCGATAAGTTCCCTTAAGAGGCAACAAAAATTCTTAATCAGTCACCTGAAGACTCACAGCTGAAAAATCTTATTAAAATTGTCCTAACATGCACCCCAATTGTAGTCCATAATTAGTCTGATAGCAAAGTCCTCTTCTAGTTATTTTCCTTGTTCATACTAGGCAGGGAATAATAATCTAATAAAAATACTACTAATTATAACAATAAGTTATGCTTGAGTGGCATTTATAAAGTACACTGTTCATGGCATCATATATATCTTTTTTTTTGAGACGGAGTCTCACTCTGTCGCCGAGGCTGGAGTGCAGTGGCGCGATCTCGGCTCACTGCCAGTTCCACCTCCCAGGTTCAAGCCATTCTCCTGCCTCAGCCTCCCAAGTAGCTGGGACTACAGGCGCCCGCCACCACACCCGGCTAATTATTTTTTTGTATTTTTAGTAGAGACAGGGTTTCGCCGTATTAGCCAGGATAGTCTCGACCTCCTGACCTCGTGATCCACCTGCCTCAGCCTCCCAAAGTGCTGGGATTACAGGCGTGAGCCACCGCGCCCAGCCCATATATATCTTTATATACATCTTTATTTTATATATATATTTATTTATTTATATATATCATTATATATATTTTTTTGAGACGGAGTTTTGCCCGTTGCCTAGGCTGGAGTATAATGGCACAATTTTGGCACTGCAACCTCCACCTCCTGGGTTCAAATGATTCTCCTGCCTCAGCCTCCTGAGTAGCTGGGATTACAGGCACCTGCCACCATGCTCAGCCAATTTTTGTATTTTTTTTAAATAGAGAGGGGGTTTCACCATGTTGGCCAGGCTGGTCTTGAACTCCTGACCTCAGGTGATCCACACACCTCACCCTCCCAAAGTGCTGGGATTACAGGCGTGAGCCACCATGCCCTGCCTATATATCGTTATATTTTTAAAACTATTTTATTTCTCATTATAACTGTATGAGATATACATTATTACCATGCCCATTTTACAGGTAAGGACACTGAGGCATAAAAAGGTTAAATTACTTGTTCATACTCATTCAGTAGTGATTGCTCAGTAGTCTTTCAATAACCATCTTATCCTTCTTCCTTACAGGCAAACTATGTTGCAATCAATCTAGACTTCTTGCCATTTCCTTAGCACCCCTTTGTCATCTTCATGCCATTTTTCTGGTTACTTCTTTTCCTGGAATTCAATTTCCAATCTTTTTGCCCACCAAAATCCCACTCTTCCTCTAAGGTCCAGGTTAAGAGACCCATTTGGTGTTGACCCTTCCCAGATTGTACCAGCTGGAAATCACCTATTCCTTCTCTGAGTTCTCAAGACTATACTGTGTACACCTTCAAACTTCTTACTTATCAGACACTACTTTTTTTATTCTAGTGACTTGAACATTTGGTACCTTCCCTACCAAGTCATGACTTCCTTGAATGTGGGAATATTTTCACAGGTCAGCATGTTCTTCACAGAGCCAAGCAAGTTATGTTGTCAATATGCATGTGTTGAATCAAAGGAATAACCTAAACATATTCAAGCTCATTTTCTCATGGACTCTTCAGAAAATAGCTGGTCATTTTCAGTAACAAGAGCCTGGAATTCTTGTTAAGGAGTTCCAGGGCTAAGAATCCAGAAACAGTCTCTCATAGGCAGAAGCCTGGTACAGAGATGAAGCATCCCTGGAGTCTAGTTTCTGCTCTACCACTAAGTAGCAATGGGATCTGTGACAAGGCACATAAAATCTCTAAGCTTCAGTTCTCCATGTGCCCAACCAATAAGAGAGTTGTGCAATATAGCTGCAAATATTCATAATGGCTCCGAGATGCTATCATTCTATGATTTATATTTACTATTGCTGAGATCTCTGCTAAAAGTGACAAGTTCAACTGAGGTACTATCTTTGTAAAGTTTTACGAGGCAACTGAGGAAGACTTAGAAGACAACAACCACTGAAGGGATTAGAAATCAGGACTATTGGGGATTTGAGACAGATTAGTATAATATAAAATTGTTTCACTTCAAAACATCATACCCAACTCATAAGGCCCTTCGACTCTTTCTTTCCATGATCAATTAAAAGAAAATATCTACTTCATATATTGCTAATGGCAATGTAAAGTAGCACAGCTGCTTTGGAAAATAGTCTTGCAGTTCCTCAAAATGTGAAACACAGACTAAACATACAACCCAGCATTTCCATCCCAGGTTAAATGAAGACATATGTTCACACAAAAGTTAGTACGTGGATGTTCAAAGCAGCAATATCTATAATAGCCAAAAATGGAAATAACTTAAATGTTCATCAACTAGTAAACCAAAGGATAGATGATAAGGAATATTGTTTGGCAATAAAAAAGAATGATGTACTGATGCATATGCTATGACACGGATGACCCTTAAAAACATTACGCTAAAGAAAAGAAGCTAGTCACAAAATGACATCATATATTGTATGATTGCATTTATATATAAAATGTCCAGAAAAGACAAATCCACAGAGGCAGAAGTAGAGTGGTGATTTCTTGTGGTTGGTGGAGGGATGGTGGAACAAGCTACATAGTTTCTTTCTTGGGTAATTAAGAACATTTTAAAGTTAGATTGTAGTGATGGTTGCACAATTCTGAGAACAAGTTGAATACAAGTTGTGAGAACAAGTGAAAAATGGTTCCTCATTGGGGGTCATGAAAAAGCCTATGAATGGTGGAAGCCATTTACTGTGATGGGAATGGCTAGAAAGAGAAGATTCTGTCTTAGGCTTGAGTTTTGTACATTCTCATTGGACATGAAGCAAAGACGTCAAGTAGTCAGGTGAGTATGTCAAGCACTGATGCAAGCACTGGAGATCAACAGTATATACAACAGCCAAGTTCTGTGCTGATGGATCTTATATCCCTCCATGCAATGATTAGGGCAATTTTAGAATTATCAATCCAAACATGTATTTAAACCTCATGTGATTAGATGAAAGAGCCTAAGGATTGGCTGCAAATGGAGGAGAAAACACTAAGGATTGAGGCCTCCGTTACTCCAACACTGTGTTGAGTCAAGTATTCTGGGTAAGCATGCTACCCTAGATGCTATATGCTTCTATCATTGTATAACACACTACTAAAACAGTAGAGTTGATAGGTATTTATTTTTAAAAAGAGTTTATAATCATTCCTTCATTCTTTATATAGTAATTCTTTTACAAGAAGAAGAAAAGCCTACAGCTGGCTCAGGAAGTCCTTTCAGATACTTTCCCTACCGCCCGCCTCCCTCCCCCAACATTGGGTGTTCCAAGCCCCTCACAAAGACCTTAAACCCTCAAGTAGTGGCTCAGCTAATAAAGGCACACATGGAAAAAAAAAGAAGAGAAGAAGGAGAAAAGCAATATCTATGCCAATGTATTGATTTAGGTTGATAGATCTATACCTGGAGAACCTTTAAGAAATACAGCAATACTTTTCTTTAGAAATAAATCTGTAAAATGGCACTCTATAAATCTCCACTGTTTGCTTGAACTCAGATATGACGACTTTTACTTGTGTAAACTGGAAAATGATAGGATCCGTGCAAAACATTTTGCATAAAGCTATATATAGTATTGTGGGGTAAAAGTGAGAAAGTCAAAATCCCAGTTGGATATACCTAAAGGTAAAATATTATTCACATTTTTCCTTTAAATGCAGATTTTCTAAATTATCATTCAAGAAACACCCTCACCTATCTTCTTCACTCTTCAAGTGTTTCTCTAATTCCTTTCATTAGATCCAAAAAAGAAAAAAAGAGGAGGAGAATAAGAAAAGGAAAGAGACGATGAATGAGAAGAAGAAAGAGAAGGAGAGGAGAAGGAGGAAAAAAAGGAGAAAAAGGAGAAATAGTAAATAAGATGATAATCTTTTTTTCTAATACTCTTCGAAAACCAAATTGCACATGGGAAGTAAATGTACCTCCTGTAGACTGCCGGAACTATTTCAGCAGATATTACTAGGCACACACACATCCCACATACATCAGCTCCCTTCATTGCTATGTATGTATCCCAACTTATACAATGTGCTTACATATCTATATTTTTATCGTCAAACATGCTATTTTATACAAGCTGCTCAGGGATGAGATGGCCAGAACTGCTCTTTTTATATAATCATTACTTTTTTTTTTTACAATATTTTTGCTTAATGTTCTAAGAAATCCTTTTTTTTTATGGTCCACATGTTGCGTAGCATCAAAGGTTATTCAAACAAAGCCAATTCAAACATGGTATTACTGCATAGCTTCAAAAACACATTTCAGGTTACTTATATATAATTTAAATTCTGAAATAGACTACATATGGCTATGATAATAAGCCCATTACTGAAAAAGAGCACTTTAGCAACATGTATAAACCTCTATGAGATTCTACATCTGCACTATGCACATACATTATCTTTACTATATTTATCTCCCCTAATATCATGTGTGCCACTTTCATTTAAGAATAGTTAAAGGGTAAAGATGAGAAAAACATTCTCATTTTAAAACACCTTTTCACAAGTATTATAAAATTATCAGATTGATGTAATATATGGCATATAGATGTAATTTAAAAGTGTTGCCATAGTTCATATTAATTTCCCATAAATGACTGCAAAACCCTATTCTTATTCAAAAATAAAGAAAAGCTGGAAAACAAAGGCTAACCTTAACATACATTCTCCTATATGATCATACAGAAAAGTCTAGATGTGATTAATCTGCATCAATAAGAAAACCATTATTTACATCCCAAATAGAAAAGTTTATCTACATTTCTCAACTAACTTAATATTTGCTCTCTATGGATTGCTACAGGGACACAATACTGAAAAATTATAAATAATATTAGCAGATAGCTTCTATGAGGTGGCAAAACGCTACCATTTTTCATATACTATAAAAATGCACATATAAATAACCCACCAAGCAAATATCAATGCAAATATATGTATCATTTGTCACTGAATAAAATTAATATCTGTGTCTAGCACAAGGATGGTCAGTATATCTTTGAAATGGTACAGGCTTCTGTACATTTGAAATTCATGTGGAGTATAAGCACACACCTCTAAGAAGAATAAGTAAATAGAAATCATAGAATCCTGGAAGAGTAACAAAGCTTAGAGAACCTACAAACCAACCTCTTCACTATATATGTGAACACTGAGTCTCAAAGTGCTGAAACAGCCTAGAGGGCAGTGTTCTCCACATCCCAAATTTTCAACCATCCCCGTGGAGAAACTGTCATTCTGAAGTATCCAAAGGCAATCCAATGTCAAACGTATGATTTACATATTAATTTAGTAAGAGTGTCCAGGGTTTCCTTTGCTTTTGACACAGCAGATGCTAAATACAAAACTAGTTTCACACACACAAAAATTTAATATTGCCTTTTCAGTGTCAACTCCTCAATTTTGGCATTTTTCACTACATTACTATGAGTTCTGCTGCATAATTGTGGCCCAGACACAAACTGCCCCCTTATCCTACAATGTTAAATCAGAACAAAGGTTCTAGGTTGTCTTTGGGGGCAGGAGAAGGGTGGTGTGGGAGAGAAGGAAGGAAAGAAGGGAGAGAGGAATAAAACGGAGAGAAAGAAGGGAGGGAGGAATGAAAGGAGGGAGGGAGGGAAGGCAGACAGAAATGGTGTCTTACTACTGCTGCTCCAGCAAGCTGGTTAATTGCATTTGTTTCATATATCTCCAAACACCCTGGTATATTAATTACATTCTGTAACACCAAGCTCTTCTGATTTCCTGTCACTTCCACTGAGCAATTTAATTGTATTCCTCCTAGCAACACACTGATTTAAAAACGCTTATATAAAAAAACCCTTGGTGATAATTTTGTAGTCTAATGTATAGTTTACACATGCATTTCTGTTGAGATATGTAAATTCATGATTTATGAGGACATATTCTTTTAAAAGTTATACCAAATTCTTCTTATCATGAAAATCAAACACACCTGGGACAAATAGGTAAACCTATTTTGTTACGGTAATGTACACGTATTTTAATGTACTGAAAAATAAATGCATGAAAAATAATTAGAGATGTTGCCATAGTATAATTCACAATAATTAAATCTTAAACATCTACTGCTTAGACTGGTAAAAGAGAGAAGCAGTGCACACACACGCATCCCTCCCTCACTATCGCTGGGGGGCAAAGGTACTCATGTAGTCCATGATTGAAAACAGCCACTTGACAGTAGGTAAACTCCTCTGTATTGCCTCATGTTTATAGAAAGCCTTCCTTTTTGAGTCCAATACATTGGGCTCTATGCAGCAGTAGCTGCCAGGAACAAAGTTAGCTACTCAGATGGGCCAAAATAGGCAGTGTCCCAAATAATGAATTCATCCACAATGCAAATGCTGGAGGAAAGTTTATGTGGCAACAAGCTATTGTGATGGCTCAAACAGTTAGACTAATACCCTTTAGGTTCTTTACAAGTACAGAAAGTAACTAAAAACCTAAAGTACTGCAATCCAGTTAGAAAAAAAAAATATCTAGTACTCCCTTATACCAGTTGTTTCCATCGATATAAAAATTAAAGCCTCTAGAAGGTTAACAGCAAATATTCTTTTAACTTTTTTCTTTTGAATACAAACCAAAAAGCATGTTAATGATTATTTCCACTCTTCATTCAAAAGAACCACAAAAAAGGATTTTGCAATAGTCGCACAAGAAATTGACATCCTGTGAAAATATCCCAGTAAACCAAATCGGAACAAAAGACAAGAGAATCAGAGGCAGAATGCTGTGGGCTTGACAGACTGACTCAACCTAGAGGGAGACACCTCCAGCACCTGTTTAAGGTCCCCATTGTGTTTGCCCACTGGGGACTGAGCTAAGTGTTCTACTCCTGTGGCCAGCCCATAGCTGATGCTTCCCCCTTCGTGGAGCCTCGCCCAGTCTCACTTTTGACAGTTTTCTCCCTAGGATCTAAATTCTTCATTCGATTTAACGCTAGGAGAGCATTCACTGGCACACAGGTGATACACATTGATCTCAGTCTCAAATTCCTAACCCACTGAACCTTCCTTAGAGTGTCTATTACTGTATTTCTTCACTTGAATGTCTCAGCCAAAGTTCAGACACAAGAGCAAACATCAAATAGAGAGCAGGCACAATAGTATTAGGCTCTTGCAGGAGATTGACTGTAATATTTCTTTTTCTAACAAAACTGGGAGCCCAATCATTTATTATCCAACTCCTTAATTAGTGAAGTAAATTACAACAATAACAACAATAGGTGACTACCAACACATTCCACTTACAGCAGTTTAGAAACAAAAGACTTAAATAAAACCTCTGCCCCCAAGGAGCCCGTGCCGGGCCAAAACGGACTAACAGACATAATGTCATTTCATTTATAACCCACATCAAATTCAAAAAGAAATGGTTTTGGGGGATTGGGGGGTGGGGGGCGCAAAAAAAGATGAAAGCATTTTTAACTTACCATCAACCCGAACATATAAAAATCCACAGAGCAGTAGTTGTGTAAACATCAGCAGACTCATTTTGACATATTAAAAAGGATCCAGATTCTTTAAGAAACCAATCCCAGAGAGCAAAAGTACAAAAATGAGTATCAAAAAAAGAGGTAGGTCCAAAGTTTAGACTTTCCTAGATACTAATTAAAGTCAAGAAGAGCAAATCGCAAGATCAGAAGGGGTTGGTGGAGAGGTCTCGAACGGGGCACACTGAGATCCATCCAAATTAACAGAGGGTACTTCAAAGGCTGCTGTATTTCCAGCACTCTGGCTTCCTAAATTCCCACAAATTCAGCCCAGCCAGAGGGATTATTCGAGTGTGTCTAACCCTCTCTCCTTAGGCTCCACTGCAATCCAAAGCCAAGTTCTTCCTTCAGAAGTCAAGATGATGAAGGGGGAGGAAAAGACCTAATTCCTAGAAAGTGTTCCACAAACTTGCCAGCGCGCTGCCGAAAAACCATTGGCCTGCCTACTGGTTTTCTTTCCCCCGGTTTCCTTCTCCGTAGCAGCTCCACGTCCGGAGTTATTTTTTAATATGTCTATATTTTTACTTAACTTCCATAATAAGAATGTGTCAAAGCAACACTTTGCAGGCGGGCAGACTTGGCGGGCCTCTCCTTTGCAGCGGTGTTGCCCTCCCTCCACCTCTCCGGTTTCCAAAAGAGAGGAGAAGGGAAATCAGGACGATTCGGGTGGAGAATCCGAACTCCTACGTGGTGAGGGAGGCAGGGAAGGAGCGAGGGAGGGAGGGAGGGAGGGAGGGGCCGGGCGGAGGCCGAGGCTGCAGACACCCCCGCGGTGCCGCCTCTGAGGATAGTGCACCAGGCGGCTGCGGGCGCGAGCAGAGACGGGCGTGAGAGCCCAGCCCGGGCGCGGCGGAGAAAGGGAGCGCTCAGTCCAGCGCCAGGCGCGCTGAGGCCCCTCGCCCGGGTCCAGCCCCCGCAGCCTCGCAGCAGAGCGTCCGCTTCCTCCGGCAGCTGCCGCGGGTGGAAGGACTTCTAGGAGGGAAGGCGAGGAGGCGGGAGGGGAGGGGAGGAATGAGAGCTGCCTGGAGTCGGCCCGGGGAGGGGCGGGGGCGAGGAGGGGCGCGCGGAGCCCTGAACCTCCGGACTCGGCCACCCGCCCGCTGGGGAGTGGGGAGGGGTCCTGGAGAGCCGAGAGTCCCCGGGGGGACGGAGATGAACAAATTCGGAGAGCCCCGCCGGCTGCCGAGGGCCGAGGCCACCGGGCGACTCCTTCCCCTTCTCCGCGCCCCCGGGTGCCCACTCCTTCCCGCCTCGGGAGGGGATAGGTGGGCTCCAGGCTCCTGCTCCTCGCCGCGTCCCGTTTAATGGGCAGGTAATTTTCTCCGTGAGTGATTTCATGGAAGCCCTTCCTAATTATTCATCCCTCCGTCTGCCGGAGCTGCACGCGCTTTCTTGAAAAAGATCAGCCTCCAGGACCCAGGGCGCAGCCTCATTACGCGTTAAAATCACACACTCACTCACTCTTCACCTTTTAGCCAGATGAGAAGCCGAGTAGGAGGAAGGAAAGGAAAGGAAAGGAAATAGAAGCACCTTTTGGACTGGAAAGGTTGTGTGTAGATGCTTCCTATATGATTCAAAAGCACAAGGGGGAGAAAAAGGAGGGGGCAGAATTCTCTAACCTCCAGCGGCTCATTTTAGCCAAGATCTATGGCCCCCTGCGGCATCCCCAAGGGAAGGAGGAAGGGGAGGCAGCCCCTCTTATGTTACTCAGTTGCCTTTTGACCCCTCCACGATGAGTTTGATGCGCGATCGCGCAGGGCGAGGGAGTTCCACAGAAGATGCTAAGGACGGGGAAGCGGGGATCACAGAGCTTGGGGGAGGGGGATCCCCGAAGTCTTTACCCTCCAGGGACCAGCACCTCCAGAAGGAAATTCGGTAAACATAGGCTCTGGGTGTGGAAAGCCGAAAGCCCAGCTGAGCTCATGGAAGCTCAAAAAGAAGCCGAATTTCAGCCCAAAGACGACAAAACTCTGAAAATTAAGACCAAGACTACCAAAGGATGCCATTCAGGACCGGGGATGATGAAGGAAGGTCACGTTAGATCAAAGGGGTGCCGGTGTCGGCGGTGCCCCGGTGCGGCCGGGCCCACGTGTGATCACAGGCTCGCTGGTAGCCGTTTGATGCTTGTTCAGATGATGAGAAGGCGGCTTATAGGAACTCACGCAGGTCCCCGAGCCGAGCTAAATGCTGGATGGTGAGTCTTTAGTTCCCCCTACTGGAAAATATTAGGAAAGGTTCTCTCCAGAAGGGGCCGTCTGAGGAAGAGCCTTTGTTTGGTGGATACGTTTTGGTGCTGCTACTTAACTTAGGTCTCCCTTGCATATTATGGGCGCTGTGTGTTCTTTTAAAAAAAGGTCAGCGACATTCAAGCAATTAGAAGAGACATTAGGACACCTCGGCATGCTTGAAAATTACGGTAATGAAATAGTCTTGCGAAAGAATAAAACAACCACTCTTCTTGTAAAGCATTAAGAGTAATTTCTGCACACTTTTAATCTACAGTATTTACTTGTGAAGAAAAAAGTGCATTCGGTTGTTAAAGTTGAATCACTTGAATTCTCACTATAATAATTCTGAATGTGCTATTGTTTTAGCACCCCGTGAAAAAAGGCTTAACCGTTAAGGAGAAACCCACCCCAAAGGTCCAATACGTCTAAATTGGATAACACTGTGGTTTAGAAACATCCAAAAGTGCGCTATTAACATCTCTTTTATCTCTGGAAAAGGAAAGTAATTAAAATTCTTGAAAACTTTCATTTTAAACACTTGGGCTTGGTTTACCCAGTTCAGGATTACAATGTCTAGCTCATGTCTCCAAATAATACACACCACCAGCTTATCTCGGGCAAATTTCCTTACGCGGGTGAAATTTTTAAGATATTCGGAAAATAGTCTTCCTAATACAATAATGCAGGAATTAACACATCATATAGACTTATAAGACCCTTAATTTTAAGATGGTTCACAGAAAGGAAGACATTGGAGGATTTCAACTAGAAGTGTTTTCTCATGACTATTTATTTATCAGGCAAAATATAGATTCTATTTTATACTTGATAGACTCACCATCTGTAAATGCCTTTCCTTAAGTAAACTATAAAATCACTCAGAGGCAGAAAGAGTGTGTGTGGGAAACAGAAGGGATAGATTGGGCGAGATCAGCCTACCACCAATTGCCATGGTCCTTTAGGGCAGAAAATGTTGCCCTATTCATAGAAAGTTATCCTTGTGTAGGGTATGACAAATTACATCATACAGAGAAGAGCTTTGTATAAGGGAAATCGCTTTGGTTATATTGGCATTTTTTTTACCAAGCATCAACATTTTGCATTCTTAACTACTTTACCTATTAAAAGTGACAAAGCAAGCCAGTGATTTTAGACTGGTGCCATTTTTTAAATGGCTTTTGTTGTTGTGGTTGTTGTTGTTTGCCATACACTAGCTACCTTATGGAATAATGTCTTCACCAAAACATTTTGGAATCCATGTTTTCTGCTTTTCTTGTAGTCAAGTTCATAACTGGTTTTTTAAAAGAATGCTCTGTCAGTGTCTCATTTGATATGAAATGTGACTAAAAAACCATTATTTTATAACAATCTCATCCCAAATGATAGTTTAGGATTATGACCAAACATCTCACACTAAATTAGCAACAGTAACGAGTCGCCAGACAGAAATTTGTTATGGACAACATTAATTCCAAAAGAACAAAGACATTACCTTCTGAGATATATGATAAGATCTATACTAGAAAAATGTGCATATTTCAATTACACTTAAGACAGTTTTAGTGAGCACTGCCTATATAAAAAATGGATTTCTCACTCCAAATGTTTAATTAAAGGAAAGTCTTTAAAATCTGAAGCTTCTAGTAGAAGTTGGAAATTAAATTTTAGCAGTGCTTTAGCAAAAAAAAAAAAAAATTAAGGTTTTCCTTAAGCCAAAAAGAAACAGCAATGGCTTAGAACAATGAAGCCCCATGACCACCACATCAGAGAGCTTAAGATACAGAAAAATCAAATGGGGATCTGGCTTCAATGTCTTTCTAAATATAAATTGTTTTTTTCTTTTCCAAACAAGCAGCTGAATAGATAAATGTAGATGGAAATCTAGGCTTCTTTTATGTAAAACCTGGAAAGGTATTATATATTCAAAATGTGCCTATATATTTTAATACATCTAAAGATTGTAAGAAACTGTCATTATCCCTAATTTGGGTAAGGTTATCCAATGGCCTTCTTTGTGATTGAATTTCTGAGTTGGTATTCCAGCAGAAGTATAAAATAACCATATGAAGGAAATCTGCAGAGTGTAACATATTAAATATTTCTTTTTTCATACCAGATTCCCCAAGGATGTGGTAAAAACTGCAAAACCCTAATCCACTTTTTTACTCTTTTCAACGTGCTCTTGTTATAATTGTAAGGCAGCATATATATAAAAATCAAAGGTTTGATCCATGATAGTAATTTTAACATATACTGCCATGTAGTGAGCACTAACCACGTGTCAGGGAATTCTTCTAGTTTTTAAAAATTCATCATATTGTTAAATTCCTATAAGAGGCTTATGTGGTTGATACTATTCCCATTGTACAGATGAGAAAAATGAAGATTAGATAATCAACCCAAGTTAATGAAAGGCACAATCTTGCTTTAAATCCAGACCTGAATACAAAGTCTATGTTATCAAGAACTTGAGATTGATTTAAGACATCTACCACATTGCAGAAATAGTATAAGAGTATAATATATTACTCTGATCAATTTAAGAAAACCGCAGTGTACCAAAATATACAGAAATATGTAATCAATTTTTCTTCAAAATTTAAGAACCTCTTTAAAGCCATTGCTCAGCTCGAATTTTTCTATATAAGATTGTCTTATTATACTATACAGAAACATCACATTAAATGACACGTATGTGTTATTATCTACAAAAGGACACAGGACAACTAAAGTAAGTGAAGCATTAAAAATCCTGATCACAGAGAGACGGCTCATTTGCCCCTACATGATTTTTTCTTTATTACACTTGACTTTGTTCCAGAAAGGATCTGAGGGAGCCAAGATAAAATGAATATTGTTCTTCTGAAATATGTTCTAAGTATCTGATTTGATTCGATTCATTTTGAAGTGGTCACCAATACTTGTCTCTATATAAGTCTGTCTGTGTAGCTATTTATGAATAGCATTTTTGGTATATTACATGAAGTTATAAATCTGAATTTAAGTTGACTAAAATATAGTAATAGTTCATTTAAAAGAGTTTTCTCTGCAGAATAAAATCACGTATTTTCAAGAAAGAAAATCTTTCTTCCTTTAGAGTCCAAAATCTATTTGGAAAATCATTATTTATCTTGATCGAAGAGTTCGGTGATACTTCCAAATTAACATAACTATTGAATAAACAAATATTACAGTAAGTGGTATGTAACATTGAGGCCAAATTTCTTTAATTGTGTATACCTTAAAATTTTGAATTTTAAAAGTCACTTAGAGGTTCCTTAGAGGTCATGGATGAGATTTTATTTATCTTCATAGTGTCAGTTCAAGAAGGTCCATTACCCCCTCAGCCCCATCTTAGTAAATTGCAAAACCTAAACTAAAATTAAAAAGGAGTTCTTTGGCAGCAAAGATGATAACCTCTCATCTATACTAGGCTAATGATTTTACCAAATGAGAATAGTCAGCCTCGCAAATCCACTTATTATTTGAAAGTACAACTTCAGTCATTAACCATAACAGGCTAGAGTTAATGTGTGTGCAAGGATTTTTTTCCTGCCCATTATTTTATCATTTCTTGTTACTGATATCAAGTTATTATTTTAGTATATGGCTTAACTTCAATGACATAAAATAATACACTTTTTGCTAATTTTACACCACACTTTCATGAACCCAAGAAAATCCCTTTGATTCTTTGCCAAATAATTCCAAGTCCATCTGCTCCGATCTGGAATTTGTATAATTAAATTTTAGCAATACATAGCTGTAATCCTAATAGAAAAATTTATTTTAAATCCAAAACAGAATTTTTTGTTGTTCATAAAAAGAAGAGATTGTCAAGGATTTAGGAAAAGGCCAATGATACCCATGGGTCCTATAGATACCCGTGGATTTTTACAGTTGTATGCTCACTGAATCTCTTTGAGGCATGTTTCACAATGGATACTTCAAATTAGAAAAAAATTGCTTATTCTCCCTTGCAATACTATCACGGAATTAATCCAAGGGTACATGTAATCTAATTGAACTGTCTATGGTTTTATCCTGTAGAAGAACTAATCTGTTTGGGAGCAGATTCTGATTTTCTTCCAATATCCAATTTATTTTATTTCTGCCTGATAAAACAAATTCTGACTACTTGTGGAGTACCTGAAGTTGTTTTCTTTTTTTTTTTTTTTTTAACAAAGAATACTAAGTTCTTAAGTTGTTAGATACAATGCCAGCCAGGAGTATAAGTAATATAATTTTGCTCAAATTAGAGATGTAAATACACATTGTCATCCGTAAGTGACAAAGTGAAATAAATGAAAAAAATCTCCCTGGCCCAAGTTTATAGAAAAACTTGCAAATAAAGCAATAATATGACATATACTTCATATCATAACATTTCAATTTGAGTAAGACATTGCTCTCTCTCTTAAACAGTTTCTACTGTTTAGTCTTTCACTTAGCAAAAAAGAATGATAGCAACAAGTGATTTTTTTTTTCTCTGAGCAATTTTGGCTTTTTCATTATATACTAATACAAATTTAAAGGATCCAAAGGACCAGATACTTAATATTGAAAAATGCTAGTCAAGTTTTTGACAACTAGGTACAAATTTTATAGAACCCCTCACGTCACTGGATTGCTTTCAGTTTTAACGTAATTTAAGAAAAAAGTTTCAATGGCTGGTTTCTTATATTTATCAGAAATATAAAGTGTAAATAAATTTACACTTCATCTAATATATATTTGCCATACAAATTAATTTTTGATTTTTATCAATGTGAAATTAATTTTTGGTTTTTAGCAATGTGAAAAATTTTCATCAAATTTTTATCTTAATTTTTCATTTTTCTAAGATTACTCATCTGTAATCGTTTTCTTCAGCCTTTGAGCAAATATTAGACTTTCAGGTATGACTAGTATAGACAATGTCAATGGAAATTATGTGGCATGATAAGCATGAGGCTATTTTGTTTCCTTATTGTTGTTGTTGTTTTAGCTTGCCTCTATAACTGGCTTAGGTCCAGGTTGTAACTTAACCTATTATTTTATTTCTCCCTTCTTTACCAAACACATTAAAAACACATTTCATCACAAAGCTAGAGGCACATTTATAGGAGTTCTGGTAGTCTGGATACCAGCCCTCATTCTGAGTCATGTTTAAACTATCAAAAAAGGATGAAAACCTGTTTTATTTTAAAGATTTTCATAGGAGATTTCACAGTGTTCTTAAGTAAACCATTCACTTGTCATCAGGAAAATATTAGTCTTCTCTAATCTAACACTGAAGTAGCATTTCCACTCAATTATCTCTGCAAAGAGAAGGGGTAATGAATGGCTTCCTAAATAAGGACACAATAGAGAATACTGAGATAGAGCTCTGAAATTGGATGTTGAGTACCTATCTGCATTCTCATTTTGGTACTTGCAGTGCGATGTTGACAATTACCTTAATTATAAAACAAAGATAACAATAGTGCCTACTCACAAGGTAGTCGGATGTTGCATTTAAAGAACTTGGTCCAGTGTACATTTTAATTGTTTACAATACTTAGGGTCATTGGAGTGTACTAATAATCCTCTATCATGACAGAGAAAATGCTGATTGTTACCCAAGAATCCTCTCCTTCCTTTCTTCCACACAGAATTCCCCAGCCCTCCTTGCAGTTGTGTTGGATCATGTGATTGAGTTCTGGCCAATGGAATCCAGGCACTTCTAGATTTGCCCTCTAAGGTCTCACCTATACCTTACCCCCTTGGCGCTCTGGCTGTTGCCTCACTTTTTGGATGGCCAAATAGAAAACACTGAGCCATCGGATAAAATGCATGAATTTCAGGATGAGTGTGTAAGCAGACTCAGAACATCTCACTCTCTGTTGTATGCTTTGCACTGTGAGTTGAGCAACAGATGTCTTGTAATGTGTCTCAAATTATCGAAGTTTGGTATTCTTTGTTTTAGGACTTCACCTGTGCTGACAAATATAATCAGCCACTTTGAATGTTGCCTAAAGTTTAAATATTCATTTAAACTTTATGTTGCAATATACTTCTTCTCAGGACATTAAACTATGGTTAATATTATAAAAATAAAGAATAATAATACCTAAATTTTTAAAACAATTACTATATGACAAGCACTGCAATATACCTTTTAAATTAATTGTCTTATTAAATTCTCATGAAGCATATGAAGGTGGTTTAGCCTCATAATTCACAGTAGTTAATGAAAGCTCAAATTGATGATGTAACTTTGAAAGTGTCATAGTTTGTAGCTGTAATTCATATCCAGTACAACAAAGCCTACAGAATCACCCAGGATAGGCTAATGTATTCGCCAGCAGTGATTTCTCAACATTTTTTTCATTGTCACTTCTCTAAGAAACTGCTATGGTCTGAATGTTTTTGCAGTCCCTCCCACTGGCTTCAAAATTCTCATGATGAAATCTTAACCCCCAGTGTGATAGTATTAGAAGGTAGGGCCTTTGGGAGGTAATTCGGTGATGAGGGCAGATTCCTCATAATTGGGACTAGTGTCCTCATAAAAGAAACCTTGGAGAAATAGTATCTTCCACCATGTGAAGACACAGTGAGAAGGTACCACTCATGAAACAGAAATAGAGCCCTCACCAGACACAGAATCTGCTAGTGCCTTGATCTTGAACTTCCCAGCTTCCAGAACAGTGAAAAATAAACTGCTGTTGTTTATAATCCATCCAGTTTGTGGTATCATGTTATAGCAGCCTGAATGGACTAAGACAGGAGCATTTTTATACATTTCTGCCTAATACCTCCCCATGGAATTTCAATATGACATATAAACTACATATCTAATATATATTTATTATATATAATAATATAATTATAATGTATTATATTATAATTAATTACATTAAATTTAATATATTATATATTATGTGTCTTATATATAAATAAATTAATATATAATTAATTTATATCAATAATGTGATATACTTATAATTTAATATATGTATATATTAATTTAATAATATATAAAATATGTTATTAAATATACAAATGAATATATTATATAGTAGATATATTTAAATATATTTAATATATATTTATTATATATAATAGTCATATATCATTTATATACTATATATTATGTAATAAACATATGTATATGCTTATGCACTGTATATACATGTAATTATATATAAAAAAGGAAGTTTTTTATATGAAAAAAGAGAAAAGTGTGTTTTTTTGCCCCAAGAACCATCTTCCCATCATCCCCATTGAGAATGAATATTCTACAAATACAAACTATTCTAAGATCTCAAACAAAAACGGCTATTTCTTGTTATATTGGGAATCAGCTGGGAACTCCTCCACATCATCCTCTTTCCAGGACCTAGGCTGCTAAATCACTCATTTTCCAAACAAATGAAAAGGCAGAATATGGTTGTTAAATCTGGCTGGAACAAATAACACAATTTCTTATATCTTCACTACCAAACTAAAACACAAGCCCCACCTTCAAGGGTGGGAGAAAGCTGGAAATATTTGTTACCAGCTGTACCTACTATCATGCATATCCAACTCTTGCAGACTCCTTTGCTTTTGGAGGAAATAGTGTAAATTCATGGGGGCAATACAGGTATTGCCGGCTAAAGCAAAATGACTGACCATTGTGTGCTTCTGTACTGGGTTGAATAGGGTCCTTCAAATGAATGTCCATGTAGAATCTCTGAATGGAATGTTATTTCAAAATAGGGGTTTTGCAGATATAATCCAGTGAAGATGAGTTCATACTGGATTAGAATGAGCCCCAATCCAGTGATTCGTGTCCTTATCAAAAGAGGGAAATTTGGACAGAGATACATAAGCTACATGAAGATTATGGAAGAGTTGGCAGTATATTGCTACAAGCTGGGGAATATCAGGCCACCAGATGCAACGAGAACCAATTTTTCTCTAGAGCCTTCCTCAAGAGCATGGCCTTGCCAACACCTTGACTCTGGAGGTCTAGGCTTTATAACTGTGAGAATAAATGTCCGCTTGTTTTAAGCCACTAAATTTGTATTACTTTGTTATGACAATCCTAGGAAATGAATATAGCTATTACCTGTTCTGATGAATTCAAAATAGGAAACTTTGTACATACCAAAAGCCAAGTGAATTAATGATAAATTAGTAGAATTCTTGGAAAATGGTAATATGCATTTTAATCCTGTTTAAGTGAAAAGTGCATATTATATATGTACACACACACAAATAAATACATGTATATCTAAATATAAAGAAAATTTAAATGTATAAAGTTTACTTAAAAAAATCTATTTTAGTTCAGAACCGAATGGTACTTTTGCCAGGCGCGGTGGCTTACGCCTGTAATCCCAGCACTCTGGGAGGCCGAGGCAGGCGGATCACGAGGTCAGGAGATCGAGACAATCCTGGCTAACACGGTGAAACCCCGTCTCTACTAAAAATACAGAAAATTAGCCGGGCGTGGTGGCGGGCGCCTGTAGTCCCAGCTTCTCGGGAGGCTGAGGCAGGAGAAAGGCGTGAACTGGGAGGCGGAGCTTGCAGTGAGCGGAGATCGCACCACTGCACTCCAGCCTGGGCGACAGAGCGAGACTCTGTCTCAAAAAAAAAAAAAGAACTGAATGGCATTTTTATGATAATCTTTTCGTTATATAGTTCAAGGATAGGAGGCCTATTTAAATTAATAAAGAAACCTTATTCATAAAGTAGTCTTTAAAAATGTATATTAATTTAACCAAGACATCTTTGGTAATTTAGATATTGTCTTTTGTTAATAGTTATTGCAATGGCCAGTGGTTTCTGATTATAACTTAATTGTATACATTTTAGCACATTTTTAATTCTTTGTATAATAAGGATCATATCAAAATTTAAAAGTAATTCTATACCATGAACATCTTAGAAGAAATATTAAATAACTATAGTCTCTATGTGAAAATGTTAAATGAAAATATTCAGTCCTGGTTTTATTTATGTTAATTATAAAATCTCTCTTGCAAAATGTAGTAAAGGTTATCACAGAACCAGATTTACACAATTGCCTATGGCAGCAAATAGAAGACTTAAGTCGTTTCCTCTGTTAATTTATTTAACGTCATCTTAGAGAGGCTTAACGCTCATCTTTTTACAGCTTTCCTGTTTTAAAATAGAAGAATTAGCCAGATTCCAATTTCTATGTCACCACCCCATTTCCCTCATCATTTTTCTTCTACATTCAATTAAATAAATAAAAAAGAAAATTCTCTCCAATTTTAAAAGCTCCCCAAATTACCTAACATATGATCTATCTTGGGAACTTTTTCATATGTACATTGGATATGACAGAAGCCAAACAGTCTTCATAATCATTAATAAGTACTGATAAATACACACACACATACACACACACCACACAGCCCACATGCACAAATAAAGATGTTGGGCCTCATAAGTCAAGTTGAAGAAATATAGTCCAATCAGTCTGTTACTTTCAGTCTAAAACAACATCCATAATAAAGATTGAAATGTA
This sequence comes from Homo sapiens, assembly GCF_000001405.40. Classification (NCBI taxonomy): domain Eukaryota; kingdom Metazoa; phylum Chordata; class Mammalia; order Primates; family Hominidae; genus Homo; species Homo sapiens. The sequence goes on along the minus strand of NC_000003.12, from coordinate 77,029,056 downwards.
TCACTAGCAATATTTATACAGAGAAACACATGAAATCCAGACAAAAATCCCGGACCAAATTCATCAGTAGATATGCTGATCAATTAGACTACGCATACTCAGTGCCTTGTGTTGTACCAAAACCTTAGTTAGTGTGAACAACAGGGATTGGAAAGAAAGAAGGATATAGTGGTTTTCTTATATTCACACACACACAATAAAAGGTACAGAGAATATGTCACAAATATTCAGCTATATATATGGCAACATGGAATCAAAATTGGAGGAAAGTGAAAAGTCCTGTGTGCATAGGACCAGGAAAAAGGTAAATGAGATGGCAGATTTTTTTTCTTTTTTTTGAGACGGAGTCTCGCTCTGTCACCCAGGCTGGAGTACAGTGACGCGATCTTGGCTCACTGCAACCCCGTCTCCCAGGTTCAAGCGATTCTCCTGCCCCAGCCTCCCGAGAAGCTGGGATTACAGGCACACACCACCATGCCCAGTTAGTTTTTTGTATTTTTTTTATTAGAGACAGGGTTTCACCATGTTGGTCAGGCCGGTCTTGAACTCCTTACCTCAGGTGATCCGCCTGCCTCAGTCTCCCAAAGTGCTGGGACTACAGGCATGAGCCACTATGCCCAGCCTAGATGTCAGATAGTTTTGTTAAGTTTTTGGAGGACCTAAAACAGATCAGAGATGGAGTAAAAGACATCCATTATGAATGAAGAAAACTGAGGCTCTGAGAAATGAAGTGACTTCGGCAGAAGAGTACAGAAATAAACAAGAGCATTGGACCTGATTCACCTCAAAGTCCCTTTTATTTCCACTACATACTGTGTGGACTCATTGAATGTTAATCATTGTTTTCTGACAACAGGGAGCATGTGCAGAACAGTTTTAACTTGAGAAAAACGTTGGCAGTTGCTGAAGAAGGGGATTTAATGAGCAATTCCTTGTTGATTTGCCACAGTGGGTTATGAAGAGGAGTAAGGAAATGAAACAGAATGAAAGAAAAACAAGCTGAAGACAGAAAAGCAGGAGAGTGAGGAAGTAGAGAGGAATATTCCACAGGCTTGGTTTCACTGAAACAAAAACTAGAGAAAGCCATGTGATTTAATAGTCGTTGGGCTTCTAAATTTTGCTTTGTAGCTTTTATTGAGTAATCTTCTTTCTAATTTCTTTCTACCCGCTTCACTTTTGTCTTGTATGACACAATGCAATCTGGCCTCATTAGTTCACACTACAGAACTTTCCAGCCAGCTTAGCCGTGATTCCTCCCTCCCCTGGCACACACGCACACACTTAATTAAACACACTGTGTGTATCTGAGAGCAGTACAGGTGCTTGGCTAGCACCCTTACTAGAGTTCTGAATTGGACCCTCCACGGTCCGACAGCTGGCTTTCAGTGCTCAGAGGACTCTACTAACTACTGTAGTTCAATAAAGTACCATACTGACATAAATGTGGCAAAGATTTTGTTTAACAGTTCCCATCATTTAATACCAAAAGAGTTAAATAAAGCAACCTAGCAATTGCCATGTAGTAATTTACTCCTCAGAATTTGGTTTTACATTGATTGCCCAATTTACTTTTGATGCTATATATGCTCTCTGGAATGTTTACCGATCATTTCTGCGTATACTTTCAGATGAACTTTGGAAGTATCAGCCTCTCTTATACCCACAACGGCAGGTCTGTGCAGATGTCACTTGAATGAGTGTTTGGGCCCTTAGCTTTAGAATAGAGGCCTAACTGCATTAGGTGGTTCGGGTGAATTCTTCTTACCTACTTTGCTCAGGCTGAAATTTCGTTTTGTAATATGATGTTGTCATCACCATTGTCATCAGAAAGACATATGAGGGGATTATTAACATTATTGTTTGTCAGGCTTCTACATTAATTTTCCTCAAAATAATAGTGCTTCAACTGAGGAACAGAATTATATTTTGCCTTGTCTCCAGAAATGCTTTTAAATTAGAATTGATGCTCAAGCTACATGACTTTTCACTGCTGATGTAATTTAGTTTTTTATCTGAATGTTTGATAAGTTGCAGTATGACTCTATTCTTGTAGTTAAAAATCCATTAACCTCCCTTCTAAAAACCTGTTGCTTTAATAACAGCAGCTTTTTATACCAAAGAAAAACACTGAAATATATTATCTTAGTCAAAATGTCTGTACCTATTTGTAGATTGGTCTTCTAGGTACGAGAAGTTACAATGGTTGGAATAAATAAAATCGAGGGGAAAATGATAATTCATTCAATTCACTTAACAATTTTTTATTGAGTGCTGTTATATGCCAGGATATGATATGAATATCATCTGTCTCATAAAGATACTTTGCTTTTCTGAACTTTAGTTCCATTATCTGTAAAATGACACAGATGAAATAGTGACTTCTAAAGCCTAGTCCTCTCCGGAACATTCTGTTACTTATTTTGCTCAGCTAGAAGATATTTCGAAGGATTTCACCTCTCGTATCAATAATTGAGTCTGAGCCCTTTGCAGAAGATAAAGAATCATGCCTTTGGGTTTCAGACTCTGTGAAATAAAGTTACTTTGAAAGCCATGATAAGAAATGGTGATGATTTTGGTAGTCTTGCACTGACACATCTGGTCTAACCCATCATGCTTGTATTTATGTGAAACTGCTGTCCCATTGTTAGCAGCTGTTCTCTGGGGCCAGTGATGACTAGAGTGTTGTGGTTGTTATTGGTAGCTAGTTCATCTACTATATTTCATAGAAATAAGGTATCTGCCTTATTCTAATATCACAATCCTCTATTTTTATTCAAACAGCACACTAGCATCCTTAATATAACACAGCTTTTAATAATACAGATACGTATATCACAAAGGTCAAAATTTATCCCTAGATATTAAGGGGTCTACAAGGATTCCACGGAGTTGGAGTTATATCATTAAAAACCTATAGTATTGAAGGAAATTACAGTAGGATCTCATGATTAAAACAAGAAGCAGAGAGGCAGAGACTGACTTAACACCAAGCATATGCACATATAAACTTTGCTGTATTTTGTGTCCCTTCTTACTAAAAACATTTAATTTTGGCTGTCAATGATGGTGGTGGCAATCGTAATGAATGCAATTTCTAAAATAAATACATAAATTGAAACATTGAGGTGCTTGTAGCAGAATTAATTGTGTCTGCCTGTTGATAGTGTTGAGGCTGTTTTCTTATCAGGTACCTCTTAAGAAACAATATGGTGCAAAACATCCAGCTAAAAGCAGCAATAAGGAAAATACCTCTCAAGGAATGATGTAGTGATTTATGTGGGTATCTTCAGTAAGTGCTCCAGGGATTTGCACGTGTAATTCCCCAAATGCCACAGCAGCAAGACTTTCCATTAGCACCCTACCAGCCCATTCTAAGACCTCTGAACACAAATGATACCACCCAGGAGATTTTTCCTAAGAGAGCTGTAAAGATTCTTTGAGGTTGTTTGCATTTCAAAAGAAATTCACTTAAATCATGAATCTTTTGTCTAACCTTATGTCATCCCCCTTTATGTTCATTTGGGAGCAATTTGTCTATTCTTTTAGAAACTTTTGTTAGTTATCATGTTAACCAAATTTCCAAGTCACTGCAGGACATTAGTTTTGCCCTTAGCAATAAATTTATATTTGGATTTGTTACACCAAGGGAACTGGAAAGCTTCCACAAAATTAATTATTGATGCCACTTGGGACATAGTCTATTCTATTTTGTTTTCTAGTCTCAAAATGGTTAACAGAACCCTAATAGAAACTATTTTGGAAGAGTCTTATGAGCTGATAGCAGGCTTAAGCATATTAGTAAAGACAAGTCCAAAATAATAACTAAGAGCTCAAATGCAAAGGACATTAATTGACCTTAAATGCCTAATAATAAAAATTGAAAGAAATAACGTTTTCATTATTTTTAAACATTTTGTGTTAGAAGTTTAGGGTGACTTCCCTTAGACCTCACCACCACATATTTTAAAGGGAGGAGCTAGCCACCCTGTCTCCTTGTCTCCTGCCTTTTTTAAGAAAGCACACTAAATTAATTTACTGCCAAAGAACAGACCTTCTGTCCTTTTTTTTTAAAACAAAAAACAAACAAAAAAAAACAGCTAAGAGGAGAAGACAAAACAGAAAAAGGTCAGGCTAATGGTCATTTCACTAATACTTGTGTCTTCACTTTACGATATTTGTATACTCCAAAACGTGTCTTTTCCCCCTCCAATATGGAATTAACTCCATAGTTCAAAAAACAATGCAGATTTTTGGAACAATAGTTAACATTCGAAAATGCTCGAGAATGGTCATACTGAGATTCATGTGATAAAAGCAAAATTAAAATTTATTTTCTCTCTTCATTTGGTTTATTATTATGCAAAGTAGAATCCAGAACAACTGGTATGTACAGAGTCTCCAAATCTCCAACTCTTAGTTAGTTCTCTCAGTGTGGAGTCGGGTCTCCCAGGTCTTGGTTATTTCCCTCAGTATAGTTAGAGTCCACAAATCCCTAACATTAGTTTTAACATTAAGTACACCATTCTCCCTAAACACCAGATCATAGCATTGTATATGCTTATGTTCATGGAATACACAAACAATTTCTCTTTGTAGCTGAGATGACTCCCTGTTTTGCTGATTCCGTCCATCAGTGTCTCAAGCTATCCATTTTACTGCTTCATTTCTGACACAGGTTAGCTCAGTGTTAGACTCGTTTCTGCATTGAAACTAATATTCAGAACAATAAACATGACAACTAAGAATGTTCCACCTGATGTCCCTGACACTTCAACTTACCCATCCTGTGTCCTCTTCCAATGGATTCCCTCTAAACATTTTTGAAGCAATCCTGTTCTATGCTGAAATGTTCACACATTTCTCTACTTAACTTAAATCAGGCAATCGATAATGCCACACTGTGGAGGCAATGCTAAGAATGTAAGATAGCTAAGTAAATCTATGTTGATGTGTCTGTTTCTTCTATGCAGGACTTTCTTCACATGTGTTTGTCACATATATACACGATCTACAAAAAATATGAATTATTAGACCTGAAGAAAATGTGATACTAATACCACATTTTTATACTTGAAGCATTTAAATTAAGGTTGCTATTTATAACTATAAGGCATACTGTATATGTTCTGAATTTTCAAAAATATAGATAGGGATTTTTTATTATGCTATTTTATATTTATTTTGTGATTTAATTATAATCAGAACATTTTTAAAAACTGCTTCAGCTGTAGATATCGTAGGCTAACAGACTCATTAAAATGAGAGGCCTGGACTTTAGCATGAGAATTTCATTAGTATAGGCAGGTTTTAACTTTTTCTGTCTAGTTTTATGTTTGAAAGAGGCATTTTAAAAGAATTCTGTGTTGATAAGGAGGTACTTAGGTTTCTTACTTTTCACTACAAGACTATATCCTTTTAGCAGAATGTTTCAGTTCCTTGAACTCTAAAAGTACTAAAATATGTGACATACAAAAAGTTATTAAAATTATTTTACATCACTACATACTTTTGTCCAATCATAATATGTCTCAACTATTATTATAAGCTTTTGGAGCCTGCTTGACTTTTATGATTTTATTTCATTTGGTTTACTTTCTAGTACTTTCATGAAAGAAAAAAATGGTTTACAAAAAGTTAATTCATGAGCCAGTCACAAAAGGACAAACATTGTATTAGTTCGTTTTCATGCTGCTGATAAAAACATACCCAAGACTGGGAAGAAAAAAAACGTTTAATTGAACTTACAGTTTCACATGGCTGGGGAGGCCTCACAATCATGGTGGGAGGAGAAAGGCACTACTTACATGGTGGCAGCAAGAGAAAAACGAAGAAGACAAAAGCAGTAACCCCCGATAAGCCCATCAGATCTCGTGAGACTTTTCACTATCATGAGAATAGCGAGGGAAAGACTGGCCCTCATGATTCAATTACCTCCCCCTGGGTCCCTCCCACAACATGTGGGAATTCTGGGAGACACATTTCAAGTTGAGATTTGGGTGGGGACACAGCCAAACCATGTCCATTGTATATATGAGATTCCTAGAGTAGTCAAATTTATAGAGACTGAAACTAGAATGGTGGTTGTCAGAGGCTAAGGAGAGGGAAGAATGGGAATTATTGTTTAATAGATACAGGGTTTCAGTTTCAGAAGACAAAAAACATTCCGGAGGTGGATGGTGGTGGTGGCCGCACAACAACGTGAATATTCTTAATGCCACTGAACTGGAAACTTAAAAATGGTTAAAATGGTAAATTTTATGTTACATATATTTTACTGCAATTGAAAAAAATGTTAATTCTCATGTCATTTTAGGAACAGAAAGGTGTGATATCTTTCCTTACCCATCATGAGTGTCAACGCTAACACTCCTATGAAAAAGACATGTTAACAAGGGAAAACTATAAAAATTTGTTTAATCAAAGTTTTATGTGACATGAGGCCCTTCCAAAATAAAGACTCAAAGACCTAGGGAAAATTGTCCATTTTTATGTTTAAGTTTGATGAAGAATGGATGGCTTTATAGAATTCTGACTGGACAGAAAGCATACGATCTAATAGGAATAAACTGAGGTGGGGAAAGCCAGTGTCTTAATATATTTTCTGTTGCTATAACGGAACACTACAACAGTTTGGGTTTTCATTTGATTTTGTTTATTTGTTCATTTGCTTGTTTGTTTGCTTGTTTTGAGACACAGGCTCACTCTGTCACCCAGGCTGGAGTGCAGTGGCATGACCTCGGCTCACTGCAACCTCCGCGTCATGGGTTCAAGCAATTATCCTACCTCACCCTCCTGAGTAGCTGGGATTACAGGCGTTTGTCACCACCTCCAGCTAACTTTTGTATTTTTAGTAGAGACGAGATTTCGCCATGTTGGCCAGGCGGGTCTCAAACCCCTGACCTCAAGTGATCTGCCTGCCTCGGCTTCCCAAAGTGCTGGGATTACAGGCATAAGCCACCATGCCTGGTCTGTTTGTTTTTAAGAGGTGAGGTTTCATTATTTTGCCCAGGCTGGTCTTGAACTCTTGAGCTCAAACAATCCTCCCACTTCTGCCTCCTAAAGTGTTGGGATTATAGGTATGAGCCACTACACCCGGCCTCTGGGTAGTTTTTAAATAAATGTATTTCTCATATTTCTGGAGGCTGGGAAGTCCAAGATCAAGGGGCTTCATCTGGTGAAGACCTTCCTGCTTAGTCCTCTGACAGTGGAAGGCAGAAGACAAGCAAGTGCACAAGACAGAGGGAGGAAGGGGGCTAAATTCATTTGATTTATCAGAAACCCACGTCTGTGATAACTAATCCACTCCCACAATAACAGCATTAATCCATTCATAGGGCAGGGTCATCATGATCCAGGAACCTCTTAAAAGGTCTCACCTTCTGAGTATCATTACAACAGCAATTAAATTTGAACATTAATTTTGGAAGGGACATTGAAACAAGATACATTTGTTCAGATTTTACTTTGGCCTTCCTGTGTAACTATCCTTCCTGTTGGGTATAGGGCAGGACCTCCTCTGGAATGAGGTTCTTATAACTTACTTTCAGACAAGGTAGGTCAGATAATTTTTTATGGCCAGCTCTTACCCAGATAGGAAGGGGAGGGTTAGCGTAATATTTCTAAGTTTTTTGTGTACTTTGAGGGAGAGAGATTCTAGTTTCTATGACTTTGGAACAGGAATTCTAGTTTTCATGTCTTGCCTTGGAAATGAAAGAGGGGCAAGAGACAGGAGGGTAGGAGAAGGTCAGGAAGAGACTTTGCTTCTGAAGGCATTCTAATATCCCTTAGTTCAAAGTACTCAGCATGCCACAGCACCATACTTTGGGGTATTCTTTTCTTTCTTTCTTTCTTTTTTTTGGAGACAGTCTTGCTCTGTCACCCAGGCTATAGTGCAATGGTGCAGTTATAGCTCACTGCAACCTCGACCTCCCAGGCTCATGTATTCCTCTCACCTCAGCCTCCTAGGACCCAGGTGTATGCCACCACACCCAGATAATTTTTTTAAAAAATATTTCATAGAGATGAGGTCTCACTATGTTGCCCAGACTGGTCTTGAACCCCTGAGCTCAAGCAACCCTTCCACCTTAGCCTACCAAAGTGTCTGGATTTCAGGCATGAGCCACCACACCTGGCAAAGAGTGTGGTTTTCTGAGCTCTCAAATTATCTTTGTTTAGTATCTTTTCCCACTGTTTGTTATAGAAAATATTTAAGTGCTAAAAATTACAAAGAAAATAATGTACATAAACTATATCTTACTATTCAAGAAACAAACACATTATTTTAATGTCTTCCCATTTTCTCTGCATAGCGCTTTATAGTTGGAAACTATGATTTTGTATCCTGCCTTTTTCCACTTAATGCTGAAAAATAAAGCTTTCTAATGTTATTAAACTGGTAAATGCAATTTCATTTGGTTGTTGATATTAGATAATGTGGATCTACCACATTTTATTTACTGTCCCCTTATTGTTGGACATTTAGGTCACTTCCAGCATTATTCTTTGTTTCCTTATACGAACAATACTGGCATGAACATTTTTTTCTAAGAGTCATTGGGCAAATTTTTTATGGCTTCATTAGTATTTAAGCATTTGCTTAAATAGACCGATTTACTGACTCAAAGAGCATGAACATTTTTAAGGTTTTCTAACATGCATTGCAAAAATGTTTCTGAGAAAAACAAAACATTTACACTCTCACCAGCTGTGAATAAGGACTTCTATTTTCCAATGCTTTTATATATAAAAAGTTCTCTCCTTCCAAATATTTGATAAATTATTCAGTGCTGAGTTTTTACTGCTTTGTCTGTGGCTTTATTTTTACATTTAACTGTAAAATCAAGATGTATTTTCTATTTTAGTATAGGGTGAGGTGAATTTCTAAAGTATTTTCTCAAAATCTATTCAGTTTTCATTTATTAAATAATTCCTGTGCTGTTTTAAAAACCCATGTCCCCTTTTAATAGTTTTAAAAAATATATCAGAAATTACAATGACTAGAATAAATGGTTGGGCTCTGTATGTGCTCTGCTAAGCATATCATATACAGTGTCTCAATTAAACTTCATGAGGATCCTTTGGCACCTCACTACCAGGTTCCCACAATTATTAAGCCCCATAACCAAGTCGACCAGGAAGAAATGAGACTTGTGGTTCAAATTCAAATGTATCTGAATCTGGGATCCAAAGTTTTAACTTCAAGAGGCAATGTTGAACCATCATTTTGTAGAAACCAATCTGTTTCTTTAGCCTTCTTTTTAAAAAGTTTTTCACAGAATTTTAGAAACAAATGGTTTCAAATTTCTTAGTTACAAATACTTGCAGAGGAAAGGGTCACCAAAAATTATTTAAACTAAAAGTGATAAAATCCTGAAAATCAAGATCTGGTAGTTTGAGTTTTCCTGACACTGGTTTCACCAGTGGGACATTTCCTTTCATGGAATTCCCTACATATTCCTTGTGTGTACATTCTCCCTTTCATTCCATTCAAGGCCCATCGGCTCATGAAGAATTTTCTTATGTCATTTGGCCCCAAGGAGCTCTTCTTCCTGCCTTATACTTATTTCTGGGCAGTTGTGCTATGGTTTGCATGTTTGTGTCTCCCCCAAATTCATATGTTGAAATCCTAATTCCCAATGTGATGTTATCAGTTAGTAGGGTTTTTGGGGGATGATGATGTCCTGCGGGTGGAAGCCTTATGGATGGGATTAATGCCCTTATAAAAGAGGCCACACAGAGCTGCCTTGCCCCTTCCACTATGGAAGACACAGCTGGAAAGTGCCATTTATGAACCAAAAAATGGCACTCAACAAGCATTGAATCTGCCTGTTTGTTGAATTTGGACTTTCCTGCCCCCAGAGCTGTGAGAAATACACTTCTGTTGTCTATAAGATACCCAGTTTATGGTATTTTGTTATATCAGCCCAAGTGGACTAAGATAACTTATTTGAAATTTATCTTAACCTCTTTGAGGTTCCCGAAACCCATGCTAAATCCTTCATAGAAGAAAGATGCTCTAATTTGGAAGGATGCTCTTGTTGCCCCACACCAACTTGAGCGGGGATGTACTTGGATCAGGGACAGGGAGGGCTGTTTTTTCATGGTAATTCAGAGCAGTGAAATCAACTCTGATAATCAGTTGACAGGCAATGCGGCCAGATTACCCTTACTCCTAGTAATTTGGATTTGTATCTTCCCTCTCCTTAGCCTCTGTCAACCACCATTCTGGTTTCGGTCTCTATAAATTTTACTACTCTAGGAATCTCAGGTAGTGGAATTACACAATATTTGTCTTTTTTGTGACTGGCTTGGGAATGAACATTTTTGCAAACCATTTTTTCTTTCATGAAAGTACTAGAAAGTAAACCAAATAAAACAAAATCATAAAAGGTCAAACAGGTTCCAAAACCTTATAACAATAGTTGAGACATATTATGACTGGATAAAAATATGTAGTGATGTAAAATATTTTAATAACCTGTTGTACATCACATATTTTAGTACTTTTAGAGTTCAAGGAATTCAAATACTGTGTTAAGAGGATATAGCCTTGTAGTGAAAAGTAAGAAAAGAAACCTAAGTACCTCATTATCAATATAGAATTCTTTTAAAATACCTCTTTTAAACATATTGAGTGTGTACATGTTAGAAATAGGATATATTTAGAATATTGTTAACTGGGCACAGTGGCTCACACCTGTAATCCCAACACTGTGGGAGGCTGAGGCGGGCAGATCACTTGAGGTCAGGTTCAAGAATAGTCTGGCCAACATAGTGAAACCCCATCTCTACCAAAAAATACAAAAGTGTGCCTGTAATCCCAGCTACTTGGGAGGCTGAGGCAGGAGAATTGCTTGATCCTTGGAGGCTGGGTTTGTGGTGAGCTGAGATTGCGCCACTGCACTCCAGCCTGGGCGACAGAGTGAGATCCTGTCTCAAATGTATATATAAATATATTGTTTCTGAATTCATAAAGAACAACTTTTCTTTGTCTTACTAAACACATCATGTTTATTAAGCTTTTTTATATGCAGGCGATATCACGAGATTTGGGATAGGCTTTCCACATTCTATTACCCAATTTATGCCTAGTGTTCCATTATTGGAACGCCAAGCATGTGGGAGTTATTTACATCCTACTGTTCAAGGTCATTGCCAAGGTCTGATTGCAAAAATTCAAAAAATTACCACCTCAGGCATAAATGGGTTAACATAAATAAAAAGCAAAAACAAAATATTAGATGATGCAACCTTATGCCCAAAGTATTTTTCATTACAAATTAGGGTGCAGGTCAAGAAAAAAAAAATAGAAAAATTACTTTAAAAAATTATGTGAAGTCAGCATTGATTTAACAATAAACTATAAAAATAGTAAATACTATGAAAACTTTCATGAGTTTGTGTTTCTACCTGATGTGTCTTATTTTTAATTTTGCCCTTTTTAAAAGAAATTATTTACATAAGAGCCCTAGAAGTCTTTTCTTGTGATAAGGAGAAATGTAATTAAAGCCTAAAATTTTCTCAAATTATCTCAACTTAAGCAGCTCTGGTGCACTTTTCATGAACTAATGCTCAAGAATAATTGTGGAAGAAAACCATGTCCAATCTACTTAATATACATTTAATTTCTTGGGTCCTGTTAGTCATTTGAGCTATCTCTGATGGGGTCAAATAATCTTTTAACAAATCAATGTTACTTCCCTTATCTATTTACTTTGTCTTTCTTTTACAGAAGAAGGTTTTTTGTTGTGGTTGTTTTGTTTTTAACTCATTTCCTTTGAATTTAAAAGACGAAAGGTCACAGACCCAAAGACTGATTATTTTTCTACCTTGCAGTTTATAAAATTAGATACAAATGCCAAGACAACATTCTTACATTCTAGTAGACTTTTGTTGTTATTTTTTGGCTTAATATGCTTTTATTTCAGTTCAAAATTCTAGACAAAATAAAGATCTTCCTGTTGATAAGGACATATGGTAAGATTATTTTGCATATGAGCTGTAGTATATTAAGTTAGATTGACAGCTGATGTTGTTGAAGCATTTAGAAGTGGCAGAAAAGTTTCAGATGACCTATTCTACTGATATCTGATCATAACTTTAGTAAATATTATTATAATATATGAAGCTTACTTCATCAAGAAATATATTCTGAGATGTGTATTTCCGACTTTCACGTACATATAGAACTAAGTTATGCTTTGAACAAAATTGCTCTTATTGTATATTCAAATGATCAGAGCTTTTAGTGCAGCATGGTACAAGAGAAAAGGCTTGAGATTTTAGTGACGTATACTTCCAGATCCCCCTAACACTCCTGGCGGTGTGGCCTCGGGCAAAGCTCTTCTGTGAACTGCAGGTTCCTCACCTATAGAATGGTGATAATGGTTGCATTACAGAGCTATTGAGAGGACTAGAAATTGCATTAAGTTAAACCATGTGAAACTGTTTTTGTAGATTAAAGAGTTCAAATACTGGCATTTTGTATGATTCAACCTAGCTTACCTGACTGAACTGGTAACTATTGCTACTAACATTGTTATTGCCAAAAGCTGGATTTACAAAGATAAATATATATAGATTTTGGTGGCAGGGGGTCTTCAATGCATACGAAGATAGGGAAAATGTGGTATTTGCAATGAACAGTGGAGCATTTTTGTTTTTGTTCTTTAATGGAGAGACATAGATTTATGTATGGATCTGATTTACAGTGGCACCATGACCTGCCAAAACTAATTCAAGTGCAAAACTCTGAAACTCAGTCGTACAAAATAACATATTAGGGCCAGGTGCGGTGGCTCATGCCTGTAATCCCAGCACTTTGGGAGGCCGAGGCGGCGGATCATGAGGTCAGGAGATGGAGACCATCCTGGCTAACACGGTGAAACCCCGTCTCTACTAAAAATACAAAAAATTAGCCAGGCGTGGTGGCGGGCGCCTGTAGTCCCAGCTACTCGGGAGGCTGAGGCAGGAGAATGGCGTGAACCCGGGAGGCGGAGCTTGCAGTGAGCTGAGATTGCTCCACAGCACTCCAGCCTGGGCGACAGAGCAAGGCTCTGTCTCAAAAAAAATAAAAATAAAAATAAAAAAAATAACATATTAGAACATGGATAGTGAGAAGGAAAAACAAAAGATTATGGCATTAATACCATATTTAGATCAAGTTATATTTCAAATGTGGGGATATGCTGTGCTAATGTAGACATGTGATTTAAACACATTATGTTTTAGATTTCTAATGTGTTAAGATAGGAGACGGTTGTTTGTTCTTCAAATTGTGGGCCTGGGGCTGGGGCAGGTAACTGTGATGCTGGAGAACCCAGCAATAGGACCAGCTTGAATAGCCCTTCTTTTCAGTCATAGCAGATGCATTTTAAAGCATTTGTATATATTGGGGTTTGTATGAGAAATAAGCTGTTAAAATGTTTGAAAATTATTGGCCCATATTGTTTAGCCCCTTCTAACTCTAAAATTCATTGATTTTTTATGATGCTACCCAACGCCAACATTGTTAAATGTCATCCTAGAATCTAATTTGCATAGAGCTGCTATAATCGTGGATGGTTATAGGTTAAATATTTCTTGATCCTTCACTGACCTTTTAGGAGACATTCCAAGGAGACAGAGTAAAAATGGAGTGTTCTCTTAAAATATCAAAGGCAAGGAAAAGATGTAATCACTAATACCACATTAAATTTCTGTGCCTCCCATAAATCCCATTCGTGTACACAAGGCTCTTTCATTACAAATTGGTCACACTTTTTAGAAGTGACACCGCTAATAACAACCCTTAAATGATATTAATCATGTTTAAAGAAAAGAGAGTTTGCTTTAGTAAAACATTAGCTAACTCTTGTTAAATTGATTTTGGCCTTTTTGGTTAATTGATTTTAAACACTATTTCCTTAGGGCTCTTATGATGAGTCGCATTGGAGGGAAATGACAAGATTTTTCCTGAAACACTGGCTAGAAATGATGTTTTCCTTTTTTTGTTCTTAAATGTGTACTTTTTTTTTTTACAAGTTGAACTTTTAGATGTAGGAACAATATGATTCAGAAAGGAACATCTGTCTTCAAACCTAAGTTCATTAGAATTCATTAGATAGTTATAATTTTAATCTATGATTTTTAAAGAATAGAAACATGATACAATAAATGAAAACATAATTAATAGAGAAAGATCCATTATTCAACAAAAGCCTAAAAACCAGGAGGGCAGATGTTAAATGAAACTCTGCTTGTTCATGTAAGCTGGCTTTCTTTCTCTCTCTCTCTCTCTCTTGCAAATGGCCATCACCTGGCTCTCCTTTTCTTCCCTCTGATAATAGAGTGAAATTTAGGTGGTCCTTTGACCACCCTCAGTCTCCAACTACTCCTGATTGTTCATTCCCTTCACAAAACCAGGTCTTTTCTAATACAACACCTTGCATTTTAATTCAGGAGACAGCTCTTACAGTTTAAATAGAGCTGCAGGAGACTGATCAGGAGGACTTCCAACCCGATGACACTTTCTCAGGGGTCTTGCATCTTAGAAAGTGAGTGTGAAAACTGCTGGGATCGGCGTGACATGGCTGCAGCTCGCTTTGGAGTCACACACAGTTACGCAGTTCACCTTATGAGTATCTCCGTCAGATCTCTATTCAAGCATAGCCCTGGCTGGGGATGGACTGAATTCCACTGCCTGTTGTTGTGAGCTTAATCAGAGTTTTACCAGGGTCTTCTAGTGGACAAATTACCTAAGCTGCTTGTGAGAGAGGAATGTCAAATGAAGTAGTAATCCATTAGGTCGTAGTGTGGGAATGTAGAATAAGAGACAGGGACAATTTGGCAGCCTTTAAAAAAAATTCAGTGCATTTAAAGTTTAGAGTCTGTTGACTATATGTTTATACGCTCTAAAATTCAGCCTCAAAAATGAAGAAAATGAGATTTCACACAACTGTAATGATTTTGAAAGTATTTGTACAGACCTCACTAAAAGGAAATTAAATTAGTGTGGCGAATGTAGAATAAGAGACAGGGACAATTTGGCAGCCTTTAAAAAAATTCAGTGCATTTAAAGTTTAGAGTCTGTTGACTATATGTTTATACCATCTAAAATTCAGCCTGAAAAATGAAGAAAATGAGATTCCACACAACTGTAATGATTTTGAAAGTATTTGTACAGACCTCACTAAAAGGAAGTTAACATGGAGAAACGAAAGTGTATCAAAATACTAAATGCACGTTAACTGATAGGAACTGTTGTAGGTTACTGAAGGTGCAGAGAATAAATCTAGCATTTATAAACACCATTTCTAACTACACCTCCTCAATCACAATAGTTTTGCATACTCATAGTAAACAAAAATAATTGCAGCATCAGTAAGAATTAAAGTTTGTTATAAGCTTAGGATTTTTTTTTAAAGGCAATTCTTACTGGGGATATAGACATACCACATTACACCAATGGAGGAAGCAACAATGAGCATTATCTAGGCTGTTTCTACCTACAGGATTCATTTCCTTTAATGACGGTCAGAGCCTTAAATGCTTAGGAATTGGGTTGCACTGTTTTTGATGTATTTAGGTATTATTTCATCAACATTGATAATTTAAATTTAATATATGAGTTTTAAAATAATTTTACATCAAAGTTATGTTTGCCTTCTTTTTTGCCTCACAACCACATTCTTCTTTGTATTTCACTCCAAAATCATGCCTTTTCCATTATAAACCCAACTCAATGGGAAAATATAATTTAGTTAATAGAAATTACCTAAACAGCCAATCTCTCAGAAACCATCTATCTTATAAATTAAGGTGCACCTATAATTTAATTTATCTTATCATTATTTTTCTACTCTCTTTCCAAAATATTTCAATTCTTATTAGATTAAGGATATGATGCCTTGTGATTGCAAATTACATTAAGACATTAATATTGGCTAATGCTTAAAGCTAAAAGGATTTTATAGAAATTTATATTTCTTTCTCTTAAATGAATACATCTTGAGTCAACCATATTTTCTAATTCATACTTAGAAACACTTCCTCCCCCACAAATGAGTCAAGATCAAAATTAAAACACTTCTTCCTCTCAAAAAGTGGTGCTATTGAAGAAACGGAAATCATACAGTGAAATGTAATTGGTAACACATCTGGGAACGCAAAATAAATTAATACAAATCTACAGATTTGGGGAAATATAATTGGACTGAGTTTAGTAAGATGCCACAAAAGGTAATTCACAACAGTTGATCACCAGGATAACCTGGGGTAGCTGAAATAAAAATTATCAGGCTAAATCCCAGACATTTGAATTCAGTAGTTCTGTGCCAGGGTCTGACAACCTGAATTTTTAAAAGTGTATTGGGCAATTCTGACAATCAGCCAAAGTTGGGAATCACTGATTTACAAGATTTCAGTAGACAAATTTTGACAATAAAAGCTTCTTACCCAGTGGCAATCTTATTTTTCTATCCATCCATGTAACTTACCCAGTGGTTATCTTATTTTTTATCTATCCATGTAGCTGATATTCTCATCATCAAGTGACTCTTAAAGTCACAACAAAGCATACATACTATTTCCAGGAGATTAAATTCACATATGTTATTCGAATTGGTTTGATGGTGTCATTGAATCATTTAACTTTTGTAATTTATGAGCATGAACTTTTGTTTTTATCAGGGGAATTAATCTTTAGGCTGAAAGTTTCATGAAGCCTTGAAATAGAAAGTAAACAAAAGAGGTAAGATCCAAAGACAAACGTGTACATTTCTATTATTTGGTGCTTGTCTTCTCCAAAGTCATATATCTCAAAATGGACCACAGGTTATTCCAGGGTATGCTGTAGTGGAGCCAAGAGAACAGAAAACCACAGTATAAACTGTACACATTCCCGAAGTATCAAATAAAACATTTCATGTATTCATTGCCCTTCAAATAGTCATATATATATGACCAAGGTCTTCTAGTGGACAAATTACCTAAGTTGCTTGACTTAGGTAACTTGCTTTACTTAGTGGCTATTTGAATATAAAAATAAATATATTCAAATGAACATATACATATTCATTTTTAGATTAGAGAAAGAGAATAATACCTTCCAAAAAATTTCAAGCCTACATAAATTTGTTTTAAGTTGGGTGCTCCTCATATCTCTTTTCTTATTATATCATGACACCAAGTGAGGAATGAATTCATCATTGATTTTGAAACCTGGATGAAAAATCTTTTGCATAAAATTTCAAAATAAAGGTCTCACCAGGAAATAGATAGCACATTATAATGATATTTTGAGTAGAGCATAACAAAGGGGCAATTAACAAAACTTCATGCAAAGTTTAAAGAAAACTACCCTTGGGCTTGTCAGAAGGAGAAATTCTTACCACTCAGGCCTGAAAAAGGTAGCTGTAGAGAGATGTTCATCTGATAGGTCTGAGGCCTTTTGCAGAGGGTTACAGGGCTGCAGCCAACTAGGATCAATCTGGTTGGGAAACACTCCTGAGCTCACCCTCCCCTTACCCTATAATCACTTGTAAATGCTTAACATTGGCCAAAGTCAAGCAGAAGCCAAGCTATTGATGCTGTCCAAATGGACCAGTTTCTCCATGGCACTTAGCAGGGTGAAAGGTTTGGAGATGGATTTTAAGTAATAAGCTGAAGATACTTGACACAGAAACATGTCTTTTGACATTACTAATATGCATACTTATTTTAATTTGCATGTGAAAAATTGACATTTATTCATTTGACGTATTTATTGAAGGCCTACTATAGGGGAGACCCTGAACTAGGCACTAAATATACGATAGCAAACAAAACACACTATATTCCTACATTCATTGGGCTTACTTTCTGTATATAAACAGGGAAAGGAAGGAAGGAAGGAAGAAAGGAAGGATGGAATGAAGGAAGGGAGGAAGGGAGGGAGGGAAAGAAAAATTAAAGAAAGAAAGAAGGAAAGAAAGAAGAAAGATAGAAAGAAAAAGAAAGAAAGAAAGAAAGAAAGAAAGAAAGAAGAAAGAAAGAAAAGAAAAGAAAGAACCGACAGAAAGAAAGAACAAATGAAAGAAAGGAAAGAAGGATGGAAGGAAGGAAAAGCAATACAGAGAGGGAGAGGGAGAAAGGAAGGAAAGAGAAGAAAGGGGGTAGGAAGGAAGGAAGAAAGGAAGGAGAAGAAAGAGGGAGGGAGGGAGGAAGGAAGGTAGGGAGGGAGGGAGAGAGGGAGGGAGGGAGGGAGGAAGGAAGGAAGGAGAGAAAGAAAAAGACCTTCAGGTTCTGTAGGAATATGAAGAACATGAAGTAAATCAGAGGATAGAGACTGACTGAGGCATGGATTCCAGCGTTGTTTTAGTTAAGAGTTCAATAAAAAGCCTCTAGGAGAAAAACAAGCGCTGAGAGGAGCCAGCCATGGAACCATCTGAAGAAAGGCATCTGAGGAAGAAGGAACACCACGGGTAAAGGTCCTGAAACTGGGTCAGGACTGATGTGTTCAGGCAAGAAAACAAAGGACTGAGAAGGAGCCCATAATTTGGGAGCGTCTGATCAGCTCTGAGGTTGGAATGGAAGATCTAGCCTGGTCACATGTGGAATTATGGGTCATTTATAAAGAGGTGGCTTTTATTATAAACGCGGAGATGTCTTTGGAGAATGTTAAGCAGCAGAGTTGTGATCTAATTTTAGTTTAGTTTTGTGTTTTCTAAATTGATTACTCTTCCTTCAGGAGGAGAAGCAGAAAGCAGGTTATAAAACTATTGTAACAGTCCAGGCAAAAGATGAGGGTGTTGAGGACTGGTGGTAGGTAGAGAGAATGAGGGGAATCAAGTTCTTGGTTGACAGTCATTTCTACATATATACTTCAATTTTATTGACACCAAACTAATATGAATTTTGAATGGGCAATCCTCCGTGTTTCTGAAATCAACCAAGTTCAGCAAAAACAACATAAAACCAAACCTAAAATCTGATACTTTGGATAGGCTTTCTGATTTTGCTTGTATAGATTATTTATGGCAATTAAGTTAATGGAATTCTGAAATTATACCAAATAAACCTAAAAGGCAAATATGTCTATAAAACAAGGTCTAACTTGGTTATAAGAGTGACTTTTTTTTTTTTTTTTTTTTTTAAGACAGAGTCTCACTCTGTCACTCAGGCTGGAGTGCAGTGGCACGACTTCAGCTCACTGCAACCTCCACCTCCCAGGTTCAAGTGATTCTCCTGCCTCTGCCTCCCAAGTATCTGAGATGACAGGAACCTGCCACCACACCCAGCTAATTTTTGTATTTTTAGTAGAGATGGGTTTTCACCATGATGGCCAAGCTTGTCCTGAACTCCTGACCTCAGGCGACCCTCCCCAAAGTGCTGGGATTATGGGCATGAGCCACTGTGGACCCAAGAGTGATTTTTAAATAGTATATTTTTCAGTACAAATATATAATTTTGGAATAAATTCTTTCTTATAATGGTTTTGTATTTTGGGCTTTGGCAACTAAACAACATATAAAATTATGAAGACCAGCTGTGAGAAAATGTTATGAACATCATAGAGTACTTAAACATTGTTTCCAAAATAGTTTGGCACATTAAATACAATTCTTATGTGGAGAAGAAATGCCAATTATAAAAAATGTAAACAATATTGGATTAGAGTTTTTATTTTCGTAAAAATTGTTAAAAACTTGGATTTAATATATTGTTTGAATATTTACTCTAAATTTAAATTATGGTAAGTAGTCTGGTTACCAGTGATTTACTCAAAGGGAAAAGTTAACTGCAAACCGCAATCAATTTTCTCAGTATTTCAGTAAGTTATTGGTGGAATGAGGGTAAATATTCACAAACTGAATTATCAGTCCAGAGTTTAAATGAATGATAATGGGAATAGCTACAATTTATGTGTCACGTCTTTTCAAGGATCAGTTAGTCACTGGGCTAAATCCTTCAAACAGATTATCTCATTTAATCTTACTTTTTAAGTAAGTATTAATTTATTTTTATTGGAGAGATAAGGAAATTGACCACATGGCAAGAATGCTTCAGTATCCTGACTGTTGATTTCATTATAATATCTGTATCATAATCTTATAATGGGTTCACATCCAAAAGAAGGAACAAAATAAACAATAGTCTATACATTTACTCAGCAAATTGTTATTGAGCTTCTGCTTTGTATCATATGTAATTCCAGATGCTAGGGATAAAGTTATGAACAAAACAGAAGAACAAATTCTCTGCTTTCATGAAGTGTTCTCATTCAGGCCCGTTAAGTTTTCCATTTAGTGTGTATTCTATGTTTTGTTCCTAAATGATTCGTGCCAACCTGAAACAAGTCTCTAATTTTCATATCTTGACAGATGTTTTCCAATTCTATATCTCTAACCCCGATCTTTCAGGTGCGTTTTCAGCTACCCTGTGTGTTATCTACGTATATGCTGCATCGCCTTCTCAGATATGAAGTAAAGTCCAAAGGAATCTATTCTTTCTCCTTCTTAAATGTTCCTCAAGCAATAAGATTACTATTCCCCACCCACAAAGGAAACAAACCTGGAGTTAGTATTGTCGTATATTTCTCCCTCATCTCACCTATCTGTGATTGATTACAAGCGATGTACATTTTACCACTTTTATCTATTATCACTTTGGAATATGAGTCAGTCATATACATATAGGCAGCAATGAAAGTAATTATATATGGATGCTACAAGTAACTTCACTTAGAAAAAACCAACATTTTTAAACAAATGCTTGTTCTTAAATGAGAAGATAACTGTTTTCTCTTTCCTATAATATAGTCTCAGTTGATTTTTTTGTAACACCAATTACACAGACCACATTTAATTTAATTTGAATGGGGTTGATTTGTTTTAAATTTCAAGTTCAAGAAACCGAACTTCTTTTTTTCTGGGGAACAATTCGTAGAGTAATATTCTTAGAACATAATGATTTTATAATTTTAATATAGTATGCATGAAGCATCAGAAACTTGGACTTGAGCTTTCTGATAGTATCTAAAGTTCCCTGATGGGAAATAATGAGCTGTGACATTAAAAATTTAAAAATATGTAATTTTCACAATAACTATATATTCTGATAATAGTATATATCAAATTGGATTAAATTATGCAGTGTTGAAATTCATTTAAAATAACAATATTGTACATAATTCTTTGGCAAGTAAATATGAACATTATACCATAAAAAAAGTCCATTTGGATAATGATTTTAATTAAAATTATTTTTAAAAGCATTCATACTCAGACCCAAGGATTTCCCTTGTAGGAATGTATCTTATAGAAATGTATCTCACAGATGCTCAAAGATGTTTGTACAGAGATACTTCAGGATTCTTTTCAATAACAGAAAACAATCAAGCTTAAAATTAACAGGTGCAGAAATGGATAAACTGTCATATATGCATAGTATAGGATGCTATGCTATTTACTGCCATGAAAATATTTTGAAGATACAAAAATCCCTTTAAGAAACCCACATTGCAGAATATCGTCTATAGTAAAAGTCCCACTTTGTTTAAAAAGTAAACTGTGTAAATAAGTGTATGTGTGTTTTCGAAGAAATGCAGAAAAAAATGGGTAGGAAGAAGATCTGTAAATATATAGACCCGGGTGGCAGTCTCTGAGAAATGTGATTAGAATAATGTATGGCATGAGGATGGATGTTCATATTTTTAGTATCTTACACAGTGAAGATTTGGTGGGATAAAATAGGAAAAAAATATATAATAAAAGCAAAACCTGAGAAAATGCATGTATCTGTCGTTGGTGATGAATTCATAATTACTATCCCCTACATTTTAATTAATGCATTAAGATGATTACATAAAATATGAACAGTTATAAATCAAAGCTTTTAACAAAGGATTTGAGTTGATGTGTATTTTCTCATCCCAGGCTTTGATGCCAGTTGGAAGAAGGCAATTCTCACTTTTATCCACCTGGTTTTCCTGGGCATTGTCCCTGTATTCTTTCCTCTCATAAGAGTCTTCTCTGTTGGTTAAAGAATGTGTGGCTCCTTTGTTTGCACCTGGAATGAATTCACTCTTATCTTGCTTGTGACTATGGCTTTAAAGTTTTAACAGATTTAAGGTACAAATTATTTTTAACCTTTTACTTAACCACCATATATTTTCCTCATTCATCCTAAGAGAGGTATATTATCTTTTTTAACTTAAAGTAATAAATACCTTATACTTCCTAATATATTGAGCAGTTTTTAACTTTTGATTTTTATAATTTTCTTTCCTATTTTTTATCACTTATGCCTTGTCATTATAGCAGTTTTATGATATTACTTTAAACTTCTTTATTTCTCTTTCAAATTTTTATTCTCTTAGGCCTTGGATTTAGACCTCCAAAATCATTTCTCTAAATTCCATTATTTCTCCCAGTGTAGAGTAATGATAATAAATATTTCAAGCGTGCTTTATCATTTACAAAGTATATTCCTAGACATCATTCCATAGACTATTTTACCAGTCCTATCAAGTAGTTTTGTTAATCTAACTCTCTGTTTCTTTTTTTCCCATTCACTCCATGACCTTCTTCCTGTTCCTCTTGTCACTTTTGCAGATATATTTCTAAAGTAACTTTTGAAAAGCCTTAATTTGCTGTGGTTTTTCTCTTACTTCTATTATCTTTCCTTTAGTTTCCCCTAAACCTGCATGTACATCAGAACTTTTCAAGGGGATTTCTAAATCAGACAGCTTTCTTGAACACACACACACACACACACACACACACACACACACAAATATTAAAATTCTATTATCAACATTTGGCCAGTATATACATTATATGTGTCTATTTTTGATTTCTATATTCCTATTAATCACATATATGGTCCTGGTTGGATAATGCCTGAGTCTTAAAGGTACAGTGAATCCTTAACAAACATAACAGGCAGGAAAGACTACTTGTACTACTGATGTGTGAATGACTATAGAAGTGACTGTCTTTACCCTTTATGTGGTAAAGATTAACTGGTAGCTAAAAGAATCTGAAAAAAAAAGTCTATAAGCAAATATATCTAAAGCTCAAATAAGACTAACTTGATTTTATATAATTTATACTAGAAGGTTATTATTAAACTAGTTTTCCAAGAAAGCACTTAGTCTAATAATTGACTCATTAAAAAGCAACAATTCAGAAAACCAATATATTCTTTGAAGGACAAAGAGACAGAATATTTATGAATAGTGCCAATTCTGGTGTAAACACAATTCAGACTAGAACACTGCATCCTTTTTTGCTTCGTAATCTTCTTTATAACTTTGAGACTAGGGCAGCTTTAGAAACCAAATTCACATTGTGGGTCGGGTTTCCTCAGAAATCATAAATAATCCACTACCATGGTGGAATCAACTCAACTGGCCAATCCATCAGTTACTAGCCTTGTTTCCTTACAACCTTCTACTGTCGTTTATATCATTCTTATTTTGTTCCCTGTACTCCATAAAGTACAATATTTATTAGTCCTAAAAGAAGATCCATAGGTACACCACCACTTTAAATAAAACTTCTTTCTTTTCTCATTATCAAAACATAAAGCCCATTTTGAAGCATAAATGAAATTAGTGCATTAGAACTGAACGATGATCTGTCTTTACAGCATATGCCCATTTTACTTTATAAAACATATTGAACAACAAATATAAGGAATGATATGCCAAACAAATGGTCCATTATTGGCAATTAATAGGATAATAGGATCAAATCTGTTCCAAAAACTGTGCTTGGTGCTCGTCATTACAAATGTAAAGACCTGGGTAAAAAACTCCCAAGGTAGCTGGAGGCAAACTGTGTTTTCAGATACTTAAAATGCAGCACCTGGCGCACCACAGCAAGGCGGCGGCCATAGAGTCAGGAAAAGCTTTTCAGTGGTGGTGCCATTTGAATGGGGAGAGGTTTGACAAGGTCTGAGCGGTGGGAAGAAAAGCGTAGGTAAAGGGAAAAGCCTGCCAAGCGTGTCCAACCTGTCTTATTTTGTTGTTGTTGTTCTGTTCTGTTTTGTTTTAGGCTTTTAGCAGCCCCGAAGCCATGGTTTTTCGTTTCTGTCTCTGGTGATAAGTGTAGAAGAGGGATGAGAAAAGGACTTTACTGGCCCAATCAGAAACAGAAACTAAGAACCCATGACCACATTTTCTTCCTTGGACACCTAGCGAGGCGTGGTAATTCTGGGGAATACTGTGTCTGAAATGTCTAAGATGGGGACTGCATGAGAAGCCCGGTGAAGGTGCTAAGGCGGATGGAGTCTAACTTTATAGAAGGAATGGTTTATGTCATCATCATGACATTATTTTAGAAAACTGTCTGAAAAATATTTGAGAAAACAAATATCAGCACCGAAACATTTTACTGAAAGCGAAATGCCTATGCTGTAATGGGGCTTCCTTCTGACTCTGCTACACATCTCTCAATAATCGTTTTGGTCCCAAAAGCATGAATGGGAACTTTGATGATAAGCAGCTTTCAAGTAAATTTAGACATTTGGTTTAGATTGCTTTCCTGGATAAGTTAGAAATACCATGGACATTGTATAGCTTCAGGCAAGTGACTGACCTAACAGGGTTTCTCTTTTCACAGGGAGTAAAATGTGGGAGTAGGCATGGCTTCAGTTGCAGTCTCTCCTTCTACTTCCAATCCTGAACTATTACTCAACTAGTTGCCAGCAAGCAACAAAGAACTAAAAGCGGAAGCCATTGTTGCCTATGGATTTTCTTTATACCTCTTTCTTCTTTTCATACTGTTGGCAGGATTACAAGCCACAAAGCCTATTCCTGTATTTGAGAAAGCAACCAAAAGAGCTATGAAGATTTAATTAATGTCAATAATCATTAAATCCTGAGATTTCTAAAAAGTTTAACAGGACAACAAAATATTTCTGTTATTGATATAACCAGAGTTTATGATATAGACCTTTATTATAAAGGCACTAAAAGTTAATTATCTTTGATTCAGATAAGACTTTAAGATTTTCAAAGTTTTTAAAAACTGATGATTTATCACCTGAAACAAAATCAAAGAAGTGAGCATACATTTCTGTATAAAAACATGTTTTAAGTTTGATTATATATTCTGAGACTGCCATGTTCATAATAAATGCCTCTATTAGAGCATCCAACTAGATAAATCCCAGGCAGAGAGAGAAAACATGCATCTCACAACTTTTCCAGAAAATATTCACTGGATCTGATTAAAGAACCTCCATGTCGGCTGGGCGTGGTGGCTCACACCAGTAATCCCAGAACTTGGCCGAGTCAGGTGGATCACCTGACGTCAGGAGTTCGAGACCAGCCTGGTCAACATGGCAAAACTCTGTCTCTACTAAAAATACAAAAATTAGCCGGGTGTGGTGGCAGGCGCTTGCAATGGGAGGCTGAGGTAGGAGAATCGCTTGAACCCAGGAGGCGGAGCTTGCAGTGAGCCGATATCGCACCATTGCCCTCCAGCCTGAGTGACAGAGTGAGACTCTGTCTCAAAAAACAAACGAACAAAGAAAAAATTCTCCATGTCTGGAAAGTCTACCCTGCAGTCAGTCTAAACTGAGTAGAGAAGTGGCCGTGAAGAAAGGCATGGGAAAAAAACAAAGACTAATGGTGATTATAATTGTTCTTGTGTTGAGCACTGAGTATGTACAACACACTTTTCAAACCAGTTTATATGTACTATCTTCTTTAGCCTCACAGCACTATGAGCTAGGTAATATCACTAAAGTATTCCTCTGAAAGAAATTTCCTATCTTATTGCCTATTCTGAATTCTTCCTGGATATGGAGGTGTCTTGCTCCCATATTTTCTGCAGCTATAGGGACAGTAATTATCAAGTATGCTTTCAGAACTGTAAAGTAATGTGCTGATTCTTATTTCATGAAGGTTATTGCTTCCAAGTAGTTTAAGGAACTACAAAGGTGCTACATAACAAAGAATATTTATTATGCATTGACTATATTCACAAATGTGTATAGAAAAATATTAGAAACTGTATAGAGATAAAAACTAGAGAATAATATAATCAAAACGCTCAAGAGATAGCTTGCTTTCTCCTTTTATTTTTCCTTGTGGTTAAACTATGAAAGACTTAGGGAGATTTCTGATCTGCCTTAATTACAGTGTATTTCTAGACATATGGTCAGTCATCAGAATGCTTTGATGTTGTCATTATACATGAATGTTTGAGTAGGTATTTGCCTCTTTCTTTAATATGTATTCTGAACATAGACTAAGTAAATATTATTGTATTATTTCCCTGACTTTCATGGGTGTGCCAGATCAAAAAGGAAAACATAAAAAGGTAACATAAACCACAATTAAATTAATAATTATCTACGGGTGAGATTTAGAGACTGAGACAAAAAGATATCATTGAAGACTAAAATCCAAATTGAAATTATTTGCCAGTGTTTAGACAAGATTAAAAATTTCAAAGCTTAAATGAATTATTATATTTGTGTATTAGAGCTTCTTAGGAACTAAAGATGTCACTTTTTAATACTAAACTATAAGTAGAATCATGACTATGTTTTTATTCTAATAGTTATTGGATTTTTGAATACTTTTAAGCTACTTTACTAAAGTATTAATTTTATAATATCAAATGATCTGTGATTATAAAATAGATCATGATAAAATATGAAGAATATTTTAATACAAAATAATGTATTATCAATATAAGTCACACCCTTAAATATAGCCAGAGTCATCCTTAAGATTTAAATTTTGAATATATATAAGCATTATAAATTTTTAGAGAAAGAAACATTTTATGTGGTGTATAAGTTAAGATATACACTAATAACATTAATAAATTTAGAATTAATTTGTCATCAAGTCCCATAATATAGGCTATAAGGGCCATTTCTGGAACATGAAAGAGATAATCTAGGGACAAATAAATTATTAATTTGAACACTCATAAATTTAGTACTATAAATGTTAATGTGACTGAAAGGTTAAATTTATTTTAAAAGGTAAATTCATGCATGATAATTAGTAATACAAGATTCACACACATTTCTACAAGTATATTACCATACTCTCTCCAATAATATAGTAAACTTAAAAATGCTTTTATTTAAAAATTACTCATTAATTCCTGATTTGGGCTAGTTATTTTGCTAGGTGCCTTGTGAAAATCAGTGAATAGTGAGGAAACACATAAAAGAAGATAGGATCCTTCACATTGATCAGCTCACATTCTAAGCAGATGGTCACACACATGGGCAACATAATATATTAAGCAGAAAGTTTTTTGGAGCAAAAATAAAAGAACAACTTCATGTATAGTTCTAGAATTGTTAGCTTATTAAGGATTAGAAGGATGTTCATGATGTCATTACTGTTTGAGTTTGATATTATGAGGAAGAGCTTGCCCACACATAGAGAATCTTGGCACCATTAGCCCATTTGGAATTCTAGTCTAGAAGAATCATAGATTTGAAACAGGATGATGTTTATGAAATGGAGAAGTTACAATTTTCATCATTTAGAAATCCCCCTTCAAAATCCCCTCTCAAACCCCCCTGTTCATGTGTTGGCAGAGTTGTCCATCACTGACCATATGTGAAAAGATCTGCTGTTCTTTGAATAAGCATCATATTTCTGCTGTGGTTTGTGATATTTCTATTGTGATACTCACAACTATTTTTAATACCGATGAAATTGTGTTTCAGTCTGTTGTAAATTTAGAGCATATGTTGACCAGTGACAAGAACCAGAAGAATGCCACACATTTTATGAACTGTTAATAAGTCCGTAAACTGATGGTTTTGCAGCCAAAACTCTGATACTACTGGCATTAGCTGACATTCCAATTTGGATTTCTCCTTGAAAATGCGTCTGCTTTAAAGTAATAGCTCTGTTCCTGCCCTATTTTCCTCAAAGTACGGTATCAGATTTCATTTATGCAACATAATTTTAGAGGGAGAAAGAAGTGGAACTATACTGTTGCTTCTTTGTTCTTAGGTGAAACCAACATTCACCGTTTTAGAGTTGGTGCTTGTATCTAGAAATTTAGCAGGCACGCAAATGATGGCTGTTGGGTAAACTTGAAAAACGTCACCGTGGCTCTTAAATATATGGTGCTAAACTGGATGCGTTAAGACTCATAGCATGTCATGTCATGTTTTGGAAATTACCTCTGTATCTAAAGCATTTTATTATTCAGATTTTATAAATGTGTGTAACAAATGAGGTAGCATCTGTGAACACACTGTTAAACTAAAAAGCACTTTAGATGTGAAAGGTATTTTTTATTTATTTCTTTTACTATCAGTTTATATATGCATTTCTACCCCCATTCCACTTTCTTATATTCAAAATAACTTTCTTCAATAGGTATTATCATTCAAAATGTTTACCAAGTACTTGCTAGATTCAAAGCTCTGTCTTAGGAACTTTGCACACAAAGACATGTAAGACACTATCTCTGTCTTCAGGGATTTTTAAGACATTTGAAGAAGCCATGCTTAGAAAAAAAGTCATGAAAATGCCAGCTACCTATAAATAAGTTTCTAATGGGTGTTTGTAAACATAAATATTGAGAAAGTTCAGAAGAAGGAATAACCACTCTGCCTGAAATAAGTAGCAGATGCTTAGACTAGTTGGAACTTAACAGGAGATGCAGGGCCTTGAATAAGGAGATAAACTGAGGGAGAAGCATCCAGACTGAGAGGCTGGCAAAGGGGAAGCTCTGGAGGCAGGGTGTGGATCTATTGGGTGCTTAGCAGTTAATATTTGCTGTTTTAATGATTCTTATAGGACCCAAAGACCTTCACTGACCTACCAGGTATATGTGCAGATATACGGGAATCACTCAGGTTTATAGAGTCCATGTACATCTCATCACAGCACATGAGCGAAATAACTTCCTCAGTGGTCTATTTCCAAGGGGAATGTTCTTATAGGTCTTGGGGAGTATTTTTGGCCAAAATCAGGACCTGGTTCTTTTTTCCTTTTCTCTCTGGACATTAATCAGGTCATCTCGACTCAGGTTGAAGTGTAATATAAAGGAGGAACAAAATAACTCTGGAAATGTTGGGAGCAAAAGAGTGCAGAGAGCCAGAAATTTACCAGGAAGCATGTGGTGAACACCTGCTATATATCATGTATTGTGCTAGTTGCAGGAGGATACAAAAGCAATGAAAATTTATCCATATCTTCAACTTTACCAATTTTTAAGAAAAACAACACATGAAACAGACAAAGAACACAAAGGTATATATGTTTCTATACTAAATTGGAAAGTACCTACTTACAAAGATGAAAATCAGCACGGCGGAATAAGGCCTGCCTTAGGAGCCTCAACAGTGGCAGAAAGCATACAACTCTTGAAAAATGTATTTTATACAAACCCCAAGGTCTCCTTCCTCATGCATGTTATCAGTCTTGACACACATTTCTTGCTAAATTGTGGGTCTTTTCTGTATTTAGTCAAGAACTGAAATTTCTGTAATTATGACTAGAATGAATACCATTAGCTGGAATACAGTTTCTCCAGGGGATAAAACATGATTGACATTTCTAAACTGTGTAATGTTATTTTAACAAGGAGTCCTACACCAAAAGAATTTGACTCTGTTCTGTTGTAAAGACATAGGTTCAAAAAACAGTGTAAATAACAGCAGGCATGTTGGATATTTTTCTCTTCAAGGTAAAGAAAACTATTATCTGGAGTAAGGGATTTATAGGTAACCCCAGTTACCTATCTACAAGGGGGTTATCGCTTTTATTTCGTAATAACCTTGAGTGCCCTCTCTTACTTATGGTCAGATTCTAAACCACCCAGGCTGTAGGTGACAGTACTAATCCTGAGTCTGAGTAAAGAAACAAGAGTTCATTCCACAATCTATTTACTTATTAATAGGTGTTCAAGATCATTACTCATTTTACAGTTAAAAAAAAAAGGAAAACTTCTCTTCTCTCAGTAGATAATTGAAAATGTATTCTGTAAGCACATCATCACTCCAAGCAGAAAGCCTGAATACACAGCACAGAAGACCTGTGGATTTGGACTAATTTGGGAGAAAGCCAGTATGAACATTAATGTAGTTTCATTGATTTTGTATATAAATATTAATTTGAGCTATAGTTAATTAAATACTTCTAAGTTGAAGCCTTGCTGGGTCTGCTTCAGTAAGTAGATATGAATATTAAGATCCATTAAAAAGTGTTTTACTAAGCAAATAAAAATGTTTCCTATGATCAGGCTTACACCCTCAATATACTTGGCAAGCCTGTCTGCAGTGTGTGTGAGAAGGTGGACTTAATTCAACCTTTCCAGAGAATTGCCAGCACATAGGCTTCATCAATCACCAAATTCCCCCAGGCGTGAAAATTAGTCATAGGCTAGTTGTGCACTCACTTGAGAATATCACGATGTGAAGGGTTTTTGTACTCAATTACCTGTATAACTTTTTCCCTAAAAGGAAATACCATTTTGTTTAAAGTAACTATTACACACGGTATGTTATGAGCCTCAGTTTCCATAGCTATAAATTGTTGAGTAATAATATTTGTCTTACTATTATGAGTATTACATGTATGTTATTTTTGTCATGTAAGGATTAAATGTATGTGGAAGTTTCTTGAAATTCTATAAAGTATGTATGTTAAACATTGTGAATATGACCTGAGACTAGGACCTTTGTCTTTAAATTTTTGGTCCATATTTCTTGAAAGTACTTTCAACTTCTCTCTTTCTCCCTCTCTTTCTTGGGTTAATGTTTTACACAATCTAGCTTTTATTTTCTTTTCAATGTTCTTCTCATCTTCAGTATCTGTGATATGTCCTTATCTCCATTATCTATTATAA
Organism: Homo sapiens; assembly: GCF_000001405.40. Taxonomy (NCBI): domain Eukaryota; kingdom Metazoa; phylum Chordata; class Mammalia; order Primates; family Hominidae; genus Homo; species Homo sapiens. The sequence goes on along the minus strand of NC_000003.12, from coordinate 76,998,247 downwards.
TAGATGAACGCAAGTATCAATCAATTTGTCCTCCAAAAGTAAGCAACAATCAATGCTCCCTAATATGTAGGCCAGTATAATAACTATGTACTGTGTCAGGTTGTAAAACTGACCACAGAACATTGTAGAATCTTCCATGAAGAGATAGATTCTCTCCACCCTGGATTCTGAGCTGGTCTTGTGGCTTGCTTTGGCCAATAGAATACAGTGCAAGTGATGTTGAACTGTTCTGAGCCCATGACTCAAGAGGATTTATGTTCTTTTGTGCTCCCTGTTGGAATCCTGCACCAAAATGTGAACAAGCTCTGGCTAGTTTCCTAGATGATGGGAAAGCATATGGGGCTGAGCTAAGCCCTCCCTCTGAGGTCATTTTGGGCCATTTCCCAGCTGACATGGCAACTGCTGCAATACAACAGCAAGCCCTGCCTAGATCAGAACAACCAAACTGCAGATCCACAGCTTCGTAAGCAAAATAAAATCGTTTTGTTTTGTTGTCAATACTTATGCAGCAAAAACTAAGTGATATGCCCAGTGAGGATACATTATGTAAAACTGAGACATCAGAAGCTCAACTTATACGATCTTCTCTCTCATGTCACTCTTGATCTGGTCTTTCTCTTACTTTTTACACTATTGGTATTTCTTTTCACTTGTAACACAATAATTACATTGCTTTCATAAAACTCTTCTCTAATCTTTGAAAACCATTTCAGACTTTGCCCATGTGTTCGAAGATATTAGGGAACTCTTCTAATTTAGCATCATACGGAAGGATCATGCTGTCAATTAGTGAGCAGAGTCATTGATAAAAATGTAAAAGAACATTAGACCCCACAACTGACTTCACATATTATACTGTTCAATAAGCACTATCACTCAACAGGAGAAATATAATAATAGGAGAAATAGAAATTCATTGTAAGGTATAACATTATCCATCTACTATCAGATCAAATATCCATCTACTATCAGATCAATTTAAAATGCTTTAACACATATGGTCACATATATAAAAAGTATTGATTAAAGTGAGCAATATAGATTAAAATGTTGTGATTTGTGTTTTTCATGCATACTAAAAACAAAAACAATTATTTCTATTTAATACTACCTAAAACAAAACTTTCTGTAAAATATGGAGTAGCATATAACTATGGGATTTTAAAATACTGAAATAATTTATCTCAGAATAAGCAGAAGAAGGGATACAAATTAAATATCTAGCACACACTAATTATGTCTTAATACTTCTTTTTACTCATCTCATTAACTTATACACAAGAAGACAATAAGCAGATCTGTAATACTGGGGCAGACAAACTGGCAGACACATATTAGATTGTGTATCAGTTAATAATGATAGGGGACACTGTCAGCAATGCTTTACTTAATCATGCAGTAACATCAGACCCAGAAGCCACCAAAATAGAATAATTTTGCACAATTAGTAGAATAAACTAAGGAAGGACTAGTTTACTTTGTTAAACTCTCTTTCAAAATCCACCATAGTTTAGAATGAAAATACTTGGTAAGAATGTACTCGACTTGGTAAGAATGTACTGGACATTAAAAGAAGTTCAGTTTGAATTTAAAATGGCTGATGGGACAAAACCACTGCTCAATGAAAAAAAGAGGATACAAACAAATGGAAGAACATTCCATGCTCAGGGGTAGGAAGAATCAATACCATGAAAATAGCCATACCGTCCAAGGTAATTTATAGATTCAATGCCATCCCCATCAAGCTACCAATGACTTTCATCACAGAATTGGAAAAAACTACTTTAAAGTTCATATGGAACCAAAAAAGAGCCCACATTGCCAAGTCAGTCCTAAGCCAAAAGAACAAAGCTGGAGGCATCAAGCTACCTGACTTCAAACAATACTACAAGGCTACAGTAACCAAAACAGCATGGTACTGGTACCAAAACAGAGATATAGACCAATGGGACAGAACAGAGCCCTCAGAAATAATGCCACATGTCTACAACTATCTGATCTTTGACACACCTGACAAAAACAAGAAATGGGGAAAGGATTCCCTATTTAATAAATGGTGCTGGGAAAACTGGCTAGCCATATGTAGAAAGCTGAAACTGGATCCCTTCCTTACACCTTATACAAAAATTAATTCAAGATGGATTAAAGACTTAAATGTTAGACCTAAAACCATAAAATCCCTAAAAGAAAACCTAGGCAATACCATTCAGGACATAGGCATGGGCAAGGACTTCATGTCTAAAACACCAAAAGCAATGGCAACAAAAGCCAAAATTGACAGATGGGATCTAATTAAACTAAAGAGCTTCTGCACAGCAAAAGAAACTACCATCAGAGTGAACAGGCAACCTACAGAATGGGAGAAAATGTTTGCAATCTACTCATCTGACAAAGGGCTAATACCCAGAATCTACAATGCACTCAAACAAATTTACAAGAAAAAAACAAACAACCCCATCAAAAAGTGGGCAAACGATATGAACAGACACTTCTCAAAAGAAGACATTTATGCAGCCAAAAGACACATGAAAAAATGCTCATCATCACTGGCCATCAGAGAAATACAAATCAAAACCACAATGAGATACCATCTCATACCAGTTAGAATGGTGATCATTAAAAAGTCAGGAAACAACAGGTGCTGGAGAGGATGTGGAGAAATAGGAACACTTTTACACTGTTGGTGGGACTGTAAACTAGTTCAACCATTGTGGAAGTCAGTGTGGCGATTCCTCAGTGATCTAGAACTAGAAATACCATTTGACCCAGCCATCCCATTACTGGGTATATACTCAAAGGATTATAAAACATGCTGCTGTAAAGACACATGCACGCGTATGTTTATTGCAGCACTATTCACAATAGCAAAGACTTGGAACCCACCCAAATGTCCATCAATGATAGACTGGATTAAGAAAATTGTGGCACATATACACCATGGAATACTATGCAGCCATAAAAAAGGATGAGTTAATGTCCTTTGTAGGGTCATGGATGAAGCTGGAAACCATCATTCTCAGCAAACTATCACAAAGACAGAAAACCAAACACCGCATATTCTCACTCATAGGTGGGAATTGAACAATGAGAACACTTGGACACAGGAAGGGGGACATCACACACTGGGGCCTGTTGGGGGTGGGGGGTCTTGGGGAGGGATAGCATTAGGAGAAATACCTAATGTAAATAATAAGTTGATGGGTGCAGCAAACCAGCATGGGACATGTATACCTATGTAACAAACCTGCACGTTGTGCACATGTACCCTAGAACTTAAAGTATAATAAAAAAGAAAAAAAAAAGTAAATCTATGCTCAAATTATTCCTAATTCCAAATTAATGAAAAAAGTAACAATATTAACATAAGGTTTTTCCAACTTTGATATGTTTTTATTATATTGCTTCTTGTAACATTTCATTTAGTTGTTGGTGAAATGCAGAAGATTCTAGCACATCTGTGGTTTATGGAAGGGTAAGCCCAAAATATTAACATACATTTTTCCAGGAGAACTCAAGATATAATTTCACAAAACTGTAATTTCTCCAAGAACAGGTATCTTGTCCACCTATTTTTAAGCACTGTGTATATAGAGCTTTGCACACTATCTGGAGCATAATATGCCTTCAGTAAAGATTTGCTAAAAAAACAAATAAGAATTTCTTACTTGCTATCCTGAATCAGTCATTAACCATTCTTCTGATTATGATTTCAGAGAAAATTAGAAGACAAATGTTTTATTATTATTACACTGTTGTTATTCTGTTTGCTCATTGCAATCATTTCAGAGTAAATCACTTATAATTAGCAAAGAAAAGAGTAACCAATAAAAGCAGTTTCCAACTTTCCCAATGCAGTAAAAAGTTTAAAGTTTGTATGTGAGGACTCAACATGTGCTTTCCCGTAGAAACAGCATTAGAAATAATCAAGTTCACAAGCCAGTACACAAAGTCCTATGTGATCATTAATGTAGCTAAAGTATGTTACTAATGGAACAAGTCTAAATTCCTAGTTTTGATTGTTGTTGGATACATGGCACAGCAAGTGAAAGATATTTTCTCCTTTTCTTGAACAGGGTTGTTCAAAGCTAACATTTAACAATATATGCAGATAGCCTTGTGCACTCATTTACCAGCTTTAAAACAACAAAAAAAAAAAACAAAAAAAGCACATCTTTGTTTTTTTTCTCACCAAATTACGGAGTGAGAACTCAGAATGTGTGATCCTCAATAACCCACTGCTATTTTTACCAGGGTGGCATTAAGTCTTCTTCAGAGACATATTTCAGTAATGGTAACTGATGTGTAGCTGTCATTTAGAAGAGTAGAGCTTTAACTATTCTTACAATGTTTTGTTTTTTTTTTTTACAAAAGCTAAAGTTAAAAAAATATATAGTACTACATGGGTATAGATAGTTTCTATAGAATGGTTGACAGGAAATGCATGGGTATTTGGAGATAAATATCCTAAGACTGAAAACACATAACTCCCATGGGTCTCATGTTTTCTCATATTTGGTCCCTTATTTTAAGGACTAAAGAAGTCTCAGGACCCCTTCCCATCAAAGTATGGTATGTAACTTTCCTTTTCTTCTTCCTGTTTGAGTAGAGCCGTTAGGATGGAAACACGCTAACTAAACAATTCACACTTACCTATGAGTGACTGAAAGCCTTTTAACAAGATTCAAGGGAGATACCTGCATTTGTTTTTTTAAAGGAGGCCATTAACCAAACCAATCTTTACTTGGAAGAATTTCAAGCACTATATCAAAATAATATTAAAAAATTATGATATGAATGAAGACATTTTGGGGATAGTGATCTAGAACAAACAAAGATTTATTTTGAATAATTTGTATGTGACTTTGGGGATCATTTCCTCTAAGATACATTTGAATTTCACAAACTCTTTATTCCTTCACTTTTCAAGACAAGAGTTGCTAAGAGTGATGTTTACATTTTATTATTTTTTAAACAATAATAGACTCAAATGTTACTAGTAACTCTTCTTAGAAGATGAGACAAAAATTGATCAACAGGAGATTGACTGTAAGTCAGAAGCTTTGAAATCAAGGATGCTTTTATTTTTCTTGAAACTTTTTTTCTTCTAGCTTAAAAACTTTCGAGATTTTAGGCTGGGCACAGTGGCTCATGCCTGTTATCCCAGCACTTTGGGAGGCTGAGGCAGGTGGCTCACTTGAGGTCAGGAGTTTGAGACCAGCCTGGCAAACATGGTGAAACATCATCTCTACTAAAAACACAAAAATTGTCCAGGCGCGATGGTGAGTGCCTGTAATCCCAGTTATTCAGAAGGCTGAGGCAGGAGAATCACTTGAACCCGGCAGGTGGAGGCTGCAGTGAGCCAGGATTTTGCCACTGCACTGCAGCCTGGATGACAGAGTGAGACTCCATCTCAAAAAAAATTAAAAAAGTAAAACTTTGACTTTTTATGTTTTAGAATGACTGTGGTAGAAAATGGGTCTCAAAAACTGAAAGACTAGACCTCAAGCTATACCATTTCTTGTGACTCAGATGCTACCTATGGCAGGGGAAGATAGATTTCTGTTCAGCAACAGGGACATCAGGCCCTTCATATAGAAAAAAAAAATTCTTATTTTTAGGAAAAAATTGACGTTATGCCAACATTTCATATAATTCTCTCCCATGAAAAATTGGTCCAAGTGCATGATTTTTTTTCTCACGAAATTACGGAGTGAGAACTCAGAATGTGCGATCTTCAATAACCCACTGCTATTTTTACCAGGGTGGCATTAAGTCTTCTTTAGAGATGTATTTCAGTAATGGTAACTGATGTGTAACTGTCACTTAGAAGAGTAGAGCTTTAAATATGCATATACTTTTTTTTTACAAAAGCTAAATTTATATATATATATATATATATATATATATATATATATATATATAGTAATACATGGATATAGATAGCTTCTATAGAATGGTTGATAGGAAATGCAAGGGTATTTGGAGATATATGTCCTAAGAATGAAAACACACTGCTGCCATGAGTCTCATGTTTTCTCCAGTTATCTGCCCTTTTCTGACTTAGTTTTAGTGTACAATAAATAGTTCTTTGGTAACTCTGTTAGAAAGGACTCTTTTTCTAACAATGTGTTATGCTTATACTACAGGATAGTAAATTTTCTTGGAACAAGGTCTATGTTCTGGGTGGCATACATTTCACATTCAGAACAAAAGCAAGCATCCACACTGAAGAACTAGAAGTTCTATTTGGTCATAGAAATTTATAAGGGGCAGCTCCTTTACATTTCTACAGTGTCCCATATGTATACCAGAGTGACTATCTGATTAAAGGCTTTTCAGATAACCCTGCATTTGAGGATATATGTCCTCCAAGCTGGGGTCAATAGCCTTACTGGAATGCAAAACACAAATTCAGAGGTTTTTGAACTCTGCCACACTCTATTTTCTCTGATAGTTGAAGCCTTTCTACTCCCACTAACAATGTATTCACTTGGTTTCTTATTGCAAATCAATAAATGTCAGGATATTCATGCTATGCACAACACATCAAAAGCATAATATGTTAATCTAACATTAGGGCTTTATCTAGATTTTCTATGGTAAAGAATACTTTTTCTTTGAATTATCAACTTATTATCTCTTCAAAACGTAATGAAAGTCCTCAAAACTTAATGAATCCCGTGATAAAAAGCAAAACAACACACAACAGCGTTGTGGAACCATGACTTATACAACTCCCTTGCACAAGCACAGAGATCTGAGCTGATAGTGGTTGTAGATATATGAGCAACATTTCATTGTAATTGGTATTAATGACTTCAGACTACACACAGAAAGTGAAAACTAGAAAACAATGCATACTGTGCGATGATATTGCATTTAGGTGAATTACTCATAATTTAGTAGTTTAGAATGTTGCAATACAGCATATTACACAATAGTTTGACTTAACTCTTTAGCCATCATCACCTATAGGTAAAAATAACTAAGTATTTTTTACCAGTGGCGAATCCATAAGGGTCTGCATACATGTCTGCAGCAAGCTCAATTCTTCCCTCCTCAGAAGAGAGAATTTTACTGAGCAGCATAAGGCAGAAGAGACCAGGTCAAGTTTTAGAGCCGTCGTGAAAGTTTACTAAAAAGCTTTACAGCCAGAATGAAAAGAAAGTTAAGTACACTTGGAAGAGGGCCAAGTGGGCAACTTGAAAGACAAGTGACCAGTTTGACCTTCTGACCTGGGTTTTACAAGTTGGCATGCTTCTGGGGTCTTGCTACCCTTCTCCCCTAATTCTTCCGTTGGGGTGGGCTGCCTGCTTGGCCCGCCAGCACTTGGGAGGGGAGCCTGTTCAGTGTGTTTACTGGAGCTGTATGCATGCTCACTTGAGATATTCTTCCCTTACCAGCCGAATGTCCCTAGAAGGTCACATACCAGTTAAACTCACCGTTTTGCCTCTTGATATGCATGCTTGAGCCCATTCACCCAACTCCTGAGATCTCATCAGGAAGCTGCTGATCACCAGTTTCAGGTTTTTCCTATATATGGGGAGACTGCCTTTCCTTTCCCTAGCGCTGGCTGCAACCAATTACTATTTTAGAGAGATAGTTAACAACTGCATGACCATCACCTGATGGTCCCTAACATTCTTGGCGTGTGTTGGGGGGCCAGAGGGAGCCCTCTCCTGCTCTGCTCATGTCTGACTAGCTATCTACTGTAACAGTTCCAATGGCTGTTATTCAGTAATGTGAATAGCAGCAAATTATATTCTGAATATCAAGGTTTTTTTAAAAAACTGTCAACATTAGGTAGAGCTAGTATTTACTAACTTTAATATGTTGATTTCCTAACTAGAGTCATGAAAAAATTTAAATGATAGAAACTTTGTGATTTTATATGTTTTGTTTTTGTTATTAATGATTTTGCATATGTAATATGTAACTGTGCCCATATGTTCTAACTGGAAATAGGTAGGCAGGAAAGCTATCTGGTTAAGTTGAAGAAAGACCAGCTAAGAAAAGCTAAGGTTTTCAGAACAGTCATTTTGAAAGAGATGAAGAAAATACATCGTGATGAATCCCACTGAGTTTGTAATAGCTACCCTAAAATTCTGCATTTTAGTTTTTCATTTTATTTTAATTTTTAAAAGAATAGAAGAGAGTAGAAAAATAATTTTTCAATAGCTTTCATAATACAAGTTACTGGAGTTTGAAAGGAAAATAATCATCTTACCATACTGAGATCTATTAGATCTCAAGGTCTAAAACATGAATTAAAGCCCTAGGTTTAATGCTAATAATAGGATTCAGGAGCAACAAAAGTGAATAATCAACCTTTTAAGTGTAAAAGAAACACAACTATGCCCCTGTTCATGCATGCCCACATGTGTATGGGCCTGTGGACACACACATACACACAGACAAACTATATAAGAAAATTTTATTTCACCTGTCATTATAACTTGTTGAACTGCTTTGTCCCAAATATCCTGCCAGATTTCTCTCTAGTCTTATATCAGTTTTCTTATAATAAATACCCAGTCTTACTGAAATATGGAAATGTAATAGGGTGAAAAATTAGAGCACATAGGAGAAAACCTTCTCCAAACACAGTATAATGATTTAAATTAAATTTTGTTGCTCTAGCATAATAATCTATTATCTTTTTATTTTTTTCAAATGTCATCCTAAGAACCCGGCGGTTAGTTACAAATATTTCATCTCAAATGTTGTCTTCTAAGTTTAAATGTTTTTTAAACTTAGAAGTTTAAAAAACACCCCAAACTACTTACAGAGACTATAATGGGAAATGAAAATTACATACTTTTATTATCATATTATGTATAGTTTATGCTCATTAGACCATAATAGGGTGATTAAGAGCAGAATCAGCCTGCACAGATTCAAAATGTATTCCTTGTCTGCTCTGTTTCATTCATCAGTTTATGTAGCTTTTCTGAGCCTCACTTTCCTAATCGGTAAGTGGCTATAATATCCCATGCAAAGTGCTTACAAATGTCAAATTTATATTACATTCACCATAAATATTTCCTATTACTGTCTACTCTATGAAACTTACCTTTCTAATATTTTAACAGTTTCATGTTAAATGAGTTTCTTCCCCTATTACCAAACTACCAATTTTGTTGATCAGTATAGATAAGAATGCAAAAGTATTGATACTCAGCAAGTGTTTAATTATCATGTTAAGAAGGTGTTTAGGGAGATAATACATATGAAAATACAGGACAAATGTTTCTTCTACAAACTGTGATTTATAGCATATTTTATTATATACCTTAATATAAATTATTTTTCTAAATAGCACATTGGAACAATTTGAAGCTTCTCTTTGGAGTAGGTCTTTAAATGTGCAGCATCAGGGCAGGGCTGAGGTAAACACTTCTGTAGTTTGATACTCGATTTTGAAAATACATATTCACTTCTTGATCTTAATGTCTCGAAGCACAAACTGCAGTTCAGAAAGGAAGTTGTTTTAGGCTTTGTTTTCAGAGCAAAGGATCAGAGGCATTAATGTCTCAGTTCTACTGAAACAAAGAAAATTAATCTACTGGGAATAACAGTGGTATTAAAAGTCAGGCCAACACCAGCAAATTGAAGTGGAAATAAAGACACTTATCAAAATAACTCAGAGAAAGGTAAAGAAAAGGTAAGGAAATGAAAGGAGGATGAACCAAAGGAAGGACTGACAGATGGAGAAAATAAGAGTACTGTCTTCTACATTTCTACATATAGAGAAAATAGGAGCACTCTCTTCTAGATTTCTGACCTTGATTACAGCCCAAACTCCCACAATACAAGTTATATAAATTATTGATAGAGCTCATTGGAAAGTGCTTTTTAGCCTGACTTATTCACCTAATTGTTCAATTCTCAATTTACTACTTCACTTTGGTGGTGGAGACCTGACCAAAGAGGGTTTTTGGCAACCATCCATTCCCCTACTGACCTCTTTCTAATCAGGTTAACCACAGCTGGGAAGACATGATTTACAGTATATTTTTATTTGGCCCTTGGTGGAACTGCAAAAAAGCCTTACCTTTAGGGTTAATAAAAATGAGTACATCAACTGATTATTTTAAAAATCTACTTTTCTAACAGGTTATAAGATGAACAATGGTGTAATGCTCATATCAGTAAATTGGTTGCATAATATTTTATTTTGTCTCGTAATTACCTTTTAATTACCAAATAAAGTTAGCTTATATACATGTATTTTAACAGTAAGAAATGTCTAATTTTCAAAAATAAAAGCATATATCATGACAAATGATCTTTATAGATTATTTTAATATCACTTAATTTTAAATTTGACATTATCTTTACGTGACAGAGTTAAACTTTAAAAATATTAATAATACACTTCATTTTTAGGTGTTTGCCATGCAAAAAAAAATTCTCGTAAACAAAATGAAGTTAATTATTTGGAGAACTTTAAACTATTCCCAAGGAAATGCTTATTTATCCACAAATTAGTGTGGTAATCAGTGGTGGTACAAAAAATCTATGAGAACTGATGGGTCGTTTTGAAAGGGGGTATTAAAGAAACAAATTTAAAATTACTGATTTGAACATAAAATATCACTGGCTTTTTTTTAAGCTGCCTTTTTAAAAACGTGGAAGATCAGGCTAATTTTTTAGAAGTGCATGAATTATTGATGGCATAAAGTCCTTTGCAATATCCCAGTAAAATACATTGCTACATAGGTTTTGAGTTATATTTTGTGACTACTGTTCCCAAAAGAGAAATAGGACCAAGTGAATACTGCTAGAAGCAAGGAATTCAGCTCTAAACCCTGATGAAGATTTCAATCAAAGGGAAGTCGCACATGGAGCATTAAGAAAGAAAATAACACTGTGACGCATGATTCCCTCCCCCCCACTACACGGCAGTGTGGAACTGAAACAAAATGAACAGTGCAAATAGGTCTGAGAAAGCATGTTCTTTGTAAAAGGCCGAGATCTCTAGAGGGCAGTGTATTAAATTGCAGATATTATCTAGCTAAACCCCAAATCATAAAAGCATGAAATTAGTAATTGACTCAATTTGCCTCATTTATTAGTAGCTCAGACCTCTGCTAGAATTAATATTGCCCAACGGAATTTCAAGTAGTGGTGGCGTGGCGTATCACGACAGAGATTAGCGCCTGCTTCTTTTACTGTACTTCAAACATCCCACATCCTCCAATTAGCTGAGCTCTAATCTAATATGCATGCTTTTGGCACTTTTATTGTCAATAAGATGTGACATCCGTTTTTTATAATGTCACGTTCATTTTAGTTAGTGTGGAATTCACTGTGCCTTAATTTGGCATGGTCTTTCTAGCTGTTTGTTGTATCTTGTCTCAGCCTAGGGGTTTACTTATTATATTCCCTATCGATTTTAATAATAGATATCAATTAAAGATGAAGGTTAATTATGTATACGCATGTAATATAAAATTTGCTAATAGCATAGTCAGTTCCATATTATAATACAAATACCACAACCAAGCACAATTCCATACTTTATTTCATATTTTTCTAGTGGTGATTATACATGAATTACATTTCCATTTTCCTAGTGTTGGCAATAATTACTATTTTTGCACATGTACAGATTAATTTTATAATATTTCAAAAAAGAATCTGTTTTTTAAAAATTGTAATATTCTTAAGTTATTTTGGTGATAATTACAAAATAATATAACTTTCCCCCCTGAAAGTCAAGAACTTTAATTTATAATAGAACATTAGTATGTTCTTGGGCATTCTGGCAATGAGTAATAGGAAATTAAGACACGGTTACCTGTGTTTACCTAAAAATATATATATTTTTGGTGAAACTCATGTTTTATAGATTCCAAACAAAGCTATGTTCTAGAACCTAGAATTTGACCTACATCTTAAAAGCAGTAATAAAAATTTTTAAAGCAGAGGTAACTCCTCAGAATTTTGATCAATAGTAAACAGCCCTAAAGATAAATATTCTACATTATGTAACTTAGATTTTTATAAATTGTATCGATCAATGCGTACTATATAGCAAGACATTTAAATAGATATTTTGCCTTTTAGTACTTGGAACCATTTGATTAATTAAGAAACAGTGCAGCTTTTCTATTGTGATGGTATAAGAAATGAAACAGTGCCAAAATACACATAACATATGAAGTTTCAAAAATATAAATCTGCTTTAAATGCTTATCAGAGTTATTGATTAGATTTATAGTCAGTGGGCAAGAAAATAACATTTTCAAAAATAAAAAGGTTGCTTAAAAATCTTGCCCAAAAATTTTATTAAGAAAGGGGAAGTAAAAGTTACAAATGTCCTTGTAAGGGATTTCCAACAAAATTAATGACCACATGGAGTTAATGGTCCCAGGACCACAAGCTCTTCCAGTTGATCATTAATCCTCAGGAAATACTGGCATCATATATGTTATTGTTGAAACTATATCTAGCCAAGAGGTCCACTCTGTTCCTTCACTGTTGCTTGAATTATATCCCACCTGTTGAGTTGAAGTTGAATATGCAATGGAATAATTTTGAAGAACATTAGCCATTGCTAACAATGTTCAAATTGATTATGTCCTCCTAGAGAGAAATGAACTGCTCCGTTTTTTTATGCAAAAATAGATTATCTTCTTTTTTTTTTTTTTTTTTTTTTTTTTTTTTCAGACGGAGTCTCGCTTTGTCGCCCAGGCTGGAGTGCAATGGCTTGGCTCACTGCAAGCTCCGCCTCCTGGGTTCCCACCATTCTCCTGCCTCAGCCTCCTGAGTAGCTGGGACTACAGGCACCTGCCACCACGCCCGGCTAATTTTTTGTATTTTTAGTAGAGATGGGGTTTCACCGTGTTAGCCAGGATGGTCTCGATCTCCTGACCTCGTGATCTTCCCACCTTGGCCTCCCAAAGTGCTGGGATTACAGGTGTGAGCCACCGTGCCCGGCCAGATTATCTTCATTTTATAAATTTCATAGCCAATATTTTCCTAAAGCACATATTTTAAAGTTATTCAGTATAACATATATTTTAGCTCACTTTAATGTTTAATAAAATTAACATTATGATTATTAATTACAAGTTAAAATTATTGATCTAATAAATTCAGTGTACTAGACTATGCAAGAGGTCAAACCTTAAAGAGAAAAGAAATGAGAACATGAGAAAAGGTGTGTTTCTACACAAACTAAGATTATTCACATCATTCTATATTGATTAATGTCAACATTATTACATTACTCATATCAATTCTATTTTGACAATAATTCTGAATTCATTATTTTAGTTTGGGCTAAATTATATTAAAGATATTCAGGTTTTATTGCTGTAAAATACTTTCAACCTATATATGCTATATATTTTTGTGTATCATTGAAAAATTAATAATAAAAGTATATGTAATTATGTCAAATAAATGCATTATAGTGGTATAAAATATTTGTTCAAACTTTTTGTCCCTTCATTTTACTATTCTAATTCTCTACTCTCATTTTTTTTAATTTTTCTAATACTGTTTGATTCTCTTATAATCTACTTATGTGAGTCAGACTTTTATCCTCCTCTTCATATTTTATGAGTATCATTGTTAGTTTTAGATCCAGGGCTTCCCACCACGTTTCCATGTATCTTTCAAACTTTTTCTAGGAGGATGGCAAACCCAAAGTAAAAGGGTTTAACCCTCATCTGGATTTCGGTAACTGCTTCTATCTCCCCTGGAACCAAATCGTACTTACAGGTGTGGTAGAGTGTGGATACCCCAGTGGTTGCGCTCTTGGAGAACAATAGGCTCAGTGAAGGTCACGGGTCTAATTTTCTTCCTTTTGTACTTTTTCTAAACTCTCTTAAACTTCCTGTGCCAAAAAGGTTTGATGTCCTGTTCTACTGGGTCTTAGAAAAAGGCTTGGCTACAGTAAGTAAAGAGCTGAAAAAGCTGGAGAAAGAAATTTAGTGAATAGAGAGACTAGATGGTAAATGTAAAGAAAACCAGGCTTGCAGTCTTCTGACCCAAGTGTGAATCCCAGCTGATATGGTTCGGCTGTGGCCCCACCCAAAATCTCATAATCTCATTTTTGAATTGTAATCCCCAGAATCCCCACGAGAAAGGGCTGGACCAGGTGGAGGTAACTGGATCCCGGGGGGCGGTTTCCCCCATGCTGTTCTTGTGATGGTGAGTGAGTCTCATGATATCTGATGGTTTTATAAGCCTCTGGCATTTCCCCTGCTGGCACTCACTCCATCCTGCTGCCCTGTGAACAAGGTGCCTGCGTCTCCTTTGCATTCTGCCATGATTGTTAAGTTTCCTGAGGCCTCCCTAGCCACGCAGAACTGCGAGTCAATTAAACTTCTTCCTTTATAAATTACCCAGTCTTGGGTATTTCTCCATAGCAGCCTGAGGAAAGACTAATACACCAGCTTTACCAGTTATTTAGCTGATTTGGGTCAAGCCACTTGAACTTGTAGGAATTCAGTTTCCTCATGGTAAAAGTGGGAGGACGTACCTTATCTGGACAGAGTGAGTCAAATGTGATTATTTGTATGTAAAATCACTCTATTGTCTATCATATAATAGGTACTTTGTAAGTTTTTTTCAATCTTGAAATAAGAACTGATCAAATCTATTTAACCAAACAAACAGTATTCTTGTCCTTGTAGGTTCTTTAGATATTTCTTCCAACATAAATTCCTATTCCAATATTGGGTGGAAAAAAGGGTGTGAATGAAATCAATATAGACATTACTAACTAAATAGATGGATTAATTATATTAATATGTAAATTTACCCTTGGCGTTCACTTTATTCCTTTATTTAGTTTAGAGAAATGTATTTACTAAATCATATATTGTCTGTTAAGAAAGCAACATATGCCTTTCAAATCTTTGAAAAAATTTGTCAATTGTTGAACTAGTAGTGCTTATTTTCTTTTCTAAATATTAAATATGTACACTTTATAATTTTTTTTTTGAGACGGAGTCTCACTCTGTCACCCAGCCTGGAGTGCAGTGGCGCTATCTTGGCTCACTGCAACCTCCCCACCTTCCGGGCTCAAGCAGTTCTCCTGCCTCAGCCTCCTGAGTAGGTGGAATTACAGGCATGAGCCACCACGCCCGGCTAATTTTTTGTATTTTTAGTAGAGATGGGGTTTCACCATGTTGGCCAGGCTGGTCTCAAACTCCTGACCTCGTGATCTGCCCGCCTCGGCCTCCCAAAGTGCTGTGATTACAGGCATGAGCCACCATGCCTGGTCTACACTTCATAATTAAACACCAAGTTGGAATAAATAGCTATGCTAAGTTTTCTTTAATTAAGAATTATTGATCCTGAATATTTTGTTGTTCATGTATGAATTATTAATTCACATAAATAAAAATAAGTCTAATGGGCACTGATTGCTAGAAATTCTACTAACGAAGCATGGTGAAATGAAACAAAAACACATTCATTCACTGATGCACCTAATATCATTTTCAATACAATTTCTACTGTATTTTAATGTATAGAAGTCATTTAAAAATTATATTTGAGATATTTCACATAGTCACAAAATAAATAGGTATAAATTAATAAGATACAACCGTGCCCCATAATTCTTTCATTTTATTTTATTTCACAGTGTAATATATCTTCATATAAAATGTACTTATTTAGCAAAACTGTCAAGTAAATCTTAACATTCACATGAAAATTCAAGAGATCCAGAATAGCCAAAACAATCTTGAAAAACAAGAACAAAGCTGGAGACCTCACATTTCTCAATTTCAAAATTTACTACAAAGGTATGCTAATCAAGACAGTGTGGAAATGGCATTAGGATAAAATTGCAGATCAATGGAACATAATTGAGAGTCCAGACATAAACCCTACATCGCAGTCAATTGATTTTCAACAATGGTGCAATAGTATTTGATTAGAAAAGAATTGTCTTTTCAAAAAAATCATTCTGAGACAACTGTATAAGTAGATGTAACAGAACAAAATTGGAACCTTAACTCATACCATATAAAAAACTAAGTCAAAATAGTTCAAAGGCTGAAATGTAAGAATATAAAACTCTTAGAAGAAAACATAGGGGTAAATCTTAATGAGCTTGAATTTGGTGGTAGTTTCTTAGATACGAAACCAAAAGCAAATGCAGCAGCAACAAAAAAATAGAGAAATTGGACTTCACCAAAATTAAAAGGCTTTTTTTAGTTCAAAGAATACTGATATCATCTGGATATTTATCCCTGCCCAAATCTCATGTTGAAATGTAATCCCCAATGCTGGAGATGGCACCTGGTGGGAAGTTTCTGAATGATGGGGGTGCATCCCTCATGGCTTGGTGCTGCCTGTAAGATAGTGAGTTTGTTCTGGGGAGAGCTGGTCATTTAAAACTGTGTGGCATCTTCCCATCCACTCTCTCGCTCTCTCTCTTGCCCCTGTTTTTGCCATGTGATGTCCCTGTTCCCCGTTCACCTGTCAGCATGATTCTAAGCTCATAGAGGTTTCACCAGAAGCCAAGCTGATGTCAGCACTATGCTTCCTGTAAAGCCCACAGAATAGTGAGCCAATTAAACCTTTTTTCTTTATAAATTACCCAGTCTTAGGTATTTCTTTATAGCAATGCAAGAATGGACAAATACAGATATTGTGAAGAGAGTAAAAATAAAACCCACAGAATATTAGAAAGTTATTGCAAATCTGATAACTTATACCTAAAATATACAAAGAAATATTTTAACTCAATAATAAAAACAAAAATCACCCAATCAGAAGAGATATACCTCCAAAGAAGATATACATATGAACAATAAACACATAGAAAGTTGTTCAAAGTTATAGCCATCAGGGAAATGAAAATTCAAATTCACAATGAGATATCACTTCACAACCACTATGATAGCTGTAGTAAAAAAGTGCTGTGGAGGATATGTAGAAATTGGAATCTTCCATACAATGCTGATTGCTGATAGCTATGTGAAATGGTATAGCCACTTTGGAAAATAGTCTGTCAATTCTTCAAAAGATTAAAACATATAGTTACTATATGACCCAGCAATCCTCTTCAGGTATATACACGAGAGAAATAAAAGTATATGTTTACACAAAATCTTGCACATAAATGTTTATAGCAACAGTGTTCATAATAGTCTAAATGTGCAAACAACCTACATGTCCATCAATTGGTGCATAGACAAACAAAATATGTTATTTCCATGCAATGGAACATTATTAGGCGACGAAAACGAATGAAGTACTGATACATGCAACAGAATGGGTGATCCTTGAAAACATTATGCTAAGTGAAAGAATCCAGTGATAAAGGACAAGATGATATTATATGAATCAATTTACATAAAATATCCAGAAAAGACAAATTTATATGTAGAAAATGTAGATGATTAGTTGCCTAAGGCTGGGGAGGGAGAGAGGATTAGGGATGGAGGTGAAGGGTTTTCTTGATACAATAAAAATGGTCTACAATTGTGGTAAATTTTGCATAGCAAATATAATAAAAAACATTGATTTGTATACATGTTAATAGGTAAGTTTTTTGGCATGTGAATTATCACATCTCAATAAAAGCTGTTACCAAAAAAAAGCAAGAAAAGATTACCAAGATTATTATTAATTTTAATAATAAAGTTAAACCCACTTCCCAAAATGCATAGTTCAAGTTGTCAATATATTAAGAGAAAAGATATTTTATTTTACTTGTATTAAAACAAATTTTGTTATTGATGTTATCCCATTAATATAATCTGTGGTATGCTATTTTGAATCTCCTAGCATAATTTCTTTCACTATACCTGGGGCCACAGTCTGGTATAGAAAATTAAAGGGGAAGATGGAACCGTTCATCCTCCAGCTGCCCCCTGTCAAGTACAGCCCTGATACCATACAGTAGCTGATGCTTCCTAAGTTAGCATCTTGCACTATTTCTAAAGATTTAGGAAGCCAGCGTAGCTAGAGTAGTGGCTGTGCTATTTCTGCCTTTTGATTACTTAGGCCCATTGTGGTTTAACCGCCAATGGCCGAGGAAATGTTTTGCAGTAAAGCTCAGCCTTCACATTATATACAGCAGCCTTAATAAACAAAAAGCAGCCGAGAATGGCCAATGGAATAAGATAGTCCTCCATTTGCAGAGTTTCCTGTGCCATTTTACTAAGCTTCACCACTTTCTCATGATTCAAAGTAAGTTATTTCCTGCAGTATGGTACCAGATGTGCATGCTTCTAGTATCATCACCAAACACACCAAAGTATTTCTTCCTTTATAAGCTCAGCAGACAATTCAGCAAAGACATTTTTTTTTTTTTTAACCAAGTCTCTATATCAGGTTTTGGAACAGAAAGTCCTCTTTAGTTCTTAACTTTATAAAATTCCCAGGCCTTGTTTCCAGGAATCTCCTCAAATTGTTACACAGTGAGTTTACACTCAATAAAAGAAAACATCAAGTAAAGAATACAAAATGCATAGGGAAACTAAGATCTTAAAGTAAGTGTGTGTGTGTGTGTGTGTGTGTGTAAGAAAAGTAATTGGAAGATGTTACTTTTCTCTGCACAAAATTAACTATCATTCATTCCAGCAATCCCACTACCCCACTACTGAGTGTCTACCCAAAGGAAAAAAAAATCATATCAAACATATACCTGCGCACACACACACACACACACACCACACACACACATACACCCCAATACCATTCAGCAATAAAGAAAAATGAAATCATGTCTTTTGAAGCAACATGAATGGAACTGGCGGCCATTATTTTAAGTAAAACAACTCAGAAACAAAATGTCAAATACTACATGTACTCACTTATAGGTGGGAGCTAAATGAGTGTACACATGGTCATACAATGTGAAATAATAGACACTGGAGACCTGGAAGAGTGGGAGGGTGGAAGGGAGCTGAGGGATGAGAAATTACTTAACAGGTACAGTGAACATTATTCACATGCTGGTTACACTAAAAGCCCAGACTTCACCAATATACAATATATCTAAGTAAAAAAAACTACACTTGGGCCAAATGTGGTAGCTCACACCTGTAATTCCAGCACTTTGAGAGGCTGAGGCAGGAAGACCACTGCAGCCCAGGAGTTCGAGACCAACCTGGGCAACATGGCGTAACCCCACTTCCACAAAAAAACACAAAAAATATCCAGGTGTGGTGCTGCACACCTGTAGTCCCAGCTGCTTGGGAAGCTGAGATGGGGGGATCATTTCAGCTCAAGATGTTGAGTCTACAGTGAGCAGTGATTGTGCCATTGCACTCCAGCTTTGGCAACAGGGCAAGACCCTGTTTTTCTTTTTTTTTTTTTTAAAAAACAAACAAACAAACAAAAAAAACTCTAAAACTGCACTTGTACTCCTTATATTTACACAAAAAAAAGTAAAACAAGAAACCAGCTGAACAGAGCCCTCATAAGTCTGAAATATCTTCTCTGTCTTTGCTTGGGAAATCGTATTCATATATGTGCATTTAGGGTATGTGTGTGTGGAACTGCAGCAGGGTGAACCCATATTTTATTTCCACTATTTATTATAAGGTTGCAATTTCTCTTCTCGAAACTGAGTTAAGTATCTGTTACCTATTTTATTTCTCTGAGACATAGACAACTTGGTTTTTCAGAGCCTGGAGAATGTCCTTTATAATACTGCTTTCATTTTTAAGTCCAAAAAATATTGATTTCTCTGGTTATTCATCCTGATTTTCTGAGCAATATAGTTCTCATCTGGCAAAAGAGAGCTGAACTGAGCTATTTAGAAGAATCCATCGCATTTATTCATTGTTAAAAGACACTCAAATATATTCCTAAAAATCTCAGGTCATTAAGAGCATTCTTGATATTCTTTCTTCTGCGCAAATAAAGGTGGCACTATGTATTTCAACAGGAAAATACAGAAAAAAGTGCTTTATTTTAAATAATATAAATATTTGCATTGTGAGGCTATAAGATCGATGCATAAAGTGACCTCTAATATATTGCAATTAGTTGTTACTTAAGATAAATAGGTCTACCATGTGAAATAGAAGTGTAAATCAGAGCCTTGAATATGTACTCTCACCACCTTGAAGTAGGTTCTCTGCTATATTTAGCTTTGCATTTTCAATTGCTTTACTAAGTGTCCTTAATTTTTAACATAGTTTAAAAAATAACTATAGGAATCACCAAGAATATTGTCAGGGACATATATAATGCAGACTTGCAAGGTCATATGCAAACAGAAGAATGCTGAGTTTGGAATCTTGAGCTTTGCATGAATGCACAGAAATTCATGCATTTTAGAATATCAGCAAAGAATCTGTAAGGATTACTTCAAAGTATAAATAGGTCCATGTTAAACTTATTCATTATTTTACACATACTCATTCTGTCATGAGGAGATATTACTATTATCTGAAATTTACAGATGATTTTCCCATCTTTACCAAGACAGTATCTTTATGAAAATACTAAATTAGATCCTAGTTCTGTGTAACTATCAAATGCTTTACATCAAAACAAAGTACGGCAGATACAACTCCATGTAACTGTAGTGCTCAGCAATGCAGAAGGTGTTGTCAAATGTTTTTGCTGAAATATAGAAATGTTATAGCTTTCCTCTTATCAGAAGTTTAATAATGAATCAACAAAATTCATGAGGTTAGTTGCATGACTTCTGCAGTGAACCAAAGCTTTCTCCAAGTGAGTACCATTTCAAATTTCTAAATACTCAACCAAGTTATTCCTGTACCTTATAATCCATTACAAAGCTTTTCTTTGCACCAGCACCCATGTTAGTATTGTTTTCCATAAAGAAAAGTATTTTTCAATTTCCATGTACCTATAATGGAAAAACCTACTTGCCCAAAATTTATTTATAACCTTTTAAAGATATTTCAAAAACTGCTGACCATTCACCCTCTCACTGGTTCAATTAGGATTTTCAGAAATCACAAGTGTTCACTGTTACTTATTGAATCACTTTCCTCTCTGTAAAGCTTTCTTTTAAAATGTTTGTTATAATGCAGTTCATAATGGGCAGTGAACATGAAACTGGTGAGGAAACATAATGTTTATATCATGAGCTGCCAACATTATTGAGCCACACAGGGCTTCTTTGTATGAGATTAACTGGGATAGTTTAACTTTTATTAATTCATGTACTTCTTGCTTTCCTTTCTGGTACTTAGCTTCAATTTCAAATTTGCATGAAAGCATTTACATAGGATGCCATTTCCAACATGAATAGCAAATGGAAGCATTAAAATATAAACCAAAGTCTAGAAAAGACACTGTATTACTCAACAGCAAATGCTGATGTGAAAGCGAACCATATATGATTAAAATGAGCACAGAATTTAAATTCAGGTTTAATAATTTGTTAGGCTTTGATTTTCAGCAATATCATATGAAGTCAGTAATCACTTTTCACCTAGTTTCAAGATGATCACATAGTTTGCATTGCCTGATATAAAATTCCTCTTAGCAATGAAATTTACGGTGCAAAATAAGAATGTGTTTGGTTTGTTTTCATGTCTTAATTATTCTAAAACATTAACTATGTTTTCAGACTAATCATTCATTTAAACAGTTTGCAAGGTAGTAAAGCACAATGTGACTCAATGGAAATCAATGTAAAGGGAACAATTATGTGTCCTGCTGTGGGCTGGAGGTTTCCTTGTGTAGACAGGAATACCAATTGTTATAAAATGTCACCAGTTGAGTCACACATGAGGCTACTTACCAGCCATTCTCTGTAATGTTTTCAGTGGACATACTAAAAATGCAACCTAAAGATTAAACAGAAAATGCTGGTCATTGCGGTGCCATTCAAATACGGTTTGTAAAAAACTTCCCATTTCCCATTTAAGCGATTAAAGCAAACAAAAATTACGTTGATGACAATGAGCATCTGTGGGCTTATGTGAAAATGTTATTCAGTCTGAAAAGGTTATTTCATAGAGTTAAAAATAACAATGACCTAACTATGGGGTATTGTGTCCAAAACAATGTAGATAATCCTCTAGTTTCATATTGTTCGACCTTTTATTTACCTGGAAAACAACATCTGTTGTGAATGTTATCTATAAAATTGCCTAGTTCCATTTTTTAGTTTCTACTTCTATCTTTCAGATTCTCTGAAGTGAGTCTTCAGTTTAGATATTTACGACATATTGCCAGTTTTTATTCTCTATCTAACCAAAACACCAACAAAACATGGGACATTGGATAACATTGAGTTTATTTTCAGAGTTTAAATTCAGTGGCAGACGAGACTCTGTACGTCCAATTATCTGCCCATTTTAGGAATGTCTATTCCATGGTCATTAATCTTGCATATTTGAGATCTGGTTATATCTGTGTCACAGCTAAATCATGTCTTCATATGAATCATCAATATATGTATATAATTTACAGCATGTCTGTAAGAAGAGTTTTGGAGAAACAAAGTTTGGAAAGTTTTTTTTTAATGCTAAGCACACTGACAATTAAAATCTATGCTGGGATGTCAAAAAAGATTTGTGTTTTGACAGTTATAGTCATAAATTGACTGGTTAAAATTAAAGGACAAAATTTAAAAATAATAAAAATTAGAAGACTTATGTTTCTCAGGGGAAGAATTATACTTTCCTTCAAAAGCTAATTAGGAAAAGAAAGCTTCGGGAAAACAGAGGAAGCAACTTTAAAATCACTGTTGCCATTTTCTGGAATGTTAAACGGACACAAAGATGCTAAAAAGGGATCAAGTAACAGTGATCTAAATTACTTAAGACACAGTCGCAGTCTCCCTCTGTCGCCCAGACTGGAGTGCAATGGCGCGATCTCGGCTCACTGCAGCCTCCACCTCCTGGGTTCAAGCGATTCTCCTGCCTCAGCCTCCCAAGTAGCTGGGACTACAGGCACCTCCCACCATGCCTGGCTAATTTTTACATTTTTAGCAGAGACGGGGTTTCGCCATGTTGGCCAGGCTGGTCTCGAACTCCTGACCTCAGGTAATCTGCCCGCCTCAGCCTCCCAAAGTGCTGGGATTACAGATGTGAGCCACCACACCCAGCCCTCATTTCTAACATGTGGTCTGAAGCCTTCTGTGTAGGAAGATCACTTGAGATTTGTTTCAAAGATCCAAGAACACAAGTACACAATAAACAATGACATCAACTAAAGCACGATGTATTTTCCACGTTATAAATATTACTGTTTTTCACACGTATTTACATGTAACATAAGATACAAATTCATATTAAAGCATGTCTGCATTCCTAGTATCTTCTTGTTATATCATAGAGTGTATTATTATTATCATATGGAATTTTTTTTTAATTCAAAAGGAATCCTTGTACAGAGTGAGGACGGGCTATTATGGAAGATGTGAAAGTGAGGTCATGTCTTAGCAGTCTGTAAGCTGTTTACTACTTTTGCTTTTTTGAATGGTATGATTTAGCCAACTGAAATAAACCATTACTATCCCACAAAGCCCTCTAAGGGCTACCAACAGCTGGGGAAGAGAGGCCAAAAACATTTCTAAGAATAGATGGTTCCAAACACTAAGTAAAGAGGCACATTTCGAGCAACAAATTTTGTAGGTATTTAGACACTTAAGTCTACAATGAAGGTCAGCAAAAGCAAATGCAATATCAGAGAGGTTCCTTAAACACTGTAGGAGGCTGTGTCAGAAAAGAATAAGTAAGTAAATAAATTACAAGGCCTTAGCGAAACATGAACATAGTAACCAGAACACCTGGGTTGCAGTCCTTCAGGCTGGGTGATCACCTTGCTAGGTAATTGACCTTGGCCGAGTTGCTTTCCTCATCTGCAAACTCAGATGAAAAATAATGCATATTTTGTGAAGATTCAGTTGCTTAATTTATGGGACTTACTGAGATTATGACAGTTTCTGGCCAGCTATTCACTAAACATTTTTCCTTTGTCTAAATAATAGAATATCAAGTTTTAAAAAGAAAAGAAAAATAAGAAAAAGGGGGGGATTAAAAGGCTAACAAAATAGCTTCAGAATATTTGCATGCAAATGTAATATGTATCAAGGCTGTTTATTAGAATTTTTATGTTTTCAGATGTAATGTTTATCAAGGCGGTTTATTAG
Source organism: Homo sapiens (assembly GCF_000001405.40). Lineage (NCBI taxonomy): Eukaryota > Metazoa > Chordata > Mammalia > Primates > Hominidae > Homo > Homo sapiens. Next base: position 76,974,177 of record NC_000003.12, on the reverse strand, counting down.
AATTTTCCTATTTTCAAGATTGCCACACTTTGTTGTCCTTCAAATAAAAGATAATTTTATTTGCTATATGAATGAGAAAAGACTAATCTGTTTGCAAGACTCTTCTAGAAATGTAAATCCTGTGATTTGTTAACAGAACCACCAAAATTAAAAAGGAAAACATGTTATTCAGTCAAGAGAGACTCAAAACCTCTTGTCCTGCCATAACTCATTGTATGTTCATCACTTTGGTGTGCCCTTTTCTTGAGTTTATCACCCATCCCCACCTGTGTCCCCATCTACTCAGAGAGGCAGCTTATCAGATGTAGTCAAAGCCCCATTACAAGGTGATATTGTCTACTGTGTTTTGAACTAGACGGTGAGCCCTTTGGGATGGGATGGGGTGGCAAAAATGTCTAATTCATCTTTTATTATCTTTTTCTTCTCTAGCACAAGATCTCATACATAGTCAGAGCTTAGTAAATGTTCATTATTACACTGAAATTAGAAATCTAACGTTCAGAAAAAGTCATGCCATGTCTCTTGTGTATGTAGTTAATAGATAAGGTGTTAATTATCTGTGACATGCTGAAATATGGTGCCCATCATACATGAAGACAATGCTATTGATAATAAGGTATAAGATGTTGGATTTTTCTTTCCATTACAGTAGTGGTTGATTATATTATTCATTTAGTTTAATAATAATGATATGAATATTATAATTATTCTTTCTATGATATTCTTATTAATATAATGTTATAACTTGAACTTTATAATGATTTCCTTTATCAAAGCATTTTCTTATACTTCTTATACTCTCTCAGGGTAAGATGTAAGGCAAAAATTTTATATATAATAACCTGAAGTAAGAAATAGGTAAAGTGATAATTTTCAGTGGACTACTGAAGCATGTTGCCCACTGAGTTGCTAGGACTTGGCCTAAGGGTTTGCCACCAGGACTGGGCAAAGACTAGGCACAAATGAAAATATAAATAAAGGAGGAAAGGAAGCCAAAGCTGAGGAGATGCAAATCGTAGTCTCTGACACAGCTGAACTTGGGTCTCAGCTTATCTTCCTTCTGGGGCCTCTGTTTACGTAGGCCCCTTGGGTCCACAGGCCGAGGTTCTTTAGCTGGATATTTGTACTGTTAACTTGTGAAATACAAACACAGCTTTGATATATACTTGCACTAAATAGCTCTTTACAAAATCTTCAGAAAAGGAAAAGTGAAAAACAAAAACAAAACTATGGACTTGTTAGCAGTTGATAATGCTATTTTCTAAGTGATTCATCCTTTTTCTATTTTAATTTTTATGTATTTATGTATTTATGTGTGTATGTATTTATTTATGTATTTCTCTGAGACATGATCTCACTCTGTTGCCCAGACTGGAGTGCAGTGGCAGGATCATAGCTTGTTGTATTCCTCCTACCTCAGCCTCCAGAGTAACTGGGACTACAGGTGTGCACCAATAGGCTTGGCTAATTTTCTTTGATTTTTTGTAGAGACAGAGTCTTGCTATGTTGCTCAGGCTTGTCTCAAGCACCTAGGTTCACGCAGTCCTCCACCTCGGCTTCCCAAAGCACTGGGATTACAGGTCTGAGCCACCACAAATGAACAGATTCATCCTTAATGTGAAAAAAAGATCACTTATATTTATATATATAATCTATACAAATAAGTGCACATATGTTCATGAATGGGTACAAAGAGCACCAGCCATGCTTCTTACTAGCAATAAAATATAATCAACGCCTTTCTCTGCATTCAAAAAAACTTAGGAGTCAGAAAGAACTAACAAACCAAAGTACTTTCCAGGTTATTGAAGAAATTAAAAAAAAAAAATGTTTTCAACTAACAACAAATTCCCCCAAAGGAAATCAATCCAAATAAACATTATTTTTGAATGGCAGTTAGGGAAATGTGGCTCAGTTCCAAACACAAAATCCTTTGCAGGAGTAGAACCTCAACAAGCAGTAAGATTTTTTTTTTGGAGACTCTGGAAACTCATCATGATTTTGTTTTACAGCTCACTGAGTAAGAAAGAGAGTTCCTACAATTTCCTTTAAAGAATTTGTTAAGGTGTTAGATGTAATTCTCAAGGGACTTGTGTTAAAGACTGAAAAAAGAAAAATACCATCTTCAATATGGTTATTTGAGAAACTTAAGTACCAGATGCAAAACAGTGAGTTTGTCAGAGCTTCCATTTAGATATGATCAAAATAAAATTTGGTAAGGATATTATGAGAACAGGTTAATTATCCTTGTGATTTAATTGCCAGGTTAGATCCTGCTCACCTCTGCACTGCCTGCCATAGGGATTCCCTTTGCCACACACTTCCTGACTTAGCAATGGGTCTAGTATAGAACCATTTGTTGAGTTGAATCAAGTGAATAGGTTCTTAACTGAATCCAGCATCTCCTAGTTATGGCCAATAATTTGCCTTTAAGCTATTAATAGCATTCTTTTGAATTGTAAAGCACATGCAAAAATGCAAATGTTATGGTTTTCATCTGAGCTTCTGAACTATTATGTGTCCATAAGTCTAAAGCAATCAACACACACTTGATGAAACACTCTTTTGACCACTAAAGACAAATTAGTATGTTTACAGGTGTACCCTTTTTATTTATTTTTTTTTTAGAGAAACAGTAGAGATGTCTATTTCTGGCAAATACATATGCTTATTCTTCATGTTTTAATACATCATCTGACATATAAAATCTAACATATGTTAATCCATCTATACACAAATTGATAATAAATCTGGGTACATAAGTAGTTTATACAGGGTTAGCCAGTTGAACCCTTGGCAAATTCTATATATTTAGAAAAAAATGGAAATGTTTAGTATATTTTTATTCTATAGAAGAATTTGTATTCCTGTTACAATCATCTCTCTGTATTAATGGAAGTGACACATTTCAGTTATAGTGTCAGAGGCAGGGATATCCCAGGGAAAATGCTGGGCAATTAATTACAGTAGATTATGTTCGGAATAAAAATGGGCTTTTGTTGTTCTTTATAACATATTTCTCAAATGCAATTTTTCTAGCGTAGTTTATTGCTGTATGTGATTATATACAAATAAGTGAATATACATTAATTTATGGATGTCAAAGGAAGAACTTCATAGTGTAATGGGAAAAGTATGGATAAAGAATCAGACAGATATGAACTTGAATTCTGGCACATAGGCTAAATATGTAATATTAATCGAAGCTCCTTAGTTCTTATCCAACTCAATTTTACTTGCTCATAAGATGAAAATAACATGTATTTCATAAGTTTGCCATGAATGGTAACAGGATGACATAAGTGACTTTATGTAGCTAATAGAAGGAACTTATTAAAAAATTAAATCATTATAAAGGAATTAACACATAAGTGTTAATATATGATGAATTCATTCTTTGAAAATTATCTGGTCCTAAATATCCATTTTTACATGTGTATATTTTAGTGAGATGCTATTGGTTTATTATCATTTTACCTGAGCCATTTAAAATGCTAATACTGAATTCATTCCATTGATTCATTGGCTGAACCAGGCATCAGTCCTCGTGTATCTTAACCAGTTTTGTTTCCTGGAAAGACTCTTCTGTCCCTTTCCATGTAGCCCTTCTGCAGCTTGTAGATTTAAGCTGGTGAAAATGGAAGCCGGCAAATGCTTGTCACCTAGCCAGCCCTCAAGGCTCACTTGTATGAAGACATTAGCTTTTCATGTATTCAGAAGGGTACTTTTAGACTTGATTTGACCATGAAGTGAGGTCACCTCTCAAGTATGCATTAAATAAGTGAACTCTGGCTAAAATTATCTCCTGGTAATTTTCTTTCTTTAAATGATATATTACATTTCTATTTGAAGAATAAGCTGTGGTCATACAGTGGTATTTACTTAAAATCTCCTTTCCCGAAAGTAAAGGAAATGGTAGAGGTAGGCCCTTGAGAAAGCGATTAATCCCCTGGCCACAGAGCAGCAAAATGACAACGTGGATAAATAGCTTGTCTTTCAACACAAGTTTCAAGTAACTGTGGCCAGTCACAGCAGAAATTGTAATGAGGGGTCTGTGAGAATGGTTCTTCAGAACAAACCAGCAAAGCATTGGTGGGAATGTAAGAAAATGATAGTGATCCCAGAGGAATTTCCTTTCTTCCAGGCTCACACTTTGAAGCTTTGCATTCTGAACTTTTGAACCATGTTGGCTTTATCTTGTCCCTTTGGAGAGATTTGCAAGGTACTCTTATGCCACTTATTGCAATGATATTCTTAAAAATTAATAATATAACGATTTTCAAAGAAAACTTGTCTGCTTTAAAAACATTCTAGAACTAGCCAACATAGACACACACACACACTAACACACACATACACTAACACACACACAGAGCTCTTCTGATATGATTGGTTTTATCACAGCTTAAGAAAAATCGTCCTCTTTGTTATACCTCCAAAGCACCAATAATTTATAATAAAGCTTGTAAGTCATTATCAGAGGCTGGAATGCTCTTTTTAAAACTAGGAGGCAGACATAAAGGGAAAGCTAAAGGGGTAGAAATCAAGAGAGAAAACCAGCATGTGGCCAGACGAGGATATACAATTGAGGCTGAATGTATTCTTCAAAAGAATTATTTTTAACAAATCTCTTCTCAGTTTGATATATGATTCAGCAAATGCACTGTTTCTTGGGTTTTGTGGCTCTTTGGTACTTACAGACAGAGTACATCACATTCCCTAGAAATAATAAAATTAGGCTTAGGAACGATACAATGCAGCTTAAAGAGTCTCTTGCAACAAAGATCAGTCTCTCAAAGACTTTCTCTGTGCCTTGCAGTCCAGTTCAATTTCTGATTTAGTATAATGAGAGAAGCCATAGTCACACAAAAGGGGCCTGGTATTTCAATTAGTCATTAAATTTTAAAGCTTCATTATTTTTCATAAGGAATCTTTTAACTTTTTTTATATTAACACATTTACTGTATTGATTCTAAAATCTGCAATAGATAAGGTGAAATTTTCTGCCACTTTATTGAATTCTGCCACTTTCACTTGTTGTCAAAGCTCCTTGAACCAGTTGATAGCTGCAGCTTATAAACAGTTAAGGAAATGTATTTCACTTACTCCAAGTCTTTATTTAATAAACGTATGTTTCCAAGTGCAGTAGTATCAAGACACACATTACCTAGATGGAAACATAAAGTAATGAAAAGCTATTCATGCTGGGTACACCAAAATGAAGACTAATTATCCGGTTATGCAGCTGTCACTAAATTAACTTTTAAAAAGTGATTAAATTGGAAATACCAACTCTTGAAAAATGTAAATGTCTGAAGGAACATCCAAAAATATAAACTCTGTTGAAAAAAGTATAACCTACATAACAACAGAGAATGTCACATATTTAGCTGAAAATATCCATCAATCATTGATGAGATTATAATATTTATGATGGTTTTCTGGCAAACAATACAAACCTGACGAAAACATGCATATAATAGCCTACAAGCCTCAAATTTAAAAATCAAAATATTCAAGATTTAACCTTCACGAAGCTAGTAGAACAAGAAATAAAAAATTGTAGGACACCTAGGAAACACAGTTTGAACCATTGACTTAATCATTGGCATTTAACTAGAATAATTGTTATTTTATTTGAATTTCATATATTTACAAGACTTACAAAATAAGATAAACAATAACTTAACTATTGATTATATGCATGTTATATTAATGTAAATTTCCTAAAAGGAGCTTATATTATTTGATTAGATTGATTAGATCATTGTGAGAGCTCCACACAATTTTAATATCTGTTACATATACTAACTACATGTTGATATATGTTAAGATTAAATTAAAAAGTTGTAGATGGTTTCTGGGACACTTAGTTACATAAAATGATATTAGAAATTTCATAAACATAACGTATAGCTGCAAGACTAATCTATAAAACAATATGCCTCATATATGTTCTAGAGAGATTTATCTTACATTAATTTCCAATGGATAGATTCCCTCTCAATTATTTTTGGATCTGGAAACATTTTATAATTGATATTTGGTGTTTGAGTGCAATGAGAAACTTATTCAAGATATTCAGGTTCTCTTGGGCACCTTCTAATTCACTCCAAATATCAAAAAATATATATATAAACAAGCAAACAAAACAAAAACACAAAATGTAAGCCTTCCAAAGTCAAGAAATGGAAGAACCTTGGCCATATCCCTAACTTCATCAACAATGTAAGACTTTTGAGATCCATTTCTTGTGGCTGAAATATCCAGTATCTAAAACGGAGATAAGCAATCTTAGCAAGAGGGAAGAAAGTACCATAAAAAATGTGTATTTTAGGCTAGGCACGGCTCAGGCCTATAAACCTAACACTTTCGGTTGCTGAGGCAGGCGAATCACTTGAGGCCAGGAGTGCAAGACCAGCCTGGGCAATACGGCAAGACCCTCCATCTCCAAAAACAAAAACAACAAACAAAACAAACAAACAAAAATTAGCTAGGTGTGGTAGAGAGTGCCTGTAGTCCCAGTTATTTGGGAGGCTGAGATGGGAGGATCCCTTGAGTTTAGAAGTTCAAGGCTGCAGTGAGCTATTATCTTGCCACTGCACTCCAGCCTGGGTGACAGAGCATAACATTGTTTAAAAAAAAAAAAAAAAAAAAAAAAAAAAAGAGCTGGCCAGGTGCGGTGGCTTATGACTGTAATCCTAGCACTTTGGGAGGTGGAGGTGGATGGATCATTTGAGGCCAGGAGTTCGAGACCAGCCTGGGCAACATGGCGGAAACTCCATCTCTACCAAGAATACAAAAATTAGCTGGGCGTGGTTGCACATGTCTGTAATCCCAGCTACTTGGAAGTCTGGGGTGGAAAAATCGCTTGAACTTGGGAGGATGGAGGTTGCAGTGAACAAACTGGACGACAGAGTGAGATTCCGTCTCAAAAAAAAAAAAAAGGCACATTTTGGAATTAGACAATCTTCAAAGTACTCAACATCAGCTTGTGCCAGTGTACTAACTGTACATGTGTAATTCCGGATGTGCTACCTTACCTTTCCATTCATGTGTATCTGCGTCTGTAAAACAGGTTCAATAGTAGCACCTTACAAGTTTGATGTGAGATTTGAGGGATTGTATACAATATGCCCAGCGAACTCTCTGGCCTGCGATAGATGCTTAATAAATTGTAGATTTAATGTAACATTTCCGCATTGCTGGCCATATTAAAGAATGTTGGCTGATGTGGGTACCCTGCTCTTCAAGCAAAGTCTTGTTCACAAGATGTCTCAAGCAAAACTGTAATATGTAGATGAAATTTTTCTGCTATACATTAACCTCCTGTTTTTGAACCTATTGTAAACACACCGAATATTATTTGAATGCTTACGGTATACCGGGCATTTTATCCTATTTTATCCACACAAGCATCCCAAGATGGAAGTTCTATTATTAGCTTCATTTCATAGGTGAGAATAGCAATGATTGCAGGGAGGTGGAAGAACTAGCTGGAAGTCACATAGTTGGCAGGAGAAAACTTAGGACTTGAACCCACTCTAATGTGACTATGCTCTTATTATGAAAGCACAATCTCCTCCCCTTCTTATCATCCCATTAAGTTATACATTCGTTCATATTCTCATTTCTCTTCATCTTTACTCCGATGATTAAGACTCCAATGTTACACAGAGGGAGAGCCATTATAGTAGAGAGATGTAAAGCAGACTTGGTATTAAACTCTGGCTCTGCCATTTACTGGCTTATGATTTTGGGAAATTGTATTTAACTACATTATGACTCAGTTTCTCACAGTAAAGTGGAAAAAATGAAATAACAGGTAAATCTCTGAGCACAGTGCCTGGAATATGTTAGGGGCTCAAGAAATATATGTATCATTTATAGCTTTGTGTGAATAAACCATCAGTGTCTGCACTTTAAGTCCTTTTTATGAGTCAGATAGAAAATATGGACTGGGCACGGTGGCTCACGCCTGTAATCCCAGCACTTTGGGAGGCCGAGGTGGGTGTATCACCTGAGGCTGGGAGTTCGAGACCAGCCTGACCAACATGGAGAAACCCCGTCTCTACTAAAAATACAAAACTAGCCAGGCATGATGGCACATGCCTGTAGTCCCAGCTATGAGGGAGGCTGAGGCAGGAGAAGCACTTGAACCCAGAAGGCGGAGGTTGTGGTGAGCCAAGATCGCGCCATTGCACTCCAGCCTGGGCAACAAGAGTGAAACTCCGTCTCAAAAAAAAAAAAAAAAAAGAAAATATGCCTAGCTAAAAAATCATTTAAAAATAAAGCAAACAGGGAAAACTTATAGATATGGGTGGTTCTTCCCTAGTGTCCACAAAAATAATAATTAATATTAAAGAAATATATATATATATATATATATATACACAAACACAATAAATAATGGTATAGCAACTACCTTTTGAATAGTACCATTGTGGAAGTTTCTTTACAGACATCTCTAATCCTTATAACAATTTACTGAAGTTTTTTTTTTTTTTTACCTTTGATAGATATATGAGAACTAGAAGACAGAGAAGTTAATTTGCTTGCCTAACATTGCATATGTATTAAGTGTAGAAACAAAGATTTGGATTCTGAAGCATATACCCATTCCAATGCTCCAATCTTTGGTCTGGCACAAGCATAGGTACACGCAATTTCCCTTCAGTAGGGAACTGGTTCTGCTGTTTAGTCAGGGGCAGCTATGTATGCAACAATTGGGGAATAAGAGCTGAAGCATTTGCAGACATTTATGGAACCAAGTAACATGCTAAGGCAGGAAGAGTCAGAAAGGCAGAGACTACCAATTTCCTGAGTGTAGCTTTACACATCCACATTCCTATTTCAGTTCCAGAGGTCAGCTTGCGAAAGCACAGCTCCTCTCCGTCCACAGCAGAGATATCCAAGTTGTGATATCTGGATTTGCCTGGCAGTGAGTCTGAGGGAGACCTCCAGCTATCATGCAGAAGATGAGCGGCTTTAGCCTAATTAGCAGCAGATTCTCCTTTCCATTTCTCTTCTACCACTCTTATCTAAGGACATTGTCAGCTCAAGCCTTTTGCTGACACATTGATGATGTCCACCTACTCTTGTATCTACTTGTAGCACTTGAGTTGTGTTCAGCAAGAGAAGCACTTTTGAAGATACCAAAAGAAAGGAGCTCAAAATCCAGTTGAAGAAACAAAAATGTTTAGATGTGGCATCCTCATACTTGTTACTTACAACATTGTTCATGAAAATGTTTTTCAGTCATTGAAGAGGCAAGCTAATAACTAGTTGATTTCTAGTTTATTATTCAGACTATGAATTACTAAAAGTAGTAAGTTTGGACCACTTGCTGCTCATGAGTTTAGGTGGTAACCAGTGCAGTTCTGCCTAGAGCACCAAAAACCTTTGGGAATACTAGAACCTATGCTATTATAGTGTAGAATAAATACTAGGAATGTAAAGTCAGGAATAACACAATCGAAGAGATGGAATGACCTATATCAGTTGTTGAATCAAACTTTATTATTTTACTTCGCTAACAACTTAGGCAATGCAGATGATATATTAGGAGTATATTGGAGACTGAGGAGGGTGGATCACCTGAGGTCAGGAGTTCGAGACCAGCCTGGCCAACATGGTAAAACCCTGTCTCTACTAAAAACTACAAAAAATTAGCCGGGCATGGTGGCGTGTGCCTGTAATCCCAGCTACTCTGGAGGCTGAGGCAGGAGAATCACTTGAACCAGGGAGGCGGAGGTTGCAGTGAGCTGAGATCACGCCACTGCGCTCTAGTTTGGGCAACAAGAGAAAAACTCCATCTCAAAAACAAAACAAAACAAAACAAAACAAAAACAAAAGGAGTATATTAAGAACTAGATGATACCCAAAAGGTGATCAAATAATTAGACTCAACATTTAAACCTTAATATGAATTAAAACCTATGTGATTCCAATCCCAGTACTATCCACATTTTTCCCTTTAATAATCACACATATGAGAAAAAAACTTGGATTCTCAAAATTTCCAAAGAATATTCAGAACCGTCCAAAATGTCATACTTCACTGTTTAACGAGTTCCTTTATGGCACATTGTCTAATCTGTTATTCACGCTTAAAGTTGAGCTTTAAATCACATTTTCTGTTCTTTTCTTTTCACTCTGAGAGAAGTGACTAGTATTTTGTCTCTGTAATTAGCCTTGAGTTCATTTGGTCCTGGAGACAGGAACAGAAAAAAATAACTGGGACAGAAACTAAACCCCTTTTGGCTTTCCTTTCTTTTCTTTTTCATTTTCTTTTTCTTTTTCTTTTTATTTCTTTTTTCTTTTTTTTCTTTTTTTTTTTTTGCAGTTCCTCATAGAATTTCAGCTCAAAACTTTAGTTTGCCAGTTTAAAATCTACATATACCTTTATAAATTTTGTAGCACTCTAATAATTTAGGTCTTTTTGATTTATAAGCTTTCCTTCTGTGGGCTACTTGGATAAACAAAGGTAAACAAATATGGGTAGAAGAAAGTTACTCAGGCAATTTTATCGCTTTTATTATAAAATCACTGCTTTACTGTCTGTAAAAGTTTACACAGAGCTAATATGGGAATAGAGATAAAAAGTCAAATGATATAATTGACCAAATTTTCTGTGAAATATCTGAATAGAAACAGTTCTAGAGAAGAAGCATGTATTCCATAAAATTTTACTTCTTTCTTTAGAATCACTCTATAAAATCATGGAACTTCATTAGTGCTAAGTTCCCCTCATGGTATAAGCATAATTTTAAAGTGCACAATTGTAGTTCTGCATGCTTTCTAAGATTTTCATTTAAAATTATTTCTGTATTATTTTCTATCAGAACTCTTTAAAATAGCTAGCTAGAAATTTGAAAGTGATTAAAGCAAAATATTTTGAAGACAAAATATATAAATGAAGAAAATTGATCCTAATAACCATGGTCATATAATCCTGCTATTTACATAATTTATGATCACTTAGCTGAGAATATACATTTTAGATAATATACAAAATAATCTTTATTAAAGGGACCAGAACATTGTGTTTTAACTCCAATTTCCAGAGATTAATATTTTAAACAAACTTTTCTTCCTTTTTTTCCATTTGTTCCCACCTTCATTTTGACTTACATTTATTTAGAGTTACTCTGTTAGACACGACGCTAGGAACTAGGTTTGTAACAGTAATTCCTACTAGATTAAAAAGTAAATCATTTTAAAAACTCATTTTTAACATTAATGACACCGTTGTTGAGGAGACTAAAGAACAAAGTAGAACAGATTGAACCTTGCAGAAGTCAGAGACTGTGGACAGCAATAGGACTAGAGAATGCATTTTACTTTAAAAAATTATTTATTGATTTATTTTTTAGACAAGGTCTTGCTCTGTCACCCAGGCTGGGATGCAGTGGCACGATCATAGTCACTGCAGCCTCGAACTCTTGGCCTCAAGTGATCCTCCTGCCTCAGTCTCCTGAAGAGTTGGTACCACAGGTGCATGTCACCATGCCTAGCTTTTTTTTTTTTTTTTTTTTCTGAGATCGAGTTTCACTCTTGTTGCCCAGGCTAGAGTGCAATGGCACGATCTTGGCTCACCACAACCTCCGCCTCCTAGGTTCAAGTGATTCTCCTGCCTCAGCCTCTCGAGTAGCTGGGATTACAGTCATGTGCCACCATGCCTGGTTAATTTTGAATTTTTAGTAGAAACGGGCTTTCTCCATGTTGGTCAGGCTGGTCTCGAAATCCTGACCTCAGGTGATCTGCCTGCCTCAGCCTTCCAAAGTGCTAGGATTAGTGGCATGAGCCACCATGGCCAGTGGTTTTGTTTGTTTGTTTGTTTTTTTAATGGAATCTCGCTCTGTTGCCAAGGCTGGAGTGCAATGTATGATCTCAGCTCACTGCAACCTCTACCTCCTGTGTTCAAGCAATTCTCCTGCCTCAGCCTCCCAAGTAGCTTGGATTACAGGCACCTGCCACCACACCCAGCTAATTTTTGTATTTCTAGTAGAGACAGGGTTGTGGCATGTTGGCCAGTCTGGTCTTGAACTCCTGACCTCAGGTAATTCACCCGTCTTGGACTCCCAAAGTGCTGAGATTACAGGTGTGAGCCACCGTGCCTGGCAATCTTTTAAAATTGTTTGTAGAGTTAAGGTGTTGCTATGTTGACCACTCTAGCCTTGAAATCCTGGCCTCAAGTGGTCTGCTTGCCTTGGCCTCCCAAAGCATTGGGATCACAGGTGTGAGCCATCTCACCAGGCGTATTTCACATTTTAAATCGAGTTATGTTGACAAAGAATGAATCGCTGAATTATCACATCTATACAACTCAGAAAAATATAGCATGAACTGAATTTCATTAATACCAATAAAAAAAGGACCCGTAGGTTACATAAAATTAATTGTATATTTGTACTGATTGCCTTGTGAGGACTATGGAAACTTAAGTTATGTACACCTTAAGCTTAGCAGGAGGGAATAGTTTGTTCTGTTTTTTACATGAGAAACCTGAGGCTCTGAAAGTGTAATAACCCAAGCCATGTAACTAGAACGTGGTGAAGCTGGGTTCAAACTCTGGTCTGTGTGATCTATAGCTCACGTTCTTTCCACTGTGTGTTCACTTCCACTTAACCACCCTGAAACAAACTGGGAACAATTATCATATTGACCTTCTAGATTAATGTGGGGAGAAACACATGAGCGTGCTTTGTTAATTTGTAAGCTTATGGTTGACAGGCTTAGATAGTGATATCTTAGATCCACAAAAAGTAGTAGGTGTGACAAAAAGTTCTGTGAACCCTCTCTGAAAAAAAAATGAAAATTTTCGATGTGCATAACATTTTACCTATTATATATTGGATTTTTTTTTTTTACATTTTCCTTTGAGGTGCTAAGAAATCTAAACTAGTGTTTTTTTTTTTTTTTTTTTTTCTCTGTGGCACATTAGCATAGCAAATGTAAATGATCTGAACTATCCATGGAAATTCTGATTGAGCAGGGTCTGTCTTTCAACAAACCTTATGGCAGATTCTGATGATTTGCCAGGGTTAAAAAACTATGTCCCTTCAAAAATTATCTGATTGAAAATGGGCCCCAACTTTGGTCCAAATTGAAATCTTATTGAGTGTTCCCACATTTATTAACTGTGCTTATATAAAAGACTTTACATTCAATAATACCACTGGATACACAAATTGCTGTCTTAGAGAAACCACTGCTTGTCTATTCAGTGATTTACATTTTATCATATAGAAGGAGTTTGATTTTAGTAATATGGAGGTCTGAATAAGTCTACATTTAATATTGTATTCTTTGTTACTTTCCTTGCTCCCACAATTATGCTATTATTTCATATTTTTACAGAGCAAATAGTGCTACAGTGGTTTATTTTTGGGCATTCATATATAATTATTCAGAAAATAAGTAAATTTCTTACATTATGGAATTTTGTGACAATGCATAAAATAGAGTATGTGTCACTTTTACATCTTAGAGAGCTATTCACACATTCTAAATTCACAAGAACGTTAAATAAGGTTGACTTCAGTTTGGTGTGAGGTTTCACCTCCAAGTATATATAAAAATGCCTTTCTTTTTTTCTTTTCTCACTTATAATAGTCTTACCTTTTGGAACTAGAGACTTTAAAAATGAAACATAATGTGGACATTTTAATTACATTTTAAATTAAAGCATTTATTGAAGGTTAATTTACATGCTATATATATATAGATACAGATATATGCACATACATTTTTAAAGAGAAGGAAAAAAATAATCAGTGTACTGTTGAAAGACAAGGTCATTAGAAAATAATCAACAACCCATAGCAATAGGAAATATAAAAAGACATTTTAATTATAGCACCTCTAACTTTCTTCTGAATATTGAGCTCTGGTCACTATGTGGTTGTCAATTCTTGTCTTGTCTATCAGGGGTTTATGTTTAAAAATAACTATAGCTAAATCTACACAAATCTTATTTGGGATTTTGTGTGAAGATTTTGCATCTTAACCTCTAAGGTTTTTGTCCTAAGAGTGTCAAATTGATGAGAAATGTCAAAAACAATTTTTGACTAATTTTCATGTTTAATTTTGTTTTTCTGAGATACTCAGAAAATATATCAAATCTCAATTCTTCCTGACAGTTTTTGAAACCAAACATAGAATACAAGCCATTAAGAAAGTATTTTCAAGAAAAATATATAAAAATCAGTAAAATAAAAAAAAAGATGGATAAATTATGAGAAATGTGAAGTGAAATTTAGGCACCAGAATATTTTGAATTCAATTTCTGGTTTACTTTTTCTGTCATATTTTTTCATATGCTTAAGAGTGAATAATGACTTTATTCTTACAAGCTAACAACTCCCTTTAGTCAACTTCAAATAATTCAAATAAAGAATTGAGTTTGAAGAAACAGAGGGCAATATTTTCCTTAAGGTTTTTTATGATTTCCAAATTACTACTTATTTAAATCTAGGATATGAGTAACAAATGTATACATAAAAAAGTGTAAGTTCATGTGACTGGCTGGGATGCACTCGTATCATTAATCTGTAATGAGAGAGACTTAGCATCCTTGAAAATGTGTATTTGTAAATTCCCTGCAATAAAAAACTACCTTTGAGAAATGTCTTTGAACACTGTATTTGCTCTGATTCCTCTGCTACTCACACAAATGGTGTCACTTCAGTACTCAATGAAGCAGCCACTAAATTGGCCCTCTACAATGGGTCTGAGATCAATAACTAATTTTGAAAACTGATTAGTTTGCACCAAAGTAGTAGACAGTTCCGAATTTTGCCAGAGGATATAATCAGCCAGTAAATAGAGATGTTAGTGCACTAGTAATAGGTTGGTAATATGGCCCAAATCTACCATAAACTCTTTTCCACAAAGGGCGATTTGAACCTTTATAAGCAACTTCACTTGTAAATTAAACTTTGTTTTTTTGATGTTGACATAATGCTTAGTTTTATTATGCTACATAGCTGGTTAATAAGAGTTGTTTGTAAATGAATTCTAATAAAGCAAGCAAGCTCAGCCTTGGGTGACTTGTAAGGAGTCACAGACATTTTTATACATCTTGGCTGGTTGTGAATTCCAGATGTTTCCAACATGAAAAATGTTGTGTTCTAACAGTTAATGTTGTATTGCTAGCCATTCAGAAGATGTATCTTCCTATTAGCTGTGAATGTTGTTATGGAGATAACTGTAAAATCTGACCTAGGAGAAGTGGTGGGGAGAAATTTGTATTAAAGAAAGAGAGAGTATCAATTACGTCAATAATTGAAAAGGTAGCAAAAATGTAAGCATCTTATCCACAGCTATTTCTGCAAAACATATGTGAATACACGATGGACAAAAAGGATGTTTTTGTTTTGTTTTGTTTTGTTTTTGCCTCTCGCATTGGCTTTATATTTAAACTTCATCAAGTGACCATGTGGACAAAACCTGACCACTGTATTATGACGCTAACTGGATAGAAATGGAAAACACAGCTTTAAAAATCATTCTCACTGCATAAGCCAGAGAGTGGCAATTGCCTCCTGGTAAGGTTGTGACAAAATGCAACTTCAGAAGGTTGTAGTAAAATATGTCCATCTTAAAAAACTCTGAGATGTTGGGAATTCACAAGCAATGTAAGTCCACAAGCTAGAGATAGGAGACTAGTACAAAATCACTACAGAGTGAATTACTGCAGCAAAGTTACATCATTGCAATTGGGGATTTTAAATGTGTACATTCAGTGCAATTTGATGCCAAAGCATGAGCTGAGGAGAGGAAGAGCAGACAGATAAAAATCACAAACTGTGTTCTGAACAGGGGCTGTTCTGTTTTTATTTCATTTTTTCCCCTCTGGAAATTTAGATTTGTTTAAATATGGGGAGGAGGAGGTAAATGCTTAGAAAACAGACTGTAATTCAGAACCTCAGGCCACCTCTGAGCAGATGAGAAGGCTGAGAAGGCAAATAAGTGAAGTGGCTCTGAAGACCTTAGCTTGCAATGGTCGCAGCAATGAAACGAGGCAGCTCTTAGTCTGGAATATTTATTTCACCTTGGAAATATAGAAAGTAATAGTTATTCTTTTGTCTTTTCATGTTTGAAAGAGCCATATTTCGCCCATAATCAGACATTTGAAGGAAGGTTCCCAGGAAGGAAGACAGAAAGTAGAAAGCGAGGAGAAATCAAAAGAGGAAAGGACTCTTTCACTGGGGTTCAGTACCCCTCAGAGAACTTTCACGCAAATAGTCCCCCTTCCATCTCATCCGTGGTCATGAACACAGCATCCTCAGGCTCATTTCAAATTCATCTAGAGTTAAATTTTATCACTTTTTTTTTTTTTTTGAGACAGAGTCTTGCTCTGTAGCCCAGGCTGGAGTGCAGTGGCGCAGTCTTGGCTCACTGCAACCTCTGCCTCCTGGGTTCAAGCGATTCTCCTGCCTCAGCCTCCTGAGTAGCTGGGATTACAGACACGTGCCACCACGCCAGGCTAATTTTTGTATTTTTAGTAGAGACGGGGTTTCATCATGTTGGTCAGGTTGGTCTCAAACTCCTGACCTCGTGATCTGCTCTCCTTGGCCTCCCAAAGCGCTGGGACTACAGGCGTGAGCCACTGCACCCGGCCTAATTGTATTACTTTTGTAACCAAAATAGTTGATTCTATCAGAGACAGTAGATATCTGCATACATTAGCTATTAATACTATTGAATGTTTGTGAAGTAGTTGGGAGCACTGTAAGATAGCGTCAATCTAAATGCTAAAGAAATATTCCAAGTCCTAGCAAAATATCTAATAGGTATTCTCCTATTTAATTTCTTTTAAAATTGGAAACATAATGTTTACAGAACTGTGGCATAACAGGGAATGACAGTCACAGAAAAAGAATATGTAACAGAATTAAATTGACTTTTCTTTGTTAACAAGAGACTATTGGAAGCAAATGGATATAATCAATCAAAACCACAGTACAGATAAACGATTCAGCCATTTATCTAGTAGAAATAAATTATTATTTTGGTACTAGAAACAAACAAAAAGAACACAGCAACAGACAAATATTTTAATACTTTCTTCACAGTAATATCAACATTTTACAAGGAAGTGGTGTATTTAAACTTAGGTATTAAACAAAGATGTGCCTAAACGTAAGATTTGAAACAAAAGCCTAGAATCTATTTTTCACGGCATAATAATCTTTCAGAGCCTTGGTTTTCAAATCAGTGACATAGGAATTGTATACATTTAGTTATTAGATGAGTTTAGACAAGCACCTCACAACCTTCCTCAGTCCCCCAAACTAATCATAAGAATCTTCTGCTGTGCTTGCCAAAAATGCAAATTTGTTGGTGTTCCTCTGGGGATTTTGATTCAGTGGTTCTGAGGTTGGGCCCTGGGATTTGTATTTTTAACAAATGTTCTACAGGATATTTATGAGGCAAGTTTGGGAAACAGTGGCCTAGAGCATAGCAGGTGCACATCTATCTTCATCTCTCTCTCTCTGCCATGTCCTTCCTTCTAACTATAATCCCACAGGTTTGTATGGTTCCTTGGGGAAAATACCAATATTTGTGCAACACTGATGCACCAGATTAGCTTCTTTTTCTTTTTTTTTTTTTTTGAGACAGAGTCTCGCTCTGTCGCCCAGGCTGGAGTGCAGTGGCGCGATCTCGGCTCACTGCAAGCTCTGCCTCCTGGATTCACGCCATTCTCCTGCCTCAGCCTCCCGAGTAGCTGGGACTACAGGTGTCCGCCACCACACCCGGCTAATTTTTTGTATTTTTAGTAGAGACGGGGTTTCACCGTGTTAGCCAGGATGGTCTCAATCTCCTGACCTCGTGATCCACCCGCCTCGGCCTCCCAAAGTGCTGGGATTACAGGCGTGAGCCACCGTGCCTGGCCCAGATTAGCTTACTAACATATTTTAATCTAAAGGCAATTTAAATCTCTGTAGTAAAATAAATATCTAATGCATATTTAATTTCTGCATTTACTTTTGATCTCAAGTAGTGTATTAATATCCAGAGGGAAGAAGCAGTTCACAAATAAAATTTCTGCGATTTTCATGATTACCACTGTTACTGAACATTTAAGTCTGGAGGGCGTAAAGTAGAGACAGTGGTGAGAAGGGAGCTTTTTTATTGTTGTTGTTCAAGGATGTATCTAAAATTCTTGGTGGAAATGTACACATTTGTGGGTTAAGGCCACATTCCACTGAGTAAGAAACATTTTAAAATGTATTTAAGATGGAAGTAAATGTGTTTCTTTCTTTCTTTTTTTTTTTTTTTTGACGGAGTCTCACTGCAACACCTGTCTCCGCCTCCCGGGTTCAAGGGATTCTCCTGCTTCAGCCTCCTGAATAGCTGGGATTACAGGCACCCACCACCATGCCTGGCTAATTTTTGTGAAGTTAGTGTATTTTCTAAATCTATGTTTGTATTCTAATATTTCAGGCTGACATTAAAACATTTCTTACTCCAGTTAAATAAGGACATCAGAAAATAATTGTCCTATTTTAGTGCATTGAATATTCCTGAATGTTGGCCAGTAAGAATATAAAAAGATGGTTAATATCATTAATGATCAGGGAAAGGCAAATCAAACCCACAATGCATAACACTTCACACCTGTTATGATGGCTATAATAAAGAACACAGAAAATAACAAGTTTTGGCAAGGATGTGGAAACATTGGAACCCACGTGAGAATGTAAAATGGTATAGTTACCGTGGAAAACAATTTAGTGGTTCCCCTCAGAAAGATCAACATAGAATTATTATATGACCCAGTCATTCCACTTCTAGATATATACCCAAAAGAACTGAAAAGAGGGGCTCAAGCAGGTATTTGTACACACATTTCTTGCAGCATTATTCATAGTAACCAAGAGGCAGAAGCAACTCAAGCCATGAGTGGATAAACAACATGGGGTGTACACATATAATAGAATATTATTCCGTCAAGTAAACAAATGAAGTTCTGATGCATGCTATGATATGAATAAATCTTGAAAACATTATTCTAAGTGAAACAATCCAGACACAAAATGGCAAATATTATATGATTCCACTTATATGAAATATCTAGAATAGTCAAATTCGTAAAGACAGAAGGTAGATTAGAGGTTAGCAGAGGGTTCAGGTGGTGGAGGATAGGGAGTTACTACCTAATGGGTAAAGTTTCTGCCCATTAAGAAACTTGAGGTAAAGGAAACATTTGGATACAGTGCTGATGCTTGAGCAACACTGTGAATGTAATTCATGCTGCTGTATTGTACACTTAAAATGATTGAAAGGATGTTCTATATATAATTTTTTATGTGTACATGGAAATTCTGATTATTTACTTTCTGACTTTATTGCAAAGGCTAAGTTTGTAATGATTTTGTTCATCATGATGATGTGATAACACTACCTTCTTGGATTTTAAAGGTCATTTGCATAATTGTGTTCTTTTTTCATGACAATAAAATCATTCTGAAAACCATGGGAAACTTTATTTTTTTAGATGACATTCTTTAGTTAGCTTATTCATACAATGTTGTTATAAGCCAGAATAACATGCCCTTGTTTATTTTCATCATGCTTTTATGCTGAGACATCATTTTAAAGTTTCTCTTCAGGTTATGGTCAGAGAGTTTTTGAATTAATCTGTTCCCAAGTGTGCAAACATAGACAGACATAGTGTTAGAAGTAATGCGAGAAATATATGCCATTCAGGTGAGGCCACTAGAGTAGATCCTTGGACTGAAATAGAGTGAGAAAATACATTCAGAGAACTACTCGTGTTGTAAGATTACATAAAATGATTAACAAAGTGTAGTTGCATGTGAGTTATGGTTTATTAGGTGTTATTTCAATAGCACTATCCTAAAATATTGGCAGAAGTTTTCAAAACAAACTAGTGGGTAAAGAAAACCTATTGGGACATCTAAATATGTCCTTTTCTGTAGGACACATTGGTAGGTACACTTCCCTATGCTTAGGCCTCTGGGTTTATGTTTTATATATTGAAAGAAAGGTGGTTTGAAACTTGATAAACATTTTCCAATTTAATTCTGCTGCCTAAATATTTACTCTGGTGAATAAATAAACGAATCATCTGGGACTTGTAAATGTCAAGTCACTGAATTTTCTCTCGTTTCGTTGTAAGTCACTCAGCACATGTAACTGCATAGATATTTGAGAATGAAAGACAGTCAAGGTTAAGGCTACAGCTATATGGAATTTTAAAATTCCCTCTAGCCAAAGTACTTTTGAGTAGAGACTTACTCTGGTGGAACAGAGGATGCCGGCCTTTAAATGTAAAATGGTAACACGTGCACCTGTGTGGGCACACACACACACACACACACACATTTAAAAAGGAACATATGGTCTTTTAAGTGAACCTTTAAAGTGTGAGAGAAGGGCATGTGTGTGCGCGTGCTTGCTTCTAAGGACTGTCTTTCTTCACAGCTAATGGTATTCCCTGCCAAACATAATACAAAGTGATGCTTGGTATATCCTGTACTTGCTTAACCAGAAATATAGACCGAAATGATCATTCTGCTGCCAAAGATGATCTCCAAAGTGAAAGTCAACATTCTATCAGGGAATTCTAGCTTGAGTTGGAAGTATGCTGAATTACATGAGTATCAGCAACATGTTGGGGTCCTCGAATGTATAGAATAGATTTGCAGATTTGTAGGTCTGATCATTCAGGATAAAATTAAGTTTGAGTTCAATGCCCTCAAGTGCTGTTTCCTCCCTAAAGCTTCCTAAGTATACTTTGATAGTACTAGCATACTCTGCCCCTTTCCTGATATCACTAAACAGACTTAGCCTTTGACTAAGCTCTTTATATACATGTGCCACCTATTGTAATCGAATAGATTACGTAAATCTTTCTTAATTTCAAGTACCATATCTTTTTTATTTTAAACGAAAATGCACACTTACCAAAAGTTTTCTTTGTGTGTGCGACCTTCAAGATGGGTGGTGTTCACTAGCAGCAGATAGCTGAGGTTAGCAAAGTCAACCTTCTCAAGCTAGTAAGATGGCTTTTTTTCAAAGATGAAGAGATTCTAAATCAAAATCAACTTTCAAAAGACTGGACAACATTAGCTTTTAATTTTCTATCTAGAAATTGTTAAAATATCAGGATTAGTACATTGTCATGATTTTTGTCAGAATGGTACAGGATGGAAAATTTTTCTAAAGGCTTTGTCATGAACACTGTCAAAAGTCTCTGATGTTTGATTACATAAAAATGCCAGACTTACAAACTCCCACTTGGCATAGGTTTATGCAATGTGTGTAAATTGTAGTCATTAAATACAAAAATTGACATCTGTACAATTAAAATAGAATCTGAAAATTCAGTTTAATTAAAATTCTCCCTGCTGAACATGCTGGAGGAGAAAAACAAATATAGTGTATGAATTGTATCATTATTTAGTATTAAAAATATAACTTCTGAATATTTTATACATAAATATATATATATATACACACACAGATATACTAACTATATAGATGAAAATATGTGCCATATATGATAATTGCATGACTGTGCAAAAGTTTATTGCACAGGTTATATATAAAAATAGCTTACAGGCTGGGCACAGTGGCTCACGCCTGTAATCCCAGCACTTTGGGAGGCCGAGGCAGGCGGATCACGAGGTCAAGAGATCAAGACCATCCTGGCCAACATGGTGAAACCCCATCTCTACTAAAAATACAAAAAATTAGCTGGGCATGGTGGCAGATGCCTGTAATCCCAGCTACTTGGGAGGCTGAGGCAGGAGAATCACTTGAACCCGGGAGGCGGAGGTTGTGGTGAGCCAAGATCGTGCCATTGCACTCCAGCCTGGGCAAAAAGAGCAAAACTCTGTCTCAAAAAAAAAATAAAAATAAAAATAAAAATAGGTTACAATGCAGGAGTTGCTTTATCATGCCCTAATTCAGAAATTATTTTTGTCCATTGGCAACCATCTATTATACCAGATGATTTAAAAAATATTAGCAGACATAGTCAGAACGCAGGCTGTGTTTCCAGAGAATATATCTACTATGGGATGGGAGGTCTGCTGAAAGTCATCAGTCTCACATGCTACTGACTTACACTGATTCAAAAGGACACATTACTGGCAAAATAAAACACAGGATACAATTTACTAAAGATATGTAGTCACGGACTGTGTGTGAGAAAAAATACATTTTACATCTTGCAAGACAAAGCTGGGGAAGGGCTCTCCCTGAAAACTTGAATAGATAATTGGAGACCTCAGGAGTTTCATAGTATCAATGGCTGTATGCCTACGGTTGGGGCTTTAGAAACAAGAAAAAGCTCTGAAGATATAGCAGTTGGCTTTGTGAACAGTAAGAGCAGGGAGAATTTTTGGAGCATGGTATATATCAGTCTAGGAGTAGCTCAAATCTCATGGCGGGGTAGAACATGTTTTTTAAGAGGATACCTGTCTTTAACAAGAAAACAATTGATTAAGGAAGAAAAAGAATACAACACACATATCGTACATGCTTGCTGTTCAAAGGGGGAAAGCAAGCATGATAATATGAAACATTAAAAAAAATAACACTTTAAAAAGTTCAGAAAGAAGTTAAAAATATATTTCTTTTTTCTCTTTCAACTTTACGTAAATCTATAAATAAACACACACATACACCATAACTTTGAGTTCACTTTTGTTACATTGACCTTTACCACAGGGTGGTATATGTAATGTAGGGAAGTAAATCTAATTTCAAATACATTATCAAGATAGTGTTGAATGAAGCTAAATATTGGAATGGGATGAGTGAGGTTAGCACAACTTTTTAAAAGAAACAGAGATCCGTTAGATAGAAGATGTTATAACCAGAGTGTTTGTTCACACACAGAAAAGAGAGTACAAATGTGTTGGAAAGACACTACAAATTCTAGGAGCAAACATTAGTTCTTAAATAATGGGGAGAGAAATAGGTTACAGATCACAGTAGAGAATGGAGGCCAAGCACAGTGTTAATGGTGGTTTAAAATTTCTGAATACTTACAAAGCTGATAAATTCTCTAGACCTTCATCACCTTGATGAAAATTGTATTATGAAAGAAGTGACTAAATGAATCTCTATTCAAAGTAAAGACATATTCTTAAGAAAGTGACACTGAGGGCCAGGTGCAGGGGCTCACGCCTGTAATTCCAGCACTTTAAAAGGCCAAGGAGGGAGAATTGCTTGACCCTGGGAGTTCCAGACCAGCCTGGGAAACATGGCGAAACCATTTCTCTACAAAAAATACAAAAATTAAGCCCGGTGTGGTGGTGTGCACCTGTAGTCCCAGCTACTCAGGAGACTGAGGTAGGAGGATCACTTGAGCCTGGGAGGTCCAGGCAGCAGTGAGCTGTGGTTGCACAACTGCACTCCAGCCTGGGCAACAGAGTGAGAACCTGTCTCAAAAACAAACAAACAAGCAAAAAGTGGCAATGAAAAGCAAGCACACTCTAGAGTCTGTTATAACCAGGGAGGATGTAGTCAGACAGCTGCGTATCCTGTCATTTTTACTCAAAGTGTGATCCATGAACCAGTGCCACAATGAGTACAGGAATGGAGACTGTTTAGAACCCTTCATGGCAATTGAACTGGCTGTGATCTCCCAGCTCACAATTATTTTCTAATAATTTACCTTATCATATTTTATAAAATATATAATTGACTGGAAATAAGTAATAATATTTTATCACAAATGGCTTCAGAATAAGAATGACTGTCCTAGAAAATGAGAGTTTGATGTATAAGTGTGTCACTCCATCTGAATTGAGGCTTACAAAATGACAAAGTAACATAAAGATTAATCGTGTTCTGTTAGAGAAAGAAGAAACTTTTTGAGTAGGAGGTAAAGGATTCCGCTTTTGGAAAGGATGGAGAATTCCCTAATTACTATTTTCTTTACCTGTGACAAATATTACACTCTTTAAACTGAACACCGTAGAACAAATATTGACATGAAAAATTGTAATCCTCCCAGTGTTAGGAAATTTTAAAGAGACCACCTATCAGTATTAATTCATTCAATTCTCCAGCCTCTGTGAACTGCATCCCAGGGTTCAGAAAAGATGCTCACCAAAACAGTTTCAGGGACTTTGGAGACTTCATCACAAAAAGAGAAATGCTGAGAATGCATGTCTCATTCTAACCTTGTACAGAGAAAGAGAATAGGTTCAGCTAATCCTAATGAGATGGTTTATGAGATGTATCTTATATAGGTTGAATGACTGCTTGTATATGTTCTTACAGAAAGAATTAAGCATTAAATAGATAGATTAAATACAAAGCTTGATTTGTTGCCCAGACTGGACTTGAACTCCTGGGTCTGTGCTCAAGCAATGACACTCCCTCCTCAACCTCCTAAATAGCTGGGACTATAGACTGCACCACTGTGCCTGGCCTGTGTCCTGTTTTAACAAACATCTTGGGAGCAAGGGGCAGATCTTAAATACCATGAGGTAAACAAGCTCGTTCCATTACAATCAGGACCTGTGAGTGATTCAACCCTTTGTAAACAAGTACGATAGAAGCAGAGCCAGTCTGTGGACACGGGAAATAGGGGAGAAGCCGGTCGGACGTGGACACCGGAAACAGGGGAGAAGCCCTTCGGTCTTGGACACCTTAAATAGGGGAGAAGGCTGTCGGACTTGGTTTGAATTCTGCATATTTTTAAAAAAGGCTATTTGAGATTTCATAGTTACACTCACATCCTCTATGGAGTTTAGAGTTCAAATTTACTTTTCCTGCTTCAGTCAGGATAAGTCAAGAAGATAAATAAATCTAAAGTTGTTGACACAGTCCGCATGGGTTGGGGACTGGATGCAGCTAGAAGAAAATGAATTTTCTGGAAAAACTCATTCCTACAACTTGCAGGATTCTGACAAAAAATTGAGAAACACATGAGAGAAACAAAAGGCAGCATAAGAGCTGCACACAGCATACGGCAGAATTAACTCTTTAAGAGCTTCAGGTATTGGAATTATGTGACATTTACTATAAACTAAGCACATTTATAATATTTAGGGGAATACAAGGAAAAAAATTAAGTAGGGAAACATGGCTCTCAAAAAATGAAAAAGATTAGACATGAAAATTTAAATTATGGCCAGGCGTGGTGGCTCACGCCTGTAATCCCAGCACTTTGGGAGGCCGAGGCGGGTGGATCACCTCAGGTCAGGAGGTCAAGACCAGCTTGGCCAACATGGTGAAACCCCATCTCTACTAAAAAAAAAAAAAAAAAAAAAATATATATATATATATATATATATATATATATATAAAATTAGCCGGGTGTGGTGGCGGGCACCTGTAATCCCAGTTACTTGGGAGGCTGAGGCAGAGAATCGCTTGAACCTGGGAGGCGGGGGTTGCACTGAGCCAA
This sequence comes from Homo sapiens, assembly GCF_000001405.40. Lineage (NCBI taxonomy): Eukaryota > Metazoa > Chordata > Mammalia > Primates > Hominidae > Homo > Homo sapiens. Next base: position 76,948,772 of record NC_000003.12, on the reverse strand, counting down.
GATCGCGCCACTGCACTCCAGCCTGGCAACAGGATGAGACTCCATCTCAAAAAAAAAAAATTAAATTATAATTATAGCCTCAGTGGAGGGGTTGGAACATCAGATTAAGTACAACTAAAAAGGGAAGTCACAAAATCCAGCCTGGGTGACAGGGTGAGACTCCGTCTCCAAAAAAAAAAAAAAAAAAAAAAAATTAGATTATAATTATAGCCCCAATGGAGAGGTGGAACATCAGATTAAGTACAACTAAAAAGCAAAGTCCCACTTCAGAAGATTTGAAAGAATTACTGACAATGTAGCACAGAAAGACAATGAGTGATATTAAAATACGAATGGTTAAAATAAAAGAAGGAAAAATGGTTCAGCATATATTTTATTATAATACTAGGAAAAATAGTGAAGAAGGAGGAAGATAATGTTAGAAAACATTAATTGATAACAGTCATGAATCTTTGGATTCAGGAAACAAAAATGAATCTCAAATAAGAAAACTAAAAACAAATTCATATCTAAAGACATCAAAGTCCAACTGCAGAGCAGCATAATTGCAAGAGAGAAAATATAGCTTTTCTGCCAAGAGTGAAAATTATACTTTCTTTACTTTTCAACATGAATAATAAAGCTAGAAGTCTACTTAAAATTTTGTGTTTGCCTAAATTATCATTCCAGGATGTGGGATAAATAAAGGGCTTTTCAGATAACCTAAAATGGAGAGAGTTAACCATCCTTAGACTCTCACTAAAAGAAATTCTAAAGAGAATACTTCAAAAACAAAGGAAAATTATCCTATTCAGACGTTCTGAGATGCAGTAAGTAATGGCGAGCACAGAAATGGAAAAACGTGGGAAAATAAAAGCCAATATTGAATATAAAACAAATAGAATAATTTCTAATCTTGGGAGGTTAAACATGTCAATAGAACAACAGCAGCAATAACAACAAAATAATATCAGAACTTGAAGTAAAAAGTAGTACGTTCAGATGAGAATGGCGACAGAACAAAAAAACCAGTCACATGTCATCGATTGCAGGAATTTGAAATTGTTAACTAAGAAAAAAACCAGTCCCATGTCATCGATTGCAGGAATTTGAAATTGTTAACTAAGAAAAAACCAGTCACATGTCATCGATTGCAAGAATTTGAAATTGTTAACTAAGAAAAAACCAGTCACATGTCATCGATTGCAGGAATTTGAAATTGTTAACTAAGAAAAAAACAGTCATATGTCATCGATTGCAGGCATTTGAAATTGTTAACTAAGAAAAAACGTGTTGGAGGAAAAATCTCTTAAATAATTTTAAATGATGACATGTACTGAAACATTTATATTTTATTCTAAATTTCACTAGATAGTAAATCAAGGAAGAATGAAGTACAGATTTTGCTGCAATGTAAAGGAAAACCTTTGTTCCAACAAGACTATTCTGAAAAAGAATGAAATTCTTTTAGAAAAAAATAACATTCTGGCCTCTAGAGGTATCTTATTTGGTTTGAATGTTTTTTTATAGAAAGAATTAAAGTACTAAATAGATGGGTTAAATATATTATAATATTTATTTTTTATAGATACTATTTCTGGGACTATTATTCTAATGTAAACCTCATTTTCCCCTAATTTGTGGAAAACGAGTTAAGTACATGAATGTACATGTAAAAGAAGTGGAAATGTTTAGCATATTGTGATTTTGAGTGATAAGAATATGTTTTCAAATTCTGTTTCAAGCCAAGATGGAGTAACAGTGACTAGACATACTCTCCCACCCGAAACAATTAAAACGTTAGACTAAATATACACAAGAATGATTTTCAAGACATTGGACATTACGGAAAGAAAGACAAAATTTCCTGGGAGATGGGAAAAAAATAAAATAAAATTAGCCCTATCTTTGTCCCCGGCTTACAGCCTGGAGAGAATTTGCAGCTTACAAAACATCCAGGGTAATCCAGGTGCAACCCAGCAGTCTCCCTAAATTGAGGAAATTGAACTGGGAGTTTGGGGAGGTTAGTGAAAAAGATTCTCAGGGATGTATTCCAGGCCAGGCGCAGTGGCTCACGTCTGTAATCCCAACATCTTCGGAGGCTGAGGCAGGCAGATCACTTGAGGTTAGGAGTTCGAGACCAGCCTGGCCAACATGGTGAAACCTCATCCCTACTAAAAATACAAAAATTAGCCGGATGCCGTGGTGGGCGCCTGTAATCCCAGCTACTCCGGAGGCTGAGACTAGAGAATCACTTGAACCTGGGAGGCAGAGGTTGTAGTGAGCTGAGATAGCACCACTGCACTCCAGCCTGGGCGACAGAGTAAGACTCCATCTCAAAAAAATAAAACAAACAAACAAAAAACAAACAACAACAAAAAAACAGAGTTAGAGAGAGAATCTGGGAGCCCTACACAGGGTCCTTTTCAAGTAATCAACTGAGTGGTAATCAGTACGTGTGTGAGAAAATCCCCACCCCTGGACAGAGAACCACCTAAATGGATTAAAGGAAAACTAATCTTTGGAGATCAGACAAGACTGGGGATAGTTATTATATGGCTGGTCAGTGCATAAAACCTCATAATTCAAGGCATATTCTGATGACTACTCAGAACTTTGTTTTACTCAGGCAAAACTTTGCCGTACACTAAACAGTGTTCTAGTTCTGACTAACAAAGTTTAAAAGCAAGACCAAAAAGTAGCAAGTTATTTCTAAGGAACCGTATCTCAGAACACAGCTTAAGAATATTTATACGACTACAAAAATATCCAGCAGCTAAAAAAGGTAAAATTTGCCATTCAATAAACTATTAAAAGGCATGCAACAAAAGCAGAAAAAGACAGCCCATAATGAGTTCCAAAAAATCCACCAATCAAAAGCAACCCAAAAATAATACGGATAATAGACTTAGGATATGAAGATATTAAAGCAGTCATAATAACTATATCCAATATGTTCAAAAGCCAGAGGAAAGATAGGAGATGCTAAATATAGTCATGACAGATATAAACAAGAAGACCAAATGGAACTTGCAGAGGTAAAATGTCTCATATGTGAGATGGCAATAATGGCCAATAAGAAATTGCTGAAAAATGATTAGTGACCTTGAGGACATGGCAGTTAAAATTTATTCGAAATAAAACACAGAAGGAAAAAGTATTAAACAACTAATTGTATCAGTGAGCGGTGAAACGACTTCAAATGGACTGATACACCCTGATACACCTGTCATTAAAGTTTCTCAAAGAAGGAGGTGTGTTTGGGGTGGGGAAGAAAACACATGCAAAGAAAACTGGCTAAAATTTTTCAAAATGGGATAAAAACTATAAATCAACAGAAGTAAGAAAGTCAATCACTCCAAGCATTTATTCATATCCTAACAAATGCCCTAAATTTTAGTGGAATGCCCTAGGCTCCAACTCTGATTTCCTAAGAAGAATTAAAGAGCTGGCAAGTTGGATGTTTGTTTCTTTTTTCATGTTATAGTGAGAGCGACATCAATAATAAAATTAATAATTAACATTCATTAAATGCTTATTATGCGCAAAATACTTCTGATTTCTTAGGACCTAGGACCCTAAACTGGCGCTTCTGCCATTTCTATCATCTCTTCTACCATATTCTGCTGTTAAAAGCCAGCACATTGGGAGGCGGAGGCGGGCGGATCACGAGGTCAGGAGATCCAGACCATCCTGGCTAACACAGTGAAACCCCGTCTCTACTAAAAGTACAAAAAATTAGCCGGGCGTGGTGGCGGGCGCCTGTAGTCCCAGCTACTCGGGAGGCTGAGGCAGGAGAATGGCGTGAACCCGGGAGGCAGAGTTTGCAGTGAGCTGAGATCGCGCCACTGAACTCCAGCCTGGGCAACAGAGCGAGACTCCGTCTAAAAAAAAAAAAGCCATCACAGCACCTCTCAGATTCAAGGGGAGGGCCACAGGACCTGCTGGCAGGAAGGTTAAAGAATACGTGGCCATCTTTAATCTGTCCATCTTACCTTACAATGTGCATATCAGCTGTTACAATTCTGATAATTCTAATTTCAGGAATTTGCTATACATAGTCAACCATTAGAAGATAATCTCTCCTTTTATATAACTGTCTAAGCTTTATGCATGGCCATTCAAAAATATTAAGATCATTAGCTCCAATTTCATGTTGCCCTAAGAATATCCTATTTGCTAGTTTTGAAAGCAATGTAGGGAAGAAAATAACAAAAACAACTATGTAACTGAATTTTATATTTTCCCTTTCCTGTTTCAGTTTCTTAAAACATAACATGTTTTCAATTGATGGCTACAATTTTCCAGGATTTAACTCAGAATTACAATACCTGTGGATTTATAAAACTGCAATTTCAATTTTTTTTTGTAAAGCCAAGAAAATTGTGTTTTATTTATTCTGGGTAGTGTGGAGTGAAAGGTTTGAGAACAGTTTATTTTTGAAATACCAAATATTTCTCCTTGTTGATTAAAATAAATACAATGTGTTATTTAATTTTGTTTTGAGTGTAATCTTTTTTATTTGGACTTGAAAAATTTGTGATAACTTGCCAGTATAGGATTGTAGTATGTATACAAAATATTTTAAAAAGTGTTGTTTTTTTCAATGACTCATTGTAGAAGTTATTATTCACAATAATACAATTGGGAGTTTAACATAAACAGACCTTTTAATTGGAAAAAGTCTTTAACAGTTAAATTGTTGATGTATTGAAACTTTAAGACTAAGTGTTTAAACATAACTATTTTAACTTTCTATAAATTTACCAAAGTTTCTATTTAATTAGTCCAAGCTACATTTTAAAGAGAAAAATAAACAACTTTGAATTAGATAAATAAGCCCAGCTTGAATCATTGTATAATTTATTAGTCACATTACCATAGCTTCCGTTTCCTCCTCATTTGTAAATTAGAGGTTATACTTTCCTGTTCTCCAGATTCCTCTGAAGAGTAAATGACACAGTATATCTATCACCAAACAATATTTGGCACGCAGTAAGACAAAGTGTATTGTAATGGCGAAAGAAAGAAAACTAACCTAAACCTTGGTTAAACAACTATGACTTTTCAAGGAACCAGTAGAAAAAAAAAGTACTGATACAAACAGTGGCTTTTCTGTTTTTCCTTCTGGTAATAGGACTATACTTAACTATGAATACGTGTTTTGGTTAACAAAATTTGTTGTGCAAAATCCACTTATAAAATATAGTCACTATTTTCTAGTTTGGTAATTAACTTCATTTACAAAGAAGCAATCGTATTAAGTGGTTCTTTCCAATATGTTTTACAGAAACATGTATTTTTCTGCCTTCTTCAAAGAACTAATTCAAAAGTTCACTCTGGGAAGTTTGAGATCATTAAAGGCAGGCTGAAATACCAGAAGAACAATTATAGGTGAATGGCAACCTTAATAATAAACAAGAAGAGTTTTGTTTCTTTTTAATTTTTCTAGCCAGGTCTGGGGACACAACTACTAACAGATAGCAACGAGTGGTATGTAACAACTCAAGATAAAGGGGGTCAGAGGCTCATGGAAGGGAATTCCCCAGCGCAAATGCCAGTCCTCTGAGGTAGCTCTTTCAACAAGCAATGATACTGATTTCCTAGAAAGGACCAACTCAAAGTCAACCCACTGAAGAAATGGAAAAGTTAATTTGAGAACTTATTTTGTGATGAACATATTAAAATAAATTTCCTACCTCTCCATACTTAGCTGAAGTACTCACATGACGTTAGGTGAACATTGGAGGAGAAACATTGTTCTAAAGTCTATTTCTCTACACAATATTTTTGATAGGTTAAAATAATAATAATAAACGCATAAATCTTACAAGTCTAAATGAACAGGAGTATGACCTCTAGCCACAGTTTGGTGCTCAACATAAGTTAATAAAGTATAACATAGTATTCAATAATATTATTGTTTTTTTCAGTTAGGAGTTGGAAAATTAGAGTAATAGAAAGTGAGAGTTGAAAGAGATCTGGAGTCCACCCAGACCAACCCCATATTTTACAGTTAAGGGAACTGAAATGGAGAAATCAGTGAAGTGTTCAATGTCAAAGAGGCAATAGTAGTTGGAATCAGAATTAAAATTAGACTTCCGGTCTTCCTGAGACCAGCACTTTCTCTAGGCTACAATGAGAGGTTTCCATTCTGCCTTTTCCCTACAGTCAAGGATATGAGTGTATATAGCCAACCTAAGAGTGTAGAAAAGCATCCCCAGGCATATATGAGCTTCTGCTTTTCCACGAGCAGCTGTCATCAGCATGTTGATAAGTGAGGCCAACACTCTTCAAACATCAGTGGTGCTTCCCAAGCAAAAAATTATAAGCAAGTTCAGCAGACAGGCTTTACTTACACAACACAATTTATTTTAAGAGAAAACCAGGTCTATGGAAATACGGAGTCAAAACAATAAAGGAGGCTGGTTGTTAGATTCGCATGTTCTACTTAGTCCATGATGCTTCACTTGTAAAAGTGAGGTGTGCTTTGCAAATGAAAACCAGGCATTCCACTGGGGTGATAAAAATGTCAAAGTTGGAGCTGCTGGATTGAAAGATGAAAAGGAAAACAAATCAGTGAGTTTCAACAGGAGGAAGTTTAAAGTACAAACTACTGAACAGTTTAAATCTCCCATTTCTAAGTAACTATACATTTTCTATATAATAATCTAAGAAATTCTTCACATATATGAATTTCATATCACAATACTTGCTGTAACTTTTGGAAATAAAACAGGTAGCAGGATCTTTCTGGAAGACTTTAACATTTATTATAGGTAAGTCACACTGTTTCTTTTATATAATTTTAAGTATCATTCATTTAATACTTATTTACTAATCACTTGTGGTTTATAGGCTAAGAGAATTCACTTTCTTAATCAGATACGATCTTATTCTCCAACTTAAAAACATGAATTTTTAAGTTTCTCTGGTCAGTCAAAGTAAATTTACTAGGAAATTACTATGCATCAGGCCTTGGATTATGTTCCGGTAACCACAGCAGTGATCAAGTTCTGGTGCTCTAGCGAAATTCTCCTAAAAATTGCAGACAAGTGAGGGAGAGAGACACAATCATCCCAAAGAGATAAGTGTTTTGAAAGGGAAAGTTACTGGGTATAAGGCATTATTGTATCTACTACACAGACTGTAACACAATTCAAAAGTTAGCTGCATAAGACATGGAGCCTTCCGATGATTGGTACGTAATAATTGTACATCATGCATCAACATGCACGATGACTCAGTTTTAAAATAATTTGGCAGAATGAAGACTAGTGTAGCTGAAGCCTTGAGAGGTAGGGAGAAAGTTGCAAAATATTGTCCTAGAGAGGAAGGCAAGGGTCAGAGGGTGAAGGACCTTGTGAGTCTAGGTGAAGAATTTGTATTATAGTGGGGTATACTCTAAACATTTAATATATAATAATAATAAAACATTTGAAATGATTTAAAATGCAGTGATGAATTAACAAATTTATATTTAAAATTCCCCCTTTATTAGTTGTGAAAATAAAATATTACAAGTGGACAAGCACAGAAGCAAGGAAGCCAAGTAAACAGCTACTGGAGTAATTCAAGTGAAAGGAAGGTTGTCTTGAAATAAGGAGATGAAAGAATCCATCAAAAAAAATGCAATCATTTGAAACCTAGTTTGAGGGTGAATTGACAGGATTTAGTGATGGTGGTGAGGGATGTTTTGAAGATAACTCCTAAGCTTTAGACTTTGGGGGAAAGAATGGGTGAAGTTATCATTTGCTGAGAAGTAACAGACTAAAGGTTAAAGGTGGAAAATATTTGGCAGGAATATCAAGGCTTCAATTTAAATACGTTACATTTGAGGCGGCTTTGAAAAATTCAAATGCCAAAGTCAAGCAAGCAGTTAGATATACAGACCTGAAACTCAGAAAAAGTTTAGATGAAAGCTGAAAACTTTGATATCATCAGCCTGCAGATGAATTTCTTTTTAAATTTAGGATTGGCACACAATAATTGTACATACTTATGTGATACAATGGGATGTTTTGATAAATGTATACATTGTGCAATAAAGCCGTTGGAATGGAGAGTGTACAAAAGGAAGCAGAATTGAGTTAGTGAGATCAGTTGTAAGATCAAGGACTATTTTGCAGGAATGTTACTGAGGGCATTCAAACCTCTTTCAAATCAGAGATGATGGAACTCTGCCGATGGATGCCTATTGTGGTAATCTGGGGACGAATTAGAGTCAGCGTGAAAGACAAGGAAAGGGCATTTTAAAATGAATACAATTTTAAAAAGCACTTTTGGTAAAACATCCAGTAATTTCAATGAAACAGGCAGATAAATGGATTTTTTGTTGTATCGAGAACGAAAGTAGCTATTGGCCAATTCCTTGTTGGCCCTAGTGTAAAAATATTTGAGAATAACAATGAGATTTGCATGATAAAATCCATTCAATCCTACATTGTGCTAAATCACAAACACTTAAAAGTCTATAGTTCTAATATTTGGCAGCTTAAAAATATCCTGTTGCGGCGAGGCGCAGTGGCTCACGCCTGTAATCCCAGCATTTTGGGAGGCCGAGGCAGGCGGATCACGAGGTCAAGAGATCGAGACCATCCTGGCTAACACGGTGAAACCCCGTCTCTACTAAAAATACAAAAAAATTACCCGGGCGTGGTGGCGGGCGCCTGTATTCCCAGCTACTCGGGAGGCTGAGGCAGGAGAATGGTGTGAACCCGGGAGGCGGAGCTTGCAGTGAGCCGAGGTAGCGCCACCGCACCCCAGCCTGGGTGACACAGCGAGACTCCGTCTCAAAAAAAAAAAAAAAAAAAATCCTGTTGCTTTGTCCTTCCTCTGCCACCTTTCTTCCTTCAAATTAAATAGTGATACACAAAGCAATCCAGAAATTTACACAAGGTTAAAAGATAGTTCTAGTAACAGATTCAGTGGACTGCAGAACTAGCAGAACTAGTTGTGGTGCATAAAGGTAAGAGAAGAGGGGATTGATTGATTTATTTACTTATTTTTTTAGATAGAATCTTGCTCCGTGGCCCAGGCTTGAGTGCAGCAGCAAAATCTCAGCTCACTGCAACCTCCGTCTCCTGGGTTCAAGTAATTCTCTTGCCTCAGCTCCCCAAGAAGCTGAGATTACAGGCATGCATCACCACGCCTGGCTAATAATTTGTACATTCTTTTAATAGAGATGAGGTTTCACCATGTTGTCCAGGCTGGTCTCGAACTTCTGACCCCCACCTCAGCCTCCCAAAGTGCTGGGATTACAGGTGTGAGCCACTGCGCCTGGCTTAGAAGAGGGGATTTAAACCTCTGCTTTTTGTTCACAAGCCTTTAAATTTTGGAAGGAAAAAGAAAATTTCACAAGAAGGAAATCTTATAGCTCATCACTGGTATTAAGTCTTCATTTATCAGAATGTTTCACTCATCAGCAGTTTTACCAATGTTAAAAATCAGAATTTTGATAATTTATTCTACCAAATCAGAGAATAAACATGCCTGCTTTCACATATGTTACCATGAAGATTTATCAAGAAATAGCTAAATAACCTCAAGAAAAGTGAGTGGAAAAGTAAACATATTTTGAAACCTTATTAATGCTAAGTATGGGGCAATTCCTTTCTCTTCTTCATTTTTATCATCATAACATATCTTACTCAGAGTCATGCAGCTGTAACTCATTATATCAATTCTATTACAAATATTATCTTTCCATTTTCTGCCTTACCCACCTCTCTGTTGGCTGAATATGTTCTGTACATTGTTTTCTATTCAGAGAAACCAGAGAAACAGTGTGGGGCTACTTTTTTTTTTTTTTTTTTTTTTTTTGAGACTGAGTTTTGCTCTTGTCGCCCAGGCTAGCGTGCAATGGCGTGATCTCAGCTCACTGCAACCTCCACCTCTTGGGTTTAAGCGATTCTCCTGCCTCAGCCTCCCCAGTAGCTGGGATTACAGGCATGCGCCACCACGCCCGGCTAATTTTTTGTGTTTTTAGTAGAGACGGGGTTTCTCCATGTTGGTCAGGCTGATCTTTATCTCCCGACCTCAGGGGATCCACCCGCCTCGGCCTCCCAAAGTGCTGGGATTACGGGTGTGAGCCACCGCGCCTGGCCGGGGCTGCTTTTTTGTGCAGAGATGTCCACTGATTGAGCTCCATAGATCCAACCTTTCTGAACAAGACCCAGAGGAGCAGCTGGCTAGCCACCTGTGGTACATGTGGTCTCACTATGAGCTGGCCTTCTATCAATTTCTAGAATTGGAAAAGCTCAGAGAGAGAGAGAGAGCAGATCACCAGAGAGAAGCAGAAAGTAGGTTGGTGGGTTTTGTAGGGCTCTACCCTAAAATAACAAGTAGAGGAATCAGATAAAGAGGGAAGCAGGCCAGTGTAGGAGTAAAGACATACAGAGATGAGGGACAATATGCAGCCTTTTTTGGGGGGGGTAGGTGGGGGACGGAGTCTTGCTCTGTCTCCAGGCTGGAGTGCAGAAGCACAGTCTCGGCTCACTGCAGCGTCCGCCTCCCGGGTTCAAGCGATCCCCTGCCTCAGCCTCCCGAGTAGCTGGGACTACAGGTGACACCACCTCACTCAGCTAAATTTTGTATTTTCAGTAGAGACGGGTTTCACCACGGTGGCTAGGATGGTCTTAATCTCTTAACCTCGTGATCTGCCCGCCTCGGCCTGCCAAAGAAACCAGCCTTATAGAAAGAAATGTTTTCTTGATTACTGACTAGTTGCCAGGTGCTTGTTCTCTGAGGCCCGTCCGTAATTCCCACCTATGAGTTCCATGATATTTCCAGTATTCTTACCTAACTGCACCCAGTGCCATGCTGGTGTTTTACTTGAATCCTAGTTTGGATTTGTTAATATTCCAAACAGAACAAGATACGGTTCTAAGTGAATATTCCCGAATACGTATGGGTAGGTAGAGGGTACGGTAACACTGTGTGTACAATGATGGCCATCCAGCTTTATGCATAACTTTGAAGAACTGAATTCAGTATAAATAAATACTATTACATCCACAAAGTTGAATATTCCAAATTTATTACATGGATATGCATTGATTGAAACAATGTCTAAAAATGCTTAGGTTAAAATGCAGAGTTTTATATTCAGTTTGATGTAAATTGGTGCAAATGGCCAAAAAGCACAATTATTTTTGCACTGACCCAACATCACATATGCAAAGATAGTTTTCTTTGGCAGATGTGATTATAGATTACTATTTTATTTTATTGGCTTTTCTTTATTTTAAGATGCATGCATTGTTTTTCTAATCAGACTAATAAATTACATAAGAAAAAGAATATACTTAAGTGAAAACAAATAACAAAATACAAAATCATAATAGACTCTGATTATAGCTGTGATAAAAATACATGGGTAAATAACTAGAAGGATACATCTTGATATTATTCCAGTAAATTTTTATGGCATCAGATTAAAAAAAACAAAAACCCTGGAAGTTATTTCTCTATTTTGCAAAGCTTTTCTCATAACATTTAAAAGGTAGCATAGCATGCCACAGATCTGGCACATGTAAGGTAGACATTTGAATCAGATATTTATAATTATATAATGGTAAAATGACCTAGCCCTTCTATGGACAGCCATATAATTTAGATGCCACTAAGTTTTACTTCGTTACAAAGATTAAACGTGACAAAAGTAGCTCATCTCTCACCCCACCTTCACTTGTGGTGTTTACTAAGTACAAGCAAGAAAATGGAGACTCAATTAATGTGAGTAGATTGAGGATAAGGAGGGGTAGGTCAATAATGAGTACCAGTTTGTAGAATCAATGAACACTACATAAAATGTGCTAGTTAATTTAGACGCTAGTCTTCATTTTAATACTCTGTGACATCCTAAGTAATTTTCTAGGAATAATGTTTCCAACAACCAGTTCAGAAACAAATGTCTTCATAAGAATGTATATATTTAACTAGGTGTTTCAATTAACAAAAGGAACTAAGGTTAAAGGCAGAATGTAATAAAGTAAAATTGAGTTAAAGACTCAAAATGCAATTACTCTGTAGTCTAAAAATATCCACTGCTGTTGTGAATAAAATGAATTCTTAGAACCAGTTTCTCAATCAGTGTTATAAGAATGATCCCAATTGCATATCTGGAAACATTTATATATAGTAAACATGTGTATTTATAAAGAAAACCTACTAAGGTTAACATGTTAGTGGTAATTGTAATGTGTTGGCTCCCACAAATAATTAATTTATCAGTCCTTGCTTTTAATACCTCATAAATCCTTCAGGTCACACCTTCCCTGACTTGGAGGAGCAACGCTGTCCACCCTTACATTTTCATTTACTGCCTTGAAGTTGCTGCATACAAAATCTTTACACATTTAAAATTATTTTCAATTTCACTTGGAATTAACATCTTTCAAAGTTTGTAAGTCATTGGAGGCAATCTGGATATTTTATATACAATAAATAAACCATGATTAGAGGAGACATATGAAGAATTACCTTTTTTGATATAGATCTTCACATTATTGGAAAGCTACTACATATCTATCTATGAATCCCCAAGCTTTGATCTCTGTCCTGGCAAATACATCTATTTTTTTTTTAATGAAACCATAAAGCTACTTAATGTTTTTCATGTCTATAGCTTCTACTTTTTTCTTTCTTTCCATATGAACATAATATGCATCTTAATAGTACACATAAGAAGGACACAAAATCACTTTTGTGGTATTCTTGCTAATAATGCATTACCCCAGTCTCTTCATGAGAGAATTTCAGACCAATTCAAATTGAGAAATCTTCAACAAAAGAATTGGCCACTTATGTTTGTGTCCCCTCCCCACCTAAATTCTTATGTTGAAACCTAATCGCCAATGTGATGGTATTTGGAAGAAGGACCTTTGTGGGGTGATGAGGTCTTGAGAGCAGAGAGTCTTCATGAATGGGATTAGTGCTCATATTAAAAAAGACCCCAGAGAGCTCCTTCTCCCTTTTCTACCAGGTGAAGACACAGGCAAAATATGGTCACCTATGATCCCTGAAGTGGGATCAGTGCCCTTATAAAAGAGGTCTCAGAGAGCTGTTTTACACTTTCACTATGGCAGAACACAGCTAGAAGGCACCATCTGTGAATCTGAAAGTGGTAGTCAGCAGACACCCAATCTGCTGGCACCTTGATCTTGGACTTCTCAGCCTCTAGAACTATGAGAAATAAATGTTTGTTGTTTACATACATAGCTACCCAGTCTATTGTATTCTGTGATAGTAGCCTGAATGAACAAACACCATCAGTACTCCAAAAGCAAAAGACAAAGAAAAACTGAGGAACTGTCCCAGATTAGAAGACATGAGATCTAAATGCAATAGATACTGGATGGATCCAGGAACAGAAAACATGTATTAGCAAGACAATTGACAAAAATTAGGTCTGTAGGTTTGTTAACAGTATTGTATCATCGTAATCTTAAGTAATTAGGTAAACATTAAGGGAGCGTGAGCAAAGGGCAATACAAAAGCTGTGGATACTGTTTTCTTTTGGAAAAATTTTTGTAAGTCTAGGCTGGGTGTGGTGGCTCATGTCTTTAATCCCAGCAATTAGGGAGGCAGAGGTGGGTGGATAGTTTGTGTCCAGGAGTTTGAGATCAGCCTGGGCAACATGGAGAAACACCATCTCTACTAAAAATACAAAAAATTAGCCAGGTGTGGTGGCATGTGCCTATAGTCCTAGTTACTCAGGAGGCTGAGGTGGGAGGATCGCCTGAGCCTAGGAGTCAAGACTGCAGTGAGCAGTTATCAGACCACTGAACTCCAGCCTGGGCAAGAGGAGTGAGATGGTCTAAAAAAAAAAAAATTTGTGAAGCCTGAAATTATTTCAAAATAAAGTAAAAACAGTTTAAAAGTCACAGTAATAGCCAAAAGGGCTTAAATTTTTATTTTGTTTGTGAAAAATTGACTATGCTGATAATTCCTATATATTTTGGTATTTTGGAAAAGCTAATTAGTGAAGTAATACTTAGTAATCCTGTTACTTCTAAAACTAAGGATTTTCTTGCTTTTGTTTTTGTTTTTGAGATGGAGTCTCGCTCTGTCACCAGGCTGGAGTGCAGTGGCGGTATATCTCGGCTCACTGCAACCTCCGCCTCCCGGGTTCAAGGGATTCTCCTGCCCCAGCCTCCCAAGTAGCTGGGACTACAGGCATGCACCACCATGTCCAGCTAATTTTTGTATTTTTGGTAGGAGGTTTCATCATGTTGTCCAGGACGGTCTCGATCGATCTCTTGACCTCGTGATCCGGCCCTCTCGTTCTCCTAAAGTGCTCGGATTATAGGTGTGGGCCACCATGCCCAGCCAAAGTTTTTTTTTCTTTAATTGAACCATTTGTCAATAGGACACCAATTAACATTTTACTCTTGTAGCTATTATTTTTATTTAAGCAAATCATACATTCCACAAAAATCTGTAAACTATGATATTCCAACATTTCATAAACAGTAAGGGAGAATCATCACGTTTTGAAAGAAACATTTTCTGATTTGACGGCTTAAAGGCTTGTAAAAATTTGTTTTGTACCTAAAAAGTGGTTTAATCTTTTTTTTTTTTCTATTTTCGATCTCATGTCATACACAAGTCACTTCCAGGAATATGATAACAAGGCAATGAGAAAGCAATTTGTGTCAGCTATCAATGAAGCTGTCAGATGTCCAATCGTCTTTCTCAAAACAAAGTTTCTGGAACACAGTACAGCAAAAGCTTTTAGAGCTGAACTGCAATCCTAGGTATGCCTTAAAGCAAATTTTATGCTACTGAATATTAAATTCTTGAAAACAGTGGTTCAACATGCAAATACTGGCAGTATCTAAACTATTTTTATATAAGCAATATTTCTATAATGAAATAATATTTTTAGAAGAGACAGAATTGTGTCTTTATGATAGAGACACAAATGATAGCTGATGTCTGGAAAGTATTAGAGTGCAGTTATAATAATCACTATAATTGTAACAGTTCATGTTAGCTCAACTGCACATCTATTCTTCATTTGTCCCTAAACTAATTTGTTCTACATGTGAATATATAACCCTCATCAATTTAAAGTGTCATCCCTTGGCTATGTGGCTCATTAAAATATATACATAATGTATGAGTCCAACAATCCAAACTTAGAGGAGGAAAGGCTTTTTAGCCAATTGTGAAATCATAGCTACAACGCAGACTTCTGAAATTTAATGAAAATTAGGCCAAGATCACAAATATCCATCAATAAATTAGAGTTGATTAAAAATTACAGTTAAAAACAATATTTTGTTTTGAATGGTATGTGTCATTTTCAATTTTGACTCTAATAGTCATCATTAGAACAACTGACATCAGCAAATTACATAGATAATGTCAGGAAGTTTTAAAATTTTTCCCTAGTAGGTTGTTTTCCAAAAGACAAATAAGCAAGTTCTAAAAATTTGCTGAAGTAATTAGATATAGTTCACTTAGAGGAACACAATTCTATATCTGGCATGATAGGATAACTAGTATAATCACTATGGTAGTAAATTACAAACAATGAGTTCAGTGGAACTAAATATTCTCCATTTAGATTAACATATTTTTGGCAATATTGTATATGGAATATGAAAAAACTAATGAGACTTGGGAAAGGATTATAACATACTTGCTGGTTATGCTAATACTACAAAATCTTTCTTGAGTATTTGAAGTTTTTTATTTGCATACATTTTATTTTATGTTTCACTTCCTGTCCACTTCCTCAAACCTGGTTTCCATTTCAGAGGTTTAAAAAGAATATCCTCATCCTAACAAGCAAAGTGTTCCTTGAAACAATTACAAAATATGTCTGTTCAGGATCTCTCAATCCAGGCTTGAATAACAAGGATAATAGACTTCTCGGGGCCGGGGCGGGGGCAGCTTCATTATATCCGAGCGCCCATTTTCTATGAACACCTGAGAGTAGATAATACTCAGAACTTGAAGACCTTGGAGAGCTGCTTTCAGGACTGTGCTTGCGTCTCAGTTTTATGTTGGTAGTGAACATGTGAAAGGTTATTTTTTTCCATGTCTTCCTCATAATACAACATATAAGTACTGACTTTTAAAATTTAGAGATTTTTGTGTAGGTAGTTCTCTTAAGCAAAAATAACATCATGATTTAAATAAAGGTCTTGCTTCTTTTTCACTGATGTTTTACCTGGATGTACTTTTGTGCCACAGTCCAGAATAAGGGGTCCTTTTTCTGGCCAGAATAGGCTTTGGAGTCCAAAAGAAAAGGGAAAAACTAGTCATGGCATATGAAAAGAGGAGGCATTACATAAATCACTGAGGATTACAGCTGCAGCATAGATTTGTGACACGTGTATGTGTGTGTGTGTGTGTGTTTCTAAACATATGCATGCAATCATGAATGATAATATCATTTCCTTTTTGTGGTAATATGTTATTTATATTTATTTTGCATGATTTTCTCATGGTATGGAATAAATGTTCTTTTTTAAATTAGTTTGAAGAGGCTGAGATCATTATTGAACATATATAAATAAATGAATAAAATATTTTTCCAACTTTTGTTTTTCTCTTATTGTAAAAATTTCATATTCTTTTTCATGTTTTCTAGTAGAATACTCATTCAAAGCAAGAATGCTACTAGAATTCTTATTTTTTATATGCCATTTTTTTTGGTAGTCTATGTTTGGAAGTCCTAAGAGAAGCTGAAAAAATGACTTGATATTTAGAATCATTACAGCCATTTAAACTATCTTAAAGTCTTTGGAGGATGTTTCTCCATGGTGATTTGGGCACATCTGTGTACTTTAAAATATTTGGCAGGGTGCGGTGGCTCACGCCTGTAATCCCAGCACTTTGGGAGGCCAAGGCAGGTAGATCACCTGAGGTCAGGAGTTTGAGACCAGCCTGCCCAACATGATGAAACCCCATCTCTACTAAAAATACAAAAATTAGCCAGGCGTGGTGGCAGGTGCCTGTAATCCCAGGTTCTCGGAGACTGAGGCAGGAGAATCGCTTGAATCCGGGAAGCAAAGGCTGCAGTGAGCTGAGATCATGCCACTGCACTCCAGCTTGAGTGACAGAGTGAGACTCTGTCTCAAATTTAAAAAAAAGTCTGTATAACATCCCCGTAAATATAATACTAGACTGACGAAGATACTTAAAAGTATTGCTGATGACCGTGATAAAAGAATAAGCTTGACACTAAATGCTCATATATACGTGTGTGTGTGTGTGTGTGTATGTGTCTTATAAAGCACACAAAGTCATAGTGGTATAATAGTTTAAAAAGGTAGCATAAATAGATAATTAAATATGTAAGATCATAAATGAATGAAAAGTCTTATGTGTTTTCTTGGGTGGAAAAGAGGCACATGCTTGACCTACAGAAAATGTGTCTCCAATGGAAATCTAATAAGAACGGATAGCTTTCACTATTTTGCTTTCTGAATTGTGGTAAACTAACAATGTGGCATATATTTCTAAATATAAAAATATAAATTGATTAGGTTCTGCTTACTTAATTGGCTTAAAGTTATTTTTTAGAAAACCCTTTAACCTAAAAATTAATCAATGACTTTAAATTTTTTTTCTAATTTTCACTTTAAACAAAACAAAGGCCCAAGTACTGATGGCAAAACTAGAAATGGGTCAGTACTTTAACATAGTAACAGAAAGCTTTCCTTCTCTTTGTTCCTTTATACAGTCCTTGCCTTTGCTCTGATTCATTCATTCATGAGGCAGCAGTGAAAACAGAGATGAAAATTCCAACTCTCACAGAGCTTACATTCTAGCAGAGAAAAAAAAGGCTACGCAATGCTTCCTTTAATACATTAGCTTGACTGGGCTAAGGGATGCCCAGAAGTTTGTAACAACTGTTTTTGGATGTGTCTGTGAGAGTGCTTCTGGAAGAGATTAACATTTGAATTGGAAGACTGAGTAGAGAAGATTGCTCTTACCAACGTGGCTGGGAATTTTCCAATCCACTGAGGGCCTGAACAGAACAAAAAGGTGAAAGAAAGGTGAATTTGCTTTCTGCTTCAGCAGGCTAGCCATTTTCTCTTGCCATCTGACACTGGAGTTCTTGGTTCTCAGACTATCAGATTTTGACCAGAACTGTATTACCAGCTTTCCCATTTCTCCAGCTTGCAGGAGGCAGATTGTGGGGTTACTTAGCCTCCTTGATCAAGTAAACCAACCTTCCATAATAAATGTCTTGTATATATCTCTCTATATACTCTTGGTTCTGTTTTGCAGGAGAACCCTGCCTAATGCAGACTGTAAGCTTGATAATTAAGCAAACTGAATAGGATTAGACAGTGATAAAAAAAATAAGTAGGGAAAATGAATAGGAAGTGTTTGGGGGACATTTTATGGTAATTTTCTATAGCACAGTCAGGTGAGACTTCACCCATGACATTTGAGGAAAGGTCTGAGGGAGTTGAGGGAGAAAGCTGTGCACAAAGAGTGGGGAAGGGTATTTGACAAAGTAGGCCGGGCATGGTGACTCACACCTGTAATCCCAGCACTTTGGAAGGCAGAGGTGGGCAGATCACTTGAGGCCAGGAGTTCGAGACCAGCCTGGCATTTATACTAAAAATACAAAAATTAGTCCTGCGTGGGGGCACGTGCCTGTAGTCCCACTACCAGGGGAGGCTGAATCATGAGAATCGCTTGAACCTAAAAGGCAGAGATTGTAGTGAGCTGAGATCACGGCACTGCACTCCAGCCCGGGTGACAGAGCAAGAATCTGTCTCGAAAGAAAAAAAGAAAAGAGTATTTGACAAAGTAATATACAAGAAGATGAAAGCAAGTGTGACATGTATAAAGAACAGTAAATAGCCAGTGTAGAGGGTGTGAGAGAAGAACAGTAAAAGATAAAGTCAGAAAGGTAAGGTGAATGGAAACCACAGAATGGGCCTTAGCCTTTTCCCTGAGATCCACAGACACTGGAGTCTCTTTTTCCCTGAGATTCACAGACATTGGAGTCTCTTCTTCTCTGAGATCCACACACAGTGGAGTCTCTTCTTCCCTGAGACCCACAGACACTGGAGTCTCTTCTTCCCTGAGATTCACAGACACTGGAGTCTCTTCTACCCTGAGATCCACACACACTGGAGTCTCTTCTTCCCTGAGATGCACAGACATTGGAGTCTTTTGGTCAGTGCTTCATATTCTGCCTTACGTTTTAAGGGGTCATCTTGTCTGCTGTTTTGACAAGGGTGGAGGCAATAGTGGAAGCAGGGAGAACAATTGGAAATCTATTACAATGACCCAGGAGAGAGATGACTGTGGCTTACATAAGGTTGATAGTAGTGAGTGTTGTGTGAAGTGTTGCAGTCTGGATATACTTTGAAGATAGTGTCACAGGATCTGTGGACAGAACAGGTACTGGGCATAAGAGAAAGAGGAGTAGAAAATGTCTCCAAGGTTTCTGGCCTGAGCAACTAGAATGGGGTTTCTCCTTACTGAGATGGGCACAAGGCAGAACTCAGCAGCTCTGTTTTGGGTATTTTCTTTCTTTTCTTTCTTTCTTTTTGAGATGGAGTCTCGCTCCATCATGCAGCCTGGAGTGCAATGGCGTAATCTCAGCTCACTGCAAACTCTGCCTCCCAGGTTCAAGCGATTCTCCTGTCTCAGCCTCCAGAGTAGCTGAGACTACAAGCAAACGCCATCACGCCTGGCTAATTTTTGTATTTTTAGTACAGATGGGGTTTCACCATGTTGGCCAGGCTGGTCTCAAACTCCTGACCTCAGGTGATTCACCCTCCTTGGCCTCCCCTAGTTTTGGGATTACAAGTGTGAGCCACCACACCCGGCCCAGGTTGGGGTGTTTTCTATTGGAGATGTCTACATCTGTGAGTACTGAGCAACCCACGGGCAGTTGAGGGGAAGAATGAGAAAGATGTCTGGCCAGAGATTGGAGATTCATCAGGATATAAAATATATTTAAAACCATTAGATGAGATGAGTTAACCACGGAGGTGAGAGACAATGAAAAGACAGAAAGTCTCAGGGCTCTCCTGGAGAATTCTTGGAGTTGAGGAGAGACTAACAAAACTGTGGAGAAAGAAGTGGTTGATAGAGAGGAAGAAAACCAGGAGCTTTCTTGGAAGCCTAGTGAAGCAAGTGTGAGTTGGTAGAATTGTTGAGACCCTGTGAAATTTAAAAGGATGGAGTCGGACAATATGGGAGGAACTGAATAAATGGGCAGAGAAATCACCCATAGACATTGGCTGAGAATCTTGAATGAGAACATCTAATAATATTAAAATGATTTGGGCAGGAATTGGAAGGCTGTTATTTGAGTGTTCTAGTTTTACTTCTGCAAAAAAAAAAAAAAAAATTATCATAAACTTAGTAGCACACAAACAACACAATTGTGTATGTGTATATATACATACATATATGCATATGCATTATCTTCTAGCTCTGCAGCTCGGAAGCCTCACACAGATACTACTAGGCTAAAATCAAGGTATGGGTAGGTAGGGCTGCTTTCCTTTCTAGAAGCTCTGGGGGGAATTTGTTCCCTTGCTGGTTCTGACTTCTAGAGTCCACTCCCATTTTGTGGCTCATGGCTCTCTTTGTCTGTATTCAAAGCCAACAATGTTACCTATCTCTGACCAGTCTTTTTCCATTGTCATCTCCCTTTCTGTATTCTATCTCCCTCTCCTAATTTTATTTTAAAGTCAGTTGATAAGCAACTAACTTTAATTTTATTTGTAACCTTAATTGCTCTTTGCCATGTAGCCTGACTTACTCACAGACGCTGAGGATTAGAACATGAATATCTTAGGGGCCATTCTGCCTACCACTGTGAAAATATGAATTGCTCTTGGATAAAATATTATTTTTTCTTTTCATTCTATTTTTGTAACTTCAAAGGGAACAAACTTTTTATATATGTCATCCTCTCCCTCCATAACCACTTCATCTTTCTCACCATCACTCACAAAATTTTTCCATTTAATTTTGCTATTTGTGTTACTGAATGACCATGCACTCACTATAGTGCCATCGAGGACTCAAAGATAGAAAATAGAAAGTTCATTTAATTTCACAACCTAATAATAAACATTGTAAATTTTTGATATATTTGCTTCTACATTTTCCTATATTTTTTGAAAAAGCATATATTTAAAAATATAAGCTATACTTTATTTCTTGGCCAAGTTGAAAAGGTTTCAATGAAAATAATTCTTATGCGTTGTTGATATAAAATGGTATTTCTTTCCTTGACAATGTGTTGCAAGAACCTTAAAAAATATTTATAGACTTTGTCCTAATAACACCAATTCTAGTATTAAGAAATAATCAGAAATGTCAAGGGTTTATGTATAAGGTTTTCCACTGCTATGCTCTTTGGAATAGTGAAAAATTGGAAGAAAACTATAGAGCTTTTATTGTATGGAAATTTTCTTAAAATGTCCTTAGAAGTTTGGAAGAATCCACTGTGAAAAATGATTTGGGGAGGGTTTTGGGCCAAGGATTTCTTAGTCTCTTTCTTTTTTTCTGGTGGTGGGGGTGGTAATTTTTTATTCAACAAACATTATGGGAATGTATTTCATGATGTTAGTTCTGTGGATACTTACAGTTCTATTCATTTGAATCCAATGAAAATTAGTTGACCATCTGTTAGCTGCAAATCACTGTTCTGTATCATATGAGTGGAACAAGAAAAAGATTATAAATAACAGCCCAGAGCTCAGCAATTCCCTCTTAAATACTGCCACATTCTCAATAATCTCATGTCTTCCGTCAGTAATCTCATGTGTTCCACAGCGATTTAGTCTAAAGTGAGGCTGGGCAACAGGAAATTTTATAAGAGTAAATTTAGGATAACAAACAATTTTTTTCCACCATTATTTGCTGCTAGGCTTTGAATGCTTGAAAAAAAACGGAGTCCTCTTCTTCAGTTTTTAAATGAACTGAGTTAGTAAATAGGTTACAATAATGAGCTAGATTCTGCGAGCTAGAGTGTCCTCAACAATTGATTATTTGGGATAAGATCAGTTACTCAGCTCTCTCTGGAGATCTGCAGCTTCATTCACACTATTGACATTTTTAAACTAATCAAGCTTTCTAAAATGTGAATTAGAGGATTTAGCCCCTTCTCTTTAAGAACCTACCTAGATTCTCTCTCTCCCTACTTACTACCTAGTGTTGTCAATCAGTCAGTAAATCTGGTAAGTTTGTCAAATGGACAATCACATTAGTGAAGTGAATTGCTCATGGATATAAGAGAAAACAAACTTTATAAAACGTACAGCGAGGCCACAGGAGACGATATACTTCCACAAACACTTCCAATACATTATCCTAACTTTTCTGAAGCACAATCAATGCAAAGATAAAAATCTCTAAAAGAACCTAAAGGGATTCACTGATAACTCAAGTATGGCACCTTCCTTCCAGTGAAAGACCCTGAAAGAGACATTTCTATAATTAGTTCCTGGAATCGGTTTTCTCTGATTCTTTGTAAACCATTAAAATGTCGTCACGCTTTTATGTAAAAGGATGTGCTCAAATACCTCCATGCTTAACAAAAAGATAAAATTTTAGTACGACCAAAGGAATTTCAAAACAGGAGTCCAAGAAATGCAGGCATATTGGCTCTGAGTTCCATATCATTTAGATACAGTGAGGCTTCTGCAAGTCAGCAACTTTAGGACTCTGAGGAGGGCAAAGAAGTTTGCATCAATCAAGAAAAACCCAAAATTCCCAGATAGGAGTTAAAGTCATCATATTAGACTGAGACAGAAATCAAAAGATAGATTCTGCCTCAAAACCAATTGGTAGCATGGCAGTTGTAAAGACAATCATATGACAGGCCTGTCCCTGTCATCATTCCACTTACTCATCTTGGAAGCACAGTTTAATCTTTTCTTTGTCCAGAGGATTATAGGCTCTTTCTGAACTGGCTTTATCCATAGGAGTGTGTGAAACATAGTAGGCACTCATTCAATATTTTCTGAATAAATGAATGAACCTACTATGATCAGATGACAACTTGTTTCGGTCACCAGATTTTTGTAATTTGTAGTTCTCTTTCCTAGGTGGCTTGGTTTTCTGGGGCTGGGTTTGTTGTGGTGTAAGCGGCACTCTCAGCTCCCCTGACCCCATCTGTGTTCCCTTCTATGCATCATGCACTTAAGAGCATATGTGAATATGAAAAGTGCATTGCAAATATCAAAACAATATTCTACCCTTTTTAGTCAATTATAGACACTTCTGCTATGTTGTTTAAGTATTTTTTTCCAGAAATACATGTGAGCTAATTTTAATATTTTGGTATAATTAAAATTTTGATATGGAAGACAGTTACTATCTTGATATTTTAGTAAAACTGGCTTCAAAAAATATTTGCAATTTAACTGGAGTTCAAATGTAAATTTTGGAAAAATATTTTCCAAAGACTTAATATCTACAACAGGCCATTACTAGGCAAATATATGAAGTATCCCAAAGGCAAATCAGAACCTGCAAGTCTTCATAGATCTTCATTTATTTATTTATCTATCCAACAAATATTTATTTTATTGAGGTTTAGAAAAGCAAACCAGATTTTTTTTTTTTTTTTTTTTTGAGACGGAGTCTCGCTCTGTCGCCCAGGCTGGAGTGCAGTGGCGGGATCTCGGCTCACTGCAAGCTCCGCCTCCCGGGTTCACGCCATTCTCCTCCTGCCTCAGCCTCCCAAGTAGCTGGGACTACAGGTGCCCGCCACTACGCCCGGCTAATTTTTTGTATTTTTAGTAGAGACGGGGTTTCACCGTTTTAGCCGGGATGGTCTCGATCTCCTGACCTCGTGATCCGCCCGCCTCGGCCTCCCAAAGTGCTGGGATTACAGGCGTGAGCCACCGCGCCCGGCCGCAAACCAGATTTTTAAAAATGTGAGTCACTATGTTTTGCATTTCACATGTCAACTCACTTTATCATTTTAATAATTCTGAAATATGAGTTATCATTTCACAGATTTAAAAAATGAAAATTCTGAGAGTTCAGGTGTCAGAAGGGACATACCAATCAGGTAGTGAAGCTGGAATTCCAATTTATGGCATTCTTAGTCCAAAATCCGTGAACAGAACTACACGAATGCCTGCTTCTGATTCAGTGAGTTTGTGCAAAGCACTGTGATATATATGCACTGGGAGAGCCTATAAAAATTGAATATGGCTTCCTGCTTAGGTAACCTTTAGCTTGTAAGAGTAAAAATATAGGAGCATGTCTTAGTCTGTTCAGGCTGCTATAACAAAATGCCTTAATGTGGGTAGCTTACAGACAGTAAATGTTTATTTTTCACAGTTTCGGGGATAGGAAGCCCAAGATCAAGGCACTGGCAGATTCCTTGTCTGTGGAGGGCCTGCTTCCTGGTTCACAGATGGTAACTTCCTGCCGTGTCCTCACATAGTTAAAGAGGGAAAGCAGTTTTCTTGGGCCTTTAAGAGCATTTATAAAGAAAATAATAATCTCATTCATGAGAATGCCGCCCCCGTGTTCTCATCACCTTCCAGAGGCCCAGCCTCCCAATACCATCGCAGTGGAAGTTCGGATACTATAAGATAAAATTTGAAGAAACGTTCAGGTCCTACCAGTACATAAATAATTATATAATAATACAAGGTAGAAAATTATGGGACAAGAATAGATATAGGTCTATTGTAGTTGATGTGATAAAAACCTGTTTAGATGAAATTACAACTTGATGGTCTACATACTGTCGCTCAAATTCTTAAGCAGTTTATTCACGGAGAAGTGGAAAAAAAGTGATTAAACATAAGAGATGACAATTAATGATTTCACAAATCAAATACAATTATGATGTTTGATATTCTATTGATTCCAATTTACCTCATTTTTAGTTTCCGAACAATGAGTTAAGAAGAAATGGACCACTTCCCGGTAACACAAACGCATATTCACATTATTTAGTTCATGCTATAGTATTTCTTCATTCATCTTTTAGATCTGAACTTGGGAGAAGCACAGAAAGAAAGGGTAAGTTGCCAGAAACACTTTCAGTGTGATTCAGTAGCACAACTGCTCAGTTTCAGGCTGTCAGCACAGTTGTAGACAGGACACAGTGTTTCTGCAATTAATCTTTCTGATGCACCAATGATACTTTGCAGAACAGAACGATTACCAATAGTTACTTGCTCTTTTCCCTCATTCCTGGCCAATGAGCTTGGCCAATGAGCCAGAAGAATTCTGATTGAAAACCAAAAAGGGGCTAGAGCCATTAGCATTTTCCTTTTCTTGGTGTGGTCACATCCTTCAGTTCACTGAGTTTGGATGCAGCCTATTTGATGAAATAGAGACTCTATTTTGCTAATAACAATCATATACACATTCGCACCCACCTGCCATTTTAGCTACACTACACTCATAGTTACAATAACTGTCTGTTTACATACATGTACATCCTTCTAGAGCAAATCATAGTGAAATTTGAAACACATAAAGAGATCAGCTTTCCACAGCGGAACATTATGAGGGAACATTATCTTCTGTTTTTAGAAAGGATGATAACGGTGTTCAGAAGCAGAATGGCGGGGAGCCGTTCTTCCTGAGCCTCCAGCAATGATTCATATTTTTGATAGTTTGAGTGAGTTAAGCTTTGTCTCTGTCATAGCAACCTCTTTATACCTGGATGAAGATATAAATCCTGGGGACACCAGAAGGAATGGAGCCCATATACTCTGCCCTTGATGCCCGAAGCAACTGTGTGACAGCTTGAAACAGAAATAAATGTTAACGTTCCCACTCTTGCTGTGTTCTTCAGGAAACAAAACTTTATTTCACTGAGTTCTCTTGAGAGCGGATAAAAGATGAATTCCTGATCATGAGAAGATTGAAAACATGTTACTTTTGCACCCTGTCAGGAAAGCTGGAAAGCCTGTATCAGTGACTAAATGAAATAATAACAGCCCTATACACAGTATTGAACAATACATGGCTTCTAAGGGTACCAAAAGCTCTGTGTGGAGCACGAGGCCTTTACAACAAGTCTTGGGACTCTGGAAGGCCCCTGGCCCAGAGCCAATCCATCACAATCGGCGGCTGGGAGAAGTGATGAGGAGTGATTTACAGCTTTTGCCTCCCAACCTCTGTGAGATGCCGAGACAAGTGGATAATTTCCTATTCCAAGTACCCCAGGGTCGATAAAATAGGTCGTTGCTTTTCCTTCTGAGGGAGGCCTTCCTGGTACACTGTTCTTCCTCCAGAAATAAGGCGGCTCCCATTTGAAAATTAGGCCTCCTCTTCACCCTTCTGCTTAAGGAACAAAAATGGGAAGCTCTTTCCGTTGAATGCTTTGGACTGGGCTTCAGTTTTACTGGTTATACCAGGATGCTACCTAAAGCCACAATTATTTCCTCCTCATGCTCTCGAAGCCTTGGTTGGCTGAAGGGTAGATTTTGAATTACCCGACTCCTTTGTACGTCCCAGTTCCCATCACCATAACTTGTACATTAGGCATTCAGTAATAATTGATGGAGTTTCACTCTGTCGCCCAGGCTGGAGTGCAGTGGTGCGATCTCGGCTCACTGCAAGCTCTGCCTCCCAGGTTCACACCATTCTCCTGCCTCAGCCTCCCGAGTAGCTGGGACTACAGGCACCCGCCACCATGCCTGGATAACTTTTTGTATTTTTAGTGCAGACGGGGTTTCACCATGTTAGCCAGGATGGTCTCGATCTCCTGACCTCTTGATCTGCCCGCCTTGGTCTCCCAAAGTGCTGGGATTACAGGCATGAACCATCGCGCCTGGCCTTGATTTTTTTGTGACTCAATTCTATTTGTATTTTTATCTGTTCATAGAAAGGCATCTCACACTTTATTTCATTCTGCTTTGTAAAAAATCATGAGGTGTTATGATTCTTCTGATATGTTCACATCTCAATGCATTTTAAGACAAAAATGCTGGATAATTATACAAGCTCACATAATCCTAGAAAGTGAGATATGAGTCTAAAAATTCTGTTAAAACCCTCATATTTTAGAACTATGGCAGAAATATGGCTATCTCAAGATTCATTTGTGGTCTACTTTTGTTCAC
Source organism: Homo sapiens (assembly GCF_000001405.40). NCBI lineage: Eukaryota > Metazoa > Chordata > Mammalia > Primates > Hominidae > Homo > Homo sapiens. Next base: position 76,921,743 of record NC_000003.12, on the reverse strand, counting down.
TGAAGTATCTCAAGTGCCAAGAATGGTGCTTCACCAAAAAAAGAAAGAAAGAAAGAAAGAAACAAACAAAAAACACTCAATGCTTTTAAAAATAACACTGCAAATATTTGAGGTTGGATCTAGCAAAAATTAGGTACAGAGACTTGCTCTGTCACCCAGGCTGGAGTGCAATGGAGCAATCCCGGCACACTACAACCTCTGCCTCCCAGGTTCAAGCGATTCTCCTGCCTCAGCCCCCTGAGTAGCTGGGATTACAAGTGTGCGTCACCACGCCCAGCTAATTTTTGTACTTTTAGTGGAGATGGGATTTCACCATGTTGGTCAGGCTAGTCTTGAACTGCTGACCTCAAGCGATCCGTCTGCCTCTTCCTCCCAAAGTGCTGGGATTACAGGTGTGAACCATCCCGCCTGGCCAAAAATTAGATACCTTATAATGGAATTTCCCATTTACCTTTTTTCCATTTAATTTTTATAATTAAAGAAAATTCACAAGAGAAATTACTGATGGGACGAATATATATCAAACTGTAATACATCCTAAATCACTTCACTGATGATAGAAGGCATACATTCACGTGATGACATCAATCAATTTATTATGGATCAATTTGCAGCCAAGCATTCTCCTAAACCTGTCTGATGTTTTGGCAAGATGCTTGAAAGGACTCACTAAAAATTTATTACTGTAGCTTGAAATAATTTCCCCCCACCCTCCATTCTCTGGCTCAACAAAGAGAATACTGTTCGCCCTCTGAACATATAGATTTTATAGTTTAACGTAGTAATAGACATGCTTGCCAAGAATCACAGTTTTTAATGAACCTTTATTAAAACCATTGCTGTGTTTTTGCTTTCATTATAAGCTGTGAGTTTTTAAAAAAACTCATTCTATTTAAATTTGTCTAACTTTTGTAATCAAAGCTGAAGTATTGTCTTGAAAATATATTTTGTATCACTTTGCCTCTTCTTGTCAAAAGTTTCAACCTAAGCAGTTCAATTAATTGACACTGATGTTGAACATATGCAATATGTAAACTTTTCAAAGTGAATTCACATTAGTGCCAAAGGGCATGTTGCTGTCATATATAATGTTTTTAAGCAAGATACAACTTTGAAAGACTATGTACTTAAATACTAATTGAAGTTTAAAAAGCATTGGCTTGGTGCAGTATCCACAGCACCAAATTGTAGTTTACTGTATGTATGTCATGAACTTAGGATTTTCTGCTTCATAGAAGAAACCAAAAACTAACTTTTCAAATTCAGACTAGGAAAAGGTGAACTTTTATGCCTCCAATTCTGTATACAATAAAAACTTAGCTGTTTCTGCTGACCCCTAAGTGTCAAATAGCTAACCCAAATTTCCTTTCTAGTTGAAATTTGACATACATGATGGCAGCAAATTTATTGTTTCCCAGACTGTCTGCTTTAGAGACTGTTTTATGAATAAGCTAATAAAGGTGAGTTTTTATTCCTTTTTGTCACTTTCTAATTAATATTGTATCATTTATTTTCTCTTTCAATACTGAGACTTTAGGTTAAGTTGGTTTTCTCCTCTCAAAAAAAAAGGAAAAGAGAAAACATTAAGTCACAGAAAAAATAAAATAACGGAAAGCCAAGTGATACATTTATTGGCAAAAGTTACCTTGATTTACTGAATTTGGATTATTGCACATTTTTTCTGCTGTTTAAACAAGGGACTCTATATTTTTATTTTGCACTGGGCTTTACAAATTATGTTGCCATCCTTGATAAAAATCTATTACGTCCAATTTCTTTGAGTGAAGTAAATAGGTGCATGGGAAGATTTTTATTCTGCTTATATCAATATTTTGAAAAGTTAATTGCTTAGACAGTAAGCTTTGTCAGTAAATTATTACAAAATAAAAGTTTACACATGATACTACAATAAAACATATCAGGGAGTTATCAGAAGTATTCAAAGAGTTTAGGATTTCTGGTTTTGATCAGTGATTCAAGATTGCAAAGCAAGTAGTCACAGGCTTAAAAGTAAAAATTAAATTTAAAGGTCTATGTGTCAATAAAAAATAATATTATTTTGGATGAACCAATCATTAAGCAAGAAGATAATATTAACATTGTTTTTCCTTACAATTAAAAATACATGATAGGATGCGTAAACAAGTGTTTTGAATTATATACCGATCATGAAGTCATGATTGTTTCCTTGTATAATGTCTCACAAGTTACAGAAAATGTCAGAGGAAACAAGAAGATACTATTAAATTTACATATAAAATTAAATTTAGACTAACATGAAATTGATTTATATGAGGAGATAAATCTTTTTAGAAAAATTTGCCAATAAGAATGTTCAGCTCTATATGTGCTAACCCTTATATTTTGGAATAATTTGTCAGAAATTTATCTCAATATTGCCATGGCCTATAAATATTCTTAAAAATTTCAGAGCAATTGTATCATCAGAATTACATTCTTAAATGGAAAATTATCAAAAATTGTTTGCTATCAAACATTTGCCAGGAGTGACTGACATCACTTTCTTTTTATTTATTTATTTTACTTTATTTTTTTAAGTTCCGGGGTACATGTGCAGAATGTGCAGGTTTGTTACACAGGTAAATGTGTGCCATGGTGGTTTGCTGTACCTATCAACCCATCACCTAGGCATTGCGCCATCTGACAAAGGTCTAATATCCAGAATTTACAAAGAACTCAAGCAAATTTACAAGAAAGAAACAAATAGCCCATTAAAAGTGGCAAAGGATATAAATGGACACTTCTAAAAAAAAAAAAGACATACATGTGGCCAACACAAGCATATGAAAAAAAGCTCAACATCACTGATCATTAGAGAAATGCAAATCAAAACCACAATGAGATACCACCTCATGCCAGTCAGAATGGCGATTATTAAAAAGTCAAGAAACAACCAATGCTGGCGAGGATGTGGAGAAATAGGAATGCTTTTACACTATTGGTGGGAACGTAAATTATTTCAGCCATTGTGGAAGACATTCAAATATTTAGAACTGGAAATACCACTTGATGACTTTCAATTATGCTGACTGAAAATGAAGTGTTGAAAGTATACCTTTAATGATTTAATAAATAAATGCATAGGCAAATGAACCAAAAAAACTCATGATCAATCAAGAAATCATATTAACAAAGCATTACTGTATTACATAAAATTATGACACTAAAATATTATTTTTTGCAAGTTGACAGTTTATTACTGATGTGTAACCCCTATTATATTATATACATAATAAAATATTGTATTAGTCTGTTCTCACACTGCTATGAAGAAATACCTGAGACTTGGTAATTTGTAGAGAAAAGAGGTTTAATTGACTCAGTTCTGCATGGCTAGGGAGGCCTCAGGAAACTTACAATCATGGCAGAAGGCACCTCTTCACAGGGTCACAGGAGAGAGAATAAGTGCAAAGAGGGGAAATGCCAGAGGCTTATAAAACCATCAGATCTCACGAGAACTCACTCACTATCGTGAGAACAGCATGGGGGAAACCACCTCCGTGATCCAATGACCGGCACGTGGTCCCACCCTTGATACATGGGGATTATTAGAATCAAAGTAAGATTTGAGTGGAGACATACAGCCAAGCCCTATCAAATATCTTAAACCAATATAGTTCATATTTTATTACTTTTAACTGTACTTTTTCTTTCCTCCTTTTGGAACGAGGGGATCCATGCTTTCATTTTGCACAGGGCCCAACATATTATGTATCCATTTCGTATCTCTGCCTTGTATGTTTAATTTTCTTAACTAAAATAAATAGGTAATAGGGATGTTTTTATTTCTGTTCTTCTTAATATCTAGAAAACATAAGTTGTATTTACTTCATCTGATCTCTTCTCTCTTTTCCTCATGCTCTGGCTCCCCTTGGTTACATAACTGTCTTTACACCTGCTCATATTTTCCAGAGAGTTAAGAAACCATTTTTTTTTAGAATAAAACTCTGAGCTTAAGATCTTAGACATTTTTTTTTAGCTCACCAGATATTATCCCCTTACATATGTGAACGACAGATGCCAGGTTTTAAAAAAACTTTTATTTTCCCTCAATGAGAAGGCCCTACAAACCATTTTTTGCCATATTTGACACAGCTGGTGAATAAGCAAAAGACACAAATTGTTATAGAATCCAAAAACAAACTGCGCTCTTCTCTCAGCACCACCTGGGGCCTCTTAATGCATGAAGCAGGAAAAGGAAATATGCAAATGTTGATATTCATTTGCATAGCGCTGATTCCACTGAATAGTTTTCTTGGGTTTCCTAATGTTTTCATGATTTTCTCAGCATACACTTATCAATCATTTTTCTTGTCAGGAAGAACCTCATTTTTTGTATGTCCATGTTAAGTGTTGCCTGCAGGTATTGCAATTTCTGAATCCTCTCAAGGTAAGAGTTGCCTTGGAAAAGCATAATTCTAGACAGAAAAGAAATCACTCTTGCTGAAAAAGCACATAGCAATGATCCTAGTGCATAATAAGCAACAGACTACCAGACTTTCTTCTTTAATGGGAGGCTTGATTGCCATACGTAGAACATAAAAATGAAGTAGAATCATTATTGCACTGATGCCAAGCAGCAGCATTCTCCCCTCCGGGTACGGATACCACCCTGTCCATGAGCCCAGCCTTGGTTTGTCGGTTATCATTATCAACGCCTGCCTTTAAGAGACACTAAAATTTAAAGGCCCCCTTTTAAGCTATATCTGTCTGCTTTTTTGGTCAATGTGTTGTTTGCGGGGAGAGGATGGGCTGACAGTTGGTTAGAAAATTCAACTAGAAGTTTCTCTGTTCCTCAAATGGACGAGTGTTTTGCATGTTATAAACCCCTAATAAATGAAAAAAAGAAAAAGCAACTGTGTGTAGTATCCCATGATAACAATGAGGGAGGCTAGGTCTCTTGTTCTCACACTCTTTTTGAACTTAAGTAATTTCTTTGGATTTGTTCTTTTTCTTTTCTTTTTGAATAACCTTAGAAGGAAATGTTATGGTGTTAGATGATTTTACTCCTTTTATTAATCACAGTAATTCATATATAAACGTCAATCTTGATACTATCTCATATGTCTTTTAAAATAAAATCAGGCCCAGTGTGGTGTCTCTCGTCTGTAATCCCAGCACTTTGGGAGGCCTGGGTGGGAGGATGGCTTCAGCTCCGAAGATTTCCGTAACAAAATGAGACCGTGTCTCTACAAAAAAATAACAATAAAAAAATTAGTGGGGCATGGTGCCATGGGCCTGTAGTCCCAAATGCTCGGGAGGCTGAAGTGGGAGGATTGCCTGAGCCTGGGAGGACAAGGCTGCAGTGAGCTGAGATTGCACCACTACACCCCAACCTTGGTGACAGAGCAAGACCCTGTCTCCAAAAAAGGTACATATCTGTCCATAAAGTCTCTTTTATTTGCATTTTCTAACAATTTCATTTTCTTCACTCAGACGTTCTTAACCAAAGTTAATGATGGCTGCATAAACAAGTCTCATTCGAGTACAGATATTCATGTAGTTCATGTCCAAATGTCAAGTAAAAGAGCAGCATATTATAGCAACCCCATCTTTATTAAAAAGAAGTATCTTCTGCAACATTTTATAACTTAATGTATCTGATTTGGACTGCGTCCCCCCAGCCCCCAAATTCATATATTGAAACCCTAACCCTCCATCTGATGATATCAGGAGGTAAGGCCTTTGGGAGGTGATTAGGTCATGAGGGTGGAGCCCATGTGACTGGGAATTAGTATGATTATAAGAGAGGCATATGAGCTTGCTTTCTGCCTCTGTTCTCCACTGTATGAGGATACAGCAAGAAGAAAGCTGACTGCAGACTAGGAAGTGGGCCCTCACCACACACTGGATTTGCTGGCGCCTTGATCCAGAACCGTGAGTAATAAACATTTGCTGTTTAGGCCTCCTGGTTTGTGATATTTTTGTTGTAGCAGCCCAAACTTACTTAGACAGGATCCTTGCTCTAAGCAAGAAAGGATATGGAAGTCACAGAGCCGCCTCCTGAAAGTCACGCTTTTCACTCTTTTTTTTTCTTTTTTTTTTTTTTTTGAGAGCGAGAGTTTCACTCTGTTACCCAGGCTGGAGTGCAGTGACGCAATCTTGGCTCACTGCAACCTCCACCTCCTAGGTTCAAGTGAGCCTCCTGCATCAGCCTCCCGAGTAGCTGGGGTTACAGGCACTCACCACCACACCCAGCACACCCAGCTAATTTTTATATTTTTAATGGAGACAGGGTTTCACCATGTGGGCCAGGCTGGACTCAAACTCCTGACCTCCAGTGATCCACCCGCCTTGGCCTCCCAAAGTGCTGGGATTACAGGTGTGAGCCACCGCACCTGGCCAGCTTCTCAATCTTTAAGCTCTTTTTCACAACACTACTAAGGCTAAAGTCATTTCATATTTTATCCTTTTATGGTGGGTTTCTTAGTCCACAGAAGACACATCATTCATGTATTTGACACATATATTTCACAGTGAATTATTTGCTAGACATGGCTAAGCACGGGGAATAGAGTGGTAAATAAAACAGCCATATTCCCAGCTGTCATGGAACTTACAGTCTGGCAGGGGAGAACAACAAGAAATAAACAAAAATAAGGCAGCAAACTGTGATGAATGTTATGAAAATGTTATAAAGAAGAAGGTGTTACATTAACAAATTGGTATTTTAAACTACAAATTGGTATTTTAAAGAGGGGTAGAGGAAGTTTCTCTGAAAAACTTATATTGACATTTAAGGTGAATTAGGTTTCATTCTTCCTTTATAGTCACCTCAGTGTGGCAGTGGTAAAACACAATATATACAAAACACATTCTTTTCAGTAAGAATGGGATGCTGTTCTTGACTTCTTAGAACACCCTGTCCTGTTTTTCATCTTTCTAAATTCTTACTCTGTTTTCCCTTCTTCCAACATGTGCTCCTGTCAGCTTGTTTTATAACCAAATCGAAGAAGTTCACTAAAATGCAAACAATATTATCTCTATTTTCCTTCATCTTGGTGTAGTCAAAAGTAGTATCTGTATATTGATATGTATAGCAAAAGGCACTGCAATGTTGTATAAATTTGTCCCAATAACTGCACTCAGCCTCCCAGCGATTGACAAAAATTAAGTTAAAAGCTTATAAGCTACTGAGAAATGACACAGATTTTCTTGGCAACAAGATCCAATAATTATTTCTCCAGTGGCTCTTCAGAAAAGTCAACACTAGTGATTCAGCAGTAGATATAGGTAGCAGTTATTCATGAATTAAAAAAAAAAACAATGTGCAAAATACATGCTGTTACATTCAAAAGAGACTAAACTTTCCTATTTCTCTGCTACTCTCTAATGTATATTTGAGCAGGGAAATTCTGAGATTGTATTTTAATTCTAAAAGTTTAGTGAACTTGAAAGGGCTTTTACTTTTGGTGGTGAGTTCAAAAGGCACTTAGCAGGGAAATCTATGTAATGCTGATAACCTTGGTAGATGTGTGCAATCTATTTAATCTGAGAGGAATACCCTCTCCATGCAACTGAGGATACATTTTAAAAATTCCCATGAATATGCACATTTAAGGGTAATTGTTACTAACTCCCAGTACAAGATGCTTTGGTATAAATTCTCCTTTTTAAACTATTATTTTAATTTGCAAAAGTGCATTGCTAACCCAACTGAATTCCAATTTGTTTTACATTTACTCATCTAAAGGAGTATTATTCACAGTAACTCATCTAAAGGAGTATCATTCACAGTTACTTATCTAAAGGAGTATTACTCAGTTACTCATGTAATGGAGTATTATTCACAGTTACTCCTCTAAAGGAGTATTTTTCACAGTTACTCCTCTAAAGGAGTATTATTCAGTTACTCCTCTAAAGGAGTATTTTTCACAGTTACTCATCTAAAGGAGTATTATTCACAGTTACTCCTCTAAAGGAGTATTACTCACATTTACTCATCTAAAGGAGTATTATTCACAGTTACTCATCTAAAGGAGTATTATTCGCTAGAAAGAAGTTGGAATGATCTTGCAGTGGCCCAAAAGTGGCTGAATTGTAGTAATTGCCACGTTTTTCAGGCAGAATAAATCTGTCAAACATCTACAATGCATTAATTTATTTATTCACCAGAGTTAATTTGTCTTAAAAAAATCTTAGGTTTTAACTCGATTTATAATACAAAAAAATACTCTTAGATGTAGAATCACAGCTTTCTCGATTTTATTGTAGTAAGAATAATACATAGAAATAACATTAAATAAATATTCTCACAAAAACATACACACATAGTACAGGTAGAACATATAACTGGTTGATGCTAAATAACAGATCCAGATAATTTTTCATTTGAATTAGCAGCAGGGAGTCATTGAATGCTATGCCCTTAGAATGGCTTGCAGGCTTTCACGAGTAGGGAGAGCGTGACTCCCTCCGTAATGACGATCTTCAACACAGGTGAAATAACCAGAGAAACGCCTCCTAAAGACCTCTCCCACCACCTAAAACGCTCACTCATCTATCAACTCGGGCAGTTTTATGGGGAGGGGCACATTTTGAAAGAGGGTCAAAGTTTCAGATTTTAAAGTCGGAAGGCTCATCATGCTTCGCCTTTTCCTTTGTCCTCCCACCTTATTAATTTAAAATTTTTCACAAGGAGTGGCAGTAATTAGACTCAATCTGGACCTCCACCAAGGTTTGCTATCAAATTTCTTTCCTGTTTATGCTTGAGTTACTCAGAAGTTATCTGTGTGCTCTTTGGACGTATAAGACCTATTTTTTTTTTTAAACTCCCTCTGTACAAAGAATGTAATCTTAGCTCACTAGGTTCTGGATTGGATCATTGTACTTCTTTATTTCAAATATCAGAGTAAAGAGTGAACGTAGTAATTCGTCATTAATAGTTCCCTTCTCCAAATTCAGACAAAAACCTAATACTTTTTGTTTAAAAGTTTTCTTTGCCTAAAGTTGAATACACATTGCCTAATTAACGTTAAGTTTAGTGAAACGGAAATTTTATCTATAAATTATTCTCTTATGAAACAATTATGAAATTGTTTCTGATATGATAATGTTCACTCCTATTTCTTTCTGAAGTTTTATTTAGCTCATTCATTGGAGAGTCTTTAATTGGAAAATGGAGCAATTGGCTGTTATCGATTAAAAATTGTAAGAACATCTAAGAAATTAATTGGCTACTGATTATTACATGCTGATAAAGTTGATAGGCTTGTAAAATATTTTATTTACCAAATGACATTTTAGCCTTTTAAACAACTTATGTTCCTTGATGGACATTCTTAAACAATCTGTGCTGGGTTGTCCCTGTGATTTTTATTATTATTGCAAAAAACTACAAGTAAGAGAAGCATTAATTCAGAAAGCAAATAAATATAATTTTTAAAAACTATCTGTATCTTATTTCTGAATATAAAACCTTATTGTATCACTAGAACTAAAAAATTTTCACTTGTGATTTGACAATAGGAGCTGCTATTTCATGAACTCCCTAGTATTTTAAAGGATTTTGGGGAGCATCTAATTCAGTATTTCCTGTTACAGAGAAGAAAGCAAATACAGAGAATTAATTTGCTCGGGATCACAAAACTAGACTGAATCAGCATAAGAAAATGGGATCCTATGTCTAATGTTCAATATCTTATTTATTAGGCTTTTAGAATTGGTCTTTGGTTTCAATATCTGAAAATTTACATGATAAACTTCACATCTACTTAAAAAATCCTACTGGGGATTAATTAAAATATTTTTTTTTTGAGACAGGGTCCAGCTCTGTTGCCCTTCTGGAGTGCAGTGATACAATTACAGCTCACTGCAACCCTGACCTCCTGGGCTCAAGTCATATTTGCCTGCCTTGGCCTCCCAAAGTGCTGGGATTACAGGCATGCGCCACCACACCCAGCAGAATGTTGTGTTTTACTGTTGTTGTTGTTATTGTTGTCTTTTTGGAAATCTTATAGAACCTTTTGATATCTACCTTTTATGCATTGCCAGTCAAAAATAATTTGTATTTAAGAAATTTATTTATGAATTTTGAGAATTAAAAAAATCTTTCAAACTTGGAGATAGTAATAGCATGTATCTGAGAACCTAGGAAAAATGTAATTTTTAGCCAAGGTGCTTTTCTAATTATAGGAACTGCTGACACACTTTATTAAGTGACATGATTGGGTACATCAAAGTTGTCCTCATCTAGCCTATTTTGTGTAGCCTTGATAGTTTCTTCATCACTTGATCATTACTAGGTTTGCCTGGCTCAATTCTAACCCATTTCTTATTCCTTGAATAAACCCAACAGTAACTTCCTTGTATTTTGGTTTAAATTTGAAAGGCACTGCCATGTTTTTCCCCTGATTTTAAGGGGAAAAGGTTTTCCAATTTTACTTGCAAATACAAAGTAGCATTAGATTCCTCAGAAACTCAAATAAATCATTAAGAGGTAAAAAGGAAAGGTTATGTCAGATCAATAAGACTTGTGCTTAGCAACAAATACAATACTACTTATTGACAGTCATTTTCATTTCCTTGGAAAGGAGTTTGTTGTGTGCCACAACTATGTTTTTCATCCTGAAAATGAAATTACCACCAAGTACCATACTTTTTCATTTCTTAAAATAAGTTCCTGCTTAGTTACTAAATGAATTCCTCTCACTTGTTTATCTTAGGAGTGCAGATGGTAGATTATAGAACCTTTCCAAATGCACGCCAACACATACACTATTAAAATTATGTATTTTCTCAGAATCATTTAGGATACAATTTTGTGGAGAGTATTTAAGTAGAGTACTTAATGTATTCGAATGAAGCAAAAAAAGGACTTATCCCCCCAAATCTCTTTTTGAAATAAATACATGATATATGCCCCTCCTCAAAAGGAAACACATGAAAAATATTTTAATGATTAATGCTTCCTCATATATATTCACTTAGTGTAAACATTATTTTCATAGTAACAATGTATATGATTTCTTTTTTTTTCTTTTTTTTTTTTTTTTTTTGAGACAGAGTTTCACTCTGTGGCCCAGGCTGGAGTGCAGTGGTGTGATCTCGGCTCACTGCAACCTCCGCCTGCTGGGTTCAAGCGATTCTCCTGCCTCAGCCTCCCGAGTAGCTCGGACTACAGGTGCATGCCACCACGCCCAGCTAATTTTTCTATTTTTAGCAGAGACGGGGTTTCACCATGCTGGCCAGGATGGTCTTGATCTTTTGACCTTGTGATCCGCCCACCTTGGCCTCCCAAAGTGCTGGGATTACAGGCGTGAGCCACCATGTGCGGCCAACAATGTATATGATTTCTAAAAGTGCCCCTTTCCATAGCCCATTCAAACCAAACTTGTACTGCTTTCTCATCATTTCATAAGTGTATAAAAAAAAAGAAGAATTTGAATAGCCTCGTGTTTAGCAAAATCAACAGACTCATCTACAAGTTGTTGAGGATGTATTAGTTTTTTTTATATTCAGTAAAAGTTTTTGTAGTAGCTAATGACTTAATAAATTTCAAAGATTTTTTGAACAGTGTCCCAATCAAAACATCTTGAGTAAGGCACTGAAATAATGCTTCTCTAGGAAGACCAATGAGTGGCTAAAATGAGGACATCTTGTACCAACCACTTTGACCTAGGCTTACCTATATTTTACCAGTAACAGCAGCAGTAGTTACATGCCAGTTTTATGTCATTGTAAACATGATTCCATGATTATTTTAGATCTTCACAAAAATAGTGGAAAGAAATGAAATCTCCAAGATGTTAAGAAAATTGTTTAAATTTACAAAGCTCTTGAGAAGGAAATCTGGAACCCTTATTTTCTAATTCCAAGTCCAGCACTTATTTCTTCATGTTGTTCTGTCTCCCAAGCATATTTTATGACAAGGAGAAGAAATGTAAAAATAGACTTTTCCCCTCAAATCATGACTGCTAGTCTCTTGAAAAGATTAACTGAAAGTTTTACACGAAATAAAATTTGTCTTAACTTTTGATTTTAACAATCTAGAATTATGAGACTCTAATGTCGAATAAGACACAAGTACTGAAAGGGTTTCAGAAGATCTAGGTTAAAATGTCAATTTAAAAAACAACGCACTAAGAATTACTGAATAGTTTCAGACACTGAAATGAGAGTAAGTGTAGCTGAGGTTAAATTCTTTTTGAAAAAATTATTATTTTTTTTGTTTCAGTTTTTTGAGGGGAGAGGTTTGGTTACATGAATGAGTTGTACAGTGGTGAGTTCTGAGATTTTAGGGTGCTCATCCCATGAACAGTGAACACTGTACTCATTATGTCATCTTTTATCCCTCCCCAGAACCCCCTCCTCTGTGTCAGTTGAAGTTAAATTCTATTGATCTTTTTTCTCTCGTCCTAGCATATTGTTGACACTGTGTGTGTCTGCGAGTGCACATGCAGAGGCAAGCGTGTGTTTTAATGAGTGAAGATCCTATTTTGGTTTATTTCTATCTGTTTGAATAGATCACTATACAAGGTCAATGTCTCAAAAGTTTTTCAGTCAAAGTAGACCTGTCACTGAGGCTGGAGTACAGTGATTTGATCGCAGCTCACTGCAACCTCAAACCCTGGGCTCAAGGCAATGCTCCTGCCTTAGCCTCCAGAGTAGTTGGGACAACAGGCTGTGTGCGCCACTAAGCCCAGCTAATTTAAAAATATGTATATATTTTTTAGAGATGATTACCCAGGCTGGTCTCTAACCCCTGGCCTTAAGCAATTCTCCCTGCTCAGCCTCCCAAAGTGCGGGAATTACAGGCATGAACCACTGCACCTAAACTAGAAATTGTTTTAAGAATTAAAAAGGTTGCACATTATTTTAGTTTTATCCGACTGAAGGAATGATTCAATTATCAATTATCTTCATATAATGTACCAAATCCTTCATTTCAACACTACTTTGAAAGTTATAATTCTAATCAACCCACCTAGTAAACAGGCTTCTCATACACAATTGTATATGAAATAGTAGAATAACCAACTCTCCTAAGTAAAAACTTTCTTAGTTGTAGGTTTCACTTGTACTTGTGATTTCTCTGGTCTTTATTTCCAAAAGTAACCTTTCACCTCTGGTAGTGATTTCTCTGTGCCTCCTGAGTAGCAGTTGTTCGTAAAAGGATTATCTAAGTAAATTGCTTGATGCAAAGTTTTGAGTGTAAGGGCTGCAGGAAAAAAGACATTGTGAAGTTGTGTTGACAAACTTGGTAGGGCTGTGGTTTTGAGAATCTTTCTACTCTGAAAGTTAGTGAAACCAGTCACCTAGTTTTTTTCCTACTAGATGGTGTCACATCAATGACTGATATATCTGGGTCTGTGCTGAGAATGCTGCTTTGTAGGTGAACTACATTTTATTTTAGTCGAGAATTAAAGTTGGAACAGTACCAAAATGTGTGTGCTGCCAAGTTGGAGCAACACATTAAATTTTTAGTGCTGATTCTTTTCCATAAATACTAAACTTCATCCAAAGGACAGAAAGGAATTAATTTTACAAAGAAATGTTTGCAGTTTTTTTTTCTTAATTTGGAGGTTGACAATTTTTCTTTGACTTTTGACTTATTTGTAACATGGTATTAAAACAGAAAGGCAGGCTGGGTTTGATGGCTCACGCCTGTAATCCTAGCACTTTGGGAAGCCGAGGCGGGCAGATCACTTGAGGTCAGGAGTTTGAGACCAGCCTGGCCAACATGGTGAAAACCCGTTTCTACTAACAATAGAAAAATTAGCCAGGCACGGTGGTGGGCGCCTATAATCCCAGCTACTCTGGAGGCTGAGGCAGGAGAATTGCTTGAACCCGGGAGGTGGAGGTTATAGTGACCTGAGGTCGTGCCAGTGCACTGCAGCCTGGGCGACAGAGCAAGACTCCATCTCAAACACACACACACACACACACACACACACACACCCCAAACAAACAAACAGCAGAAAGGCCATGAATATCCATGAGGGTCATTTCCTCTAGCCTTTTATTAATGATTATTTCCCATTAGATTTCTCCATTACAGTAGCAATTACATAAATTTCTGCTTCTCATACCAGCTTGGGGATCTACTAGACTCCCCAGCACACAATGGGCACCCCCTAAAAATATTATCAAATTGTTAAATGAATCTTACAGAAAGGAAGAAGTTTTATTTTGTCCCTACTGCTCATCCATGGGGGCAGACTGTATCTGTTACTCCAATAAGCTTGGTTACATATATCTGCTGTTGGATACAAGAAGAGAGAGAAAGAAAGAGGGGGAACAAAAGATGAGAGAAATAAAAAATACAGCCATCCAATCTCGTTCTACTGTAATAATCTAAAATCCAGTCTCGTTCTACTGTAATAATCTAAAATCCAGTCTCGTTCTACTGTAATAATCTAAAATGTTTGCTTTACTGAGGAAGACTGTCGTCTTCAAGTAGGAAAGGCATCCAATTAACTTAAAAATTAACGTGTTAAACAAATAAGGACATTGATGATTTCACATAACAAGGAACCCAAAAAGGAAGGAGTAACGTGGTTGATGTAATGCCTAAATGACTTTCCTGGGGACTCAGGTTCTTTTTATCTTTCTTCTCTACCACCCTCTGCCTTAACTTGCTCATCCATCCATTCATTCATTCATTCATCCATGTATTCAACTATGATGCAGGTAATATTATAGACACTTGGGGATAGAGTAATTAACAAAACAGACAAACAAACAAATAAAAAAAAATGCTGTCTTCTTTGAAGCTTGCATTCTAGCAGGAGGAAGAAAACCTGTTGGCTTTCTCCCTTAGGCGTGTATAACTGAATAACATTTTTCATAAAGTCTAAATTTATTCAGAATTATAAATGGATCTTAACCAAATATGAATTCAAAATGAGTCATTTAATATATTTGTAGTCAAACAGAGAGATACCAATATAGAGAGGAAAAAGGATAAACTAAAATCTATAACATATTGGAGAAAAGGGATGGACATTTAAGAAATTATAATAATAGAGACTGTGTAGCAACATGGTTAAGAAAACAGATTTTGGAGTTCAGACTGCCTAAGGTCTAATTTCAACAAGGCCATTTACTTTCTGTGTCCTGAGCAGGTTATTTAACTTCTCTGTGCCGTAGTTTCATCATCTGTAAACTGGATAACAACAACAGCATCTATTACAGTGTTATTCTTCAGATCAAATGAATTAGCAATTATATATATATATTACATACTATGTGCCAGGTACCCTTTACTTAATAATAATTATTATTATCAGATACCACCGAATAAATTAATTGTCAGTTATGTATAATATGTGTCTGTGCAGCTAAATAACCTAATGAATCAAGAACTTATTTGCAAATCGTTATTGCTATTAGGGCATTATATTTTATTAAAGTTATTTTATGTAAAATGTATGTAACATGTCCAACATCTACATATATTGCATTGAATTTATATATATGTAATATATCTTATGCGTATTTGGTTATAAAACATACATAAATACTTATGTCAAATAATATAATTTTGTGCAAATATATTATTAAAAGAAAAAGTTTATTTCTGGTGTTAAGTAATAATAATTTTATGAATGTCAGTTTTTGACATGAGAATTATTAGTAGATCTTATAAAGGCTTTTTATAATCACCTGTGGACCACAATAATCAATTGTCCATAGACTCACTGAATTTGAGAGAAGCAGTTCATTATCTGTGTGGTTGCTATAACAAATGCAAACCATGGAGAAGAAAAACAAATGAAAGATTTTATTGATAGCTATCAGTTCTTATACTTGTCTTCAAAACTATCCCTTGATGAGAAAAATAAAGCCATTAAGAGATGAAAAATTGAGGTAACTCCAGGAACTAAACTTGGGAAACATGAGTAACAGATTTTACTGTACTGATTCTGACAAATATTTACATCAAAGTCTTTAAAGGATAACATTCTAGTAACTCCGCACTCATAAATGATGGCTGAATGAGGAGCAGAAATAAGAAGCATGTAAGACAGTCATAGTAATTTATGTCGAGAAAAACTACAACAAAAGATTCTCATTATATTTTGGGTTTTTACATATGAGTTATAATTTTCAGCAATGGCAGTATCCTGGTGGAAAGGATAAGGGATATTGTTTTTAATGAGGTAATCCCCAGAAAGGCCAGGACAGTGAAAAGGGACTGAAGGAGAGGTCTGAAAATGTGGGTTTGGGTCATATCTAGCTTGGTATTGACTCTTCTATGCTTTTAAAATAAGACTTTATTATTTGGACTAATGGGAACAAACCATAGTATCCTCAAGAAATTCTGATAATTGAAAATGTAAATGTTAAAAATATATATTTTTTCAAGTGTCAGATCATAAGCCTTCTTTAACTCTACACGAGTCTCCCTTGATAGTTTCCGACTTTTTTTCTCTTGTGTGCCCCCTATACGTGATTGCCTTGTCCTTTTGTTTCTCTTCACCTTAATTTCATCCCGATTATAACGCCTCCCCTTTCTGACAAATAGGACATGTGGTAGAGGAACTGAAGAGCAGAGAGGAAAACTGTGACTCTTCCTCAGTCATCTCCTACATAGTGGCTGGGATAAAACATCAATCTCTCAATATACTCCCACTCGTTTATCTAACCCATATCCTTGCAAAGTAATGTCTAAGAGAGACTGAAATTAAGCGAAACTCTGAAACAAAGTCATTCTTCCAGTAATAGTCATGTTTAAAAAACAGAAAGAAAGAAAAAGTTTGGAGGTAGCCTGTATGTTTCCTAAAAACAAACAAAAAACTTAATCACTTTTCATTACTTATAGGATAATACTTTCATAACTGTCAAGAAACTATGCAGTTTGGAGAAAAGAAGAAGAAGTATTAAAGGATCCCTCTACCAGACTTAGTCATGGGCAAGAGAAACATGAATCAGAAATAAAAGATGGTGGTATCATAGAGGCAAATAAGAGCTTTATGTTTTGGGAATACAAAATATAAGATGTTCTTTGCGTGGGAAAGGCTCACATTTATGGAGAATATGCAGACAGAAGATTAGGCAGAGCAGGGATTCAGGACCAAACTAAGATGTCTCCTTAGATTAACTGGGCTACAGGAGCCTGTTCTTAAATCCCAGACCCTCTGAGCCACGGGATGGAGAACTGTCAATCTCATTTGCCAGCAGGTAGGGGCAGTAAGAAAGGAGTGGAATTGCTTAGTTCTCTCACTGAAGAGAGATGAAACTGGTACTGCATCTGAAATAAAAGCATGTGTTCTTTTAAAGAATCATTCTTTTAAATAGATATTAAGCCCTAGTATATTATTATGAAAGTAAAATACTTCAATTATATTTGGTTCAGTAGGTTTTGTCAGCTTAGCAATAAATGTAACTGCTATATTTGGCAACATTACCATCAGAAAATGTACTGAAAGACAATCTGAAGAACAGCTTTTTCTATAAACCACACATGTTGTTGTAGTTTCCGTATGATGAGCAATTCCTATATTTTCATGATTAAATCATGTCTTTACCCTAGCAGAAATAGGCACACATCATTAAGGATACACTAAACAGAGCTTTTTGTTTTTCAGCAAATTATTTACAAATAAATCCTTAAAAATAGTTAAAATGAATCATAAAAAGTACATGTTTTTTCTCCATATAAATTATTATGTATTTAGGAGGAGATTGATAAATTTTATGCAATGATTAACAAAAAAAAATTATCCTTAAGTTTTTCATGTACTTTTTTTGTGAAGGTAATAGAGACTGTTAGAAGTGAAATAGTGGAGAAAACTGGCAACATGATAAAATGAATACAAATTTCTTTTTCTTTTTCTTTTTCTTTTCTTCCCAAGTACAAGTCCCTTTGCCTCTTATGCCAAGTGGCTGTAATGAGCAACAGGATGCATGCAAACTCAGACCCTGTTTCAGTTTCTAGAAAAATATTTGAAGGAGAGAAAGTAATGGGAGAACAAGGGTAGAAATGAAAAGAAGAAGCAAATGGCTATCGGGGAATTCTGTGCCTATCGTTACACAAGAATAATCAATAGCAATCCCATGTAAATGATTTGATTTCCCTGGTTCCCTCAAAATAAAGAATGAACTGAATTGGGCTATGCCTATTTGCCCTTGGAGCTTGGCAAATCTAGGAGATTGAAGGGAAGTTTGTGAGAGGAAGGAGAGAAAAGCCTCCTTATTTATAAACTACCAGTACTGGGATGGTGTGGGGGATGGAGAAAAACTTTCTTTCCTTCAATTTCAGGACCACTGAAAGGTACTCCAAAAACCATACCTGAGTTTCACTGAATCATCAATGAAAACAAACCTGTACAATTGACAGTCAGAGAGACAATGGTCAAGTCCAATTGACTCCCAGCAGAATACAGCCACTGAAGAGAGAGTGGAAAACTGTATAATTGAGGGGTAAAGTTGGAGCATTTAAGGATTGAAGAAGGATATAGGCAGAAGAAAAACCTCTTAATAATTTTGTCAAACCAATATAACTTATAATGTGATAAAGATGGTACTAAAAACAGGTTAAGAGAAACATTGGTTTTGATAAAGATGCAAAAAGTTAACATATAAAATGATAAAACCACTTAGGGTTTATTTTGAGAATGCAAAGTTAGTTCAATATCGGTCATTTTTTCTACATAAGGTATTATATTAATCAATAAGAAAACTGTACTATAATATTAATACATGTTAAGAAAATCACATAAAATTGAACTGCCATGGGTAATAAATATTCCTTGTAAAACAAGAATAGTGAAAATCTACATAAATAAGATGAAATCTATGAAAACTCAACAGAAAATGTTATCCAAGTAATGATACACTAAAAACATATCAATTAAAACAAGAGCTCAATGAGAATGCCTATTATTATTATTATATAACATAGTTTTTGTGTTATTAATGAAATAAGATCTTTTTAAAACAGTAACAGAAAGGAAAATATGAACCAATCTCCTTACGATAGGATTACATGCTTACAATACCAAATAAACTTTTATAAAATTCTACAATTAATAAGAATTGGATAGTGGTCAAGTAAAATGTGAATACAAGACAATCAGCAGCTTTACTCTTGCAATAAGCAATGAAAAATAAAATTTGCAACAGGGAAAATGTTAAAAGCTATGGAATTAATCTAACAAGTTGCAGAATCTAGCTGAAGAACACTATAGAATCTTATTTGAAATTATTAAAGGGTCCAGACAACTGAAAAGCAAAGTATGTTTTGAGATATTTTTCAAAATAAATGTATAAATTTGATTAAAATCACATTAAACCACATCTGATATTTTCTAGAATTTTATGAAATTATCTTAAAATTTGCATTAAATGCCTAATATAGCTTGAAAGTTAATAAGAAGTAGAAAAGTAAGAGTGTACTCTCACCAGATATCAAAACAACTAATAAACTTACATAGCATTGCCAAATAAACAGAGTAGTGCATATGAACAGAGAATGTAGTATTATAGCCTTTATATATATTAAAAATAAGACCACTAGTATAAAACGCTGAATAATGCAAACAAAGCTATTTATTACATTATGAGTATTGAAGTAAAAAGTAGGTATAAAGAAATGTCCACCAATAATGTTATGGTACCTCCATTGTATATATAATATCGTGTAGCTTTTAAATAAGAATGAATTTAATCTAGATTAAGATAAATGTTCATATTATTGTTGAATGAGGAAAACAATATACCAAAAGTCTACTTAATATTTATTCATTTTTATAAAACAGTAAAAAATTATATAAAACATGTTTAAAAAAGAGGATTTATGAATGCAGGAAAAAATATGGAAGGACATATATTGGGTTTTCAACATGGGTACCCTTAGGTGTGTATGGTGAAAGGTAGGAAGGAGCAGGAAGAAAAAAGTTAGGATTGAACCAAACTAAATAAGAAGAAAAATAAAAATTTGTACTAAAATCTTATCTTTGATCAAATGTGTGCATATATGTTAGTTGCATATATGAACATGTTTTTTAAGAAATTTAAGTGGGTCAAAAAGTGCTTTAACAAGAAAATATCCATTGTTCTTAAGCATCTGGGTAAAAAATAAAAAGATGAATTAATTAACAAACTTCTTCTTGAATTAAAAGTGTCTTTCAATAACTAGAATGCATTTGGAATAAATATTTTATATTATATATTACCTACTTCTGTATCTTTTTTTTTTTTTTTTTTTTTGAGATGAAATTTTGCTCTTGTTGCCCAGGATGGAGTACAATGGTGCGATCTCAGCTCACTGTAACCTCTGCCTCCCAGTTTCAAGCAATTCTCCTGCCTCAGCCTTTCAAGTAGCTGGGATTACAGGCATGAGCTACCATGCCTGGCCTTCTGCATCATCTTTAAAGAAAGAAAATTATTTTTCTATTTCTTTAATAGATATATGTTGAGTGCCTATTATGAGCCAGGGATTGAAAAGGATATAAAACATTTCGAAATTCTTGCCTGGGGAGCTTATATTCCAATGCAAGAGGGGAAAAATAAAAATTAAAAGTTAAATATGTAATATTTTATGTGGGGGTATATTCTATAGATAAAATAAATTAGGAAAAGTGGCAGAGAATACTGGGAGTGTTGCAATTTAATACAGGTTAGTCAGTGAAAAATGACAGGACCCATACTAACCCTCATACTTGGCACTGGTATAGTTATGTTGCTGTTATTGGGCAAATTACATTAGCTCAGGGTCTCATTAAGTGAGAGGTCTCCCTCCAGTGTATTTTATTTATGTTTGGACTCTGCTTTGTACAATATTTAATTTATTCCTAAGCAATAATTTGGCTTAGATTATTCAGCCTAAACAACACAAGATTGTGAATTTATTTTTCTTCATTCTATTTTCCTTTAAGAGTAACTGTGAGCAGAGCTGCTGTAAAACACCAGATGGAAAGGAAGCAGTTCAACACCATCTTTTCTTCATCTGCCTTGCTGTGGCACTCAGCTTCTCACTGCATACAGGAACTTGGAAATTCCAGGCTTCAGATGTGGTCACATGAATCCTCCACTGATTATTACAGATTTGCCTTCAAATGAGCCACAGGAATGTTTATTTCTTAATAATCAACAGCAGCTTCTCTTGTAATGTGTTTTAATGTTTTTACATATCGTCTAGCAGCGTTGGTCCCAAATTCCAGCCTTAACTGGCAGGCTGCTTCCCTTATGGGAGTTTTCCAATAACCAACATTGTTTCTTACCCTTTTCAAGGACTATGGGGAAAAGAATCTTCTAGAGTCTTGAGAAAAGCATGATAATCCAGGATTTATGCACATTGAAAATACTTTTATTGATTTGGCCCAACTTCCTCATCGTGCAACTTGTCACATCATGACACCATCTGAAATGATAAACTTTCTAGAGAATTGTCATGGAAAGGTCTTCTCCAACCAACCTAAGCTTAGAGTCAAACTTAAGGCAAACTTTGGGAAAGAGGCCACTTCCACTCTGTGACAGAGGGTAATATGGTTGGGCTTTACGTCCCCACCCAAATCTCATCTTGTAGTTTCCATAATTCCCACATGTTGTGGGAGGGACCTGGTGGGAGATGAATGAATTATGGGGGCGGATCTTTCCCGTGCCGTTCTTGTGATAGTGAATGAGGCTCATGAAATCTGCTGGTTTTAAAAGCAGCTTGTGCAGGGCACAAGCTTTGGCTGCTGCCATCCACTTAAGCTGTGACTTGCTCCTTCTTGCCTTCTGCCATGATTGTGAGGCCTCCCCAGCCACGTGGAATTGTAAGTTTAATAAATGTCATTCTATTGTAAATTGTCCAGTCTCAGGTGTGTCTTTATCAGCAGTGTGAAAACAGACTAATACAGAGGGTTATAAAAATATTACTCCCCTTTAATATTGCTCCCAAGGAATTCCCTATGGTTAAAAAATATATACGAATGAGGACAAAACATATACTTATGAGCATCATAATATATGACTAAGACTCATCTGATTCTCAATGATTTTGTTTCTGTGACTTAAAAAAATGGTACAAGGCCCATGAAATGAATCACACCTCAGAGGAGGGAAGAGAATGAAAGCTTGATGAGGGCAGGGCTTTCTCTAAGTTGTTCACCTTAAATAATGTCAGACACTCAAGAGGTATTCAATAAATGTTTGATTAATAAATGAAAAATAGCACGTCTTTGTTAAATAGACGACAAGTCCATATCTTTATAAATTAAAGCATTATCCTTTCTATGAAAAGAAAATGGCTATTGAAGAAATTGAATAAAAAGTGTGACTTGGAAATGTTAGTCCTACAAAGTAAAATAATATTCACATGTTTGGAAGGCAAGACATAAGTCCCTGTAAGAGAGAACTTTCGGACCCTAAGCAGGAGGCATATTTAAATCCAATGGTATTTTTTACCTCCGTTGTATTGTTATTCTGTGCTCTTTTGTTCATTTACTTAATAACCATCACACATACATGAACTTGAATGTTTTTGACATACGAAGTGGATTAAATTTTTAATTTTTTAAGCATCCTAATTCTTTTTGTTCTCTTAGATAACAGTTGAAAAAAAATTGTGAACAGGATTTTAAATCCCTGATGAAGAGCTCTGTCAAAACTTCCCCCATTACCTTGAAAAATAAATCTGGTTTTATTTATAGTTCTATACGAGATGATTGGCTATAAAAAGGCGATTTTCCATTTGGAGAAAGCAGAAGAATTGTTGTGTACATTCTACATCCGGTACTGGTGATTTTGGAAACACATGGAATAGGTGTTCAATTACCTTCCTTTATGTCTTAGGCTGTTTATGAGACCCATTCTTCTCCACTGTCACATAAAGGAAGGGGCTGTGTTCTTGAATGTCCACGTTCCTGATCTGAAGTGTTTGCACATAACGCAAATATAATAAATACCAGATAGAAGTACTCTTTTTCTTTCTATGCTGCATATAATAGAACATATATTTTTAACAAATATTTATATTATTTAAGAACTTGAGATGACCTTGAAAGTACAGAAACATTTTAGTTAATGTAATAATGATTCTTCACACCGCCATACTGCTGAAGGAAGACTTGCTGTTCTCAAACGTAAGGAAAATAACTGAACTGATGAAGACTAAGTAAAATTCCTCCTAAAAATGAATTTATGGGGGTCGGTTGACTCCATTTTTTGTCTGAACTTCAAATTGAGAATTGTTAATGTTCATTTGTAAAATTACAATGTGAGATGATGAATACCAAATATAGGATCTTAGCATGTAACCCATTGTTATTAAAAATGTGTTTTACAAATATCGCAATTAGATGTAGATATTATGAATCAGATTTTATGTGTATGTGTATTAAAGTTTTTGCTATTTATACATATTATTTATAAATTATATGTGCCATCTTAAGAGTAAGTCTTTTAAAAAGGTAAATTAATACTCATTTTAGATGGATTTATTGAATCACACCTGTTGGCACTGTTTATCTTAATTTTGGGATGTCTTATGCTATTGAATTGTGTTAAAACTGTACTACAATTATAAAGGCAATTCAAATTGTAAAATAGCACTTTAAAAATAAAGCCTTTAATAAATAAAATAAACTTTTATGGAAGTGTTTTATCCTATGGTCTTTCCATGAGATGTAATAATTTCAATTAAATAATAAAGTGCACCAAAGCAATCATCAATATGTAATAGCTGCTATTGTCAATTCTGTGGAGGAGAATGTCCCTTATGAGAGACAATGCACCCATTTCCACTCAGACCCTTCAGTGACCAAGCAGCAATCTTACCATCAGGAATGTGTTGACATGAAAATATACTTTAGAAAACCAGGTAAACTAACAACAAATGTATAACAACTACACTAGAAAATTCTACAAACAACAAATCAGTTATGAACAGTTTTTGTTGTTGATCATTAATTGTTCAATTAACTGTACATAAATATACAACAACATGCTATCAATATCGGATATAGCCATTGGACAGACAAATGAAGAGAAAGTTTCCATGTAATTATTCATCAATTTACTCAGTAACATATAAACTTCATATTCCATATCCAGCTCTAAAAAAATTTCAAAAAAAAAAAAAGTGAGGGCCACTCTATCCTGGATAAATTTCAATTTTAACAAAGTAAACAGAACATACATTCACCAAAGGAAAGAAGCACATTGATGAGGCCAATTTGATCTTTAGGACCCTCTAGTTTTAACTGAGGTACTTTTTTTCCCTAGTACTTGTCACTTTATAATCATGTCATGTAGGTTGGTTTACGGTGTCTGCACTTTACATCAACATCTGCATCAGAGCAAAATGTGATTTTTCAATGTGTTTGGTATTGATGTCAATATCTCACCCTCTGTTTTGCCGTTTTCAAGATGATCCTCCTGTGTCTTAAACATTTTCATGGATAGAATTTCCAGGCCTCATAAAAATTATCCCCAAAATGCACTGGGGGTGCTCCAAAGTTTTACAAAACTGCTGAAACTCTCTTTAATATAAGTTAAAGCCAGCATTTTTTTTTGGTGAAAGCAGCTGTTTCCTGATGTTGTTATGCAGTTACACAAGAATATAATTAGCATTTTAAATGTGAATCTAAATTTCAATCCTGTTTCAACTACTGATAGATCCATCATAAATGTGAAGTGAAAATGAAAACTGCTTAACGTAGTTTTAGGTACAATAGACAAACTCAGTGCTCATATATTGGACCATTGGTCCATATTCTTAGACCCTTCTATGAGTAAAATATTTGAATGGACTCTAGAGGTAGAGTGCTTAGTTATCACACACAGTGCTGACAACTGTCCACACAGTGGAATAAGCCCTAAATGTGAGTTAGCTCTCCACTGCCTCCCATCAATGATCCAGTATTCACAGAGAGAGTGGCAAGATTTAACTCCTGTATATTTTGAAATTTGGAGCTTAAAAATACTATTTTAAAAGTACTGAGAAATTTCCTAAAAGTTTAGAAATTCTCCTAAGTCCTCAAGTATTCATTATCAAAATCAATGGGCTCAATTATTAGGAAAATTGTAATGACAACAGTTCTTATCTAGTGAGGATATGATAAACTCCCAGTCACCAATGTTATCAGACTAAGAAAATTATATCAAGTGAGTTACATAAGGTCATAATTTTAGCATTTTAATTTTAGCTCTTGTACCTGATAAGATTCTAATACTAACTTTTTTAACTGAACCGGACATTCTCAATTAAGAATTGAGGATAATAGCATTTAAATATGTGAAGGTGCATGATCATCTATATCACATATTCACCCAATAGCATTTATTTGAAATATAAATATATCCCAATTTATTATTATTTGTCTTGCTAATATTTGTATATTCTTTGCATTAAATGCAGGATTTAAGTAGTCAATACATCCTCACAACTCCAATAAAGAAAAAGTTCCAAAGTTAAAAAAATCAAGATCATAAAATGAAGAGCTCAAAGATTGAGGCTACTTTTACTATTTTAAATGAAAAGATAATGTGTTCAGTTTTGCAGGTAGTTACAGTAGTTTTAACCCTTATGGCTAAGAATTGAGTTAACAATAAAAGACATATTAGAATTCTCTAAATAGAAATGTTTTCTCTCATTCTCAGCTATTGATAGTCTATATAATGTGTACATTAATAATAGATAATAAGAGGCTCATATGTGGGTGAAAGGTCAGGAATGGGTTTTTCTTTCTGCCAGAGGCGGAGGAGACACTGAACTCTCAAATATGCCAAATTGGCAGTAATATTGCAAGTAAAGAACTGAGCTCCCGGGGTGGGGTCAGGATTCCAGAGGCAAGGCCTCTCACATGCCGTTGTGATGGATTAGAAGGCGAGTCAGGCTGTCCAAGGAGCAAAAGGAAAGCGTCCTATTACTTTCCAAGGGAAAAGATCAAACAAGCAAGCAGTGCCGTTTTGCAAAGTGAGAAATACAAAGGACATTCTTGGGAGAATTAGAGCTGCCAAAATGAAATTACTTAAAAAATGTCTTATTCTAAAGTAGAAAAGAGTAACCTAATTCGAGTAAATGAAAACTATCTTCCTACAAGGAACATGAAAGCTTTTCTTAAGCACTCTGTCATATAATCATATTTTGCAGTTATTTTAGCTATTTCAGTTCAATATTGCAGACTTCCAAGACCTTAGCTTTGCTAGTTATGAGTCCAAAGGAAAGTGAGATTTCCTTTTCTGAAGGTGTCTACTACTGTTTACAAAGCTATTTTTAAAACACTATTCTTATATGAATGGTACTTGGTTCTAATCATATAGACTTCACACAATAATCAATAAAGAAATTATAAAGCACTGTGCTACAAATATGCTATGATAAAGTATAATGAATGAATATATAATTTAATTTTAAGAATTATAAATATAATACTTATTTATGACAGCAAACATGCAATGTTCTGGCCTCTGTGTGAACTATCACAAATTTTATTTATTTGAAAATTTATTATGATTTGGGCACAGTGCATTTCAAGTAGGGAAAATATCAGGTAGGTATTTTGCGTACCACCAGTCAGCACATACTTATTTTACCCGAAGGAGTTGTTTGCTACCTTTATAAGCTTTCCTTTTAAAGCTAAATGATTTAGAGTAAAGACATTAGAAAAAAATGATCACCCAGATACTTCAACAAGAGAATGTAAGAAAGAAGAGGAAGATAAAAGAGGATGAATAGAAGGAAACAGAGAAAGAAAAAGAGGAGAAACAAATCCCTCCAGTCAGGAATATCTCAATTCAAAGTTAAAAATCTACTTTTTGATTTTAAGGTTTTAATTACTACTGACATGCACAATGTTAAAATAGTTAACACAAACAATTCTCTAATATATTTTCTGAAAGGAAAAAAACCAAACTGTGTTACTTAAAAGAAAATAATCTTGGTTCTTCCATGCAAGTACAATTCCATTTGTTTCTGGTTGAATTGAAAATTTGGATTTCTTTGAGTTAATACAGTTGAATTAAGTCAAAACCATCACATGATTCAGAAAAAAAGTGACTAAAGTTAGATAAACATGTTTTCTCCAGGAACTTTGTCCATGGTATACACAGGAAATACATTTTCATGTTTCTGAGCAAGATTAAAATTGGCCAGAAAAACTTTTTACTTAGGAAGCAATTGAGAGGCCTACAACTACTCAAATGAGAACTATGATAACTTACTGACTGCTTCAGCACAAGTCATAAAATATTTCCTTGTCAGATATCTTTTTATATGGCAATACTACCAATGACAAGCAAAACACAGTCAGCAGTTTATTTTTCAAAGACCCTGTGCTTCACACCTTAATGGAAAGAAAATTACATAATCACAATGAGAAATTATTTTACCTATAAAAATATATCAACACAATGTCGTTCTTACATATTTTGACATAACAATTTAAGATAGTAAAACATACTAAATAAAAGACTTCTAAGACTTAAACAGGCCATACCTGTTTTATAAGACAACAATAATCTGATCTACAGCAATACCAACATGATTGATAATTTAGTTATCATATTTTGATCCACAGGGACAACATTTTAAAACACCAAAATATACACAAAATCATATGCAAACACCTAATGGAATCCAAAATGCATTGAAATAACAAGTTGTAATGCAAGTATTGGTAATAGGTTTAGTGAAGCAGGAAAAAAGATTTTTTTTCCTCCCACAGATAATAAGCAGTACTACCTGAATAACAAAGTACAGACCAAGACTTCAAAAGGGTGTATCGCCATTCAAGGGAATCCTTTATTAATCTCTACTGTTGAAAGAGCAAACTTTTCCATATCAGTTAGGCAAAATCGTCTATCAATTCACAGGCTTCTTAAATCAGGGGTAATTATTCACTTCTTGTTTATAAAAACAAAAGACAAATATCATATGTTCTCACTCATATATGGGAGCTAAAAAGTTGATCTTATAAAGGTAAAGAGCAGAATGATAGATGCTAGAGGCTGAGAAGGGTGGGTCGGTGGGAGGAGGGTATGAAGAATGGAAGGTTAATGGGCATAAACATAGTGTTAGATAAAAGGTATAAGTTCTATCATTCCACAGCAGAGTAGAGTAATTATACTTAACAATAATGTATTGTATATTTCAAAGTAGTTAGAAGAGAGGACTTGAATTGTTCCTAACACATAGAAATTATAAATATTTGAATTCATGGATACCTTAAACACCCTGACTTGATCATTATACATATTATGCATGTAACAAAATATTGCATATAACCCATATATATGTAATATGTTATACATCAATAAAAAAGAAAAAAGAAAAATGAACTAATTGAAATTATTTCAGAAGGAAATAATCAGTATATTCAATTAGACATTATTTTGATTTTGAAGGAGTCATTTTTTTCATCACCAAGGTAATTCCTAGCCATCCTGCTCTTCCCCAATGATCTAAAAATGAATTAAATGAATTCAGCTAGTCTGGTTCTGCATTTTTCTTACAGTGTAGTGCGTGTGTGTGTGTGTGTGTTCACTTGAAAAGTTCTAAATTTGTTTTTTTTTTCTTGTTTTATCCCTCATTCTTGCTGTCATCTTGTTGAATAGTTCAGAATTTGAATGCATGTGTATGTGTGTGTGTGTCTGGCCCAAAGGGGAAGAGATGATGATAACATTGCAAAAATAACTCAAAGGATAATGCGTACCGTATATTTTGAAGAGGCAGCCAACATTTTTAATTAATTGATAAAAATGGCAATTATTCTAGGCTATGGGATGGAATCCAGGGTTCCAATTGGAGGAGACAGTTTCAGGCAAAAAACAGAATAGCTATTTATCTTTTGAGGTAGGAGGTTGGCCACATCGGCAGGTAGAGAAGAAGGTAGGTTGAAGAGTTGTTGGAACAGATGGGAATTTTCCTTAGTTGTTTATATTTCCTCAATGAATTAACAAGCAAAATAATCAACTTGGAGAAAGAACTGGAAAGGACGTCTTATAGGTTTGAGGAGGATAGAGAAGGTGTGAAATCTTCATCTTGGGAAGAGAGAAAGTGAATTGGCTAGAGAAGTGAGAGTTCTTGTTTCTATTGGAGATCATTGGTTATGAATCTAAAATGAATCAAGCAAGTTTGGTTGTGTGTTTTTCTCCAACTATTCAGGTGAAGAATAGATGAAAAATTTAACCAGAGTTGTATTTTTGGTAGATATGTAGGGAAAATGAAGAGAGACAGGACAAAGCATATAGAGCTTACATTTGAGGGAGTGTTCGTTACGTTGGACCAGGGAAATCAGTCAGGTAAAAAGACACCTGAAGGCAGTGGGGAAGTTTCCATAAATTGGAAATCCAAAAGAGTTGGAATTGTTATTGGCATCTGGGCACTAGATGGGCTGACAGTAAAGGTGGGAAATAATGTCTAAGAGTGGAATGCTTGATTTTGAGATTATGGTAATGGCTATGGGCTAAGTAGATGACAGGTCGAAATTGGTGTCAAAGAGTCCAAAACTATGATGCTATCCTATTTGTGGATATCAAAATCAGAGATTTAAGACAGAGCCATAAATACTCCTGGCAAAGCTGCCTAGGCAGTTAGTTCTGTGTGCAGTTGGCACATCTCCCTCGTGTGACCTCCATACAGCCACGGGGAGACGGAACCACTGAGTGACACAGAATTCGGCATGCTCCTGCAGGACGCTTCTTACCTTCCCATTCTTTAAAAATTATGCCAGTATTTGCAGTGTTATTGTCACAGGTTTCCTGAAAATCCTTCAGGTCTAATCTCATCAATGTCCCACATTCCTGTCACCTCCATTCCCACGAGAAGTTTAACTCCCAGGTCACCTCCTACACAGAGGCTTTCACCACTGTAGGCACATTTGCTAAATTTGTCCGATCTGCCACCTCTCCTGACCCCCAGACCCTTCCACTGCACTTTCTAGAACTCGAACCACTTTACACCAAAATTCTCCAAGGTAGTTACTTTCTTCTCTAAATGTTACAAAACTAAAATTGCTATTTCTTTTTAGTCTACTACTTCCACTGATACCCTCTTAGGTGGAGAAAATTTTGTCTCCTATAAACTGTCTTCCTTGAGCTCAAGGTGATTTATAGGTTCTCCTCCTTTTCGTGAAGATCCAGACCATTATTTCTCCATCCTCCTTCAATTCATGTGAGTTTTCTGAAGCGTAAACCATTAGATTCGATTGTCTACTTACAGTTCTTGTTTTTGTTATCCACTGGACTTTCTGTCATTCCCTTTTGTGTCTTGAAATACCATCAACTGGAGCTTGCTTGAACACTCTTTCCCTCCAACACCACACCTGTCATTATACTCGAATTTCAATGTCCACATCAACTCAAGAAGAGATGGAAAAACCAATAGATCCACGAACATAAACAATGCTGGAAAAGTAGTCGTAAATCTCCTAAGAGATACTAGGATCTGATGGTTTTGCATAGATTTTTATTAAAAATCAAAAATAATAATTTTAAATTTATTTAAATTGTTCAACAGCTTAGGAAAATACAGAAATCCATCCAATTTATTCCATAAAATGGCATATTCTTAATATCCAAACTGGATAATGTTAGCACAAAGAAAAAACTATTGTTCAATCTAAATTCTGAGCATATTTGCAAACTTCTAAACAAAATACTGGTAAGAAAAATACAGAAATATTTAAAAATCAATCATGAGAAATGTAAAGATAGTTCGATATTAAGAACTACATAAATTAAATTCCATCAAGTATATTAATGAACAAAAAGTGAAATAATAAATCATGAGATTTTGAAGCTGAAAAAGCACTTGACAACATTCAAAACCCAATCCTAACTTTAAAATTGCTTAGCAAGCTCAGAAAAGAAAGATTTGTCTTAATTTCACAAATAATATATACCAGAAACCTTCAACAAACATCATTCTTAATAGTGACATATTAGAAAAATTACCACTAAGGTGAGAAATGAGATAAGGCTACCTACTGCCACCAACATATTAAGTGCAACAGGCAAGAAGAAGAAGAAATAAGAGGAGCAAACAGTAGAAAGGCAGCTACAAAATTGTCATTAAAGACAGTGTCTGCTAAGATAACACAAAATATTTAATAAAAATGCTAGCATTGTTACTAGTTGGAGTGTCCAGTAAGTGGCAAAGTTACACAGTCAATATAGAAAAAGTAATATGTGATAGATAAAATACGATAGAAAAATTATTGGATTCACCATAGCAATATATATTTACCCGTCTAATCTATCAATACTGTACACACACATACACACACACCAGAAGTCATCCTAAGAAAATTTCAGGCCCTATTTGGAAATGGCTATGGCTCTTCTGGGACAGACAGCTACTGAGAAGAGATGTTTGGGGTAGAGGTAGAACACCCTTGATATTGCCACTTTGAAACTACTTATGCTAGTGGTGATTTTCACCTGATCTTAGGTAATAAAGTATAGTCGTGAGCAATGCAGATACTTGGAACAGATGAACTGGGCTCAAATCTTCACTGTGTAATTTACTAAGGATGCTGTTGATTTCATTCTTCTTAGCCTCAATTTCCTATTCTCAGTAAATGAAGGCTAATCATAATATCTACATTTATTGGACTGTTAAATAGCATACGATATGTAAATTTCTTAGTTCAACGCCTGGCACTTGGTAATAGCTCAATAACCCACTATCATATTTCTAGTCCACAGTCTGTTCCAAACGCAGAATGATCTGTGAAAATGTCAAACAGATGATGATAGTGTCTGGCTCAGAATCCTGAAATGACTTCTCATTACACGCAGAGTGAAAGGAAAGTCCTTAGGATGGCACAAACGGCCCTTTACTACTTGCTTCAAAGTTCCCTCTCTACTCCTACATCGCTCTCACTTCTCTCTCAGGTCTCTTGCATAGCCCATTTCCTCCACTCTGAGCAATCTGCACTAAGCTTGCCATAATATGTTACCTCTTTCATCCCTTTGCTTAAATGCCACCTTTTTCTAGAGAATATTCCTGACCACTCTAAAATTGAGGAAAAAAACAAAAAACAAATACAACCCAACCAGCTTTTCCCCAAGCACTCTCTATTCCAATTTTCTTATAAAATTATCACTATGTAATAGCTTTTCTATTTTACATAAACATCTGTTACTATCTTCCTTAGCAAAGTGTAATCCACACAGGGGATTTTAATGGTTTTCTTCTTTTTTTCCCCAGAACCTAGAACACTGCCTGGCACACAGTATATATTCGATAAACATTTGTTACATGACCATATTATTATTCCAATGTTATCACTATGAAATGGAGCTATTGAATTTATTTGCATGTGTTGAAATACTAACTTTTAAATATTAGAAGTCTTTACCATGTTTATCAGCATGTTCTTTTGGTGATTTTATCATTTTATTTCCCTTACTTCCTAAAATAGGAATCATCCCTAATCTATGATTTTTCTAATATCCCAGGTAAATTTTCTTCAAACATTTCTTGACACCCATTTCTTATAAGATTTGATACCTTAACAAGTTATGAATATTTTTGTAAAAATAATGCCTATATTTTGAATCTCTTTTTTATGAGTTACTTTGAGAATAAAATGCCAAGACTTAAAAATCAGCTTTTGTGCCTACACTAAGCAAGTGAGTCAGTCTCATCTCAGTGATCAGTCTGGCTAGGTGAAGGGTTTCTCTCTATCATTGTAAATATGAATCAGATTCTCAACAACTATCATCAGTCAAGACCTGGCAGCACAGCTATGATTTGGAGAAGCTCACAGGAAGTTGTGTAGGCCTGGCTCCAACACAGGAGCCACTGTGGTGTGTACATCGTGTGAAGAATGAATAAAAATGATGAAGATCCTTCCCAACATTCTGACCAAACAATCTGTCAGCTTTTGAGAGAGATTACAAGCTCCAGGAAAAATTGGCTTTAGTGTTAAAGGTTATTATTCCTTAACAGATAATATTTTTCTGGAGGAAACACAACCCAGAGAGGTTGCACAGAGATTAGAGGATTTTAAACATTACATACGTGTGAACATTCACACTACAAACTGAGCCAATAAATCAGCTTCCTTAACTCTTGCTAGTACTGATTAAAACCTGGAGCCAAAAGTCTTCCAGTGGCATGAGATAATCCGAGGCATTTTTAAAGGGTGATGTATCTATAGATGGTGATTCATCAATGGTAAAGACTACGATGTCATATGTAAACACAACCTAGATAACACAATTTTTCCTATATACTATATCAATTGTAATTCTGATGGAGTGCACATATTGATTTGATTGAAGTTGTTATAAAACTTTAATTCCTATTCATATTTATTTTAATTTGATTTTCATGCCTATTACGGGTACAATATGGGCAAGAATAAATCTATTCCTATTTATAGTAAGCAAGTTGGAAAAATAAGTATTAAGCCTGGGCCTGCTGATGTTCACCATCAACACTTAACTAGATTCTCTTTTGTTTGTTTGACTGTTTGGAGCAGAGACTGGTTCTGTCACCCAGGCTGGAGTGCAGGGCCGTGATTTCGGCTCACAGCAGCCTCTGCATCCCAGGTTCCAGCAATCCTCCTGCCTCAGCCTCCTGAGTAGCTGGGATTACAGGCGTGCACCACTACACCTGGCTAATCTTTATATTTTTAGTGGAGACGGGGTTTCACCACATTAGCCAGGCTGGTCACCAACTCCCAGCCTCAAGTCATCCACCCACCTGGGCCTCCCGAAGTGCTGGGATTACAGGTGTGAGCCACTGTGCCCGGCTCAATACTTAACTAGATTCATTTAAAATGTTTCTGTTTGGATCCTACTATCCATTATCAGTGCTATTTTAACTTAATTCGAATGTAGGTAAAGTCAGAAAAATATTTTGAAGTCCCTAAAATTAGATGATTAAAAATCTACAGTTGCAGAATTTTAGAGATGGTTATATGTTAGGACTCCCAAGCTCAAGGTTTACTTTAATTCCCAGGTAATGAATTATTCCTCAAACTTCTCTCTGGATACAACCTTATGAGTACAAAAATCAAGGGAGGGGATATAAGAAGACACTTGACCTGAGATTAAGAGCTCAATATGGCTTCCTGAGGTTTGAAAAATAAATGTACACCATAGAAAGTGCACATTTAATTTCATCCATAATGTAATTGCAGGTGAATATTGGGGCTGGGATCCAGATTTAATTGTCAGAGAATCTCAGAAAAATATTTTTGAGAGAACTATGTTTAGCAGGACATTTTTTATAACAGCAATACTAGGAATCTCTATTTAATAAGAGGACGGGGATGGCAGTGGGTAAAGACCAGCCCGCTCCTGCCCTTCCCCACATTACAACCTCTTGTCAGCCACCGCACAACCCCCTTGATGCACCCACCACTGCACCTTACGACTCAGTTAATGATCCTCTGAAAAAGGGTTTTCAACTCTTTCCCTCTGTTTTTGCTTTATTTTATTATTTATTTTACATTATTTACTAACTAGGAGTTAGAACTAGCGACACAGAAGTTTAATGACCTTAACAGTTGAGAAAACAGAGAATCAATAAAATCAGGGGATTTGCCTAAAATGACATGGCTAATTTTTGGACTAGAGTCTAGTCCAGTGCTTTTCTCATCATGTCATTCCTTACCAAAAAAAAAAAAAAAAAAAAAAAAAATGCTTCCTGAAGCAAAGGCAGGGCAATCTCACTAGTAATTAAAAAGCAAATAACAAAATAAAATAAATACAATAAAATGCCCCATCTTTCCCTTTAAATTGATGCTTTTGAAAGAAACACACTGCTTTAAATCTGTCAATAAATACAAATGGTTATTGCATAAGAATACCTTAGAACACCTTTAGAAAACTATCCAAGTTGTGCCCAATGAAAACTTTCTATGATGTTTCTGCTCTGTCCAAGGTAGTGGCTACTAGCCACATGGGGCTACTGAACACTTCGAATGTGGCTAATGTGAATGAAGACTGAAATCTTTAATTACAGTTAACTTACATTTAAGTAGCCACATATAGCTAGTGGCCACCAACTCAAATAGCTCAGACTTAGTCTTCTCCTTCCTCTCTAGTCTCATCTCTCACCACACCCTCAGCCATCACTTTATAACGTGACCATATTGAATCCAGTTTCGTGAATGCAACTGTGCTCTCCTGATTTCTAGTCATCCTGATTTCTAGTCATCTAGTATTACTCCCAAATTCCTCACTTCCCTTTCCCTTGCCAACTTCTATTTGCTTTTTATGTTTTAATCACATTATGCTTTCCCTGAGAAAGTTTGCTGATCTTCCACCCATCTGTAAACAGCATCTACCGGAAGTGCAAAGAAGGAAAACCTACATTCCCTCCTTCTGAAGTAGCCAGAGGACTTGGCTCCGGGTATCAGACCATGAACCATAACTCAGAAGCTGGGCTTACTGATCTTTATTGTGTTTGCAACCAGAAAGGTTGTTTTTTTTTTTAAGTTAAAAGGCTGAAGTCTGCAAACATTTATTCCTTAAATCTCCATAGAAACAGTTTTGAAGAACTATGTGTCCTTGCTTTTCCAAAGCTTTAATGAAGTTATCTGCAATCCAAAGGGTCTATATATATATATATATTTTTTTGGAATTGGTTATTCTCCTAGCTATAAAAGGCGTAGAATCTCAAGAAAAAGTTTATGTGCTAATTCTTTATTAGGAAGTGCTCTCCCAAGGAAGTCAGAACCAGAGTAAAGAGACAGAGGGAGAGCAAAAACATGCAGGTGCATTCCCAAGCTGTCAACACTCTGCATCAAGCGCAATTTTGCCATCTTCAAAAGGCGGCATGAACTGCTGTACCTCAGTCTACCTTGGGGGAAGGAAAAAATAATTAATCAGTCTTTTCCAGTTTCCACTGTGACAGGTTTTCTTCATAGGCCATGAACCTGCCCTCCCCCGCTCCTCACCTGCCAACACACACTTTCAGGTTGCACATAAGGAAGCCCTGATGTGTCCCAGTTGCATCTCTTGTCTCAGGAACAAGAGGAAAACATGAAGGAGGCAGGAAAAATGTGCCATGTGAGCATAAAGAAAGATGTAATCATTCAAAATCAGTACTTGCCAGATCTGGAATGAGATAAGTGTTCAAGGGCCCCAGAGAGAGATTCTTAGGCAGCACTAGAGGTACCTGATATAGTTCATAAGTACCAACCACTTCATTTTGTCTTTTCTGATTTTAGCACTCAAGGGTGGTTTGCATTCATCTTCTAATTTGAGATCTACTTTTGTGATGGGTTAATTATGGGCAATGCATGTACACGTGTGTGAACATTGGTATTTTTAGCTAACACACATCCTGGAATAGTTTCAGTAGGAATCATGGGCTTGCTTATTAACTCTATCATTAATAAATTATGATAAAACGTATAACAGCTTTATTTTTGTACGGCTTGATATTTGAAATCTTATAATATCAGATAAATCCTTTTTATATTTGTTTAATAAATATGTGTTCTGTCAACCTGAAGTGGCTTTTGCATTTTGCATCGGAGAAAATTGCACACATATTCAAAGCTTAATTCAATAGTCACCTTTTCTCTATAAAGATTATACTGTATTGCATGGTTAAATTTTATTCAAATTTAAGTTTCTAGTCAGTGTGTAAGGAAAAAATTGAGGACAGTAAAATTACCCACAGAAATAATCACCATCTAGGAACACTGTTACATATCTATGGCTTGCTTATATAAACCTACATAAAATCCTGCAGTTATTGGCTAGTCAGTTTTTTTCTCCTGGCTCAAGTCTCAAGAAAGCCTTAAATCATTCAGACGTCCCTTCTATCATTTTTGCTTTTGACCTTTTCAGCCGATTTGCATCCATTGTTTATTTAATCGAGTTGAATCAGGTGTCTGATTCAACTCTCTTGACCCAGATCTTCTCAAAAAGATTAACCATCTCTCCTCTGTGTCTTCATTTCACCCTCTTTAAGCTATTGGCAGGAAACTTATATTTATCATTTCTGTTTGGGGAGATGTGAAAGTGAGGCATCCCTCACAGCTGTCTCCTATTTGGATATAATATTGTCTCCTCTTAGACAAGCATTAACCTCAGAATTAACAATTCCAATGCATTCACATTAAAATTAATAAAATTTAATTAAAAAGATTAAAATATAATCTAATAGGAAAGTATTGGGAAAACTAACATAAAATATTGAAACAGCTCTAGGCTTCTAGTAACTTACTAAATAAAAATCTGTTTCCTTGATTTGATCTTTTAGTTGCTGACAACTATGTTCCTAGATTGCAAAGCTGAGAACTGAGTCAAAGGTGGTTAGAGTCCTAGGGGACGCTTGCCTGGTGAATTCTGATTTGACATACCAGCTGGCCTCTGTGCAAGGTTTCTCTGCTGCGTTTCTCTGCAGCCATAACAGTAATGTGTTTGCTGCTCTACAGTACCATTTCCCCAACTAGAAAGTGAGTTCTGTGAGAACAGGGACTGTCTCTTATTTATCTCTGTATCTCTGATGTGTGGTGCAGCTTAGAGAATAATAGATCTTTAATAAAGGTTTGGACAGAAATGACAATTTTTATGCATACTTCCACATAAAATATTAACAATTTATATAGTCTTCTCAAAATAGATGTTATTCCATTCAATTTCATTAACTGAAAAAGGGGATATTTCTACTTATTTTGTATTTGTAACTGTTACATTATAAAACAGAATTATGCCAAATTTAAACTTAACTTCTATTAAGATGCTTTTCATCTATCAAAAAAGCATATGAAGATGTGCTACTTAGATGATTCATAATAATGCTTATGCCTATTCTAAGCAAGAAGAGATGATTAAACCCCCTAGTGCACTCATACAGAGGATTGATAAATGTTTATTAATTATTGTGAATATGCTACATATAACAAAGGACAAAATATAAATGGTCATTGTAAACCAGCTGGAGTCTATTTCTAGAATTGAATTCTGTTCATTGCATTGCACCATAGCATGAATATAGCTTCAACTTGAATAATTAAGTTGAAGACTCTCTTAAGCAAAACTCTCTCATGATATATTGAGAGATAATATTGTTGAACAAAAAGTTCCAGCACAAATTCCACAGTTAATCGTTTTACCAGTTTTAGGAAACCATTGCATTGACAGTAGCTATGCCTTAGACACCAAAATTTAATTAGGCAATCGTGTATTGGACACCAGATAAAGTCAATGAATAGTTAGCAACCTTAGATCATACGGCATGAAATAAATCACAATACAAGACTTCTTCCATTTACTGTCTTCTACAGTGTGATACTAAATTGGTTTGAGATAAATGGTTTCCATCATATGCTTCTGTTGAGGATAAAAACCAGAAAATGACATCATTAATATACCGAAGTCACCTCATTATTCAGAAAGATTAGAATGAA
Source organism: Homo sapiens (assembly GCF_000001405.40). Taxonomy (NCBI): domain Eukaryota; kingdom Metazoa; phylum Chordata; class Mammalia; order Primates; family Hominidae; genus Homo; species Homo sapiens. The sequence goes on along the minus strand of NC_000003.12, from coordinate 76,883,467 downwards.
GAACCCAGATAACAAGTCAGTAGATTGTTTTTATAGCATATTATAGGGCTTTGCGAATGACTACAAAGTTTAGGATCATTTCTATTAATCACAACATTTGAACATGATAGGAGTGTTAAATAATTAAGAATAGGTTTCAATGAGATTTAAAGATTTTTTACATGCTGATGATGTAGAAGTCTACTTTTTCAGGCTCACAAAGTAGACTTTTATGCTGTGGACTTTTAAAAGAATATACAAGAATTTTCCAATGAGGATTTTAGTTCAGCCATTTATATCTTATGTGTATATAGAGTGCATAATACATATGGGTATTTTTTAGTAATTAAAATAGTTATAATATGTCAGACAAATGCTTTATAAAATCAGGGAAACCCTAAAATAGGTTATCTAACGGGTGATGATGGTGTTTTTGTTTGGGATCATGTAAGCAAAAGAGGCCATTCTCCTTCCTGTAGGCAGAATTCCAGGTTAATATCCTTTTACAGATACAAGTAACGCTAACATACACAAAACAAACTGATAATGGAAACAAATTATGGAGACTGAATCCAAAACCATTTGAAATGTCATGTTTAAGAGTTATTCACCTTCAAAATTATCATTCAAAGATGGAGTAGCTTAAAGCTTCTATGCAAGAGTTGAGTTTCCAGTGTAATAAAATTTTAGTTTCCTAGTACAAACGTACAAGAATAAATTTCATGGATGGGCAGAAAAATTTAACAATGAACAGATACAGTAAGAAATGGGAAAAATGTTTTCCCCGTAAGATTCTGATAGATTTTTAAAAGCATATAACCTTACTGTAAATTTGTATTAGAACTGTATGTTTTGCTAATTTTATTTTTAGTTACTTGGGAGTATTTTTTGTTGAGTATGCTAAGAAACACAGGTAACAGGCACTGAAAGTGCTAAAAACACTAATGCTGTTTTCACTTGAAAAAAAAAAGTGTTTTTAAAAGCTATTTTGATACCCTGAAAGTATTTGTAATATAGGGCGGGGATGGGGGAGTGACCGAGTCCTGAAAGAGGAGTGATGACATTACACCTTCAAATGTGCTAAATGTGAACTTAGTAGGTAAAACCGAGAAAGATAAACTCAGCTGTGGAACACATGAAATAATTCTGATTTTGAATGTGACACTAAGAGATTGCCAGATACTTGTTTCACCTCTGCGAGAATTTGTACTGTTGAAACATTGGATTTTACATCTTGAAACATGGATTTTAACTAACAACCACAGCAACAACAAACCCAAACCTACAACCACCAAATCAAAACAAAATGAAACAAACATCACCCACGCACACACACCCCCCCAACCAACCTACCACCCAAAAGACACACACACAGACACACACACACACACACACACACACAACCAACCTACGACCCAACAGACACAGTGGTGATCCTGCTGAGCCCAGCCACCCACATACACACACACACAACCAAACTACCACCCAACAGACACACACACACACACAAAACCAACCTACCACCCAACAGACACACATACACACACACAACCAACCTACCACCCAACAGACACCCTGGTGATCCTGCTGAGTCCAGCCAAACAGTAATTACAAGGGAAGGCATGAAAGCCACCAGATGGAATTAGGTTTGATCACAGCATCAGGCCTGGCCTCCACACATTCTGCCATAGCCAAGGCCATAATCACAGGGCCCCATTTAGATGCCACGTCTGGGTCAAAAGACATATTCAGAGATCTAAATAAGCATTTTGAGTAAGAGAAAACTATTGACCTATGAACTTCTTTATTTGCATGTAGATTTTCATTCAACATGTAATTTATTCCAATGTAAAATAGAAAATACATATTTTGTATTCCAAGAATAATTTTGCAGCAGATATATGTCCTTATGTTGATATTATTCTAATTATTCCAAGAGTTTGTATTTTTTACATGTTTGAAAATGGCATTAGGAAGTGAGTAGTCTGACAATGCAATGTAGCAGATGAAGTCCAGAAAAAGAAAAGTCTCATTTAGGTTAAGTCTATTGCAGCCATACTTTTCTAAGTTTAAAACGCAAGAAATAGTGTATTTCTAAGGACCCTGCACATTTCCACATTCAGTCACTCTAAACGTCTTTATATTTACTTCACTGTTCAGACTCTAAGACATAGAAATACATTTACCTTCTTTGATTTTAATATCCTAGAGAACAAGTATCATTAGATGTGTCAGAGATTAGTGTCTTCAGTTTTAAGGATTAGCTCTTGTATAATTCTCCGCACTCTGACCCAATTTAATAATAGAGAAAGAGATACAGGGCACTGTGGTTAATTGTAGAAAATGATTGCCAGTGACTATTTTCTGGGTCTGGGAAGCTATGTGAAAGATCAAACAGTACACAAAACTAGGTACAGTGTATTGTAATTAAGCATCACAGCTAATGGCCCTCGAACAAAACTCTGCTGGAAGAAACAGTGATTAGAGACACCTGCAGGTTAATAATTAGAGGCATCTGAGCACAGAAGCAATTAATATAGGAAAACTCTCCCAGGAGAGAAAAGGCTGAATAATAAACAAAATAAGATTCTTTCCAAATTCCTATCTTAAAATAGTCCGTGTTAATAAAGTATCACAAAGTCCAAACTTCTAAGAATGCTTAAAATGCCTATTAGTTTGATCTGTGGCATATTCTTTTAAATTCACTGTACTCATACATGTTTTCATCTAGCGTTATCAAGAATGAACCTTTTACTCCATTTAACAAATGAGTATCAAACAATTTGGGGCTGTTAAGGATCATATATGAGAACATAAGTTGTATTTTGCTAGGCAAAACAAAGACCACCAACATTAAAATCATGTCTAAATTCCTAGAATTTTTAAAAAGGCCTCCAAAAAATTCAAATTTTTAAGTTAAAAACCATACTAACATGTCTAATGAACTAGTTATAAATGAAATGTTTTATATTTAAAGTTTGAAACCACTTTGGTCTTCATATAGAAACACTTACACCATTTCAGGACAGCATGCTTTTTTATACTCAATAAATACTTTTGCCTACACACTGAAATATGTTCAGCTAGCATACATTTCTTTATTTGTGCTGATCATCTTTTAATCTTTATTTTATATGTATGTATATGCATTTCTTATTTCAAAATTTTATCCGGTTTAGCCATCTTAAACACATAATATTCAATTAGGTCCCACTGTTCATTTTCTGTTCCAAGCTGATTATGAAAGTAGATGTTTTGAGGGTATGTAGCAAAGGCTAATGTATTCCTAGGCCAAATGGAAAAATGATAAACCGGGAAAAAGGGAGACATTAAAGGACATTAAAGGACTGTTCTGACCATGTGACCTAATCATTAAAAAACACTTCGAGGGGAGAAATTTCAAACATTACAGAAATAAGGATTCATGAATTATGTATGACCATAAAGGCCCTTGGAAAACATGTAAAACCCAAGCCCTAAATCATTACTCTGAGAACTACTTCTATTATTTTTCTTTGTCTTATAATGAGTAATTTGCATCAGAAACCCAATGCATTTATATCCTACAGCAAAATTTACTCAGTCAAATGTGAAAGACATCATATTACACTCCCAATATATTTTTGCTTTTACCTTCTTAATAGTGTCATCTTTTGTTAATCAGGACAGATAACGAACAGTTTAGAACACAATGGTTTTCATTTCAGATAACTATAATCAAAGTTAACTACGAATAAACATTGTAGACAGTACTGGTACAATATATATTAGTTTCATTATTATTATCATATGATCATCAGTTTAATGACTCTGGATACAACCTATAGCAGATTTGTTCTATTACTGTATCCCTAGCTTCTTGATTGTGTTTGTTTGCTTTGATCTTCTGGACTTGAAATAACGACAGAGGCCTCTTCACATGTATTCTGCTTGTTGGCAGTTTTACTTTATAGTTATGTTGGTCGATTGATGTTTAAATTTGAATTTTCTTCTTCATATTATTTTTTCAGAGGAAGAGAGTTCACTTCTTGGGATTGCTTAGATTTTTCCCACTACCACCTATTCTCTAGCACCTTGATAAGCAAAATGATATTTCATGGACCTCTCCCGGGAGCTTGTTAGAAATGCAGATTCTTAGACACACACCCCAGACCTACTAAGTTGGAAAATCTACATTAACCAGATTCTCAGGTGACCCAAACGCACATTAAAGTTGAGAACTGCTGAACATACTGATCTGAAAGTGAATACATGATTTTTCTCTTCTCCCCTTCACATTTCCTTCGACTATGTTTTCAATATAAAAGGGTCAATTAAATACGACATGAAAACTCAGTAGAGCAATGAACGTTTACATAAAAGTAGAATTAGGAAAATCACCTGATGAATCTTTTTGCTGAATAAATCATCTGGGTTTCTCCGATTGACATTTACATTTAAAATGAATTAACTTCAAATTTAAGAATATTATTAAATCATTCCCTCTACATATTTCTGAGTCAAGTTGAATATGTTAATTCTTTTTCTTTTTAATATTAGAAACTTTAGCCGTACTATTTCTCTCTGTAAATACCTGAGAAGGAAAGTGGAGCATGAAACAGATCATCAAGAGATTAAAATGAACATTAACCCTGTTTGTTTTTGCATTATTAAAATGCAGTTTAGGATTTTTGATGGCTATCTTGTAAGCCACTAGCCTTGTTTCACTTACAGCTCTAATCTAATTTTTAAGGTATCTCTGGGTGTCTGAATAAACACCATTGGTGTGCTAAATGAAGAACTAGGCTACTTCTTCCTCCAACTATAAAAACTATGTTCTCCCTATTGAATAAACGAGAAAAGAAAATACGGCTAGTTGGCAAAAATTTACTTGGTAATCTTGGTACACAATTTTCATATTGGTCTTAGGTCAGATTTTCTTATTCAGTATGACATTGTGGCAATGTTCTGGATGTTTTTGAATATAAAACAATGATCAGATCATATTTCATTTATTTTATACTTATTTATGTGGGAAATGTTCAAAGGAGTTCTGAATTCTTTTTATTTTAAGCCAATTACATACCATTAGAACCAAAAGAATAAATTTTAGTGAAAAAGGTATCGATAAGGAGGGAATAACAGATAAAGCACCTTGTGTCATTTTTTTGTTTGTCTTTATTTCATTTCATTTAACATTAGCTGCTTATGAGTCTTTCCAAAAAGATACACAAAGTATTAAAAATACATTAACAATTATCAGCCAGAGGTAAAACATTTCTTCCATTCACTTCTCTATCCATTTTTATAAGGTTTTTTTTGAAGACGTCATGCATTAAGGAAACTTTTTTTAACTTAAATGTGCTCAATGCATCATAGGGTGGAATGCTATGGACTGAATCATACTCCGACACCAAATTCATATGTTGAAGTTCTAATCCCTAATGCCACTGCATTTGGAGATAGGGCTTTTAGAAGGTAATTAAAGGTTGAATGGTCATATGGGTGAGGCCCTAATCTGATAGGTCTGGTGGCCCTATAAGAAGAGGAAGAGAGAAAGATGAAATCTCCATGTCTCCTTCCTTCTCTCCCTTCTCCTCCACCTTGCCCTTTCCTTTCCTCCTGCCCTTTTACTTCTTCCTCTCTCTCTCTGCACTTAGGAAAGGCCATGTGAGCAAACAGCAGGAAGGTAACTGTGCAAGCCAGAGAGCCCTAATCACAACTCAGCCATTCTGGCACCCTGATCTTGAGCTATGCGCCTCCAGTATTGTGAGCAAATAAATTGTTGTTTAAGCCACCCAGTCTATGGTAATTTGCTATGGCAGCTGGAGCCAACTAAGACAGCAGGTTATTTATAAGACAGCAGGTTATATGTATAGACTATCTACTGTGTGCCATAGAACTTTCGAAGATACAAAGTGGAACAGAGTGGTCAAAACCAAAGCAAACATGTCATCATTTACTTCATACTAGAAGTAAAAAGCCCCTGAAGAGCTGTGTATCAACTACTGGGTTTGTATTGATCATGTTTCTCATAAACCTCCCTCCCCCAAACTCATCGTTCTAAAACATTTGTTTTTATCCTCCTTTGGCAGCTTAGTATTCCAAAGATTCCACAACCTTAGAGCACAGAATACTAAATTAATTAGGCTTGGATTTTGGCCTAACAGCGTCGTATTCTGAAAGAAAACACACTTAGGTGTGTACTGTTTGCGTACGATTAAGACTACCATCTTTTGACTAGAACCAGAGCACTTCTAAGAAAAACCTTAAGCTAATATTAAAAACTGGTCTGTGCAGAGAAATGTTATAATCTTATTTCTTTAGTGTTACTGCTATTAGAAGCCTTAACTTTCAAACACTAATAAAATGATACTATTTTATATTACATGTTCATGTACAAAACATTTGTGTAATTTTAATCTTGGAAAATATTTTTTTTCTTTACTCTTATGGAAAATGTAAAATATCCTTTTACCTAGGACTTGTAAAATATATATATGCATATGTAGATGTATTTTTTCTAAATTTTAGTGTCTTAAAAATGATAGTATCCTCTAGGAATTCATCATCATTCTAGAATATCAGAAAGCAAATCTCTGTACTTTGATTATGGCAGAGCAATAGTTCTTAATGAAAGTGCTAACACTTTCTAATTGCAGTGAAATAGCAAATTTTTGTGAATTTTTCTTCTTGCATGCAATTATTCTGGATAGGGTCTTATTTTGTTAAACACTTGTGCATTAATTATTGCAATAGTATGTAAACCCTGTATTTCTTTGCAATATATAAATTCTCACAATTAACCTTCAAGATACTCTTTTTTTTTTTTCTTGAGACAGAGTCTCATTCTGTCACCCAGGCTGGAGTGCAGTGGCATGATCTCGGCTCACTGCAGACTCTGCCTCTCAGGTTCAAGCAATTCTCCTGCCTCAGCCTCCCAAGTAGTTGGGATTAAAGGCATGCACCACCATGCCTGGCTCATTTTTATATTTTTAGTAGAGGCAGGGTTTTATCATGTTAGCCAGGCTGGTTTTAAACTGCTGACCTCAGGTGATCTGTCTGCCTCAGCCTCATAAAGTTCTGGGATTACAGGCATGAGCCACCATGCCCACCCTTAAGATACTCTTTATATAAGTCAAAGCAACTGCAAAGAAGACCTCTTATGTGTCTAATAATTGGAACAGATTCACTTGGTAACTGACCATATTTTTATAAAACTTCCATTACTCTTAGTACATGCAATAATATGGTCAAAATGTTTTCGTTTGATGAGTTAATACTTGAACAGCAAAACCATGGAGAAAGTGATTCTTCTCAAATTCATGCTTCTTATCTCCAACTTGGTGTTTGGTTCAATAGTAGGTATAGTGTACAAAATAAAGGTACCCAAAAGATGTCCATAGCCTAATCCCCCACGGTTGTGACTATGTTACCTTGACATGACAAAGGGACTGTGCAGATATGATTAAATTAAAAATCTTGAGATGGGGCATTATGCTGGAATTTCTTGGTGGGCCCAATGTAATCATAGGGTCTTTATAAGAAGGAGGCAGGGCTAGGTGTGGTAGCTCACGCCTGTAATTCTGGCACTTTAGGAGGCCAAAGCAGGCAGATCACCTGAGGTCAGGAGTTCAAGACCAGCCTGGTCAACATGGTGAAACCCCATCTCTACTAAAAATACAAAAATTAACAGGATGTGGTAGCAGGCACCTATAATCCCAGATACTTGAGAGGTGGAGGCGGAGAATTGCTTGAACCTGGGAAGCAGAGGTTGCAGTGAGCTGAGATGGCACCACTGCACTCTAGCCCAGGCAACAGAGTGAGACTCTGTATCAAAAAATAAAGATGGAGGCAAAAGGGTCTGAATCCAAAAAGGAAGTATGATAGAGTTCAGAGTAAAGTGGCTATCAGCCAAAGGAAGCAGGTGACCTCTGGAGGCTGGAAAAGGCAAGGAATAGATCCAGTCAGGATCTCCAAGACGAATGCCACTTTGTTGACACCTTGATTTTAGCACCATAAAGCCCATTTGGCACTTCTGACCTCCAGAACTCTCATATGATTAATGTATATTGTCTTAAACCACTAAGTTTGTGATAATTTGTTATAGCAGCCATAGGAATCTAATACACTATGCACAGCAATTGTCTTAGTCCCTTTGTGCTGCTATAGCAAAACACCTGAGACTGGTAATTTACAAAGAACAGAAACGTATTTCTCACAGTTCTGGGGGCTGGGAAGCTCAAGATCAAGGCACTGGCACGTTTGGTTTTCTGGTGAGTGTTGCTGTCTCCAAGACTGGTGCCCCGTTGCCGCATCCTCCTGAAGTGGAGAATGCTATATCCTCACATGGCAGAAGGGATGGAAGGGGTGAAGAGGGTTGAACACTGCATGAAGCCTCTTTTATAAGGGCCTTAATCCCATTTATGAGGGAGGAGCCATCATGGCCTAATCACTTCTTCAGGCCCCACCTCTTTTGGCCATTAGTTTCATTCAACACATCAATTTTGGAGGGGACACATGCAAACCATAATGGCAAGGAAAATGTTCTCATGTTAAAACATTGAACCATAAAATCACAGACAGAATGAATTCCGTTACATATATCATATCTCAACCATGTGTTCCCACTGGGTCAGGGGATCTGTGTTCTTGTCTAGGCTCTGTCACTGATTAACTGTGTCACCTTAGGAAGTCACTTGGCCTGTCCGGGTCTGGCACCCTCTTTTTGCATCAACTGTGAAGAAATTAAATGATCATCTCTCAAATTTTGTTTACTCATTCCATGCCCCTTTAAAGTTTTCCATTTTATCTTCTGTCTATATTTTAATTTAATGTTAGTTGCTTAATTTAAGGAACTGCAGGTACATTTAAAATGCTCTTTCAAATAACCATCATTTTCTCCTCACCCCTGAGTCTTTGATATGAACTTCTGTGATAAGCTGCGGTGGAAGTGCAGGCACCATGGCCCCTCTGCTAGCTTGACAATCAGAATTTAAGTATCCTTTCATTTTGAAAATGTGTAATTTAAAACAAAACCATGTCAGCTCATCCCTGGAATTTCTTATGTAGTTTAAAAAGAAAGCAAGAGCACCCTTAGATTTTCTCAGGGAAATTTTTGGGCAATAATGAATAATGAATTGAAAGGGAAAAAAGAATCGAGAAACCTGAGGCAGCTTGAAGATGAAAAACTTGTCCCCTGTTTGACTTTGGAAGATTCTTAATGGGTGAGATGAAGTATGGGCTGACAAAAACAAAGTTAATGGTTGTTGGAAGTCAAAGCTACTTTTTTTTTTTTTATTGGTCTGAAAACAAACAACCAACTTTTACATAAAGTGTTTAAGCTAAAGCCTTTGTTTAACCTAATGGCACTTAAATTCCTTTTCTCAAATTCCCAGGGTGACTTATCTCCTTAGTCAATCAACTGTGGCTGGCCCACTAACCTGCTCCCTCTTAACTTGGGGAACTGGAGGAAATTTACATTCTTTAGCCTACTTCTGTTATGCTTCTGTTTGGTTCTCTCTCCATTCTATTTATCTTGGCTAGTGCCATTTTCTATTTCAAGGCCACAGGGGTCAATAATCAAATTAGGAGGAGGCCGAGGCCTTGTCTTTCTGGGTGGTAAACTTCAGATACACAATATGCCTCTGGCTACAGGAAATAAGGAATGCAAAGAGAACCTCTTTTCTAAGCAGCAAGCATCAGCTGCTCTTCTGTCAAATGAGCAAATTTCATGAGAAAACTTTCAGGGCAAAGTTTGTGTTGACGCCACCATTGTTTGCTGGGCAGGTTAGAGAGTGCCTGCAATCCCAGCTACTTGGGAGGCTGAAGCAGGAGAACCCTTTGAGCCCTGGAGTTTGAGACCATCCTGGGCAACATAGTAAGACCCTCATTTCATACTACTACTACGACGACGACAACGACGACGACGACGACTACTACTACTACTACTAACTACTAACTTCCTTAAGAAATGCAACTGGCAGTACAAGACCCATCAATGTATGTGAGAAGTGCCACAAGTTTCTAGAAAGCAAATTATTTATTTCATTCCATAATTTAAAGAATGTTTTATATAAGATGTTGTAAATTTAAACAAAAAGTTTTGTTTGCTGATAGTAGAAGGAGTTTCTCAAATGCTGGATGTTCTTAGGAATGTGTATAGATTCTGGATGCTAGATTTAAAAATAAAATAATTCCTATGGTTTACAAGTCTTTAAATACACCCCTTTTTCCGGTTCTGAAATAATTAAAATATTTATGAAGCTTTTTTCCTTGCCCTAGAGCACATGAACTTTGCCTTAGAAGAGGCTTAAATATTGACAGATCCATTGTAATGTGACATTTATTAACCTTTGTAATGTTTAATGTGCACTAAAAGTAATCTTGGTTTAACATTATTCTTCTGAAGAATAAGAAGTTCCTGGCTATTTTTTAGTCAAGTAAGAGTTAGAAATATAAGATTTGTTTTCTATTTTTGTAAAATATATTTAAAATACCAATATATCATCTGAATTTTTTGAACAGAACGCCACTTTTAAGTAACACTTTTAAAATTGCCAGTATCTAAATACATTTAAGATCTTCATGTTTCTACTGCTCACTTTGAAATAATGTGATTTTTTTTTCCTCCCTAGCCACATTGATGACTCTGGCTTACATAAATATAAAATACTGGACAGATGCCAAAGAAAGCAACAAAAGAAAGGGTGTATAAAGTCTTAATAATAAATATATTTATTTTATAGAAGCAGAAATATATGTAATTCAAAACCTTAGATAAATCATGTCAAAAATGCACTTCATTCATATTTAAAATTTATAGAAAACATAGAAAAAATATCCTGATGCCATATAGTTTCTTTCTCACCAAAGCTTACACAGTTTGTGGCTTTATTGATTTTAAGTTTCATAGCCTAACAAATAAGTCTACAATTCTATACCTTTTTTGGAATGTAATAAGATATTTGAAAATATAAGAATTTAAATAATATATTTCTTGAGCACTTTATGTATCTCTTTCTAATATACAGAGCTGCTTAACTTCCAAAGCCTAATATGGAATAAAAGGTTTTAAATGGATAAAAATATAATTACAGAGAAACAACAAAAAAAATTTGAGTGTTAGGGTTATGGATAATTTGTGGTTTCATTATGTTTTCTGTATTTTTTATATTTTTCTAAAATAAGACTGATTTGGTTTAGTAATTAATTTTTCAGGTCATGATACAAACATTTATTTCAGTCATATTTTTAATGTTTCTACCAAGAATACTTTGGCTTCTGGTCATCAAGATAAATCAGAAAAAGAAATTCACAGGAATACTTTCATTGGGCAGAGTTTATTGTTCAACTGATAATTACTATTTTGGGGTTATGTGCCTAAAATTTAAGAGAGATCATCTTTGTAGAATAAAAGAAAATGCAAAGTTGTTATTCTCAGTGGGTGCCTTGATTAATATTTCAGTGACATTTATGACAAATCTCCAGGTGTTATAATTTTCCAAGTTTAGAGCTTTCATGAAAAAGAAAGAATGAAAGAAAATTTTAAAAAATGTGAAGACTTACTGCTGAGTTGCAGCCTTGTCATTATTTCTGCCAGGTTTACATCCCTATGGCCATCTGCAGCCACAGCCCTTCAAGGCTAATTACATTTATGGTCAGTCTAGCTCTAATGTAAGCAAGAGCTGGTGGCTACAAGACTCTTTCTACTGTTGTCACATTAGCCAGCCAGTGGGTTTCCATGAAAAAGTTGGCTGCCATTCACAGTCACAAATCTCCAGATAATAGGTAACAATCATGACATGTGTCACGGCTCCCAATCAATTTAGTTAATTTCCCTGAAAAATATGTTTTATCTGTATAAATTCTACTAATAATTTCCTTAAGTGACTCAATGGTTGATTGGAAGTTTAGCTAAGGAGGTATTTTTCTTTTTCTTTTTTTTTCTTTTTTTGAGACGGAGTCTCGCTCTGTCGCCCAGGCTGGAGTGCAGTGGCGGGATCTCGGCTCACTGCAAGCTCCGCCTCCCGGGTTCACGCCATTCTCCTGCCTCAGCCTCCCAAGTAGCTGGGACTACAGGCGCCCGCCACTACGCCCGGCTAATTTTTTGTATTTTTAGTAGAGACGGGGTTTCACCGTTTTAGCCGGGATGGTCTCGATCTCCTGACCTCGTGATCCGCCTGCCTCGGCCTCCCAAAGTGCTGGGATTACAGGCGTGAGCCACCGCGCCCGGCCAGAGGTATTTTTCAAAGACAAAATTCTGGATTCAGTTAGTCAAATCTTCACAAAGTGCAGAGGTGTTAAAAACTAAAGTATACGGTTATTTAAGGAATTTGAAATAGTGAGTGATGACGAAATCATTTAGGAATACATTCCTTGTGCCTGACAAGAGCAAATCACTGCATGACACAAAACCAAAATATAGTCACTACGTTATGTATAATTTCAAGTCCAAGAACTACAGAGTAAGTTTCATGCTATCATTGTTGTTCGTTGTCTCTATTGGCAGAGGGCTAAATAGCTTGATGGCGTAAATCTGTTATATAAAAATGTCTATGTATTTTGTTTCTACTCTGCAAAATTCCCTTAGATAATTTCATAATTCCCATACTTAATAAAATGAAAACTAAATACATTTTATAAACCACAGTTGTTTCTCAACGTGGGTATGCAATGAAGCAATTGGCAGAGTGTTTTTTTTTAATGTTTTGTTGTTTACTTGCCAAAATAAATTTACCACTTCACCAAAAAAGAAAATAAAAAGGAACTCCAATCAGAAAGGTGGGTGATTGGAGAATATGAATAGATGTAGGGGAAGGAAACTGGATCATAACTAAGCTGAAGATTTATTAAATTAATATTTACCAAATGCCGTACTCTCTCCTGGACTCTGGGTAACCATAATGCATGAACATAATCTCTAGGTGTTCATAGTCTAGTGAGAAACTGTAGTTTAGCAGAGAGATCCTCTGGATCCATAGCCAGAGATAATCCTCACACATCTCATGGAAATGGGCTTACTACAAAACTGGAAGATCATCTGAACACATGTTTTTAAATAACAGTCTGTATGTTGGCTAAACAGAAAAAACTGGGGAAACTTATAAAAGTAGAGATTCCAGAGGCCCATATAATATTTATTGATTAGGCTCTAGAGCTGGAGTGTGAATTTATGATTTTAAATAATGTCCCCAGGTGATTCTGATGAAAGCCAGGTTTGTAAATAACTGCAAGTTTCAAAATCTTTCTCGGAGATGTAGACAAAGAGGTCAATCATTTATTTGCACAAGGCCACATAGCGGTTTGTCTCTGGGATTATTACAACTCAAACATCTGTTCAACTCACAGCACAGCCAAAGTTGCAAAAATTTGCAAATTCTAGTAGAAATCCATACTGCTTAGGGATGTTGGAAGCCTTTATACCACATCTCTCCAGCTGGTCAGTTTCTCCAGTTCCACTCTCATGCAATAGGTCCTAGGAAACTGGGTGTATTATGTGATTTGGGGTATTTTATTCCTTTGAGAGTAGAGTACTTTAATTGGGAGGAAGTCTTAGGTGTGTCATAACTGTGTGGTATTGGGCATGAAGTCTGAGTGGGAGGATGAGAATTGTTAAAGGGCCCCTCTAAACTAGAACCAGTCAAACTGAAACAACGCTCCAAAATCTTACTGCATGTCTTTGCTCTCAGTGTATGGTCTAAAGATATAAATAGACCAAACAAGTGGCAATTTTGATTATGAAGAGACTCTACTTTTTTCAATATAAATGCAGGAAATAGAATAAATTATGTTCAAGGATTTTAAAATCTTGATATTCCCAATTTCAATGGTAAGAAATTTCCAATACTAAAAAAAGATCGGCCGGGCGCGGTGGCTCACGCCTGTAATCCCAGCACTTTGGGAGGCCGAGGCGGGCGGATCACGAGGTCAGGAGATCGAGACCATCCTGGCCAACACGGTGAAACCCCGTCTCCACTAAAAATACAAAAAAAATACGAGGCGTGGTGTCGGGAGCCTGTAGTCCCAGCTACTCGGGAGGCTGAGGCAGGAGAATGGCGTGAACCCGGGAGGCGGAGCTTGCAGTGAGCCGAGATCGCGCCACTGCACTCCAGCCTGGGCGACAGAGTCAGACTCCGTCTCAAAAAAAAAAAAAAAAAAAAAAAAACATCAATTTCTACTAGGCACATAAAATATTCAACAAATACTATACATGTCCATTTGTTGCGAAAATATGTTATTTAAGTTATTAGCAATGCAAGTTTGCAGATCTACATCTGCACTGAGAGGTAGTTTACCCAATGGTTAGGACGACTTAGTTTCAAATCCTAAATTCTACCACTTATGTCACTTTCAGCAAGGTCCCTGAGCAATCTGTGCCTCAGTTTCTTCATTTATAGAATAAGCATGATTGTGTCTATTCCTTAGGGTTTGGTGAGGATTAAATGAGTTAAGAAATGTGGAGCACCTAGGAATAGAAAAAAAATGCACAGAATGATGTTTAATAAGTGTTATTATCTCATTTTCTTGACTCCTTTTTTGGTGGGGGAGGCATATCTAGTTATCCATTCTGAAAAAAGTTATTCTGGTTGCAGTTCAAAATTTTCATGTAATCATAATATTACCGATACAGATAACTGCTCCTAATATTATTTGGTGATACACCAAAGAGAAAAAATACACATTAGCACAATACGTGTTATTTATCTGATACATGCTTTTTTTTTGAGTTCCTATTAACTCTGTTTAAAAATCATCGAGTGATTTTTAGATGTTTCATAAGCACAATATGACATTTAAAGACTGGATACTTTCCCTTCATTCCTGTTGTGTTATTGTTAATCCACTTGTTGTAAAACATAATGTGATCCTAATATTCCTTATTGAGATTTTTAGCTGAGATACATATATTCGACTTAGTTATTTTAGCAACAGAGGCAACTTAGATCCAATTTGATAAGATTGCATTACCCATGCAATTTTTTATTATTTCAAACATAGAACGTTGTGATTTATTGTCTAAAAATAAGTGTTTGTCTAAATTTTAATGTATTAATGAACGTAACAAGTATGTTTTGATAGTGAGAGCTCTGTCCCCAAAGAGACAATCTGTGGTCAATTCTCGTTCATTCAGGAGCAATGATCAACACAAATATACTATGAAAAGAAAGAAGTGGAATTTGAGAGAAAGAGAAAAAATTATTTAAAAGAGCATAGTCACTGGGTAGACAGATTACACATTTGTCACCTGAAATTCAAGAAGAACTGTAGGTGTTTCAGGAAGAAAATAAAAAATCAGAAATTAGGGAGGTTGCTGAGAAAAATCCAGGTTGGGTAAAAAAAACAAATCGTAACTTACAAAATTGAAATATGTATGTATTTACTATGCCTGAAAATAGATGCCCATTGCCTATGAAAATGTGTACTATCATATGCATAGGATACTCCTAAAATGGAGCCAAATGAATGTTGTCTGATGATTTATGATGGAGAAAATTATTTTGTATCTCGAGGGGAGAGAACAATGCTAAGCCCTCAGTGCCAGGA
Organism: Homo sapiens; assembly: GCF_000001405.40. Taxonomy (NCBI): domain Eukaryota; kingdom Metazoa; phylum Chordata; class Mammalia; order Primates; family Hominidae; genus Homo; species Homo sapiens. The sequence continues at coordinate 76,867,963 of NC_000003.12, read as the reverse complement.
GAAAACATTCATCTTGGAGGGTCTGAGAAACAGAATCCTTGGCATGAAATGCATACCTGATATTTTGATCATTTGCCTCAAGTATTACTGGTAACCCTGCTGCCACATCGAAAACTCCACAAAGAAAACAATGTTCTCTCTTATTGAAAGCACTTTTCCCTTTCCCTTTCCCAAGGCTCATGCAATGAGCTCAATTTCCCCAACAAAATGCAATGGTTTTCGAGGAGAGAATCAACAAGAGCTTTGTCCCAAAGAAACATTTCTTTTATTTTTAGAAAATCTTTCTAATTTGTAACAGTTTAAGTGCAAGAATGAAACTGCAAATGCATTCCATTGGAAATTGATGCCAACATTTTCTATTAAAAGAATCTGGGCAAGTCCATCGTGGTTGCATTTCTCTCATGTTGAGCAGTGTTAACGAAAAGTGTCCCCAAATTGAGCTTTAGCAATAGTGGCCTTTTAAGGTTTACATTTCTATGGGCTATGTTTTTCTTAAATCCAAACTCTGGGAGTTAAAACAAAAAAAGGCAAAACAAGTAAAATTAAAGCACCACATCCTATAACATACATAAACATTTATAAAATGGTTCCATCTTGAAAATGATCCCTGAGTGTACATTCCTCAATAGCACTAGACTGAGACTGGCATATAATGTGTAAGTGCCCATTAACCTATATTCCTTACTAAAATAATAAACGAATGCTTTATGACAGCCCGAATGACAAGTTTTTCACTGAACAAGACTTCCTGGAGAACAAAGTTCAAGCTGATAGTCCATTATATGTTATTTCCTCTTGTCTTACAAAATAACAGTAATCTAGGCTAGTGTTAATACTCTCCCAACATGTAAACACTTAATAAATGTCTGTTGAAATGAACCAATGTCCTCCCCTTTTCCTTGCTTAAAAATAAGTTGTGGTCATGCTTTTGAGTTAAAATGTAGCTACTGTTACGTTGTCAGATGGTTCACTGCATATTCTAAGTCACTTAGTGGCTTCACTCTGTCACTAGAAATGGCTGAAGAATTAACATATAGTTCATTAAATGAGTAAGATGAGGCCCTTGAGAAAATCCCAGGGGACTGGGAGGTAGTGGTTGAGATGTGCAGGTGTGTCTACTTACAGCGAGTGTGGATTATGCAAATTATCCTACTCTTCTCTTATTCAACCTGATTATGTATAAACAGTCATCCTCGTTTTTCATTTGTTTCTTGTTTGCTAAAAAGAAAATAATAAAATAAAATAAACTACCAGTTTCATAGAACAAGAGTTGGTATGCTGATTTGGGGTTTTAAACTTTTTGAGAATTAAGTGTATAGAAGTAATATAGATGAGATAGATTAACTCACAAAGAGACAGTCATGAGTGTTCCTCAAGGGCTGGAGTCTTGGATAGTGCTGAATTTATCATTATTAGTTCCCAAATGGATTAATTTTAGTTTAATGTAAATTAATAAAACCAACTATTTGGTATGCAATTAAAGTTTGTCAATAACAATATTTTAAATAAATGATGATGATGATGATGAAATAAAGCTAGAGGAAAAATAAATACAAAATAACATTTTAACAAATAGATGAAGGATTAATGTAAACACTTTATGTGATTGATAATAACAGAACCATGGCAAATACAAATAGCGTTCTTCCAAAGATTATGTTTACCTTAAAAATATGAAGCTAAATAATTTTATTGGACAGCTACATATCCTGTGCATCTTTTTCTTTTCTTTTTTTCCTTTTTTGTCAAAGCAGTTTAAGTTACTTGTCCATACGGAGTAGTAAAAATACATAGAATATTCTTTCCCACTTTGAATCTGGAAGTCCTTTGAAAAACTCATGAACTTCTCTTTCTTTGATAAAATTAAATGGACTGAAACATGCACCCTCAAGGCAGTTTTTAGATAGGAAAAGATCAAATAAAAGCAATTACACTGTAATTTGGCTGGTAAGGCTTAAAATAAGGAGCCTATTGAAAAGCTCTCTTATACTTAAACTCCTGCATAAGTAGCTCGATTTTTATGTCTAAATTAATAAAATCATGCTGAAGTACCTACTAAAATACAAGGTAGCTATAATTGATCCTAAAATTCTACCTTTGGGAATAAAATGCCTCTTAATTCAAAACGTAATACAGCATTTGTACTAGAAATTGATTTTATCAGCTCCTTTTAAGATAATTTTGGTGGGTAGAAGAGGATATTCCTTACAACTTTGAAAATTTCATTCAATACCTGTAATTAAACAAAATTTTGTTTCACTACAATGAATCAGGCTGACAAATATCAGTGACATTTATATCAATGACATTTATTTGGTAATCTGGAATAAATGGTGAGGTCAGTGTAACAAATCTGGTTATGACCTTGGTGATCCATACTTTTAAGTTAATCTAGACTGTGGTAGAACATATTAGAGTGACTCAGAGTGTGGATGAACCAGAATGTCTTCTGCACTAGTGACGGTGTAAAGCAGTACTACTCAAAGTGTGGTCCGTGGACAATTGCTAGTCCACAAACTGCTTGTTACCAGTGTGCAGAGGATTAAATACAGAACTTGAAAGCAAGCCTAGATAGCCATAGGACAGTTATTTGATGCTCTTGAATCTAATAACAATGTTAAGAATTGCTCATTTTAATCTGCATAACTTGATCTTTTCATTTTATTTTTCTAGTAATTCATTCTTTTTGTATTTTACAAAAGTATTGGGCCACAACAGAATGCAAATGAAAAGTGAAATCACAGACAAAAACATAATGCTTCACCAATGATAATTTGAGAAGCAATGGTGTGGATTATATGCTCACATATATTTTTGGATTTTTTTTTTTAGAAAGAAAAGAAATACACAGCATGGAAATAGAATGGTCTGTAAGATGTCTCTAGGGAAAATAAACTTGATGCTTGACATTTTTAATGATAGTGCCATTACTCAATAATTTAAATTCTGATTTTCTGCCGTGCTGACAGAGCTTTCAATTTAGCTATGCTAAATCTGTTAGACAAATATTATATTGTGCATTGTTAAAATTTGTCTTGACCTTCAAAAAACTGCAATGACTAGTCCCACATTTTGTCATTTGCCATTTTTAATTATTTTAGTACAAATCTATTTAGCTAACTTTTACAGCTTAGATGGAAAATAGTTTGTCTGAAGTTTAGATCATTATTGATTTTAGTTGTTTATATGCCCATATATACATACCTTCTAATAATCTAATTGTTAGACAACAAAACATTATTTTTGTGCCTGCGGATGTCAAATTTAAACACAAATTGCTATCAAGGGATAGCTAAACTGCTTTTTCTTTATTTATGGCAAATTGATGCTCATACCTAAAGACCTTTATGTACCTACAGACATACGGTGACAGAATTTTTGATGAATGTCAAAATAAAGGCACATGCTGGGAGTAAGAAATGGTATGATGTCAACTTGAGTTTCTGGCAATTCTACCCTAGAGACATAATGGATGAGAAAAAACTGAACATGGGATATGAAATGCAGAAACGATGGGATTCTCATGATTAGTTCTGTGATGTCGGTGGAATAATTTTTCTATTCATCAAGATGAAGTGAAGGAAGATTGGTAGCTTAACTAATATTCCAGAACAAGATGAATTGAAGTGAGAAATTATTCCATCTACTTTCTTGCATACAGTGAGAAATACTTTACTGAAAATATAAACCAAGCAAAATATTCTTAATTGTGTAAAAACAATAGTCAGATTTGTAAACCCCCGGAAGGAGAACCATCAAATAAAAACATACTGTGAGTGATAAAGTTCCCAGATGTATTTTAAGCATTTATAATTTTTTAAAATCTGTGGCCCAGATCCTACTAAATGAGAGAACCAATTCTGGAGAAGGATCGTGTTCAATTCAGTAGAATGAAATGTAGTAGATTACTCTACCAGAGAACTACATGGAGCTCCTAGGAAATGCCCACTCACCTGGAAATGTTACACCCTATATTTATTAGAGAAGTTATATTTCATGACAGTGAAATTCCTTAATTCTCATCAGGATTGCCTTTTATTTAAAGAACAAAAATCTTTATTAAGCTTCAACAAAAGACAATTATTTAGGAAAAAATTTAAATTACCTGCTTTAAATTTAGATTGAGATAAAGTTTATCATTGTTATTGCTTGAGGCAGTAACTGGTAGGGGGTAGTTATTGTCTTTATAGTCACACATTCTCATAATAATTAACTTACATGTTATATATTTAATTTCATATGGCTAGCAATTCAGTAAACATTTATTAAGAACCTACTCCTTTGGCATATCCGTGCTAAGATAAACAGGTATGCCCCACAAATTCCCATGGAATTCACAGTCTAAGAGAGAAGACAGATAAATCAAATTTTACTTACAAGACAACAAAATAAATACTACATTAGAATCTATTATGTATATAAGATACACTGTTCTATGAGAATAGGAAGGCGTAATAGATAACTCAAATGATTTGGTTTTTTTCTGCTTTATTTTCTTTCTTTTCTTTTCTTTTTTCTTTTTTTTTGAGACAGGTTCTCACTCTGTCACCCAGGCTGGAATGGAGTGACGTAATCACAGCTCACTGTAGCCTCGACTTCCCAACAATCTGATTTTTAAAAAACCAACAACCAACAACTTAACAGGAGAGTACCATCTTATCTGAATTATGAAGGACATGTACACAGTCAACAGATTGATGGAGTGAAATAAGATTTTACACAGAAGAAACAGCCTGTACAAACCCACAGGGACAAATAAATGAACAACTTCCAGAAATTGCAAGGAATTTCACGTGGCTAGAAGACAAGTCACAGACTCTTGGGAGGTAAGGCTATGTAATGAGGTTCAGTTTGTATTGCAGAGGGCAATTTTTGCCCTTTATAATAAGAAATATAGAAGTTACAGCACGAAAGATTTAAGGAAGGATTTTTAGCTGATAAGTTAATGATTAGGTATGTGTTCTAGAAAGCTGACTTTATCTGCAATGCTGAGACCAAATTTCTTTGCATTTGCTTTCTGGGATGGTGATACATTAAATCAAGGCAGTTGTAAAGGCAATGGAGAGAGAAAAGAGACGTGAAAATTGTTAAAGCTATAATTGACAAGATAGTAGATATTAGAGGCCACTAATTAAATCCCCTAAAATATTATTGTTTTTAATCTATATTGATTTTGAAAGGGTTCAGGACATACGACCCCAAAATATGACATCTTGGCATTTGAGAAAAAAGCAGAAACAGGAAGGTCAGTCTCACATTCCCCAACCCTTCTCCCTGGAAGCAAGTCATAAGATCTTCATTTGAGAAGTGCCCTCCTATACTTAGAGAAAAGGAATATCCATATCTCTGAAGACACAGGGACACAGAGAGAATCTGAACACACAGCCTTGGTAGGATTCCTTCCGTTTATCATCATTAGATCATAACCCCTTTGTCCAGTCCTATTTCTCCAAGACTGCCTCCTTCTTCATTAAACCTTGCATAAAAACTCACAAATTTAACCATTTATTTGGATTCTTATTTCCTTATGAAAATTCCTGTGTGGCATAAAACGTGCTTTTTAAAATCTGAAAGTTTTTCTCCTGATAATTTATCTGTTAGTTTGCCTTGTAGACCTAGCCAGGTACCCTCACAGGGGCAAGGAAAATCTTTTCTCCTCCTACAACTTATACATGAGGATAAAGCCATCCAGAATGAAGCTATTTTCCAGCCTTCTCTGCAGCTACGTGTAACCATGTAAGTACTTTCTGGGTAATAAGATGTAAGAGAATGTATATTGTGTAGAAGCTTTAGGGAGTCCTTTCTACCTTGAAGAGAGAGGGCATGTCTTTCCTTCTTTTCCTTCCTTCCTTTCTTCCTTCCTTCTTTCTTTCCTTCCTTCCTTCTTTCCTTCCACCGTTCCTTTGAACTTTTGGACTACAGCCAGAACTTATAGAAGAGATGACTGGAGTTCTCTTTGTTCTTGAGGTCTCTATTTCAGAAAAGAAGAGCAGAGAACTGCAAGAGCCTCTGAGAATATATAAAATAAAATAAATGATCATGTTAAGCCATTTTACTTATGGTCTCTGTTACTTGCAGCAAAACCTCTTTCTTATGACACAGCAGTCAATTAAAAAGAAAAGCAAGGGGAAAAGCAGGCTGTGACTACTGTCTTGGATGATTACTGAATGGGAAGTCACCAATCTTAATAAGACATGAATTAAAAATCATGTTTTGAGGAAAGCTATTGATGTTAGATTCATAAACTTTGACTTTAAGATACCAACCTGATATCAAAGAAGAGTTGTTCAGTAGGTAGTTATATACACCACTCTAGAATTCAAGTGAGGGATTGGAAATGAAGATTTGAGAAATATAAAAATACATGTGGTGATTTGAAAACTTGACAGTAGACATGATGGCCCTGGAGGGAACTCAGAGGAGATAAGAGCAAAGAACAGAACTCTAGGGAGCACCCATTTCTAGACTGTGGGTAAAAGAAGGGAGGAGGAGTGAGAGGAAGAGGAGTAATAGTGGTGGTTGCAGCAGCAAAAATAGTAGCATTAGAATAATTTACTAAGAATTACTATGTGGTAGGCATTGTCATAAGTGCTTTACATGTGTTTACACCTCTAATCCTCAAAACAACCCAGTAAGATAATACCTTAGACTTAGTAAGTTAGGACTTACAAGGTAGGTACCACTATTATTTTCATTTCAAAGGAAATAGGCACAGAAGTTAAACAGTTTGCCCAATATGAGTTCCAGTGCCCTTGCCCTTCCCTCTTATACTCAACTTCCTCAAGATAAATGAAGGAGTTCAAGGCTTATGAAGAAACTCAGAATAGTGTAATGTCAGAGAAAGGGACAAAATTTCAAAGTGGTGACAGTATTGGCTATTACTGATGTTGCAGAGGGAAGAGGGCTTGATGGAATTGACTGGATGGAAATTTTGGAGGTCGCCAGTGAGCTTGCTGAGAGTCATCTTAGAGGAACGGGCTAAAGTTTGATAAGGATGGGCTGAATGGGCTGAAGAGAAAGCTCATGCTTTCCTTTTATCAAACACACATACACACACACGCACACACACTTTAAATAAGTGCAGTTTTTAACAAGTGAAAGAAGGAATCAGAAAATGGAGAGAAAAGGCGTCTTGTTTATCTGTGAAGAAAAGGCAAGAGATTACAAGAAGCATCTAGGGACAAGTGATTTTTTTGTTTGTTGTTAAATCTTAGAGACTTAAGTATGATTATATATAGTAAAGAGGTCAGTAGATGGACTGTTAAAAAATGTAGGAGGAAAATGGAAAACACATGGGTTAGGTTGCAAGAAAGGTTGGCAGACAATGACGAGGATAGGTCATGTGGCAGGATTAGCCTGAAGCAGAGGATGGTAAATGTCCTTACATTTTAGTAGAAGTTAGTGCAAAAAAGAAAACCTGAAAACAATGGAGTCAACTATTTTTGGAGACATAAGCAATTAAAAAACAAAAAACAAAAAAGACCCAAAGGAGAACATCTGCTATAAAAATAGTTTGGAGATAATTGTCATGAAGCCTGGCTTCTGCTTCTAGCTCTGTTACAAATCAGCTGAGGGAACTCATCTTCTTTAGAATTTTGATATCTCAATTTTCTTATTTGTAAAATGCCCTACGAAAACATTTTTTGTGGTGAAAATTTGAAATTAGAAGGCCATTGAGGAAAGAATATGCTCCATGCCTTTATCATTATTAGAGGAAACATGAATAAACAGAAAGCCGTCGGGGGTATAGTGGGAATAGCATCAGGCACTGGTGAACTCTGCCACATCTACCCAACATCCTTTTGGGTAAATCACTTGGCCACTCTCATCACTTCCCTTGCAAAATGAGGATAATTGTCTTTAGATCAATGACTTGTTTAAGAATTGAACAAAATGATATACATGAAACCATTTTATAACACAAATAATGACACAAAGGTAGGTAATGATTTTGAAAATCGTAAAATATCATGTGCAGTCGAAGATAATACCAGCAACAAGAAGTGATGAACAACACTCACGTCTAAATATCTCAGTGCTGGTGAGAGGTAGACTTGCCACAGATGTCATATCTGGTTTCCTCAGTGTTCCAATGAGTCATCTTTAATTTTAAACAGCAAGACAGCATCAAGAACAAAGGAAGTGGCCTAGAGGAACATGACTCTGCTAGAGAGAGAATGGTTAACTGCCATATGCCAGCCAGCAGAATAGCAAGAAGATGTGTGGCCACCACCAGCTGGGTGGGAAAAGAGGCTGCAGGAGGTTGTGGCTGAGAAAGCTTCAGTTCAGTTATGGGAATCTTTTTGCTTTCCCCATGTGTTCTCACCACATCCTCAGGGTCCCCGATGGTGGGGCTCTCCTGAGAGATGTAATGTAATGGGAGAGGCAGAAAGGAAGACGTGACAACAGAAAGGGAAAGCCAGAGGTATTAGGGAAGGGGAGCAAATTGAGATATGGGGAAGAAGCTGAGTTCTGGAGAGGCTAGAATCATCAGAGGGCCAATTGGATTGGGTTACCTGCTAGTAAGCCCAGAGCAGAACCACAGAAAACCTTTAGCACCCGCATCTCCAAGCCATCCTATGTGAGCTGTTCACAAAGATATTTTACTTTTACATGTGTCTAAAATTTCAGAATATGTAAAATTTGTGACTAAAAAATGATTGCATCAAATATATGAAAAATTTGAACAGTCCTTGCATTGATAAAATTGACTATGCCTCTCTTGAAAGTCATGTCTATTTTTGTCAGCATATCATTTCTTTATTATTCTCTGTCACTTTCACCCTTGACTTCTTCTTTTGCTCTCCCTCTGGCAAAATTGATGTTCAGCACTCAAGAAATCAACTCTCATGTTTATGCAAGTGATGCCCATATTCAAAATTTGGATCCTAGAACCTCATTTACAGGGTGGACTCTTATATTTAAGTACTTACAGATTTTCTTTACTTTCCATTTTCCTCTATCTGAACATGATTAAAAAAGAATCCTGCCATCTTCCATATAACAAACATCTCTCCTTCTCATCACTATATGTCCAACAGCACAGCCATCCTGGTTTCTATCTTCCAGGACAGATCTTTTGTAATCATCAGACCCTGGATTCAGCATCTCTCTCACTGCTCCACCAAAGTTGATACCACACAAATGTGGATCTTCCTCACCCTACACCTGAACTATAGTGGTGACAGCTTCAATTCATTGTCTTGGTTTTCCTAAATCATTGTTTGCATTGTATCATTTTCACATTCAAAACACCACAACAATTCTCTATTAACAGGTGAAAAATCAAACTTCTCTGTCTGGCTGGGCAGGGCCTTTACTATTTGGCTTTAGATATCGAGTCTTACTTCTTATTACTCATGACATGGTTAGTAAGTTAATTGTTTAAAAGCTATTTACTGACCAGGTGCCGTGGCTCACGCTTGTAATCCTAGGACTTTAAGAAGCCAAGGCAGGCAGATTGCCTGAGCTCAGGAGTTTGAGACCAACTGGGCAACAGGAAGAAATTCTGGTTCTATTAAAAATACAAAAAATTAGCCACGTGTGGTGGCGGGTGCCTTGTAGTCCCAGCTACTTGGGAGGCTGAGGCACAGGAATTGCTTGAACTTGAGAGGTAGAGGCTGCAGTGAGCCAAGATCACTCTAGCCTGGGTGACAGAGAAAGGCTCTGCCTCCAAAAAAAACAAAGCTATTTACTGAGTGTTTGTTTTATGTTGGCACTGTGATAAACATAAATAATAATGGCCCGTCCTCCCGTCCTGTCCTGAGGATCTTGCAACTTACTGGGAGGCAGGTGAACAGCATCAGTGAGTGCTATGCTGGGAGTGTACTAGCGAGTGCTGTGCTGGGAGTGTACTAGCGAGTGCTATGCTGGGAGCGTACTAGGGTATAATGGGGATCCAGGGAATGGGGGCCATAAGGAAAATTTTCCAAAAGAAGTGGAAGAATGAGGAGAGTCTTGAAGGGTAAACTGGAGTTAACTGGGAGAGACAGGAATAAAGACATTTTAGGAAGAGGGAATCGGGAACTTGAGAATGCACGGCCTTTTTAAGGAACCCTAACTTGTTTTTCACAGCTCAAGTAAAAGGCTTAGCTATAAAGCTAAAGAGGTAGCCTGGGGTCAAATTATGACCTTGTGAGTAAGGCTAAGAAATGCTCATTTTATGCTAAAAGCCGTGAGAAGCTGTTAAAATATTTTAATTAAGATAATGAGTTGCATGATCATATGAGTGTCTTAGAAAGATGCCTGGCAGCAAAGTTGAATATGCTGGAAGGGGATGTGTGTAAAGTAGAGAAAACAACTTAGGAAGCCTTGATTTCTTAAAAACAGCCACCACCATCACCATCACAGCAAAAACGTGTTCATTGTCAGTGCTGAAACCCAACGGGCCATCAAAATTGTTTTGGGTAGTGAAGAAAATATGTGCCCACTTCGAAAAAACACACAAATCGGTATGTCATAAATTGTGACTAAAAATAAATGCATTGAGTTCAATAATAGGCTAGGAAAATGCCCTCTAATTTCCACGATTTTGTCTTCTAATCTGTTAGATTTTTCTTCAGTATGTTATTTATAGGTAATTAAAAACAGAAATGCATTAATTTACTGTTACATTACATTTAGCATTTCAATTACAAAAAGGAACTGGGGAATGCAGATTCTATTTCACAAGAGGATTTAAAAACATGCATTCGCTCACACCTGTAATCCCAGCACTTTGGGAGGCCGAGGCGGGCGGATCACGAGGTCAGGAGATCGAGACCATCCTGGCTAACACGGTGAAACCCCGTCTCTACTAAAAATACAAAAAATTATCCGGGCGTGGTGGCGGGCGCCTGTAGTCCCAGCTACTCCGGAGGCTGAGGCACGAGAATCGCTTGAACCCGGGAGAAGGAGCTAGCAGTGAGCCGAGATCACACCACTGCACTCCAGCCTGGGCAACAGAGCAAGACTCCGTCTCAAAAGAAAAAAAAAGCACGCATTCGTGTTTAGGTTTAACTCCTTGCATGTAATACATGCCATATGCAAATGCGGTATTTAGAACTAGGATTACAGAAAGCACTTGCTGTGTTGGATTATTAAATGTATATGTTGTTCTAAACCCCAGCCTCTCCCCACAGTATAATTCTTGCAATCTGTCTGCTAATACAGGGTTGTTTATGATTTGCTGAACTGTATTTTTTCTAGACTTTTGTATATATTATACAAGCCAATAGATAGCCAGTAATATAAATTACTTAAATATAGTGTGGTAAAGCACCATCATCATTACCTGAGAACTTGTTGGGAATGAAAATTATTGGGCCCCAACCCAGGTACATGGAATGAAGTTTTCTGGGGATGTTGCCCAGGAATCTGTATTTTAGTAAGCTTTCCAGAAGATTCTTACATATACTTAATTTAAGAAAGTGTAGGGGCAGGGTAGATGAAGAAGGCTAAAGATCAAATATACAACATGAGGACTATACTGAAAAATAGTGTATTGCATTCAGAATTTTTGCTAAATGAGTAGGTTATAGGTGCTCTTGCCCCAGGCAGGATTGGAGGGAATGGGTAACTGTGTGAGATGATGGCTATGTTCATTTGTTCCACTGTAGTAATCATTTTACCATATATGTGTCTTAAAACATCATGTTGTATACATATGTAAATATACACAATAACATTCATTTAAAAAAGAAGGATGTGGTAAAGGATCGATCTAAAGGCAGGTTGTAAATAATGCAAAATTATTTTTGCTGCTGTGACTCCTTTGACAAACCATCTCAAATATTCACTAAAATTGTACTAAGCCTGTATCGACTTCAGTTGAACCAATTATGTCTTCTTGTTCATATAACCACGATATACTGAAAATATATCCCATCAAGCTTATGTTATCTGCTCATGGGGCTTCTGTGCCAACAGCCAACAGAGACCTGACTAGCTCATCCAACAGGGGATACCAGCACTTACCATAGAACCAGCTCCATATATTCGGCATAGGGAATGGAAATGCTCAGCATGGGTAAAACTTTTTACAAATTATGCAATAAAAACAAAGATATACTGCTTTCAATGAGTTTGTGAGATTAATTCTTAGTCATTTTTTTTCTGGCTCATACCAAATATTCTTATTTTATAAATTAGTTGTTTGATACGACAATTACAATAACTTAAGCAGTGGTATAATGTGCAGAAACCCATTAGAATGCATTATGAATTAAGAAACAAAGCATTTCTTATTCTTGATGGAAATTAAATAAAAATGTCAAACTACTGCAATCAGACATCTCAGATATGAATATTCATTGGCAAATGTTCATGGCAGATTTATGAATTCTTTCACCTGCTGTTAGAAGGAAAAAGGAAAACATTAAGTTGCCAAATAAAGCCATTAACATAAGCTAAAAGAAAAAAATATATACACCAGATGGATGCTGATCTTGGAATTATGCAATCTTATCAAAAGAGAACTATTTCTTTTATATTGTGAAAACATTTGTTTTATACACGCAGATTGCAAAGGTCTGAAATTTGAACTCAGTATCCATTAGCGGCACCCTCTCCGATAGCTTATGGAGGACAGACATCAAACATCTATCACCTCGTTGTGGTAAAGCCATGTGTAAAGACATTCATTAACAGTCTAGGTGATATGTAAAATCTCTGCCCCACTCCTTGAACATCAATTACAGCAACATCCACACACAGTGGACTATTTTGCCCTAAAGAAAAGATTTTGATTAAATTTGAGGTTATAATTTAAATGGAGGATAACAAACTACTTCAATCAGTTTGTTTTGAAGGCTTAGAAATGAGAAACCATATAAAATGTTTGCTTAGGCATGTTAGGTTACTTATGTAGCCATGTGTGAATTTTACTTAATTTGTGGAATATGGTTTTCATGAGCATTTTTAGTGCCTCCTGATTACTACCAGGGTTGGAATGCTACAAAAACATAACATTTCCTGGAGAAGTTCAGCAATTTTATAGACAAGGAAAGGACTCACAGAAGCAATAAAACTACACATTGAATATTTGATTATTCTCTCATATACAATTAGGTTCTTTTGGTTCGGATATTTTTTGGCTTACCTTCTAGGCTCCAACAATGACTACTATCTTTTAACTACTCTTTTAAGTAGGTGAAGAAAATTTTTTTCTCTTTAGTTTATGATTTAAAAAAATACATATTTAATAATACACATTTCTATGCTAACTATTGAACAATATAGTAATAGAACTATTAGGCCAACAAAAATTTGAGCTGTAATTATACTCAACAACTAAAATATTTTAACTAAATATTTGGCCTTGCATTTTCTACAAGATGAGGCATTTGAAGAAATTTGCAGAAATCTGAAACAAGAAGGCATAAGTTACTGTTTCTCAAATATTCTAACAAGTTGAACTAAAAGATTCATTGAATATATCCCCAAACCACTGGGTATTATTGGAAAACCAAAGTAAATGCTGAGTTCTCAAAAGTTTGCACAATCACAGTCATTCATTGTTGGTGGAAGTGTAAACTGGTGTTGTCTGTGTAAGATAATTTGCTAACATCTATGGATATTAAATATGCAGATACCATTTAAACCAGTAATTCCACTTTTGGAATTGGATCTATACAAGTTTACCTTGAAATGTGTATGCAATGTATTCATTGCAACCTACATTATAACAGCACATTACTGAAAGCAATTTAAATTTCTATTAATAGGGAGCAGGTTATATAAATCATGGTTCATCCATACAATGGATTACTTGTAGATGTTAAAAGAATGAATTATTTCTAAAAGTACTTATGAGGGCTGATTTTTAAGGTATATTTTTAAATTTAAAAAGCAAGGCACAAAATTTTAGGTATAACATGCTATAATTTTGATATGAGAGAGAGAGAGGCAGACAGAGAAAGAGAGAGAGAGAGAGAGAGAGAGAGAGAGAGAGAGAGAGAGAGAGAGAAAGTCTATGCTTTTGGCTGTCCATTTATCTATGCATTTTTCCAGAAGACTGCAAAGAGACTCAAAGCAATGATTTCCTCTGTTAGGGGCCTTGGGTGAATATACAGCACACTTTTTATTCTAAATTGTTTTGCATTTTTATAGATATTGTATCATGTGAAGCTACCAGATAATAAACACAAAAAATAAAATTTTAATCACAAATAATTCAGTTCCAAAGGCACTCCACATTATGAAAAGTCTGAGTTTATACTGAGACAGAACAAACGACAATATTTAAAGATTAAAATGTTGATGCACTAGACACAGTTAGAGACTGCTCTTCTGGTGGTCTTTGATTATTTGGGGGTTTTATCAAATTGCCTACACTTCATCTATATTTTAAAATTGCAGGCCAATGCCACACTTTTTATATTTGATAAACATAATAGGTTATCTCCACCCAAAAGTGCATACATGAAAACACCTACAAATTTGCAGTAAATTTAGGAAACTTACTTATCACATTGACTCTAAGGCTATCCATGGATCCAAACCGTGGTTCCTTTATGTTAGCATATAATGACATAAATGTAGAAACTAAGTATTGTTCACTCTCCACCTCAAACCATATACACAGAAAGACTCTAGTCATTACTTAGAACAAGTCTTAGAATAAATCCATGTGTTAGATTGAAATTTGTGATTACTTTCTAAGGCTGAGTAACTCTTGGAAAAGTAATACATTTAGAGTCCCAAGTGGCAATCTTACCAACTATTTTTTAGTTACTTTGTATCATGGCGCATTTTTATCATTACTGGAAATATTTTTTAAAAACATTAGCTATGGGGAAATAAGAAACTAAATATTAAGAAATGTCTATTATATTCCAAGAGTTAAATAGTAACAATATGGAAAGTATGTGCTTTAGAAAAAAATTACTTGTATGTAATTTTCAGATGTATGAGGAGGTCTGATACTATTTTAAAATGTAAATCACAACATACATCCAATCCAAAATAAACTGTGTCCTCTAAAAGATTAGTCACTAAGATATCATCTTTTTGAATGTACACAATCCCTTAATAACTAAGTTGTTTAAAAGCAATTATGTATATTTTCTTAAGGGACGCCTGCTAATGCTTTTATGTATGCAGATATAGATTTTTTAGTATTATATTTACAACTATCACGACATATATATAACAGTGAATGTACCACCAACTGCCAAGCAAATAGGCAGAATGCATGAAAGATGCATCTACCAATGTAAGTTTTGTAATAACTACAAAATAATGAAATATATTTAATCATCCCATACATATGTTACTCTTAACACAATATTGCCATTATTTCAGATTGGGGGTATTATATTTGGAAGTTTCCATCAGTTATTTTTAAGGGCTTGTTTGAGCTTCTAATTTTCTCTCTCTTAAAATACTTGAAAAGTAGCATAACATCTCTTTCCTTTGACCTCTTCTGACAAATTAAATATTCAACAACTCTGAAGCATCCATTACCCTTGAGATGACATCATGATCTCAAGAACACTTCTTCAGGCAAATCAACATAATTACCACACGGCTAGAACATACTGAGATCCTTGGTAGATGAAAGTAGTTTTAGAGCCTCTGTTATTAAAAGGTCAGGAATTAGGTTTAAATTGCTCAGGGTCTTTGATTCAGTACTTTATTTAATATCTGGGGAACAAATATACTCTCCCTTTAATTAATAGAAGCAAATATGCCAAGCTCTAAAGTCCATATTCAGAAGGTATGATGCAGAAGAATAATCTGTAACAAGTATGTTGCATGTCAAAACATTCACTAAAATGCTTTTCTCCAGTTTTTAAAGGGAAGAAGGCAACTGATAGGTGTAAAAAAAGTTTCCCAATGTGTCGCGTTGCAGGGACAAAGGGAGTTCCTTGCTCATTATCAATAACGGTTTTACTGACTCATTTGATTGTATAGCTGGAGATGATAACTCAGGTTTTCTTTTTAAGGGATCCTGGAAACCATGGGTGACTGTCTTTTTTATGCTTTTACTCTGTAGTTTTTCTTTCTCTCCTTCTATTAAGCCTAATGAATGTTCTGCAAACAACTTCCCTGACCTGCCTCTATTCCTGTCTTATAATGCCTGCAGCAGCCAATTCTTCCAACCTTCAGATTCCCTGTCTATGAGGAAGTCTTCACTGAAAATTTACATCTCAATGACTTTAATGCATACTGTTGAAATATTCACTTAATATTAACTATATTCAAGCACATGTTAATATTTTTTTTTTTTTTTTTTTTTTTTGAGACGGAGTCTCGCTCTGTCGCCCACCTCGGACTGCGGACTGCAGTGGCGCAATCTCGGCTCACTGCAAGCTCCGCTTCCCGGGTTCACGCCATTCTCCTGCCTCAGCCTCCCGAGTAGCTGGGACTACAGGCGCCCGCCACCGCGCCCGGCTAATTTTTTGTATTTTTAGTAGAGACGGGGTTTCACCTTGTTAGCCAGGATGGTCTCGATCTCCTGACCTCATGATCCACCCGCCTCGGCCTCCCAAAGTGCTGGGATTACAGGCGTGAGCCACCGCGCCCGGCCACATGTTAATATTTTACTGAAATATTTAGGTGTTGTTTCTTAAAGGCAAGTTGTCTGATTTAGTATTTAACATCATCCAGAGCAGTGCTATCCTATAGCATTCTCTACAATGATGGGAATATGTTCTAATTGTTCTGTCCAATACAGTAGCCACCAGATACATGTGGTTATTGAGCACTTGAAATGTGGCAGTGAGGTTAACAATTGAATTTTTAATTTTATTTGATTTTAATTGATTAGAATTCAAAGTTAGCTACACGGGGCTAGTTGGCTACCTATTGGACAATGTAGATCTACAGGGCTGTATGCAGACCAGATATTTAGCCAATTTTGTGGAATAAATGAATGAGTTACATGCACAAAACTTCTCAGGTTCTTAAGAAATAGCTACTATAGTCAAACTTTCATCTTGGAAATTATTACAAATCACTTACAGAAGCAAACATTCCAGGCATTTATAGCCTTAGAAATATTAAGTTAGCTTTGGAAGGGACTCTGGAGATGAAACTCTTATTTTACAAACAAGAAACTGTGTTCAGGGAAGGCAAGTGTTCTTGTTGCAGAGACACTTTGTAAAGAAAGAAGGACCAGAGCTTAGGTGCCTTTATTCTCAGGGAAGTATTTTTGCCATAATATCCTAAAATTGAATGGGCAGTTCTCAAGATTTTTCCCCTAATTTCTGCTTGCTATTCTCTTATTAAGATTAAAAGCCTATTCTAGTGCCTTGGTGTGTCACTGCTTGAAAGCAGATCCAGAGGCCAGGATTCAAATACAGCTGGTGTCTTTGGGAAGTGTGGAGATCATTGGTAGGAGAATTATACAGGAAAGACTAAGGAGCAAAAAAGAGCATCATCGAGCCCCGTACTGTGGGCACTAGAACTTATTCCCATGAGGAAAATACTTAGATACAGTTTGAAATGCATACTTCAGAGATATCTCAGTTTGGAAGACTGGGAGAATGTTTCAAGTGAGGGAGCTGGAGTATTTATTTATCCGCTTCCATCGGTCAAAGCTCCCTGGAAGAAGAAAGTCAGCAGAGGCCAAAGACGAGGTAAGGTCACGGGATACTGATGGAGCATTCCTAGCTTCTGTTGTAAGTACTCAGCGCAGGGTTAAGCTATAATCACTGCTTAATTAATATATGTTTTATTGAATATATATAATGGAAGAAAGTTACATAGTCTAAGAGAGAAGATGAAGTGTAGCTATTTTAATTTTTTTTTTAGTCATAAAATCTTAATCCACTAAGAGCTGATGAAGATAGAGAAAACTTTTTTTTTCTGTTACCAGGCTGGAGTGCAGTGGCATGATCTTGACTCACTGCAAGCAACCTCTGTCTCTCAGGTTCAAGTGATTCTCCTGCCTCAGCCTCCTGAGTAGCTGGGACTAGAGGCCTGTGCCACCACATCTGGCTAAGTTTTATATTTTTAGTAGAGATGAGATTTCACCATGTTGGCCAGGATGGTCTTGAACTCTTGACCTCAAGTGATCCACCCACCTTGGCCTCCCAAAGTGCTGGGATTACAGGCATGAGCCACCACACCCAGCCTAGAAATAACTTTATATATTCTTGTATCCTAGGAGCTAGCACAGAATAAGTGATTTCTAAATTATTGCCATAGTTTAATCTTGTCAAGATGGCAGAGTAAGGAAAAACATAATATTTTTGTATTATACTGCTCCTACAACTCTTACCAATAAATAGAGTGCCCACTACCTGCTTCTAATAATGTTCATACATTAATTCATCACTCTCACTATAATACTATGCTGCATGAACTACTTGTTACCATAATTATGCCATGTCAAAACAGAAATAGATTTTTACAAGCATTCTTTAAAAATGATGTATACGTTATGATATTTTAAAATTAGCATTTATAATTTAATGTATTACTATTTATAATTTGGGAGATAGCTTATGTTGGAATCATTTTTGGTTTTGAAATCTGAGGATAGGAGTCTAAGGACTTTTGTTTCTCTTAGGCATCTATGTACTTCAAGTTAGCTGCAAAATTAATAGTGTTCTGAAGCATGCAATGCAAATGGGGTCATGAAAGGGAATCAGAGTTTAGGATAACACATAGATCTGCAAAGGAAAATATAACATGTCTCTCCCAAACTTTTTCCAAATATGAGATTCTAAGACACATGCTTTCATGATCCACTATATATTTACTGAATACCCCCTAAGTGTATTAGAGATGATGCCTAAGAAAAGCTGTTTCCTTGACTATACAACAGATTTCCAAGTTATTTTCCTGGTGGGAAATTAATGTCTTCAGAGCATATTTACTATCTACATTATAGTATAATTTTACTAACCAGAACGTAATAAAACAGTAAATATCTTTTTCAAAATTCTACTGCCTTAGGTGCAGAGCCAGTTAGGAAACAGATGGGGTGACACTTGGGCAAAAATGTTATTTGATGTAACAACTAAAAAACTTTTTATAACTTTTCTTTATTTTATTTGTATTGAATTATTTTCATTCTTTTAAGTCCCTTATCAATCCATTGTTGCCAAATGCGAATTTTTCTTAAGTACATAGCATGCTTCTAATAAAAACTATAATTGTGCTATGGACAGAATGTTTGTGTCTCCCCCAATATTCGTATGTTGAAATTTAACCACCAATGTTAGTCTATTAGGGAGGTACGATCTTTGGGAAATGAACAGACCATGAGAGTGGAGCCCTCATAAATGGGATCAGTGCCCTTATAAAAAGGCCTTAGAGACTCTCTTTCTCCCTCTCCCCATGTGAAGACACAGCAAGGAGGTGACATCAGGACGTGGGTCCTCACAAGACACAGGGTCTGCCAGCATCTTGATCTTACCCCACCTCCAGAGCTGTAAGCAGTACTTTATGTTAATTATAAACTGTCCATTTTATGGTATTTTGTTATGGCAGCTTAAACAGACTAAGATAAATTGACAGAGAGAGATCCAGAGGTAGCGGTGGGTTTCTGAAACTTGTACCAGCTGTGCTTTCTCAGCCAAGTGTGCATATCTCTTCCTAACTATGGGAAAAGACTTCACGCTGGTAGCTTGAAGTCCATCATCCTAGAAGTATTGAAATCACAAAAATCATGTTACAATGCTACAAATCAAGTTGGCCAACCCCCTACCCTGTTGTTAGATATTTAGCAGCATCCTTCGCCAGTATGCCACTGAATAGCCAAGGCTATGAGACATCCCAGAACTCATAAGTAATTTAATTCAATATAAGATTTATTTGGAGAAGTACTTCACCTATGCAATATACCAAAATTAGGTGACTCAATTGTTTCTGGAACAAAAAAGATGAATCAGATGAAACAATTGTTCTTAGAACAAAAAGGGATGAAAGAGATGAGGTGTTTTTTTCTACACGATGACTGGTTCTACAGCATGAGAAAGTAATGACATAAACTGGTAGTTTCCAGACTGAGATTTTTTATTGCAATTAAACATTTTTTTCTTTAATTCCAGGATCACCCAAAGGTTTTTAATTTTTATCAATGAAATAATTATAAATATATCTCGTCATCTCTTCTTAATGTCATTAGTAAAGGAATATTTAATATTAAAACAGTAAGAAAAAAGGATATAATGTCAGAATAAATTACAATTCTTGCTAAGAAATAAAAAAATTTGTTATTACACCATAATGATACCATGTATTAGAAAAAGCTTTGCCACAGGCTGGACAGATAATTTTATTATCTCTTCTTAAAAAAAGTCATCAAAAGAAGATAGCAAGAAAAATATACTGAGAAAGGGGAATACCACCTTTCAGCAATGCCGAGTTGAGATTATCCAGGTGCAGTGGGAAAGGCGATAGGGTGTCTATAGCTCTCTTAGCTGACAAGGACTTTTTAGATTATCTAAATTCCTGGCTTCCTTCTTTATGTTCACTACTAGGTTTCTTACAAGATTTTTTATTTTAAGCATGATTTTTCTATAGAGAAAAGTATCACTCTCCAAATACAAGTATGTGGTGTTCTTACCAGTTCTCTCTCAATAGTCTGCCACTGTGATTTATCCATTAATCTCTTGTACATACATTTCACTTAGCTTGATAATTCCTGGGTGCTGATAACGTGTAGTTCCATAAGGAGCAACATGAGCAAAATAACCTAGAGACAAGGTAAACCATTTCCAGCTGGCCTCATTAAACCCATCCTCACAGCTGGTCTAAGATCAGCACTGCCCCATGCCCTTCAAACCATGATGAATAGTGTTTAAATTGATTATTTTTAATGTTCACTTTTTTCCTACTTCTGAAAATCTAACAGGAACAGTGTATGTGCTATGCCACCTCACCTTCTAATCAAAAGGTTGATACATGAGAAAAGAAAGAAAAATAAAACTCTTGGACAGTAGCAAATTAACCACGTAGGCACTGGGTGTTTGACATGTTTAACAAAGTAGACCAGTGGTTTTAAATCAAGCCTAAATTTGCTTCTGTAAAAGAGAATTATTATTGACATTTCCTTCTTGAGGGACCACTGAGAGTGAATAAGTTGATTGTTGTTCAATTATCTAATTAAGTTCCAGGAAAGATGTGAATCACAAGGTTAGCCAGACTCTGAACTGAATTATAGCTACAGACCAGTATTGGTCAAAAAGCAGACTACAGTGATCACTGAGTGTATAATATAGATTTACTATCTTAGTCGGCTGCTTTGCTGATAAGTGAAAATGTATACAACTTTAAACTTCTAAGTTAAAATGATTGGAAAAAAATAAGAAACTAAATAGTTTGTGAGTTTAAGCACATAGGTTATTTTAGCTTATTTAATCTCTGAAGAGCCAGTAAATCGGTAAAAATAAAAGAAGAAAAGTCTTTTAAAAACCACTTCTAGCCCAGACAACGTTATCGAGTAATTAGAATAACAATGTACCCATCAGTGTTAATAGTAATTTGAAGTATTGATTCTTCAAATAGTCATTCAGAGATACTAAAGTAAGAAAACAAAAAATCGATTCATCTTTCAGGTTTTCAGGTTTCTTAAATATGTTAAGATGTTTCTCATATGCACATTATGAACTTAATTCAATTAGTACCAATGGTAGGAATACCTTTGAAGTAAAATTTGGGCCAAATATCATATTCATTGCAACACGCTACAAGCAATCTAGGTAAAGCGTTTCTTTCAATACTAGTTTATGTGCAAAGAAGATTAATAACTATTCTGTTAATTACCAGTACAAAGGAATAACTGCTTTGTTAATTACTAACAAGGAATATATATCCTTATGATAAATGTCATCTATGACAGAATGACAGACATGACAAATCAAGGAAAAAGTGATATGTCCAATACAGTTTTATTTCATAAAGGTTTGGGTTCTGTACTGCATGCCAACTGTCATCAATAAATTGGGATATATTGTCTTGTTTCAACCACCATTAGGTTAAAGCACAGAGCTACAGTATTATTGAATGAGTTGTATTTGATGGGCCATTGCCAAGTTCAGGTGACATAAGTAATGTTCCACAGTGGTTGGTTCCAGACCCATTGTTGAGCATTTTAATCAGTGACTTTGATGATTGAATTGGGAACATGATCATTAATTTTGCAGATAAGTTGTGGAGAATGACATCTCCAGAACTTCAGAGGAAAAGAATGAGAATATAATATAACCTTAGGAACTTTCACAAGTTGTCAGAATTATGATGAAATTCAAGAGGGATAAATGAAGGTTACCATGTTGATTTTTTAAAAAAGAAAGTATGAAAGTAGAGAAATGTTGTCTATGTGTAAGCATGATTGAAGAAAGTATAAAGCACTGCAGAGAAAGGGGTGAAAAATCAATTATGGATACACAATGTATTGGCAGGCTTAAAGGGAGTAAGAGACTTGAATTAGGAGATTACAGTATGGTGGTGTAGACAAAGGATTTGGAACAGGAGACCTGAAATTCAATACACATTCCATGCTTTGCAACTTCGAGATCTTGGGGTAAGTCCTTCTATATCTCTGTCACATTGGAAAGATAAAGATCCCCAGTTCGATTAAATACAAATAATTGGGATTGTTTATATAAAAATATATAGTGAATTTTAGATCACTATACTAATGATGGTTGTCAAAAATATTTTTTAGAAAGGTAAGAACAGTCTTTCAAATCACAGATATTTTATTCTCCTTTCATAATTTGTGAAGGATTTACAATTTAAACGTCTCAGATAACATTCTCTGTTAGAAGATACTAAATTGCATCTGAATTTTTTTTGTTTCTTAACCAAAAATTGACGAGACAATTTCTAAAATACAAATGGGAAGTATTTAAAAATTGCTTTATAAAAGTTATCCTTTTTAACCACGGTATTTGGCGATTTAACTTTTGTTTTAGCCAAGGTTATTAGATTCTAGTAGGTTGTAAAATCTTTGATTCTTTTACGTTTCAAAATGATGACCACAACTGCATTTTGATCAGCAGAGAATATGCAGATAAGGCCCAGGCTGAAAATAGTTTAGAGTATTATCTAAAAAATCTCTCAGAGGACCTTCCTGACTTAGTAGGTTCTTTTTAAAATTATTTAAAAATTTGCTATACAACAGTCCTCACTTTGCTTTATACTCATCTAAAGTCACTACTACTTTGTTGATTTTTCATATGTAGTAAATGCATCTTTATTTTGCAATTTTATAAAGACCTAGGTTTTTATTCTTTCTTCAGTCTTAGGTACAAGGAGGAACAGAAAAGGCAAACCTCTAGATTGAGTGTTATCATAGCAAAATAGAATCCTATATAAATCTATGGCAACTTCTGCTTTCCTGGACACTACAACTTTTAAATTATAAAATATATTTAAAGAGAACCCTTAAATTGGATTTTGAACACAACATTTATGGAATTAAGCTTTGATGGGCCAGTGTATAAGTGAGGCTTGGAGAGAAAAATCACTGAAGTAAATATAGAGGCTCAAGTACACAATGTTACAATAGATAATTTAAGCATTTTTTTTGAAATACTATTCACGGTTTTCACTTACTGCTCCATGATCTGAAACCTACAGCCTTGAAGTGAGAAACCATTTCTCCTGATGAAGTAGTTTAATTTGCATATGTGGCTTACTACATACATAGATCTTTCTATATATTCTAATTTGTTGGCATGAAATTCTCACTGATCCAGGAGAATTTATGTTAAGATTGCTTGGTAATGTGAAATCTGTTCAGGAAGATTGCAAAACCATATTTTATTCCCAATAGAGTATTCTATTATTTGTACCAGTTGCATCAAAACCAACTCATATTTACTCAATTGCAAATGACGTTGCATGAAGCATTTTAACCCCAAATAAATATGCTATTTATTCAAATATGTAAGTGTTGGGGAAACAAACAAGCATAAAAAACAGATGCCAACGTCCCTTAGCAACAAAGAACCGGAACGCTTCTAGGGAGATTTATATCACTTAATTCACTAAAATAACCTAAACACATTAAATTTAGAACTCAAATATGTAATAATGATATGATTAAAAAATCCCACCTTATTTTCTGCACCTAAAAGGATATCAGCTTTTTAAACTTTTCTGCTGCAATTTAGCTCCTCTTGCTACAAGAAGATCAGGGTAACCTAAATCTTCTTTTATTTTCACGAGACATGAGAGTTGTGTCCAGCAAAATCATAACTTTTGTACCTGGTCGTTTTTAGAACAGGACTTATAAAACATTAACATATAGACAAATCACCTGGGGATCTTGTAAAAATGCAGAATTGAATTCTGCAATTCTGGTGAGCGACCCCAGATTCTGCATTTCTATTAAGCCACCAGGTGATATCCATTCTACTCTGAGTAGCAACAAGGTCCTAGAAGACACTGAGAAGGGATAGTCCATCAAATCTTGAAAGTACTACCAAAGTTTTGATGTAAAAATCATGCAAATCTAAATAACTCAAGAAGAAGATAATATAATGCAGCAGGAATTATTATTATGTCTTCTTCTATAAGTAGGTAAAGAAAACTGAGCTCAGGAAAATGTCACCAGCCACACAGACCAGTGCCCTATATTCCTGTCAACAGATAGTAATTCTTTAAATTTCTCATTAATACTCATAAAATATTTACTATACCAACAATGTAATTGATGCACTAATATTCTATTTTGAGTCATATGATCCCTCTCAACCCTTCTTCTGGAAGCAGAGTTTGAACAGCATCAGATACATATATTTAATTATTTATTTTCATATGATTTATGATATTACATTTAGCAAATAAATATATTTGTTATAATATATTTATATTAATAATCTAATATAAATTATATAACAAAACATCATTAGGGACAAAATTGTGAGCCAATGCTGTGATTGATGGCATTTAAAAATAAACACAATTATAAGGTACTTCTATAAAGCTCAAGTGGAAATGGGATAAAGACTCCCTCACCTTTTGCTTTGTAGATTATTAACAAACAACATTTGTTTTTGTTATTTTAAAATCAGTGAAAAGGTTGAAATAGTGGCATGAGTATCAGATTTGAAAATGAGAAGGCTTGTAATAAAATAACTACTTGTGTGATCAAAACTGCCATGAGCCTCTGCTTCTTGAATAGAAAAGCAGGAATAATAACTCATTCATGTCAAGCTGGGATAATGAAATGAATATAATAATGAATTCCATAATGTATGGAAAGTCCTTAGCACTGTGTCTGCCCCTGGTTAGTAACCTAAAATTTCTATCTTAAAATATTAGTACTCTTAATAATCTGAGCTGCTGTGAAAATTACATAAATAAAAAAATATTTATAAACCACGTTTCATGATTTAACTCATAACAGCAATAACAATATCGGTTCTCGCATTTATAGAAGACCTACTTCATGTCAAGCATTGTGTGAAAAGCAATAACTAATCTCATTAAATCATACATGTCTGAAGCTTATACTTCATATAAGGACAATCAAATCCAGCAAATGTATGTTGTTTACCTAAAGTCTCTAGGGTTTATAAGCAGCAGAACTGGTAGTCCAGTTTAGATTTGTCTACACTCACAGTTCTTGGTCTTTCCACTACAGTGGTGCTGAAAACCGTTCCCAGTGTCTTTGTCATCTGTGACACAGGACTAATAATGTGGACAAGGAACACTTGTTTTAAAAATTCAACCAAATAATAATTATTGAAAAGTCAGCACAGTGCCTGGCTCACAGTTAGCAGCCAATACCCTGACTGCAGTCATGAATGAGGATGTAAGTGAATATTGAATTTGGGGTGTGCTCCACTTACAACAGCAACAGCCGTAATAACGTTTTCAATCTTATGACTCTGTCATCAGCTTTTTCTCGATCCTTCTCTATTGTCTATGCAGTGTTTTCCATCGTGTCATTGATTCTATTTAGCCACATATAACAACACGATTGTGGCAAAATAAGCAACCTGCCTTTTATGGATTTCTAGTGGAATGTTCCAAACACAACTTTCCCCTTGCTGATGCTGTTAATTGCACAAATGCTCATGTCATCTTGTTTAGACTGTGGTTTTATCCTGTTTTGACTATCAGATTGCCCTTATGCTGGTCTCCCTGTTGACAGACTTCAGCTGGTACATACTGCGCCTTGGAGTCTGATCGGCATCAGCTGCAGCAAATAGACAACTTCTGCTTCAGCTAGCTGCCAGCCACAAATTTGCACTGAATAGTACTTTTAATTCTCCTTAAGAGAATATTTTTAGATTTATGTAGAAAAGATGTCCTTCCTTCTTGAGGATTTAGAAGCGGCTAATAAATCTTCCTCTTTTTTCTCATATTTTTTCAATTAGGTGGCATGAACAAAACACCAATGGTCCTCTCTGTTCTGTGTTACTAATAGTGGTGCCTATTAAAGCTAACCATTTATCTTTTATTAGCAGTTTTAAAACTAATGAAATTGGATTTATTACGTGTACAGTAAAAAGAGGAATAAGGATTTCAGGATTGCTAAAGTTCTTCCACAGGAAAAATAAAAGGGGGAGGGGGGCAATGTACCAGCCCTCATCCAAACAAATTACTTAACATTGGCCAGTTTACCACACGTTTCTTCTACAACTGAGTATTCTGTATCTTCTATCTTTCTTCCCTCTTTATGTTTGTGGTGTTGGCATCTATAAGTTATAAACACCAAATATTAAGGACACTGACAAATACAGAGGAAATCGTGGAGAGCTAGAAACCTATGTATGGAAGTCAGAAGCTCCGTGAGTGATTCTGTGGCCACACACACCCTTAGGTCCATAATGTTAGCCCCACATATCTGGGCTACTACAAGGCTATAGTTGTTTCTATCTGGGTTCTTTCTAATCCAATGGCGCTTGCACAGTGCTACAAGATTTTAGTTCTCTAAATTATTGTTTTTAGCATGTTGGAGACCTTTTTTCTTAGCCACACTCCTATTTGTGTTTGGAGAATTATCTCTGCTTCCTTGTGTATCGCCTTTCTACTGTGGAAATCTACAGTAGTACAATAGCAGGAGAGGTCAGATCCTTCTTCTAACCACTCAGATAGAGATAGGCTTGTAGTTGGACCATCAGATGTTCCCCTCAAAGACCTAGAATCTTGGAGCATCATAAAAACAGAAGAAAATAGTTGGAGGTTGTTTTCTCAATTGGAGGGTTTTCAAACAAAGGGAGGGTTCCAGCTAGAGCAGTTTTACTGTGAGTGTTGTCCCACAATTTCCACCAACAAATGCTTTGGCTAAAATGACAATATTTTCTGTTGTTCATTTTAGCAAAAGTTTAATCAAAGAATTTTGGTTACTTTCAATTGAGAAATTCTGCATGATAACATATTCTTACTTCATCTTATATATATATATATATATATATATATATAAAATATAATTAATATATATATATAATTTTTTTTTTTGAGACAGAGTCTCACTCTGATGCCCAGGCTGGAGTGCAGTGGTGCGATCTCGGCTCACTGCAAGTTCCACCTTCTGGGTTCAAGCGATTCTCCTGCCTCAGCCTCCCGAGTAGCTGGGACTACAGGCGCCTGCCACCACACCCAGCTATTTTTTTTGTATTTTTAGTAGAGACGGGGTTTCACCGTGTTAGCCAGGATGGTCTCAATCTCCTGACCTCGTGATCCGCCTGCCTCGGCCTCCCAAAGTGCTGGGATTACAGGTATGAGCTACCGCGCCCAGCCACTTCATAATTTTTGATGAGAACAATTGCCTATAGAATAAAATATCAGCCCCTTTCTAATGATGTATCTTAAAGAATTAGAAAAGCAAGAGCAACCAAACCCAAAATCGGAAAAAAAAGAAATAAAACAGATTAGAGCAGAAATACATTAAATTGAAATTAAAAAAATACAAAAGATAAATGAAACAAAAAGTTGGGTTTTGAAAAGATAAACAAAATTTGAAAAAATAAACAAAATTGACAAACCTTTAGGCAGACTAAATAAAATAAGAAAAAAGAGAGAAGACTCAAATAAAATCAAAGATGAAATAGAGGACTTTATAACCAACACAGCAGGAATTTAAAGGATTAGTAGAGGTACCTATGAGCAACTATATGTGAATAAATTAGAAAATCTAAAAGAAATGGACGAAGTCCAAGATACATATAATCTACCAAGATTTATCCATGAAGAAATAAAAAACCTAAATACACCAATAACAGGTAATGAGATCAAAGCCATAATGAAATCTCTTCCAGCAAAGAAAAGCACAAGACCCATTGGCTCCACTGCTAAATTCTACCAAATGTTTAAAGAAGAGCTAATACCAATCCTACTCCAACTGTTTTGAAAAATAGAAGAGGAAATAATGTTCCTAAACTCATTCTACAATGCCAGTGTTACCCTGATACCATAACCAGACAAAACATATCAAAACAAAAGAAAACTGCAGGCCAATATCTCTGATAAGCATTTATACAATAATCCTCAACAAAATACTAGCATAATGAATTCGACAATACACTAAAAAGATCATTTATCATGACCAAATGGGATTCATCTCTGGGATGCAAGGATGGTTCAACATATGCAAATCAATCAACGTGGTACATCACATCAACAGAATGAAGGACAACATGGATGGAACCAGAGGATATTACATTAAGTGAAATAAGGTTCCTAAGCCTCATGAACTCAATAAATTGTTAGTTATCTTTTCCTACATGCCTTATTTCACCAACTAGACTTTAAACTCTATTGTGTCTGAGTCCAAGGCTTTTATTTCACTGAATGTCAACAGTGCTTATTATTGTCCCATAAAATATCTTCATCATTTAATTTGCATTTTGTGGCTCAAGATTCAATTCCTTCTTGGTTTTGTAGAATTCTTGCTTTGAAGTTTTTTTCTTTTTCTATTCTAGAAAGTAATAATTTGAGTGACTACTTTCCTTTGCTCTGCCATTTCTGAATTTTAATGATGTCATTTGCCTTGTAAATGTGAAGGGTTTTATTTTAAAGAACATCTAGATTGCATCAGTGGTGGCTTTATATCACAGTGAGGCAGAGTGTTCAAATCTTTAAGAAATGACTTCAGTTCAGTGGTTTTATAAACTGATAATAGCTAATACAAAATGCTAGTCATTGTCTACAAGTTTCATGTGGATTGAATGTCATGTACTCATTAAATTCTCCTAACATTCCTCTTGGAAGGTACCATGTTTATCCACCATATTTTACAGATGAAGAAACTGAAATTAATGAGTTTGAAGAGCCTATTCAGTATTCACCAAGGGTAGAGTAGGAGTTGAAAATAAGAATTCCACTTTCGGAGCCCTTACAATGAATAACATAATGCCATAAGGTCATTTGTAATTTACGAATGGAGATAAGCAAATAACATTTTTTAAACTACAGCGATTTAATGTTGCTAGGCCCAATAATCACATAATAGCTTAGTTTATGTGGCCACCTGATGTAATTTTGAGAGGAGCTGAAAGGACTGACTGCTCATAAGACATGAGGGAAGATCCATGGTCAAATATTCTCAATGACCCCTACTAGAACCTTTCCTTTTCACACTACCTCAATGCGAGACTTGTTTGTAATTTGAAAAACTATGTGGCATTTTAATGCAAAACCTCAAAAAGTGAATTTCTGCTAAAATATTTCTTTTTTTAAAGCCTTTATTTTAGGTTCTGGGGTACATGTGAAGGTTTATTACACAAGTAAACTCATATCTGTGGGTTCGTTATACTGATTATTTCATCACCCAGGAATTAAGGCCAATACCCAATGGTTAACTTTTCTGCTCCTTTCCCTCCTCCCACCATCCACTCTCAAGTAAACCCCAGTGTCTGTTGTTTTCTTCTTTATGTTCCTAAGTTCTCATCATTTAGGTTCCACTTATAAGTGAGAACATGGTATTCGGTTTTCTGTTCCTTGTTAGTTTGGTGAGGATAATAGCCACCAGCTCCATCCATGTTCCCGTAAAAGACATGATATCACTCTTTTTCATGGCTGCTAGGATATTTCTTGAATATTGTCTAGCGTAATGAAACATTTCATTAGATGAAAGAGTATTGCCTCTTTAGCTTTAAGAAGACTGCATATAAAGGTTGGGAAAATACTCCAAATTGAACAACACTAAGAAACAAGACAACTAAATTCAATTTTATCTTCCAGTGGATCATAGATGAAAACAAATGCCATTAGAGGTATTATTAGGACAATTAGTAAAATGTAGATATGAACTGTATATTAGATAGTATGGCACAAATGTTACGTATCCTGAATTTCATAACTATACTGTGGTTATGAACAAGATTGTACTTGTTCTTAAGAGATAAAACTTGAATTATTTAGAGTAGGGGGGATTTGCTGTTTGCAAGCTGCAAATGAGTCAACAACAACAACGATATTAATAATATATATAAATAGAGGATGCCAAAACAAGCATAATAAAATGTCACATTGTGAATCCAAGAGAAAGTTATATGTGAGCTAATTGCACTACTGCAAACTTTCTATATGTTTGGGTTTTTTTTTTAAACATAAAAAGAAAAAAAACTATGTAAAATGATAGGAACACCGTATTAAATGGTTTAACTCTTCAAGGGATAGGAAGTATTTTAAAAACCTCAACTCTTTCAATACAAATATTTTAATTTACATGAATTAAATATCTATGTAGGTAGTTGATTCTTGAGGTATTTTCTTATAAATTCCTTATTGATTAATTTGAAGCCAGTTAACATATTAGTGAATGGTTTTTAGTATGTGCATTATGTAAAGCTTCAAATATTTTATAAAGCTAAAGTGTTTGTGCTACCTATCAATTGAAATATTTAGTGTAAAATATGGTCCACCTTCTTAAACTGACTGTTCCTTGGTTCTATCAAATTGCTTCAACTGTAAATGAAAGCATGGGAATCTATAGGAAAACGTTGTAATAAAAATGCACTACCCAAACCAAATACATGTAGATAATATTAACTTGGTAATTCATGACATGCGTAAAGGACATTTTCTCATATAACATAATATATAATATAATATGCAATTTCACAATTATAGTCAGATATTTTAACGCCCCTTTAAAAAAGTAACTGATAGAGCATATTGACAGAAAATCTATAAGGATATATAAGATGCAAGTAACGTCATCAACCAAATCGACCTAATTGATATTTGCAGAACACTCCACCCAACAGCAGAAGAATACATATTCAAGTTTTTAAGGAATGTTTACTGCGATAGAACATATTCTGGGTTATAAAGCTAGTCTAAGTAAATTTAAAATAATTGAGGACTTACAAAATATTTTTTCTGACTATAATGGCATTAAAATAAAAACCAATAAAAGAAAGATATCTAGATATCTAGAAAATTCCCAAATATTTGAAAATTAAATAAGATACTTCTAAAAAATCCATGGGTCAAATAAAAATCAAAAGAGAAATTAGAAAGTATTTGTACTCTCTAAAGGAAATTAGAAAGTATGTGGATCAAATAAAAGTGAAAATAGAATATAGAAGCAAAGAGTTTTAAAAAATGAAGCTACTGAAAACAAATTCCATATTTTTCCTGCCCCCCCAAAGTCTTTTTTTAATTCAAGAATCTAAAAAAAAAAAACAAAAAAATTAACACATACTGTAAAAGTAATGACCAAAATAGCTGAGGATAATAGTTCACTCAGAAATAAAATTAAGCATGTTAAAAAAGCAGGTGGTGATTTATTTGTTTTTAATTGAACAAGTCATTGTGAATAAATTGAATATCTGATGTGGGAAAATTCCACAAACATTTTTTCAATTGATAGGAACGTCCTACATTAAGGAAGTAGTAATCAACAAGTAGTAGACCAGGTAAAAAAGCACAGCTCTATAGTTCATTCATAGGCTTAAAATAATATATTAATAACAGCTTCAAATTAATTCATAAAAAATATTCTGAATGACTAAGCCTCTATTCAACTAAATAGTAATCAAATAGAAGTCATAATTTAAAATAAATCCTCATATGGTATCATCAAAATATAGTATATAACAGAGATTGTTCTTACAATCCATCTA
The DNA here is from genome assembly GCF_000001405.40 of Homo sapiens. NCBI lineage: Eukaryota > Metazoa > Chordata > Mammalia > Primates > Hominidae > Homo > Homo sapiens. The sequence continues at coordinate 76,835,996 of NC_000003.12, read as the reverse complement.
TTAGATGGGGGAGACCTAGTTCCAAATATGGCTCTCAGCAGCTTAGTCTCATTGGTACCAAATTCAAGAATCCAAATTGTCTAATCACGCTGTGTCAAAAGAGCTCATAGTTGAAAAGTTAAATCTCATATGTGCTTTATACATGGTCTTGGCTTTTAGAATGCAAAATCCAGGTGAAACGTAATTTATTCTCTAGGAACCATAAATTTTCAGAAACCAGTTTAAATGAATAAAAGTAGGAATCACAAAGTTGGAGATCCATGTTAGAAAAATATGTCAACACGCTTGACAAAATACTGATAATGTGAAAAACCCTGAATTTAATATAGTTTAGAATAAATGAAAACTAATATGCAAAATGCAAATTATTTGGTACCTGGAGAAAGTACAATTAAGACTCAAAGTGGTTCTTATCAAACTTAACATATGTATCAACGATCCCTTTGTAACAATGAAAAATTGTTTGTGACTGTGTATGTATACATCTATTAGTCTTTGCCTATGATTTATAATGTATTATTGTGTTTGCACATATGTGCAAACATATAATGTATTACATTATATGTTTGTATATATTATATATATTATATATTATTATATATAATACATATAATGTATTATTGTGTTTGCACATATATGTGTGCATATATATTCACAGAGGTTTCCCTTTATTTTAAAAATAACACATTGTATGTGTCATATAAAATGTAAGTTTGAAAACTTCTAAGCTTTACCAATATTTCCACATTAAAAAGCAACTTTTCAAGTCGTAGATTTTTCACGATAAAAATTCCCAATTTTTATTGTTCTAAGTCAGTTTTAAAGATGAGAAGAGACACATTATATGAACAGTTTACTAGCAAGGGAATGTGACGTTTTTGGTAATCAACTTAGTAATATGCTTGTTGAGTATTCATTTATCCTAAAAAGTTTGCATTCTATAGTCACAATTGTTTTATAAAAATTCTTAATATTTATAAGATATAATTCCTTTTGCTTGTGTAACATCATGAAAGCATAGACTTAGTTGAATTTTTCTAACAGATGTTCAAAGTTATTTTCCACTCTTTGTTCCACAGGAACTCTGTAAACAGAACGGCAAATGTTGTAAACAATACGTTATAAACAATTGGGTTGCCTCAAGAATTTAAAGAATGGAATGCTTTGGCCAATGAAATGATTGCATGTCTATATCTATATAGATGTGCTATAGCTATTTACTCCTTAAATTCTGTAATCCCAGAACTTAAGAGAATCATTTGAGGCCAGGGGTTAGAGACCAGCCTGATCAACGAGCAAGACAATGTTTCTACAAAAAAATTTAAAAATTAGGCCAGATGCAATGGCTCATGCCTGTAATTCCAGTACTTTGGGAGGTGGGCAGATCACTTGAGGTCAGTAGCTTGAGACCAGCCTTGCCAACATGTTGAAACCCGTCTCTACAAAAAATATAAAAATTAGCCAGGCACGGTGGTGTGTGCCTGTAATCTCAGCTACATGCAAGGCTGAGGCATGAGAATTACTTAAACCTAGGAGGAGGAGGTTGCAGTGAGCCAGTGATCCAAGATGGTGCCCCTGCACTCCAGCCTGGGCAACAGAGTGAGACCTCATCTCAAAAATAAATAAGTAAATAAATAAATAATTAGCAGGGCATGGTAGTGTGCCCCTGTAGTTACAGCTACTTGGGAAGCTGAGGCAGGAGGATCCCTTGAGCCCAGGAGCTATGATTGTACCACTGCACTCCAGCTTGGGTGACATAGTAAGACCTTGTCTCAAGAAAAAAACAAGAAAGAAAGAAAGAAAGAAAGAGAGAGAGAGAGAGAGAAAGAAAGAAAGAGAGAGAAAGAAAGGAAGGAAGGAAAGAAGGAAGGAGAGACAGAGAGAAAGAAAGAAAGAAAGAAAGAAAGAAAGAAAGAAAGAAAGAAAGAAAGAAAAGAAAGAAAGGAGAGAAAGAAAGGAAAGAAAGAAAGAAAAGAAAGAAAGGAAAGAAAGAAAGAAGGAAAGAAAGAAAGAAAGAAAAGAAAGAGAAAGAAAGGAAGGAAGAAAAGAAAAAAAGAAGGAAGGAAGGAAAAAAGAAAAAAAAGTCTGAGCATGTCATTATCTTCCAAAACTCAAATCCACCCAGTGCAAAAACACAGTAAGCATTTCAATTCATTTTAACTGATTGAAGGAAGTGGGTTTGAAACTTGTATGTGTACTTGAGAATGACTGTGTCCCTGTGGGCACTTACCAGTGTAAAGGGAGGAAGGAGGATAAAAGAGATGAGAGGGGAAGTTACGAGAGGATAGAATAGGATTGGACAGTGAGAAAAAGAGGACATCAAAAGAATGTTTGAGACACAGTATTTAGGCACACTTGTGGGCTACAGATAACAACATTCTATGTTAGTTCATATTTGATACATTCCCACCAGCATGTCTAAGTTTAGTGGATATCTCTTTAGAAGTATTCTTACAACTCCAATCAAGATCTAAGTGAAAAGCTATTGACTTCACTCTGTTTCCTCATATCGTTTTGTCTTCTAAATAATTTATTTCTTGAAAATTCTCAGAGAGAGCATTCTATCCCACAAACTTTTATCTCTCTCAAAATGCTGCACTTTTGCTGAAATATCTGACACCTTGTGGTAATCATATATTGCTACATACTCGTCAATTTTGGGGGCTACGCATGTGATGCCACCAATAGTTGTCACATGTTTCAAACTAAGTAAAACCTGAAAATAAGTAAAACAATGTTGACAGTCTTTACTGTCCGCGGACTATATAACCAGGCCTAAGGGGCATTTGAAACCCTCTCCTTTGTTTTCTGAATGAGGGAACTGAAATCTCAAGAGGTAAATTACTTCTTCAGAGTCCCACATTTTGTAAGAATTAAAAGGTCCTAATCCCATATTTGCACTTCTTGACCTTGAAACTGACTTTGGCCAAGTCTCTTGTATTCACTCTTTCCTATCACGCTCCATGTTATATATAATTTTTTCTCCCTAAAATTGAACTTTAACCTCTCCCTTTGTTTTTATTGTGCCTGGACTTGTATGAGTCTAATCAGATTAATTTTAAAAAGACTACTGCTTTGATCATGTTTTCTCTCTGATAAAGAATGCTCAATTTATATACTTCTAAAACATGCCCACATGCTGGAATGTTAGGTATAATCTAACCATAACGTAATTATAAAATGCTCTGTAACATCCGCCCTGAACAAGAACTTATTTCTGCAAAGAGGCCATCTTCCCTGTTCTTTGTCACTTACTTCTCTCCAGCTCCCAGACCTCCCCACATACACCCAGTACGTGCCTCCTGAAACCGTTTGTACTTGCTTATTTTCTTGACCTTGAATGTATTTTCTTTCTTTTTCTACTTATCTAAATTATACCACCCTTCAGCGGTCATCTCAGTGCCCACCTAATTCTAGAAGCCTACCTCCATTAACTCTGGTCAACAATGAAAGTTCCCTTTCTCAAGGGAGCATTTATCTTGTATCATGATTCTCTCCTCAATTTGCACGTTATGATGCATTAAACGTTGTCATTCCTCAGTTTTTTTATGTGTTTGGATGTTGTGTGTCTCTGCAACCAAAGTTGTTAATTTCTTGAGGGCAAAGACGAAGGCTTATATAAATTCTATGATCTTTGCCATTAATAAGTGTGCTATAATTTCATATTGATTTTAACAGAGAGCAGGAAATAGTCTGGCATAATATCCAACAGTTCTGAAATTCTATGCTTATTTAGAGACACATTAAATTGAAAATTAGTTCAATAAGTTTTTACTTTCTTTGGATATAGCATGGAAGCACTTTAATTAATTCATTGATTTGTGTTAAATTTCTTCACATTCTTATGTAGAAAACTTCAGAGTGAAAGCATTAAATGAAGTCAAAACTATCAATTAATCTTATTGGTAGTTATTGTACTTGTCTTCCCAACATTCATTTTATCCATTTTACCCTACCCTATGTATAGCAGTCATGTAATTTGAAAGGGATTGATTTTTGCCCTTCCCCCTAAATTTCATAAACTGCTTTAACTGGATTAAAGAAGTAAGTACTCTTTTCTATTCTGGTAAATTCCAGCAAGCCTAGCCTAAGTCAGTCAGGACATATCTTCCCCCTGGCCACAAAGCTGATTCCAAGTTGACCCACTCAGCACAAAGTTCAACTAATTGTACCAATAAGAATCTCTGTGTTTTTAGGTATGTGGTCTAATGAATATCCTACAATGTTTAAAATAATTTATGTTGGGATTTCTATTAAGTATACAACTCAAAGCATCCTAACAATAGTTTGTCTTAGTTTTGCTATTTTAGGGAAACAATATGAGAAGACATTAAAAGATAGAAAATAGATAATACAAATGTATAAATATGAAACCAGTCACAAATGGCTGCGCTGGTCTCCTATAACGAGTTGAGTCATGAGGAAAAGCTGATACATTTATTATTATAGAAAATTTTAATGGAGCTGAAAAACATGGCCTCATATTTTTTCTCTTTAGAAGACACACTTTAAGTAATTTTATGCCTCAAAATATAACCCTATACAAATTCACATATTTAGATAGTCTAGCAGATTTTTCACAGTAATCCATATTGTTTATGTGCTAAGGCTGCCTTTGAGATTTATCAAATCAGTAATGTGTTTTCAAAGTTCTTTAAGTAGATAAGGGGACTTACCATATTACAAAATCGCATATTTTTGATTTGAAAATACTCATTTTATTACATACCTAAATAGCAGGGGAGAAAGCTTATGATTAAAAAATCCAAAAAACTCGTATGGACCCATCAGGATATTTTTGACTCAGGATGCTTCTAGATGTACAACGTTATCTCTGGATGTTATTTTGAATATAGCCTGTGGTAATTGGACTCAAAAATTCATTGAAGAAGACCTAGCAAACTGTGATAAATGCTGAGAAAAAGAATAAATGTAAGATAATGGCAGCAATTCTAATTGTAATGTGTCAAGGTGATTTGTTATTATTATTAATTAATTTATTTTTTTGAACAACAGGGTCTCACTGTGCACCCAGGCTGGAGTGCAGTGGCATGATCATAGCTCGTTAGAGCCTACATCTTCTGGGCTCAAACTATCCTCCCACTTCAGCCTCTTGAATTGCTGGGACTGTAGGCACATACCACCATCCCCTGCTAATTAAAAGAACTTTTTTTTTTTTTTTTTTAGAAATGAGGTCTTGCTTTGTTGCCCAGCGTCATCTCAAATTCTGGGTCTCAAGCGATTCTTCTGCCTCAGCCTCCCGAGATGCTGGGATTACAAGCGTGAGCCACCGTGCCCAGCCCCTAGGTGACTTTTGATTAGTATTTTTGAAATATACGTAGAATACATACGTGGAGAAATAAAACAACATGTGGAAAGTCATAGAGGAGAGAAAATTCTTCAAAGTACTTGAACTGCCTGGAGGATGTGACATTTGATAAAGTCCTGATTGTGGAAAACACTAAAAATAATATAGTTTATTATGCAAGCAGTTAAAAGTCAAATTTTTTTTGAGTAGGGGATGATATTAGATATTTGCATTGGAAAGGGTATTTTGTTGAAATTATGAAAGCTATACTGAAAAAGAAAGAGAAAAACTAGAAAGGGGAAAACCTTATGCAAAGGAATTAGAACAATATCTGTTAAAATGGAATCCAGAGAACAGAGGTAACAGACATTTCTAAGGTAACACCACAGTACCTGGAGGCTAGCCAGTTGTGGAATGAGGGAGAAACGCCTGTTCGAATGGCTGAGGTTCTGAATACACAGACACTTTTTCTAATAACCAAGAAGGCCAATAAGGAAAGAATAGCATGCATGGAGGGGGGGACAGTTGAGTTGTAGCTGTTCTGGAAACCATTGTAAAATCTAGGCTGGGATTTCAGGAGACAGGCCAGAACAGGAGAAAAGATTATCTGTTAGAGTTCCTCAATACACATGAAACTGAGAATGATTGGAGGTGGTTTCAAAACAGAGTTTAGACAGAAAGAAGAGAGCTGAAGATGGTGCCTTAAAAAACATAGCATCTAGGCTGGGTACGGTGGCTTACGCCTGTAATCCCAGCACTTGGGGAGGCCGAGGCGAGTGGATCACCTGAGATCAGAGGTTCGAAACCAACCTGGTCAACATGGTGAAACCCCGTCTGTACTAAAAATACAAAATTAGCCGGGCATGGTGGCGCATGCCTGTAATCCCAGCTACTTGGCAGGTTGAGGCAGGAGAATCGCTTGAACCTGGGAGGCAGAGGTTGCAGTGAGCCAAGATTGTGCCATTGCACTCCAGCCTGGGCAACAAGAGTGAAACTCTATCTCAAAAAAAAAAGAAAAAGAAAAAAAAAGAAAGAAAAGGAAAGGAAAGGGAAAAGAAAAAGAAAAGAAGAGAAGAGATAGCATCTAAGGGATGATGGTGGGAGAAGAGTCTGAGAAGAAACCTAGAATGGAATTAGATAAGGAAGGAAAATGAGGAAAACGTACTGGGAGTGTCATGCAAGGGAGGATTTTCTTTCTTTCTTTTTTTTTATTATACTTTCAGTTCTGGGGTACATGTGCAGAATGTGCAGGTTTATTACATAGGTATACACGTGCCATGGTGGTTTGCTGCACCCACCAACCTGTCATCTACATTAGGAGGATTTTCTAGAAAGAAGAAAGAGATTTTATCCAATGCTACTAGGAGATCAACTAACATGAAACATGAAAAGATATGACTGGGCTTAGCAATTAACAGCATTTTGACAGGACATTTTTAAGACTAGGTTGAGGGAAAAGCAGATTAGATTAGGTTGCCAATTAAAGGTGAGGAAGAAGACACTGTGAGCATAGATTATGTGAGTTTGGTGGGTTGAAGAAGAAAAAGCAGGTGACTTACGGAAGGTGGAGTTCAAGGTGTGTCTGTAATTGGAATGGAACTACTCAGATGTGGTCTTAGAGGAAAGAGAAAGGGAAGATGCTGAACTGTAAAGGGCAGTTTAAGGAAAGAATCATGGATGTAGACCAGAAGGCAAGAAGGAGGTGGGCAAAAGAATCATGGATGTAGACCGGAAGGCAAGAAGGAGGTAGGCAAAGAGTGTGAGTTCTCCAGAGGAAAAGATAGCTCTCAAAGGGAAAGATCTTTTTTTTTTCTGTCTGTAAAAAGAGGTACAAAAACATCTGTCTTTTGGCACAGATGGCTATGTCAGGTTGATTAGAAAGCTATTGGACCCTACAAAGATCAGATCCAACACAGGACATAAAGGATAAGAAAAATATCAAGGGACCAGGTATGCTTAGATATATTTTATGTCAGTTACATGAACAAAAATGTCCCCAGAACATAGATTTTTACTATGAAGGTGAATATTTTATGATGCTTTAAAGAGCCTAGAAAATTATTACCTAATAATGGGACAGTGACTCTAAGACTCCATGAATGAACTTTCAAGCATGGCTGGTAACTTTCACTAATGTGTACCTTATGCTTATGCTCTAGTAATTTTGGTGCTCTGACAAATTTTACAGAGCATTCACTCTCTTTCCATACTGTACAATGAGCATTAAGTTTGTGCTAAGAGTAAGTGAAAAAATAATTCTATATATAATACATATGTTTGTTTAAGGGTGGGTGTGTTTAGTTGGGAGAGTAATGTGAGTTAAATATTATTAAATCAATTAACTGATTAAAATTTCATATATAATAATATAGATAAAATAAAGTGTATAAAGGAATTATTTATTGAACACCTACCACATGCCACTCTTGTACTAGGTAGAGACTTTATATAATTTAATCCTCATAACCACACAGTGACATAGAAACTGTGACTCATAGAGTTTCACAAATTTATCCAAAGGCACAAAGCAAGCCCAAGTCATGAACTCAGGTCTCTCCAGATTGCAGGCAGGGTGTTGCCTTAAATATAGTCTGTGACCATGTCTAATGACATAACTTTATTTTATTTCCCTGTCCAGATCTGTAGTGGGGATAAACAAAAATGGATTCTTATCTTCTGTTTACAACTCTTTATTTTAAGACCCTTAACTCACAGTTTATTATTATTTTCTTCAATAAATAAGTCTGATTTCTTAATGGTCCTCAGTCTTTGACTTCCTTTCTGCTTCAGTGGTTATGTAACTTTACAATCTTAAAGTAATCTGTGAGGTAGTAAAATCACAGCAGTTTTAACTTCAAAAGGCTGAGCATAATGACTTTTTTTTTTCCAAGCTGCTACACTAAGTACTAGGCAATGAGTTTGTGGGTGCGTCAAACAGGAAAATAATCTGAAATATTATGTAATAATGCAATAAAGAAATTTGGAGGAGGTTGTACACTAGCTAGAGAAAATCCTTGAACTGAATTGTGAAAATGCTTTTATGATAAAAACACAGAACTGCAAGTCTGAACACCAGGAACTTATTTATGACTATGTCATTAAACTTGAACCCTGTAATGTTGTCAACTTTCTTAAACTTTCTATACTTCTGTTTCCGCAAAGAAAGAAGAAATTTGTTAGACCATCTTTAGAGTCTCAAATATTTAATAAAGCTATTGGATACAACTCTATTTAAGAACATCTTGAGAATAGGGATTATCTTAAACTTCATGGGTTATGGGGAGAAAACAAATGAATCACCTACTTGGGCTATTACATATATACTAACTTTTCAAATAGTAAGTGTTCAGAAGTCAGAAGGAAAGAGAAAAGATTAGATATATTCATTCATTTCTTTCTTGATGTAGTAGAAAAATCTGAAACATCTGCCTGAACTCAGTTAATTATGTTAAGTCCAAAAGAGCTTTTGTTTTCCTAAGAGTCGTCAGACTGAAAATTGCACTAAATGCCTCAGGATTTAATGGTGCTGTTCAGCTATCTTAGTCCAAATCTCTTGTGATTTACTCCCACAAAATTTCTGAACGATACCAATGCAACTCTACCTCGCAAACAAAAGGGAAGCCATAACCGTATATTGTCATGTGCGACAAGTTAATGTGTAGTATTTGCTAGTGCTACCCTCTCCAAAGGTCCCAACACACAAACATCAGCCTGAGTGTATTTAAACAAACAGTGTTTGAATTCATTCCAGCCTTTCCATTTACAGCAATTTAACACTATTTGTATTCAGGAAACAAAATAACAAGGGACAGCTGTTTCTCTACTTTGCTCTTACTTCTGGGCTATTTGAAAACACTTTGACAAGCTAAAAATGTAAAAGAGCATCATTTTTATAATTTAGGGTATGAGTATGTCAGGTAAAATTATGGAGACCAGCACAAAATCAATAGTTTTCTTTTTAAACCAAGTTTACTATTATAGAACTAACATATTTTTGGAATACAGGGATGTGCTAGGTATTTAATGTGTCATATATCGTTAGCCTTAAGATTCAGGAATCAGCTTATACTAGAACACTCAGTATGGGAGGTCCTGCATACCTCTAGCCTTATGTAGCATGCTCTTGTTATTACGGGGCCATACCTCCCAAGCTCACCATTACCTGATGACCCTTCAGCTAGTATGCATGGGCATTACCTGAGCACTTGCCATTAGCATTTCATAGTATAAAAGTGCTATGACGTAATAATAAATAAACTCATCCACTGATTACTGGAGGGTAATTCTGAGATGATATGACTACTACAACCATATCTCTGCAGCAATGGGCAACATTGCACCTACAACCTGAAACTGTCTTTATTCTTACTGAACCAAGCAGCAAAACGATGATGGATGAGGCCCTAGTGTGTGCCTTAGATTATTCTATCTACATGGCAATTGCAATGCCCATGCTTGAAGATTTCAAATTTCCAATGCTGGCAGGCTTACGCTCAGCCAAAAATTTTCAAAGATGATCACAGCCTATTGGAAATCTACCTTTCAGAACTCTGCATACAAAAATTAGTTTAGAATCAAACTCTAAATTACTAATTCAAAATGTGACACTATTACAGCCACTTAAAAAAAAAAAAACCCACAAACTCACTGATTGAATGTGCCTAAAAGAATGCTTTTGATTTGAAAAAAAAAAAATCTCGTCAACAGATTTTTCCTGCTCCCTAGGATGTGTTGAGTTGCTTCTTTTTCTCAGATACCACATATGAATATTAACAAAAGAACAGTATGCACAAGAGAAATGCTTTTTTTGTAAACTCAACGGAACGAATGTTAACAGTTTTAGGAATCTGTTACGTTAAGGGAGGGGGATGTCCATATGCGTGTGAGTATTTTTAGGTAAGTAAATTGCCTTCCAAAGGAGCCACATCTGCAGCTTTGGTTTTCGTTTTCTCACTACTCACACTGATAATGACAGGGTCATTGAGGAGATGGTCGCAGGAAATCCTATGAAACAGACACTGCCTTTTGTGAAAATAGGGAAAAAAATGCATCTTCATTTTTTTTTTTTTTTTTTTTTTTTTTTTTGGCTAAGATGATGAAAGGGTAGACTCCCATTACTGGAGTCTGTTTAACCAATTGACACCATTTTTCTTCGTAGTTACTTTATGTAAGGATAAGGAATTTGCTGAGGGTTATTAAAACACTGGGGAAAACAGGAGGGGAAGTTTGCATATTGAATATTATTCATGAATTAAAAGCAACATTATTTTTTGGAGTTTTTGTTTCTTTATATTGGGAAAAACTATAAACTTTTTTCATCTCATTCAGTTTTAAAATGAGGAAACTTATTGTGATAAAACAGCAAGCACATTATAGAAATATTTCACAACATGTCCAGTGTGCCAGTCATCCATTTATTGCCTTTCAGGCTCAAATCCATTCTTGTTTGTCCTGTTTAATGACACTGAAGCTGGACCTGTAAACACATCTCCTTTGCCAGCTGGCAGATTGTTACACTTTGTTGGTAGAGGGTATGGCGGGGGTCAGTGTAAGAGGAAGGTATTCTTTTACACGTTCTGGTGTGATTTATAATTATTACTCCTAGGGCATGACTGCCATTGGAGAGGAGACACTGAGTCATACTCACCTTACAGCAAGTTTACCAGCACTCCCTGAGAAGTTGAGAAGCTTCCTAATAAGTTTCATGAGCTCCTAAGCTGGAAATTTCCCAGCAGGTTTTATTGGGACCAGCAGGTGACTTCATGCTTGGTAGCACTGTGCTGCATCATCTCAGCAAACTATACTATCCCGAGGCCACAGCTACAGCTTCTCCAACGAAGTCTGAATCTCAGTGATGGGGCACAGGGTAGGAGGCAGGGAGTGGGAATTTTTCCGGGTTGGTTTCTTCCTTGGGTACTCTGTCTCAGCCTCGGAAGCAGTAACTGCTCTCTATACCTGCTATTCCTGAATTCTTTGGAATTCTCTTTACCCCTTAGTGTGTAAAATCTAGTTAGCAGTTAATAATTATATTAAACTTCCCACATTCAAACAACTGGTGTGGCTTCTGTCTCCTGACTGGATTCTGACTTATAAACTCAGTTAAAATATTCAAGATGGGAGAGGTAATGAGACATTTTAAATGAAAGAAAGATATGGGGTAGCTGAAAGTAATAAAGTTTAGAAAAGTATGAAAGCACATGAAATAGGAAGATGTGAAAGAAAAGAAACTGGTGTGGCAGCACTAGTCTGCACTAAAATCTGCTTCTTTACTCTTTGATAGTAACAGAATTGAGGCCAGGCACTGTGGCCCCCGCCTATAATCCCAGCACTCTGGAAGGCTGAGGTGGGTGGATCACTTGAGGTCAGTAGTTCCAGGTAGTAACAGAACTGTAGCCAGGCCCGTGCCTGGCTGGTCTATAGCTACTTGCCTCCCTGCAGTTATGTATGGCCACAAGAACAAGTTCTTCCCAGTGGAGTAGAAATGGAAGGGACACATGCCATATCCTTCTCTGGAACTTGAGAGGTGATGTGTGTCTCCAGTACATTCCCTTCCTCCTTCTGGCTGGAACCCAGATATGGGGTGACCCAGCTTTGACCATGCAGAAGACAACGTTGCCCTAAAGGGTGGTGGCACAACATGAAAGGATCATGGCCCCTGAAAGACTGTTAGGAACAGAGCTGCCATACAAACCAGGATTGCTCACCTCCGACCTGTTTTACAAGCAAACTTTTACAGTTTTAAGCCACTGTCATTTTGTGTGTTTTTATTATAACAGCTCAGTTTTACCATAAAACAACTGCTAATCAGGGAAAGTCACTATTATTCTTTTTTCTTATGCCTCCATCCAACTTAGATGTTATTATCCACTTATAACTGCTCATACATGTTAAAATATTATTCCGTTATCTCCCCTTCTCCTCCATTGGTGTCATATCCAAATGTCTGTCCAATTAAATAAATTTATTTTTAATCTTTAAAACATGGTCTTGGGCTTTGCTATTCTCTTTGCCTGGGATGTTTTTACTCTTTCTATTGCTTCCATTTTTAATACCTCACATCCTTTGAGAGCGAGCTCATCGCACTCATAATTCTTTTGTTGACTGGCCTGATTTGAAGCAATCTCTACCTTTTTAAACTATGAATGCAATTATTTTCTGAACAAAGCACAGGCCAAATATCAATTTCTGAGTGAGAACCCTCCTGTCTTGAACACCTAGATATGCATTTGTTTTATAATTTTATCCTTTGTATTTAATTTGAAGAGTATCAAATAAATTATAAAATCTTTGAAAATAAGGCAACTTTGTAACTTTCTAACCAGGTTCTCTAAACAAAGAAAATATTTTTAAAGTTTGCTGTTTTGAATTCTTCTCTCCATGAAAAGGAACCATGTGTCCTTGGAAAAATGGTTGATTCATTGTGTGGGTCAATAAATTCAGAAAATGAGGCTTGATCTTGTTGTCATACCAGAAAGCAAGGAATCCATCAAATATTACTAGCTAGATGTCAAAAGAAATCAACCTGAAGAGGCTGCCACTAAGCAAAGCTGAGAAAATTTAAGCATCATTAAGTATAATAATTTGCAAAGGATGAATGTATACATTTATTTTTCTAGCCAGTTTACAGATAAGGAATGGTAAGACAGGCACAGAGAAAATAGGTAACTTGCCCAAGGTTTTGTAGTTTGTAATTGTCCTTATAATCACCATTTCTCGTAGTTTTATAGGATCAGTGCAGAGTGATAAGAAAAATACCTTGTTTTTCCTGTATTTGTTCTAAGAAATGATACCGTTGCACTTTGGAGGAAAAATAGAGGAAAGAAAAGAATTATATAGAAATAAAAGAAGTAAAGAAGAATAAAAGTAAAAAGAACAGGAAACCTTCTTAATCTTCTTTAGGGAACCATGAAAATTTGTAGAGGGTCCTTCTTTTCCCCTTTTTGCCCACATTTCTTTTTTTTTTAATTCATAATCTACCACACTTTATACCTGGCATAACACATGGTCCTGTTCTCCTACTATATTATTTGTAAAGTCTCATCAATGAAAATGATCATTCATCATGATAATTTTTTTCAATTATTTTCTGTAAGTTGTGGATAATAGGTTGAAGAGTTAATGAATTTAGACATGTAAAGTACATAGAACATTGTTTAGAAATAGTAAATTATCAACAAATGTTACATATTATTAATATGATTATTGTTAATTTCCATTTTATATTCTACATGGCAATAGCATATAAACTAAAAATGAAACTCATAAGTTCTTTCATTGTTATAGTAATAAAATTAAAGTTTATGGTTATTGCAGGTCTATATTTATGGAATAATTTGGTTAACTTTTATTGGTAATTAACCATGACATTCAGGAAAAATTTACTCAGTATTCACTGTGTACTAGGAACCAGGAATTTATCAATAAACTAAGTAGGCATTGCCCTGCCTTCATGGATCTTACAGTCTAATGGAAAAGACAGACATTAAATAAGTAACAAATATTATTTTACAAAAGAACACCCAGTGGGAATTCAATTAATCTTGAGTTTTTAATTCTAATTTATTGGTAAATAGCACTCTGAAGCTAGTCATAAAGACTTTAAAGATGTCTGGAAAATTTTTTTTTGGTATTTATCTCATAAATACCACCAAATATTTATTTATAAGTGCATTGGATGTCTAATTTGGAAACATAAAACTGGAGTTTCATTATTTAAGAATTAAACAAGTATTGGTCTCTTTATTACTACTTTTTGCAATGGCATATGAGAGGGGACAGGGCTGTTGAAGAGGCTGACTCTAGTGTTATACCACTGACATTGTTAAAAAGTGATAATTAAAAAGCAGTGATAGTTAAAAAGGACCAATTTATAGTCAGTTTTTTACTGTTTCTGTTGATGGCACACACAGCAGAACATGTCTATTGCCCCTCTGCCTGCAGATGCCACTGATATTTTATGATAATTCTGGAATCATGCAAGCAATACTACTGAGAAAAGAATGCCTCCCTTTAATTTTGGTATTTTATTATTTATTATTATGTTTATGGGGCATTTGTTACATGCCAGGCATGGTCCCAAGCACACAAATATTTACTTTAAAGTCCCTCATAACAACCTTTTAAAGAAAATTGAAATATAAAAAGAGATTCAAGATTTTAGTTAAAAAACTATTCAGTTAAAAAGGGCCAATGCTGTTTCTCTCGAATAAATTGATAGGTATGATTTTAAAAATTGTATAGTTACAGAATTGAGTTTCAGTTCGTAGCCTGAAATAACAGCAACTATCGGAGAGGGAATTAATTTGACCTCTTTGAAATGCTAATTGAATTCTTATCTGTAAACTTAATATTTACATTGTTGAACTATGTAAAGGAAATATAAAATCCATGGGCTTGATGAAATGATAAAAGGCATGTGCTTAACTAAATCATTAAAACCAAAAGTCAGTTTTATTCTAGGCATATATATTCTGTCCCACATGCAAGAACAAAACAAAATAATACCAGCACATAGAAGCCACATTACGTTTAATTATATGGTAGTGTTTATTTTTTCGATTGTTTTGACAATACGCAGAAGATTATTTCCTGAATGTTAAAAATTATGATAGAACATGTTAATACAATTACACCTTCAAATAAACAATTGAACGCTTTCAGTTTGATTTCTGTGAGCTCAACTTAAAATTTTCACCAGCTTCCAAGTGTTGATTTTTTTAAGTCAAACATCATTTACTCTTTATATATTTTCATCAACATATTCTGTCACAGCTTTTAAAACTTGGAAAATTCTCTGCATATTGTCAAAAACAATCTAAATTAAAAAAAACCCTGTTGAATAGCTGGAATGATTATGGCATAATTTCCAACAGTACTATTGGTGGTAAAATGATTCATAACGAAGCAGATACAGAATCATCTATACATTACTACATATTGTAAACAGTAACTGCATATTTCCAGACTCTCATACTTCAATCCACCTCAAAAAACCCTACTTAAAAGTACATTAGTGCAGGGAATTTTATCTATTACCCACTGGAATTTCCTGATATAAACTCATTCAAGACAAGCCATTACTATCATTTTGTGTAATTTATTTGGCCATGGCTAAAATTTTCCATTTTTTGATGTTTAAAGGAAAACTGAAATACAACAACATTATCATTCCTCTTTATTGGCCCTACCAGGATGGCTATAAATTAAATATAATCTTAAGAAAGTAAGACTAAGTGTTATATTAAAATTACCTAATGCAATTTATAGGAGAACAAAAGGGGTTTTCACCACTGTATATGTAGCAGACTCCTCTATATTTAAAAAAAAAATTTTTCATATTGATTCAAGTAGAAAGTTATTTCCTATTGAAACTAATGTTATGCCAGGGAGAATTTTATAAGTTGTATCCTCTTTTATGGTAAGAAACATGCGTGTTCATCTGTGTGGCAATAAAAGAAAGGGTGAGTGATTGAGAATGCCAGAGGTGGTGATTTAAACAGAATATAATTGTACTTGAAATTGTGATGCTTCAAATCACTGTGAATCAAAATGTGTACATGAAACAAATCGATTAACAGGCCTTTTTCAATAACTGACATGTTAGCAGGGCGATATTGAACCAGGATTGAACTCAAGTCAGGCTGTCACTCATGATTTACCTGGTGGAGCATTTTGTTTGAGTGAAAGTGAATTATGTCTTTGATTAGAACACACAGAAAAATAGAGTCATCAGACAGACAGAATAGAGATTGACTTGTTTAAAACTTCTATTGAACCCAAACCAGTATTTATCCTCATTCTCCCAACATAGACTCACACGACACAGGTCCCAATTGAAACTGCAGTACAACAGCAGAGCATTTGATCTTGCTCTGAATGCTATAAACTCTCTGTTTTCCCAAAGCACATTGAATTATTTCCTTTTACTGTTTTTGTAAATGGGATGCTTCTTCATAAAGCCAATGGTCACTTAATTAATATACATTAATATTTTCTCTAATACGGAGGTTGACCGACTAGCCTAGAGGTTTAAAAAGAATCACAACAATCCCAACATACAAGCTCTCTCCAACAATGAATGCCTGCCATGTTTATTGCTTTGTAACTGACCCAGAGATCACCACCATGCTATTTCCTTCCTTAAGTTACACTTTTTAGAGATGTTTCAGTGTCTTCAGACAAGGAAGGAAGTGTCCAGAGCCTCCGATTCCCCTTTAAAGGACAGCACTCAGAGTCCTGCTACCCCTCAGAGTCAAGCAGCCTAATTTTCAGATAAAGCCCAGTAGCTTAACAGAAGGTTTAGCTTAACAAGGGATCGGAGAGGCAATATTTGTCTAGAAGGTATCTAAGGAGACAACAGATTTGTTCATGGCCTAATTAACCTAACCTCCACTCCTCACTTCCCTTTGCTAACTCTTCTCATTCTTCAGATCTCAAGTTAAATATCGTTTGGATAGGGATGTCCTCTCTGACCCATGATTAGATTAGGTGTCTTGTTATGTGCTCTTAGCACTCTCCGCTTTGTGTAATTCATTCTCACTTGTTTATCTATTGGGCTGTGTTTATCTAATTTTGCCCTAAATCTCCATTGCCCTTCCCGTAACAGGCAGTCAAAAATATTTGTTAAAAGAATGAATGGATACCTAAGATCAATGAAAGCCTTTATGCATTATCCTGGGTTCTGAGGGAGAAAATCTAAGATAGACAGTTTGAGGATGAAGAGTCAATTCATATGGAACCAAAAAAGAGCCCACATAGCCAAAGCAAGACTAAGCAAAAAGAACAAATCTGGAGGAATCACATCATCTGACTTCAAACAATACTGTAAGGCCATAGTTACCAAAACAGCATGGTAGTGATATAAAAATAGGCACATGGGCCAATGGAATGGAGTAGAGAACCCAGAAATAAACCCAAAAACTTACAGCCAACTGATCTTTCACAAAGCAAACAAAGACATAAAGTGGGGAAAGGACACCCTATTCAACAAATGGTGCCTGGATAATTGTCAAGCCACGTGGAGAAGAATGAAACTAGATTCTCAGAATTTAAATCTAAGATCTGAAACCATAAAAATTTTAGAAGGTAACTTCAGAAAAACCCTTTTAAATACTGGCTTAGGCAAAGACTTCATGACCCAGAATTCAAAAGCAAATGCAACAAAAACAAAGATAAATAAATGGGACTTAATTAAACTAAAAAGCTTCTGCACAGCAATAGAAACAATCAGCAGAGTAAAAAGACAACCCACAGAGTCAGAGAAAATCTTCACAGTCTATACATCCAACAAAGGACTAATATCCAGAATCTACAAAAAAACACAAACAAATCATCAAGAAAAAAAACAAACAATCCCATCAAAAAGTGGGATAAGGACAGGAATAGACAATTCTCAAAACAAGATATACAAATGCCCAACAAAGATATGAAAAAATGCTCAACATCACTAATGATCAGGGAAATTCAAATCAAAACCACAATGTAATACCACCTTACTCCCACAAGAATGGCCATAATCAAAAAATAATAGATGTCGGTGTGGATGTGGTAAAAAGGAAACACTTTTACACCGCTGGTAGAAATGTAAACTAGCACAACCACTATGGAAAACAGTGTGGAGATTCCTTAAAGAACTAAAAATAGAACTACCACTTGATCCAACAATCCCACTACTGGGTATCTACCCAGAGGAAAAGAAGTCATGCTACAAAAATGATACTTGCACACACGTTTATAGTAGCATAATTCGCAATTGCAAAACTACGGAGCCACCTGAAATGTCCATTAATTAACAAGTGGATAAAGAAATTGTAGTATATATGTACCATGAAATACTACTCAGCCAAAAAAAAAAAAAAAAAAGGAATGAAATAATGGCATTTGCATTAACCATTAAGAATAATGGTCTTAGAAAAGTGAAGTAACTCGGGAATGGAAAACCAAATGTCGTATGTTCTCATTCATAATTCGGAGCTAAGCTGTGAGGATGCAAAGGCATAAGAATGATACAATGGACTTTGGGGACTCAGGGGGAAGGGTGCAAGGGGGTTGAGGGACAGGAGACTACACATTGGGTGCAGTGTACACTGCTTGGGTGATTGGTGCACCAAAATCTCAGAAATCACCACCAAAAACTTATTCATGTAACCAAATACCACCTCTTCTCCAAAAACCTATTGAAATAAAAAAATGTAAAGAAAAGTCAATATTGGACCATGTTTCATTATCACTCTTTACCAATTGTCTTCTTCTGGTTTGCAGTCACAGCTCTGTTTGTTTCAGCATGAAAAATACAATTATTCCAATGATGCCCTGAGAAACACAAAAATGCCTAACTTTATAGTACACACTCTACAAAACCACATATAATACTTACCAGCCTAATAAACGGATAATATAGCATCCCATTCTTTGTTTATGTGCACAAAGACTCCAAGTGTTGGAAATAGCTCCAAATTATTATTGTTTTAATTTTTTATTACACTTTAAGTTATGGGAAACATGCAGAACATGCAGGTTTGCTACACAGGTATACATGTGCCGTGGTGGTTTGCTGCACCCATCAACCCTACATTAGGTATTTCTCCTAGTGCTATCCCTCCCTTGTCCCCAATGCCCCCCACACTCTCCAGTGTTTGATGTTCCCCTCCCTGTGTTGATATGTTCTTACTGTTCAACTCCCACTTATGAGTGAGAACATGCGGCGTTTGGTTTTCTGTTCCTGTGTTAGTTTGCTGAGAATGATGGTTTCCAGCTTCATCCATGTCCCTGCAAATGACATGAACTCATCCTTTTTTTTATGGCTACATAGTATTCCATGGTGTATATGTGCCACATTTCTTTTTCCAGTCTAACATTTATGGGCATTTGGGTTGGTTCCAAGTCTTTGCTATTGTGAATAGTGCCACAATAAACATATATGTGCATGTGTCTTTATAGCAGCATGATTTATAATCCTTTGTGTATATAACCAGTAATGGGATGGCTGGGTCAAATGGTATTTCTAGTTCTAAATCCTTGAGGAATTGCCACACTGTCTTCCACAATAGTTGTGGAAGACAGTGCTCTGAGTTGTTTTTAATAGGCTAATGGTTGGCATTAGAGCAAGCCACACATACTTGAGCATGACAAACATCACATCAAACATGTTATTAATATCATAACTATCTCATATGTTAGAATGACCTTGCACTTAAAAACAATAGCAAAGCAATTATGGCCACTGCTACACTCTGAATCACACGCTTTGGCTCTCTTGATGTTATACCTATTCATGGAGCATTTCTTGTTGATAATTCTGTACTCTTCCTATCGAATACCGCATGGCGCTAACAATTTGTCATGTACATTCGCTTTGAACATGAACTAGAATTGGAAAGAATGTGTTTTTATAAATACGTTACTTCATATTGCATTCTTCTTTCAAGTGTCACTGATAATAAAACGTCCGATCCACACGTGGCCTTCCAATATGAATGTCTTGTCACCACATTAGAGACCTTATTTTCAATTACTCAGCACTTGTTCACCCAAATCTTTTCCTTTTCCCTTCTCATTCCCTGTTTGAGTAGCGAAGAGGATAACACATATCACGCAATTTAAAATCTTCTCTGCTGTTATCCAGTCAGTCAGAAAGTTTTCTAAGAAAAAACCGTCTTCAACAGAGAAAAGTATACATGAATATTTTGAAAGGCACTTTGTGGAGCTGGAAATAAATGAGAAAAGCTACAAGCTGTCGAATGCACTCCCCTAATGTGTCTTTGCTGTCATATAAGCAGAATTTAATTCAAAACTGAACACTGCTTTGGAAATTTACTTTTCTCTGGAAAAGTGCAGCCTTGAGGAGAAAGTAATTACTAAATATGAGTGAGGAAAGGGAACAATGGACTGAAGCCTAAACAGATCATTATAGTTGTTACCAGAGGGTTTGGGGGCAGGAAGAGGAGGAAAATGGTATGTGCATGTTTGACATTTTAATATTACACTCTCATTAGCTGGTTTCTAAGCTCTGAAATGTTTGACATGCAATTTACCCAGAAGATAGGCCATTTTCTCTAGCCCTTAAAGAATGATTTTGTTTAAAATAGAAAAAGAAAAAAAAGATAAAAAGAAGAACATGGTATTATGTGACTAATTTTAGAAACTGATACAAAATAGTTGAAAACACAACACTCCTACGCTGGGTACAATATTTTTAATCAAAGTTGTTTCTTGATGTTGATTCTGTTAACACTTTTTTTTTTTCAATTTTTCTGGACAGTGTTTCTTGCTGTTGACTGGGAGCAGGTTTTCAAACATTTACATAGTTGTGCACAATTAGGTTTAAAATAGCTCAGCTTATTGGACTCAAAGATTCTGTACCATAACTTACCTAAATTCCACAGAGATGTGATGATGATTTTCAAGTTATCTACTTTCCTACCAGAGAAAATTTGATATTTGTTGTGTTATTCTTTGTTGACTGTTAACACATTTTATATTTAGAATTCCAGCTAGATCCTTTACAAAAATTTAGATACTAAATTTTTTTAGCTCCAAAATTATTCTCATTTATTTTCAGGCAATAGATCGGTAGCTTGGCTAACCTGTTAAATGGGTAGAATGTAACATGTAGCCCTTTTTTAATTTTCTGCTCACAACTTCTAATTTCAGAGCCACTATACTAACAATTCATGTTTCAACATCATAACTGAAGGGAAAGCCTGATTGTAAGCTCCTTGGATGCATGAATTGCTTGTTTTCTTATCGGAATCCTCAGTACTAGTAGATCCTTTGCAAATGACTTCCTCTCCCACCCCCAACACATACTGGCCTGGCTGAGAAAATGGTGAATTCCTTTATTACAAGTTACTTATATTTTTTTCCAGAAATTATTCTTACATGTTATTTCTACTTATTCTTTTTTGGCATAATGTAAAATAAATGTATTGTGAAGACAGCTACCAGATGAATTTTATAAAGTTTCTTCTTTATATTTCTTATATGACATGGTTTACAGACCTATCTCTCAGTAGGGACTTTTTTCTAAAATATATAAAGGCATGCTGAGTGTAGGTTTTGCAGGATAAATATTTCATTGATCAATGACAAAAAAAACCGATCCTTTTATGTATTGTATGGTTTCGACTAATTTAACTAAAATAATTTTGCACAAACCACGTTTAGCTGCTTCCTATTAGCCATAGTGGTTCATTTTAACTTATCACAGAAATTGATGTTTCCAATAAATGGGATAGATTGGCACGCACTATATTTGCTCCTTACAGTGACAGCTGCCAAGGTTTATGTTCCTTTTGGAAAGTGGAGACAAAAAAGATGTGGAAAAGAGAAAAGGGATAGTTGTAACTCTTAGTTTCAGTTGAACCTCATTCACTTACCTCTGCCATTCTTTCTCGCACCATCTCTGGACACAATATTAGAACTCACAAGTTACTCCATCACCATATCCATCTAGCATTTGCAGTGCCCACAGTTGAGTTGAAACAGTCAGTCTATTTTGATTTGGGTGTATTTGCGCTGTCATCAGCATTGCTTGGGAATGCTCTTTATCTTACATACTAACCAGACGGATACTTCGTTTTTAATTTGCCCATCTAGTTTTTAAAACTACAATGTCATTTTATATTTATATGTTCCGATTATAATGAGATTGAATATTATTTTTGTTTCTCAGGCATATGTATTTGTTTTGGAATGACTTTCTTATACTTTGATCAAGTTTCTATTATGTGATCATTTAAAAGTTACTTATTGAAAAGATTGCTATATTATTATATTAAAGCTTTATATTAGTCTCAGTTTCTCACTTATCTTTTAAACATGTTTACATCGCATTTCACTGTTTAAAAATCAGTACAAATAGCTTTCTCATCAAGAACTTAAAGCATTTCTCCTTTTCATCTTCAATTATCTCTAATGCAGAAAATGCCAAAAATTGGGAGACTGAAAAAAATGCATATGTGTATGTATCAAGGTGAGTTTCTCCTGTGAGTTACCAGATAGAACACAATAGAGATAGATGCTGCGCTATTTTATTTTAACATAGAGTAAGGAATCATTTAGAATATTTACATGTTTTTGCTTATCACAATAATTTCATAAATTTGGGAATAGTTACTTCGTATCACTCAAAAAGCATAAATTAGAGACTACATCATTTGTCACTTATCATTTTTAAGTTTTCTTAAAGCAAAAAGGCAGCATATTTTAATGAGAGAAAATTATTCTTGTTTCTACAAAACAGTATTTTAAAACAAAGTTTTAAATAAGTTTTGACAAAAACGATGGGCAAAACAATTATAGACAAAATTATCTGATGATTAAAGGAATCAATCCAAAACTTCATAAAAATGTTCCAAGTCTCAGGTTTATATTAGCTACAGATTAGTAAATGTGTAGTACTTTGTGAATTCTTTGGCTAAAGATCAATGAAGGTTAAAGTTTCAAAAAGTAATGTTATTTAAACATGGAAAATGTCTTAAAATATAATTATTTTAGTCTTGCATATGTAAATACACTTGGAGAGAGGTGCTGCAGGCAGAATGTTCTTAATGAGCTATGACTGTACTTAAAAGAGTCTGTGTGCTATGTTCACTCGAATTTCCTGATAGAAATTGTTTTAATATTCTTCCAAGTTCCAAAGCTTGCTCAGTAAGTGTGCCAGTACAAACAATAAGATGTATTTATTTATTCAACTATTTGAGGAATCTCCTAAGCAAGTGTCTTTTTGATTTGTGTCATGGATGAGATTTGCTAAAAAAAAAAAAAAAAAAAAAAAAAATTTATACTTCTGTGCCAGGACACTTTTATTGTAGGAAACAGATTACATTTAATTGGATTTCTGTTCATGCCATTAATAACACTTGTGAGAAAATTTCTTCCGTTACTAATTTTGCTCTATGTCTTTCACAGTTGCATTTCTTATGTTTAAAAAGTGTTGGCAGGATATCTATTAATATTTTATGAGTACACTTTAGAAAGCTCTACTGTCTTATTTTAATTATAAGTTTTTTATTTGAGAACTAATATTTTTTGCTTCTGTGTGCAACTGAATATTTTCTTTCTGAGAGAAAGATTAAAAAGTCATCATAATACATAATTGATTGTAATCCAGAAAGGTAGAAAAATACCATAGATGTCCAATTCTTTTCTGTTATTGTGTTTTGTTGTTCAAGTTTCCCTTTTTTTTTAAATTAAGGCAGAAACTTCTGTTTCACTCAAGTCCCCCAAAAATCCTTCCCAGATTTACAAATCTCTCTGATAACTAAGGGCTGCGATGCTCAAATACTCATGGTCTTTGGGCATGAAATGGCCTACTTCAAACACGTTTTTTTTTTTTTTTTTTCAAATAGCTTTTATCTTTAAAATTTGTATAATTTTTAAAATTTTTAGCCTGTGGTATATCAATTTGTTTCAATATAAGAAATAATGCTGCAAATCATTTAACATAAAATAAATTTAGCAGTTTAGGAAGGACATCACCTGGAATTGTATCCAGCTCCCTTACTAAAAAAATGAGGCTGGGCACGGTGGCTCACACCTGTAATCCTAGCACTTTGGGAGGCTGAGGCAAGTGGATCATGAGGTCCAGAGATCAAGACCATCCTGGCTTGCTAACACGGTGAAACCCTGTCTGCACTAAAAATACAAAAATTAGCTGGGCATGGTGGTGGGCACCTATAGTCCTAGCTACTTGGGAGGCTGAGGCAGGAGAATCGCTTGAACCTGGGAGGTGGAGGTTGCAGTGAGCCAAGATTGTGCCATTGCACTCCAGCGTGGGATACAGAATGAGACCCCATCTCAAAAAAGGAAGGAAGGAAGGAAGGAAGGAAGGAAGGAAGGAAGGAAGGAAAGAAGGAAGGAAGGAAGGAAGGAAGGAAGGAAGGAAGGAAGGAAGGAAGGAAGGAAGGAAGGAGGGAAAGAGAGAAAGGTAATTAAGCAAAAAGCCAGACAAGCAGTCTGGAGATGAGATATAGGCATGAAGTCTTGAAATTACAGCAGTCTGTCTCCCAATCCTTTCTTGATGTGAATGTCAAGAATTGAGATTTGGTTTTCTAGCTCAGAGGACACAAGGCCCAGAGCTAAAAATGCCTACAGGGTGATGATTCACCAAAACTTGTAGTTATGGGTGAGTTGGTCACCAGGAGTTTGGATGAGGTATAAAGTCCACAACATTTAAAACACGACATTTAAAACCAAATCTAATGTTCCAGACATCCTCTGATGAGCAAAGAGAATAGTTGAACAACTACTTCCCAAGATCTGTTTGATTTTATCTCAACATTCTAGAATTTCATCCTTTTAAGGTATGACATAAGCAATATTATTTTACTGATAAGAAAATGAAAAATGAACAAACATGAAATAATAATTTATCTGAGACTATTCTGTGTTTTCACTTAGAGTTAACAATACCATCATTTTCTCCAGGTCCTTGTTCTTGGAAAAGCTGGACATTCACCAAGTACTCTATATCTCAAAATCATCCAACCACAAATGCTGGACTTCTCTCATGAAGCCACTGGATTCTGCTAACCTAAAGATAGTCTTTTCCCAAACTTTGAATATTATAGACCTCAATAATAAAAATCATTTTGAAAAAAATTGATGTCTGCTTATTAGTCATGCAACACTATGAGTTTGTCCACCTCATCATGAAGTCCTTATTTAGTAATGAAATGCTGATTAACACTGATTAACTGATAAATCACTGATTAAAATGGTTCATTAGGCAAGTAACTTGCATCTTATTAATAAACAACCAAATTATCTTCATCTCACATACTGTCACTAAATAGTTTAGTCTTGGAAGGAATTATCTATCTTCTCCAAATAGTAATGCTTTGTTTCTTAATACCTTTCTTAATTTCAAATGCCAGTCTCTTACTACACTTACAAATGGAATTTTAAAAGCTAAATTATGTAATTTTTTGTTTTCAGGTTAGCTTTTCACCATTTCTTGGGTAATGTTACATAAAATATTGTACCTAAAACCTTCATGCTAAATACTCAGCAAAATGATAATATTCAGTAGTCTTGAATCCTTTTAAATTGTGTCTGTAGTAGCTGTTTCTTCTTCTTCCTGCCCCCAAAATATGAATGCTGCCTAAGTTTATCTCCTAGCTGGTGTCTTCCTCTCTTTACTCTTTTCTTAGAGATCTAATCTGATAAATGCTTTATTTCTACCCAAATGACACCTAAATTTTTTCCTCAAGTGCACCTACCTTCCCAAATGTCATCTTTTTTCTCTGTTTATCTTTATTACATATGTCTATCAAATATTCTTCTTTCACCCAGAATTCAATATTGAAAAGTAACTGTGGTCCAAGAAAAAGTCATTTGACGCTATAAATAATCAAAAAGTTTGGGTTGGCGAACTGGGTGTGCCTCTGACTGATTGTGTGACCTTCCTCCGTGTTACTGAATTCCTTAGGACGTTGACTGCCTTGTTTTTAAGACATGGATATTGCAGGAATTTGTACATTTCTCTGCCCTCCAATATGGTGTGATTTGATGATTAACACTGGTCATTTTCTCCATACTCTTTTTTCCTTCATGACTTTCCTGTTTCTTTGATGTGTATCCCCATTCTTCTAATCTCCTAGGCTCAATAACTCATTTTAATTTTCCCTATATTTTGAACTCTAAATCTTTCCAGTCAAAATAAATTGGCAATTCATATTTTATTTTGATTTTTGCATAATAATATCTCTGAAATACAACCTTTTCTTCCTATTTCCATTATATTTTCCATATTCTAGTTTTTTTTACCTTCTCTCTGACATATATAAAATTGTCCTGTTCTCTAGTGTCAATTTTGTATTCTGCCATTAATTTTCTCATCTTTCCTTAATTGAGAAATTTCTCCTGTTTAAAATGTTTTCCTCTCTCCCTTCCTTTGTTCAAAAAATGATATAAGGTAATTTAAAAAGAATGCCTCCTTTAAAATTTTTTTAAAATCAGAAATATGATAAGCAAAAATACAATCATTAAAAGGAGCCACAAATAAGGTTAGAAGGTGTCTTTGCTAAGAGTGACCAACAAATTCAGCTTCCCATTCATAGTGGGCATTCCCTAAGGCGATACCAATATTTTGTGACTCCTAAAGTTGCACCTTTGTGCTGTCTCTTCCTCTTGCATCCAGGTGGAATTGGTGATTTGATCCAATCAAGGGAAATTTAAAAAGTTATAATCGCATCCTTGAATATGCTATGTTATATAAGGCTGTCTTTGTAGACAGAGGTGAGAGGCTTTTCTCCCTTACTGGTTTGAAGAAGCAAGCTGCCACAGTGTGAGAAGACTATGGGGAGCACCACCTATCAGTGGAAATCAGGCAGCCTCTAAAAACAGAGACTCCACTCACTGGCCAACAACCAGCAAGAGAATGATCTCAGTCCTATAACCATAATGATATGAATTCTGCCAACAACCTGAGGGAGCTTGAAGAAGACTTTTCCCCAGTCAAGCCTCTGATAAAATTTCAGCCTAGTGAAATCCTGAGCAGAAGGCCAGCTAAGTCTTGCTTGGATTATTGACCCACAGAAACTGTCCAGTGATAAATGGATATTGTTTTAAACCACTAAGTATATGATAATTTATTAAGCATCATGGGAAACTAATAAAATATTCTATTATTTGTTAATTCATTGCAAAGTATTTTACTTTCAAAAAGCAAATTGTAATTCTGATGCGTAGACGATCTACTCTCAGGAGGTGATAATTGGGAGAGCCAAGATCCTACCTGGAGTTTGTGATAAGGTTAGTGCTATATTTCCAATACACAATTGCCTTCCTGTACCATCATTTCCATATTTATTTTCCTACCACACACTTTGCATGAATTTTTTCATTCCCCAATCACTGAAAATATAATGACTATACTTGGCTATTTGTGCTTTAACTTCTATATCCGAATTCATCACTTGCTCCTTCCAAATAGACACGTCTCTCATCACAGTCATTGATTTACTGCTCTCTGCAGGTCTGATTCTAACACCCACATTTGAGCCACTTTCCATTGTGCCCTTTAGACATTCTTAATCATTCTTCTTAGAATGATTCAACCCATTTTTTAATCATTCTGATAATTCTGTTAAGCCCAGTAATCTCTTTCTACTACAAAGTCAGTAAGACGGGCTCTTATATACCATATATTTTAACTTTTTTATATTTACATTGCTTATTTTTTGTCTTCTTCTTTGTCAGGTCCATGAAGACAAAAATATTTATGTTTAATTCACTAATGTGTTCCTAACACCTAGAATATTACCTGGGACAGAGGAGGAAGGAGGTGCTCAAAAAATACTTGCTGAATAAACTCATAACCCTTGTACTAACAACTTATTTACTATTGAAACTGTAAAGTTATGTCCAATCTCATATGTTAACTTATTGTTCAGTTTACGAGTGTGCACGTCATATCTTCAATTGGGTTAAGGACAGGGGTCCTGTGTTATTTGCAGTGCATCGTTGGAGTAAGTCCAGTGCAGCTTAAGTAACACAACAAATATCCTTGGATAGAAGAAAAAAGTTGGATATTGTACTTTTGTATAATAATTCTAAGTAATATTATATATTCATCATATCCTTTGAAGTCTCCTTCAAGTACATTATATTTATTATAATTCAGATTATACTTTCAAATATATTTTCTCTTAACATCGTATTGATTTTCTATGGACAGTAGCTTTTAATATTTTGACTTTGGTAGCTTAACTGCCTACATATTTTTTGTCAAGTAATTTGATGGTCTGTAAAATAATAATAAATCCTTTAGGCATTAACCGTCCTAAGTTTTTGTGCATGAATAATTATGGAATAGTGTTTTCAGTGATGAGAACCTCATCATAATTTATCTGCCTACTTATTTAAATATTTTTCATATATTATATTGTTTAAAGCAGTCAACATCTCTTTAGAATACATATAACTGATGCCCTTTCACTATATTGTTCTAAAGCATATCAGAGACTTTAAAACATTATGCATACTCCTTTACAAGAGGACTGACAGTGTATAACTTGATATTAACACTTTTCATGGGAATGTTATTCAAAAGACTATAAACACACAAAGAACTCAGTTTACTTCTCTAATAAATTGGTGTCAGAGGTTAAAATAGTTAGAACCTAAAAGATGATGAGGTAATATTCAATTTTTGATGAGTTAATAAGTTTTGAAATAGATAGCTAATAAAATCCATTAGCAGGTGTTCTTATCAATGAACATGTCTGCAGGAGGTCTTCTACATCTTGGTCTGCCAATAAATGAAGAGTTTTTAAAAACTGCCATAAATAGAAAATAAGCATTTATAAAGAGATATTTGTATAGGTTAATTTCAGGGGCGAACACAGTAGGAACTGAAAATACTGAAGCTGAAAACTAATTTGTTACAGGGTCCTGACTGCATTTTCAAGCAAAATCTACAAGTTCAGGTTGTTATGAACTATTCCACTACTGACATGCTGAAAAATAAATAATTTCATAAACAACCATTTGATAGAACTCAGATGTATTATTCTACAATTTCTCTGAATGACAGTATATAAAACTATTTCACACATACCATGTACAAGACTAACACTTTAGAATTGCAATAATTAAAATAAATAAGTCTATTTCCATTGTAACCAGAATTTTAAGTCTTCTTCCCCAACTTTTGGTGTAGAGAAACGTAGTGTCATTATATTGATTCTAATTTCTTTTAATCTAATTTCTCATTAATCCATCATAAAAACTTGTCCACAAATCACAAGTCAAGATTCAATTCCAAGTGAGATTGTGCAGCTCATAATCTGAGTACAAAATATGATACTAAGACAATAAAGGAAGTGATACATATTCTCATCATATGCAGAAATTAATCATGTGAAATAGAATGCTCTGATATGTATACGTATATCTGTGTCTATATAGTGCAACTTAGAGAAGTAAGTGACAAACAAAAGCTTATTATTTCAGTACTAGAGGTGGTACCTACTGTGGATTTCTCTAATGTAGACTGAAGCTCTTCCTCATTAAACGCTGTTGGGAATTCTGTTGCATAGTTTTAAATGACGAGTGTGCCAATCGTTTTGGATTGCATCTCTGAGAAGCTGAAGTGCCTTATTTCAGAAGATGCAGTTGCTTTTGATGTGACCATATCCAAAATGTTTCATTTTTATTCATGTTTTTTTTTGGCAAACACTTATTGAAGACAAACTACATTGCACCTTCCTTAACAACTTGACCAGAATGAGTTTGCTAAAATATTTCTTCTGTAGGCTTCATTGTCATACAATCTACCTCACTGTTCAGAGAACATTTATTTACTCATCTAGACATTTTGAGTAACAGTGCAATAATCAGGACGTACTTCTGTTCCCCTGGGTGTGCAAGAGGAAGCAGGACAAGAATTTCAAAAAGAGAAAAATGTATTTATGTGTACATGTATGTATATGTATAGTAACACACACACACACACACACACACACACACGCACACAGAAAATAAACAAACACCCTGATAACTGGAGTTAAATTTCCAGAAGAAATAATAACGTAGAAAAGAATTTGACATAAAGACTGAGATAATGGGAACTGTAGACAGTCATAATCAAAAGGGAAACAGAAGAATTTCAAAAGAAACTTCAAAAGACTAATTAAAATCACCCAGATATAGGGAAAGCAGACCTTCAAGCAGAACCGTGTAATGCATTAAGAACACAGACAGCTAGAGGAAGAAGACTAGATGTAATCTTAGTACAAGAGAAACAAGCCTCAATACAAAGAAGGAAATTGATTTCACATCAAGAGAGCAACTGGGGCTCTTTCTCTGGTCTGTTAAAAGGAAAGAAATACAGAGGGGGACTTTAATTTAAGACACCAATGGCTATGTTTGGAGCTGTGCAAGATCCAAGTTTGACCTATGAGGCCAAATTTTAGGTTCAGTCTGTAAGATGTGAAGGTTGCTTATTGATATATAAATACCAGTAGGTTGGAATACACTTAAATTCACACACACACACACACACACACACACGTATTCCAATAGAATTAAGAGGCTCATGAACAAAAAAAATAGAGCTTTATATCGCTTTTCTGATCTATGTTACTACTAAAATTGGCTAAAATTAATTTCTCAAAATCTATGAAATATATACATTTGTTGAAATATATATATTTCTACATATATACATATGTGTGTGTGTATATATATATATGGGGGGAACATATATTTCTAGAACAAAAAATCAAAATAAAAGTAATGGTCAAAATAAAAGATGCCTAGCTTCCTTTTCAAGATGTTTTGGTGGCAGGATATATTCAAAATGATAGAAAGAAAGCACTCAAGGAAAGGAGTAAAACCAAAAGCTTTAAAAGAAAAGTAGATATTCCCAGCTGTAAAAGTATTAAGTGGAACTTGCACTTGGAAAAAATAATCGAAGGTGAAGTAGAGCAGAAAAAGCAAAAATGAAAGTGCAAAGGGAAGGCGCTTGTATTGACAGAGTCAAGAAAAGAAAAGGAAAAAGAAGTCAGTTAAAATTGAATACTCTATCCACAGAAACTCTAATGTTTACTTATTCATTTAACAAACATTTACCCTGAGCCTACTATGCTTTAGACACTATGATATGGAGCATTGAAAATGTTTAAAACACATTTCTGACGCTCAAAATGCTCACAATATTTTGGGATTATCACAAAAAAGGTGGTTATCATAATGCAATATTTAACATCATTGATTTTAATGGAAATAAATCTAGTCTTAGAATGCTTCAAAATTTTTCCTTATACTACCTTACTTATGAACACATAGAAAGAATTCAGGTAATGCTTTATAGTGCGTTTATTACGAAGAGCATAAGCTCTGACCCTGGCCTAATGAGCTTTACTAATCTGGCGGGGTTAAGTGAATTCATGTTAAGGAACTGGCTCATAGTTAGTACTCAGTAAACGTTAACTGCTATTATTTATTTGTCAGAACAGTCATAGGAGGTTGGCACTATTATTATACTCAGTCTAAACAAGGGGAAGAAAAGATGATATATTAAGAAATCTACTAGTGTTTGCGAAGCTAATAATTGGCAAGAAATAGCATTCAAATTTAGGGACTGTCTGCTCTCAAAACCTTAACTTTAATATTATGCTACTGTTGTCTTTAAATGCAGTCTATGCAGAAAGTTTGACCTAGTGGCACAAGGTAAGTCCACACTAATTATTACCCATTACTACTATTAGTATAAAGATCCTCTGATTTATGACATCGTTTCTCAGTTTGTGCACCTATCCTTGTTAGAAAACCGACTGCTACGAATCACACTCCTTCTAGCTGTACCATGTTCAATTCTGCCGAAAGGTTTTGGACTTGTAGTTCTCACTACCAAAAATATCTTCCTTCCTTCATGGTTTCACATAGATGGATCTCTTCTGAGACTTTTGTCTAAGATCAAACTATCTCTCAGAGAAGGTTCCCTTCCCTAACTAGTAACCCACTAGCCCACCACTGTGCTGTCCTCTCTCTTTAGCCAGCAAACCCCTTAGCATTCATCGTTCTCTCATTTGTTTACTTTTATTCTCTCCCTAAGAGAATGTGACCATCACTCTTGATCACCTCTACACCCACACAAGATAGGAACTCAGTAAATATCTGCTGAATGAATAAAGTGACTATGAAATTTCCGTAAGCCTCGAATGCAGCTCATAAATATTAGTTCATCACTCTGCTTGCCCAGCCATGTAAGTGTGAACAGAAAATCTGCATTTTAAGTGAACACATCATTTTCCTATAGCTTCACGTCTTAGCTCCCTTTAATGTGTCATTCGTCAATAATAAGAATCATACTCTTACATGACTTAGCTAGAAGTGATTCCGCCTTCTCTGTTTATCATATTCCCTCTAGACATCCTAACATTTCCTGGAAGTTGTTAAAAGCACTTATATAAATTTGTTTTAGTTGTCCAACTTGAGTCGAGTGTATAAAGACCAATAAATACAAGATACGGTCCTGGTCTTGCATAAATATATAATTTATTTGAAAACACGCAAAAAATTAACAAGTGAGTAATCCTGAATAAAATTGATAAAATAGTTTGAGAAAAGTAGAGAAAGATAAGTTTGTATGTGTGTACGTCTGTGTGTTTTTTTTCCTCTCTCCTTTTCTCTTTTCCTACTTTCCTTTCTTTTTTCTCGCCTCCCTCTCTCCCCTCCTCCCTTCCTCTCTCCCTCCCTCCCTCCCTTCCTTCCTTTCTTCCTTCCTTCCTTCCCTCCATCCTTCCTCCTCTTTTGTATCCTCCTCCTCCTTTTCTGTATCCTCCTCCTCCTTTTCTGTATCCTCCTCCTCCTCTTCCTCCTCCCGCTTCTCCTCCTCCTCCTTTTCAGGTTAGGCAGAATGAAAGAGAAAAGGAACATTTGCTATCCAGAGGAATCTCCTTTGCTCCAGAAAGTATGTTCAAGTTCATTAAATTAAACCTAACGACCTCCTCTGAATTCCTCAAAAATAAGCAGAATAATGAACAACTCCATTTTTACCATGGTGTCTCTCTTATGAAGTAAGAGACAAATTATACAAATATGACTAATATTTACTATTGAGTTGGTTGTGTCTTTCAAGGTCTTATCACAATTGTTTTCAGCAAAACACTCCATGCTCTGTCTCTTTTCTATTAATGTAATGAGATCAAAAATGATCTCCAAATTGTATTTATCCATGATCTTGAAGTTTACGCTCCACAGACAATAAAGAAAACAACTATCTAGATAGCCTTCCATAAATCATAGACTTGGAGTTCTGCTTCTCTCCTGGCCACAAATACCATTTGTCCTTGGGCTTCACTCATGTGGCATATGGCTAAATATTTACTAAGCTAAAGTAAGGTAAACAGTGTCTGCATTATTACTACAGTCATTTGTCTTACACCAAACTCAATTATTTTTAAGTCAAAAGAAACTATTCTGAAGGTGGTATCTTTTTTTTTTTTTTTTTGAGACGGAGTCTCGCTCTGTCGCCCAGGCTGGAGTGCAGTGACGCCATCTTGGCTCACTGCAAGCTCCGCCTCCTGGGTTCCCGCCATTCTCCTGCCTCAGCCTCCCGAGTAGCTGGGACTACAGGTGCCGCCACCACGCCCGGCTAATTTTTCTGTATTTTTAGTAGAGACGGGGTTTCACCGTGTTAGCCAGGATGGTCTCAATCTCCTGACTTTGTGATCCGCCCTCCTCAGCCTCCCAAAGTGCTGGGATCACAGGCGTGAGCCACCGCGCCCGGCCTCTGAAGGTGGTATCTTACAGTGGTTTTAAGGACCCCATTATCTCCAATATGCTGGAAGGCCAGGTACTATGAATGGTAAATTCATGGTAAACTAATAGATTTTCAAGACAATGTACCATTTATTCAGAATAATCATTTCCTATAACACGGGAAAAATCTCATTTTATTGTGCTTCGCTTGATTGCACTCTGCAGATATTGCACTTTTTTTATAAACTGAAGGTTAGTGGCAACCCTGCATGAAGCAAGCCTGTCAGTGCCATTGTTCCAGCAGCGTGTGCTCACTTTGTACCTCTGTGTCATATTTTGATAATTCCCACAATATGCAAAAATGTATTAGTATTCGTTTATTATGGTGAGCTGGTGAGCAGTGATCTTTGATGTTACTGTTGTAATTGTTTTTGGGTGCCATGGACCCTGCTCACATAAGATAGTAAACTTAATCAATACAGGTGTGTGTTCTGACTTCTCCTCTGACCAGCCATCCCCTCATCTCTCTCTCTCCTCAGACCTCCCTATTTCCTGAGACAAAACAATATTGAAATAAGCTAATTAATAACCCTACAAAGGACTCTAAGGGCTCAAGTGAAAAAAGGAGTCACATGTTGCTCACTTTACATCAAAAGTTAAAAATGATTAACATTAGTGAGCATGCCAGCAGCGAGGCAGGCTGAAAGCTAGGCCTCTCGCACCTAATGGCAAAGTTGTGAATGCAAAGGGAAAGTTCTTGAAGGAAATTAAAAGTGCTACTCCAGTGAATACGCAAGTGATAAGAAAGCAAAACGGCATCATTGCTGATACAGAGAAAGTTTTGCTGGTCTCGATAAAAGATCTGCCGCGATATTCTTTTCTTTTTTTAAAAAAAAAACTTTATGGATACATAGTGTATATATATATTTATATTTATATATTTATGGGGTACATGAGATATTTGCATACAGGCATACAATGTTTAATAATCACATCAGGGTAAATGGGGCATCCAACACCTCAAGCATTTATTATTTACTTGTGTTATGAATAATCCAATTGTACTCCCTCAGTTATTCTAAAATATACAACAAATTATTACTGACTGTAGTCATCCTGTTGTGCTATCAAATACCAGATCTTATTCTTTGTATATAACTATATGCTTTTTATCCACTGACCATCTTCATTTCTTTCCCACTCCCACACGACCCTTCCCAGGCTGTGTAACTGTCATACTACTCTACTCTCTATCTGCATGAGTTCAATTGTTTTTATTTTTAGCTCCTACAGTTATAAGTGAGAACATGCAAAGTTTGTCTTTCTGTGCCTGGTTTATTTCACTTAACATAATGTCCTCCAGTGTTATACATGTTGTTGCAAATGACAGGATCTCATTCTTTTTCATGGCTGAATAGCACTCCATTGTGTATATGTACCATGTTTTCTTTTATTCATTTGTCTGTTGATGCACACTTAGGTTAATTCCAAATTGTGGCTATTATGAATAGTGCTACAATAAATATGGGAGTTCAGATATCTCTTCAATATACTGATTTCCTTTTTGCAGGGGGTATACCTAGCTGTGGGATCCCTGGATCATATTTTTAAATATTTGAGGAAGTTTTATTTTTAGTTTTATTTTTAAATATTTGAGGAACCCCCATACTGTTCTCCGCAGTGGCTGTACTAATTTACATGCCTGACAAGAGTGTATGAGAGCTACCCTTTCTCCATACCCCCACCAGCATTTGTTATTGCCTGCCTTTTGCATATAAGCCTTTTTAGCTGGGGTGAGATGGTAGCTCACTGTAGTTTTAATTTGCATTTCTCTGATGATCAATAATCTTGAGCACCTTTTTCTACATGTGTTTGCCATTTGTATGTCTTCTTTTGAGAACTGTCTATTCAGATCCTTTCCCTATTTTTAAATCAGATTATTAGATTTTTTTCCTCTAGAGCTTTTTGAGCTCCTTATATATTCTGGTTATTAATCCCTTGTCAGATGGATAGTTTCCAAATATTTTCTTCCGTTCTCTGGGTTGTCTCTTCACTTTGTTGATTGTTTCCTTTTTTGTGCAGAAGATATTTAACTTGATGTGATCCCATTCAGCCATTTTTGCCTTTGTTGTCTGAGCTTGTGGTGTATTGCTCAAGAAATCTTTGCCTAGGCCAATGTCTTGAAGAGTCTTCCTAATGTTTCCGTTTAGTAGTTTTACAGTTTGAGGTTTAAATTTAAGTCTTTAATTCATTTTGATTAGATTTTTGTATATGGCAAGAGATGGACATCTTGGTTCATTCTTCTGCATGTGGATATCCAGTTTTTCCAGCACTATTTATTGAATAAACTGTCCTTTCTCCAATGTATGTTCTTGACACCTTTGTCAAAAATGAGTTCACTTTAGATGTATGGATTTATTTCTGGGTTCTCTATTCTGTTTCGTTGGTCTTTGTGTCTGTTTTTATGCCAGTACCATGCAGGTTTGGTTACTATAGCTTTGTAGTATAGTTTGAAGTCAAGTAATGTGATTCCTCCAGTTTTGTTCTTTTTGCTCAAGACAGCTTTGGCTATTCTGGGTCCTTTATCTAATTTTGGGATTGTTATTTCTGTTTCTGTGAAGAATGTAAAGATTGGCATTTTGGTATTTTGATAAAGATTGTATTGAATCTATAGATTGTTTTGGGTAGTATGAACATTTTAACAATATTTATTTTTCCAATCTATGGATATGAAATATCCTTTCATTTTTGTGAACATTTCTATTTCTTGCCTAAATATTTTATACTTTTCATTGTAGAGATCTTTTATTTCTTTGGCTTTATTCCTGGGTATTTTGTTTTCTTTGTAGCTATTGTAAATGGGATTACTTTCTTGATTTCTTTTTCAGATTATTCCCTGTTAACATATAAAAATGTTACTGATTTTTGTATGTTAATTTTGTATCCTGCCACTTTACTGGGTTTTTTTTTTGTCAGATCTAATATTTTTGTGAAGTCTTTAGGTTTTTTTAAATATAAGAACATATCAACTGCAAGCAAAGATAATTAGACGTTTTCCTTTGCAGTTTGGATGCATTTACTTTCCCTTGTTGGATTGCTTTAGCTAGAACTTCCAGTACTATTTGAATAACAGTGGTGAGAGTAGGCATCCTTGCCTTGTTCAAGATCTTAGATGAAAGGCTTTCAATTTTTTCCCATTCAGCAGGATACCAGCTATGAGTCTGTTATATACGTTTTTTTTTTGTTTTGTTTTTGTTTTTTTTGAGACGGAGTCTCACTCTGTCGCCCAGGCTGGAGTGCAGTGGCGCCATCTCGGCTCACCGCAGCCTCCGTCTCCTGGGTTCAAGTGATTCTCCTGCCTCAGCCTCCCGAGTAGCTGGGACTGCAGGCGCCTGCCACCATGCCCAGCTAATTTTTTGTATTTTTAGTAGAGACGGGGTTTCACCATGTTAGCCAGGATGGTCTCCATCTCCTGACCTTGTGATGCACCCGCCTCGGCCTCCCAAAGTTGTATATGGTTTTTATTTTGTTGAGATATGTTCCTGCTATATCCAGGGTTTGTTGTTGTTGTTGTTGTTGTTGTTTAGAAAAGGTCTCACTCTGTCACCCAGGTTGGAGTGTAGTGGCATGATCATGATTCACTGAAGCCTCAACTTTCCAGTCTCAACCAATTCTCCCATCTCAGCCTGCTGAGTAGCTGGGACTACAGATGTGCACCACCATGCCTAGCTACTTTTTGTATTTTTCAAATAGAGGCAGGGTTTGCCTTGCTGCCCAGGCTGGTGGCAAACTCCTGGGCTCAAGTGATCCACCCACCTTGGCATCCCAAAGTGTTGGGATTATAGGCATGAGCCACTGCACCTAGCCTTATATCCAGTTTTTTGAGGGCTTTTATCATGAAGCAATACTGAATTTTATCAAAGCGTTTTCAGCATCAGTTGAAAGGATCATATGGTTTTTGTTCTTCATTCAGTTCAAATGATGTATCACATTGACTGACTTGCATATGTTGAACTATCCTTGCACCACTGGTATGAATCCCTATTGGTCATGCTGAATGATCTTTTTAGGGTGTTGTTGAATTCAGTTTGCTAGTATTTTGTTGAGGATTTTTGCATAAATGCTCAACATAAATATTGGCCTTTAGTTCATTCGTTCTTTTTTCTTTCTTTCTTTCTTTCTTTCTTTCTTTCTTTCTTTCTTTCTTTCTTTCTTTCCTTCTTTCTTTCTTCTTTTTTTCTTTCTTTCTCTTTCTTTCTTTTTCTCTTTCTCTTTCTTTCTTCTTTTTCTTTCTTTCTTTCTCTCCCTTTCTTTCTTTCTTTCTTTCTTTCTTTCTCTTTCTTCTTTCTTTCTTCTTTCTCTTCTTTCTTTTTTTTAATGTGTCTTTGTCTGTTTTTGGTATCAGGGTAATACTGACCTTGTAGAATGAGTTTGGAAAAATTTCCTACTATTCTACTTTTTGGAATAATTTGGGTAGGATTTGGTATTTGGTAGAATTCAACATTTAAACCACAGAGTCCTCGGTTTTCTTTGCTGGGAGACTTTTTATTATGGCTTTGATTGTTATTTGTTATTGGTTGATTCAGGTTTTGGTTTTACATTTCTTCATGGTTGAATCTTGACAGATTGTATGTGTCTAGGAATTTACCCATTTCTTTTAGGTTTTAATTTTTTTTGCCATATAGTTTCTCATAGTAGTCTCTAATGATCCTTTTAATTTCTGAATTATCAATTTTAATGTCTCCCTTTTCATCTCTGATTTTTATTTATTTGGGTCTTCTTTCTTTTTTCTTATTTAGTCTAGCTAAAAGCTTGTTGCTTTTATCTTTTCAAAAATCACTTTTTTGTTTCATTTTGTATTGTCTTTTTTGTTTTGATTTTCTTTTTTCTAATCTGATCTTTTTATTTTTCTTTTCCTCTAGTATTTGGGTATGATTTGTTCTTGCTTTTCTAGTTCCTTATGATGTTAGGTTGTTTATTTTAAGGTTTTGTACTTTTTTATATAGGTGCTCATTGCTATAAACTTTCCTCTTAGTACTGCTTTTGCTGTATGCCATAGGTTTTGGTATGTTGTGTTTCCATTTCATTTGTGTCAGGAAATTTGTAAATTTTTTTCTTAATTTCTTCATTGACCCACTAGTCATTCAAGAGGACATTGTTTAATTTCCACATATTTGTAGTTTCTTCTTGTTATTGATTTCCAATTTTATTCCATTGTGGTCAGAGAAGAATCTTGATATGATATCATGTTTTTCTGATTTTGTAAGACTTATTTTTTGGCCTAATGTAAGGTCTGTTCTTGAGACTTATCCATGTGCTGAGGAGAAGAATGTGTATTCTGCAGCCATTGGATGAAATGTTCCGTACATATCTGTTAGGTCCATTTGATTTATAGTGCAGATTAGATCCAATGTTTTTTTGTTGAATTTGTAGCTGGATGATCTGTCCACTTCTCAAAGTAGAGTGCTGAAGTCTCTAGCTATTATTGTATTGACATCTGTCTCTCTCTTTAGCTCTGAAGATATTTGCTTTATATATCTGGGTGCTCCAATGTTGGGTGCATATATATTTACACTTGTTATATCCTCTTCCTGAATTTATCCCCTTATAATTATATAAGGGGCTTGATTCCTTTTACAGTTTTTATCTTGAAGTCTATTTTGTATGATCCAAATGTAGATATACCTGCTCTTCTTTGGTTTCCATTTGCATGGAATATCTTTTTTCATCTCTTTATTTAGAGTCTACATTTGTCTCTATAGGTGAAGTGTATTTTTATAGGCAACCGATTGTTGGGTCTTGTTTTTTAACCATTCAGACACTGTATGTCTTTTGATTGGAGAGTGTAGTCCATTTATAGTTAATGTTTTTATTGATAAGTAATAGCTTATTATTGTCATTTTATTATTCATTTTCTGATTGTTTTGTGGCTCCTCCCTTCCTTCCTTCCTTCCTTCCTTCCTTCTTTCCTTCTTTCCTTCCTTCCTTCCTTCCCTCCTTCCTTCCTTCCTTTGGGTCTTTTTTCTTTCTTCCTTCTTTTCTTCCTTCTTTTTTTTTTCCTTCCTGTGAAAGTGATTTTCTCTGGTGGTATGTTTTAATTTCTTGCTTTATATTTTTGTATATATATTGTAGATGTTTTGATATCAGATCTAGCTAAGAACATTGATGAAAGTGGCTACACTAAAAAACATATTTTTCAGGTTAGATTAGGTAGCCTTCTACTGGAAGAAGATACCACCTAAGACTCTCATAGCTAGAAAGAAGTTAATGCCTGGCTTCGATGGACAGGTTGACTCTCTTGTTAGCAGCTGGTGCCCTGGTGATTTGAAGTTGAAGCCAATGCTCACTGACAATTTTGAAAATCCTAGGGCTCTTGAGAATTAAACAGCATGGTTTACTGAATATTTTAAACTCAATTTTGAGACCTATTGCTCAGAAAGAAGATTCCTTTCAAAACTTTGTTGCTCATTGATAGTACACCTAGTCACTCAAGAGTTCTGATGGAGATGTATAAAAAAATTAATGTTGTTTCATGCCTGCTAATGCAATATCCATTCTGCAACCCATGGATCAATGTGTATACAACTTGGAAGTATTATCATTTAAGAAATACATTCAGTAAGGCTACAGCTGACATAGATAGTGATTTTTCTGATGTATCTGGACAAAGTACTTTGAAAACCTTCTGAAAAGGATTCACCTTTCTAGATGCCATTAAGAATATTTGTGACTCATGAGTGGAAGTCAAAATGCCAACATTAATGGGATGTTCAAAAGAGTTGATTCCAAACCTCATGGATGAGTTTGAGAAGTTTAAGACTGAAGTGGAGGAAGTAATTGCATATATCATGGAAATAGCAAGAGAACTACAGTTGGAAGTAGAGCCTGAAAATGTGACTGAATTGCTGCAATCTCATTACATAATTTTAATGAATGAGAAGTTGTTTCTTATGGATGAGCAAAGAGAGTGGTTTCTTGAGATGGAATCTACTTCTGGTGATGATGCTGTGAACATTGTTAAAATGATAACAAAGCATTTAGAATACTACATAAAATTAGTTGACCAAATAGTGGCAGGGTTTGAGAGTCTTAACTAATTCTGAAAGAAGTTCTACAGTGGGTAAAATGCTATTATTAATCAGCATTGCATGCTACAGAGAATTATTCTGTGAAAGGAAGAGTCAATTGATGCAGCAAGCTTCATTGGGACTAATATTAAGAAATTGCCACAGCTCCCCTAACCTTCAACCACCACCCTGATGCCAGCAGCCATCAATATCAAGGAAAGACCTTCAACCAGTGAAAAGACTATGACTTGCTGACGTCTCAGATGATAATTAGCAGTTTTCAGCTACGAATTATTTTTATTAATATATTAACATTTTTAGACATAATGGTATTGCACACTTAATTGTCTACAGTATATATAAATATAACTTTCATACACACTGAGAAAGCAACAAATTATTGTCACTTCCTTTATTGCAACTTGCTACTTGTGGTGGTCTGGACCTGAATGTGCAATATCTCTGAGGTATGCCTGCACATTTGTATCAGACAGACTACTAAAAAAATACAAACAATTATGTGAGGTAGTCATTACTTTTATTTTACAAATAAGAAAATTGTGTCTTAGAAAAAATGATGAGGTTTACCAAAATTGATTAATTAGCCAGAATAGAAATGCTTGTGAAAAGACTTCCACGAAGGTCTACTAAGTTAGCATGAGGGCATTATCTTTATTTTAAATAGATCGACACCAGAATTGTCACAAATGATTTAGTCTGGGCATATTTTATATTGCTACCTGTATTTAATAAAGCTGTAATAAATTTTAATGAATCCGATTGCTGTAAGGTCAAAAAATGGCTTAAAACAGTATCAGAACATGATATATAGAAATGAATAACATAGATTGTTCAGACAGAGAAAACCATTTTAATGAAAATAACCCATACAGCTTTATCCCAAATTTCAAAACCCTTGATACATTACCTTCACGTATACTATATTTATAGAACTTCTTCTTGAAATTAGGAATCCTATGAATGTTTAATAACCTTTATTATGTCCACTTGTTAGGTTAGCTAGAAGACTATTATTAACAAAGGATAAAATGCAAGTGTTTCTAAATTTAGAATAAACTTTAAGAAAATGACTTTAGCCTACCCTGAATAGCTTGCTAGGATCAGTTATTAATGTTAAATGTGACATTGAAAATTTCCAGAACGTAAATATATAAGGCAAAATTTGTTCCCTTTACAGTTCTACTAATTTTTTCCATAATTTTTTCCTC
Organism: Homo sapiens; assembly: GCF_000001405.40. Classification (NCBI taxonomy): domain Eukaryota; kingdom Metazoa; phylum Chordata; class Mammalia; order Primates; family Hominidae; genus Homo; species Homo sapiens. The sequence goes on along the minus strand of NC_000003.12, from coordinate 76,794,180 downwards.
ATTTATTCAATTTTTCAAGCTGTACTGGTATGAATTCTGCACCATTCAAATTTTAATAAGACGTTTTTATTTGAAACTTTTCGCTGTTTAAGCATCATTACAAGATTTCAAGATTCAAGGCATTAGAACCAAAAGAAGAGTCCTATTCCAGGGAAAGGTGGAACCCCAAGAGAGGAGCATCCTTGAAGCCAATAAAAAGACTTTCAAGAAGGCAACAAATAGATGGACAATGATCTCAAACTCTTCAAAAAAATCAAATAGGATAAAGATTTGAAACCAGAATGCTACAGTATGATAAAATCTCTGGACAGAATTAGAACACTACATATTACTTGCAATGTTTCTGTGAATTTGTAAGAGTAAAAGGCAGATTGGAGAGAATAAGAGGTGAGGGAATGGAGTCAAAATAGGTGATACAGAAATAGCAGAGTGATGTGGTAGAAAGGAGGACTCATTAAGAATTCACTATTATGACGAGTTAATGGGTGCAGTACACCACCATGGCACATGTATACATATGTAACAAACCTGCACATTGTGCACATGTACCCTAAAACTTACAGTATAATAATAATAAAAGAAAAAAAAAGAATTCACTATTATGATTTTACTCCTACAGAATGCTTACTGTGTTTGGTACCTGCTATGTTTTTTACTTCCTGTAATACTTTCACTTGAGATCAGCTCATTCTACCCTCTCTGAAGTCATGGTGAGAATTTTATCAGGAAGTTCTCAATTGTTTTCCATTTCCTGTTCACCAAACCTCGTACCTAAAGTGACCATGTGACCAAAGCTAACGCCGTTCAGGTTCCCCCTATTAGCAATGTGGATCTTGGGTTTTGGCATTTTGTATTCCCACTTATAAATGATCAGGGTGAGATAATAAAGAGGCTTCTAGGATAATGAACAAAATATTAATAATAGATATTTGTTAAGTTCATATTTTCAAAGAGTTTTAAAAATTGCCTTCTATGTGCTGCTTATATCTTAATTTTTTTAATTTAAAAAACTAGTCTCAATATTATAAATACAGTCTTACAGAAGTGTGATTTTTCTATATATGGGAAAATTTGGGATACAAATACAAAAACAACTGAAATTAGAGAACCAGAAAGATGGAATCGCATTTTTGTTTCTATTTTTACACTTATTATATTGCCTTTATACATTTAAAATTCTGAAATTTTGCTGTGAAAATAGAAATATTCAATATAGCATAATTTAAGAAAATTTAAACAGTTAAGTATACATTCTCAAATATATATGTTGTAAACTCAACACTTTCAAAAACTTTATGACATATGAGAGTGCCATGCATTTAAATTAATTTTATTATTGAGCCTCATTTTAGAAGCTAGCTCTAATTCAGCTATTCATATCCTACAACTTAGAAAAAAAGTTTGGGTTGACAAACTTACTTCTTACCAGAGGATTTTTTTGTTGTTGTTGTTGTTTTTTGCTTTTTGTCTTTAAGTAAACCAACATCGTCTCCTTGTTTCAAATGCTTGAATTATATTTTAGACATAGTGAAATAGGCAATGTGACAGCTACTTTCCAAAAAAAAAATTTTCAAACTTTATATGTAATATTGCTGAAATTTTTTCTATTCTTAAGAAGTAGAATTACCTTTATTTATAATTAAAAGGAACCCCCAGAAAATGATAATGGAGGTGATAAAGGAAAGTAGATTCTGATGATCTATTTTCACATTAAAATAACAGCTCGTACAGTATTCGTTATCTATCCCAAAAAAACAAATTACAGTTGTTCCTTGGTATCTGCAGGGGATGGGTCCCAGGACCCCCGAGGATACCAAAATTAGGGGATGCTCCAATCCCCAAAATAGAAACATTCAATATAGCATAATTTAAGAAAATTTAGACAGTTAAGTATACATTCTCAAATATTTCTATGTTGCAAACTCTTAACACTTGCAAAAACTTTATGACATATGAGAGTGCTGTGCATTTATATTAATTTTATTATTGAGCCACATTTTAGAAGCTAGCTCTAATTCAGCTATTCATATCCTACAACTTAAAAAATATTTTTGGTTGAAAAACTTATTCCTTACCAGAACGTTTTTTCTTTTTGTCTTTAAATAAATCAACATTGTCTCCTAGTTCCAAATGCTTGAATTATATTTTAGACACAATCAAATAGGTAATGTGACAGCCAAAATGTTGGCAAATGCCAAAGTAATTGCATATAACCTTTGCACATCTTCCTATGTACTTTAAATTACCTCTTGATTATTTATAATAATTAACAAAATGTAAAAGGCTATGTAAATAGCTGTTATACTGTATTTTTAAAGTTTGTACTATTTTTAATTGCTGTATCATTTTGTGTGTGTGTGTGTGACTATTCAACCAATCCATGGTTGGTTGAATCTGTGGATGCAGAATCCATGGCTATAGAGAGCTGATTGCACCCCAAATTTATCGGCTTAAAGCCAGATATCATCTCACTTTCTGAAGATCCAGAATTTGGGAGCAGCTTAGTTGGTTGGTTCAGCTAAGCCTCTCTCATGAGATAGCAGTGAAGCTGTAGACCAGGGCTATGGCCTCTGAAGCTTGATTAGAGCACTCCTGTGGCTATTGGCAAGAGACTTTAGTTGGTGTCAGTGTGTGTATGTGTGTGTGAGAGAGAGAGAGAGAGTGTGTGAAACAGAGAGAGAGAAAAGAGAAAAACACAGAGAGAGAGAGAGAAAAGAGAGAGAGAGAGACATGAAAGCAGAAATATCTTATAAAACCCAATTTCAGAAGTGATAACCCATCTCTTCTGCCACAGTCTATTGATCACACAGACTACCTTTGGCACAACATGAGAGAGTATCACACAGGGCTGGGGACAGCAAGAGGCAAGGATAGTTGTGGACCATTCTGCAGGCTCACTACCACATGTAAAATCAAGACAGCTTATCTGTCCATCTATTTATTTTGAGCTGTCCTCAACTTTTTCCATGTTCTTTTCTACTTGTACTTATTCCTTCTTATAATTGACACTCCAAGTCATTCCAACTATTCTGCAAGGTACACTTCTGGGAAGATTTTCTTCATCACACTGGCGAAAATGCAGCCTTTTCCTCTTATGTTCATCAGATAATTTTAATGATTATTGAAGACTATGATGATGGCAACAGAAGAGAACATTTGCTGAAACTTTTCTTTGCCTTTTACCTGTTTCATCTCAAGTAATCCTAAAACAACTTTATTATGTAGAAGCTACTATTATCATTCCCATTTAACTAAAGAAGAAAATAAAGAAATTTATATAACTTGTCTAAGATCACACAAGTAGTAAGTGATAGGGCTGAAAAGAACCCAGATCTATTTGTCACAAGGGCCCATGCTTTTAACCAATGTTATATACCTTCATTTATTTTAAAGGTATAGGTAAGAAATAGCTCCAATTTAGTAATAAACATTTTTGGTTTTTCTTTCCATTATTTGAGTGACTGTTTAATATGTTGTTATTTTCTTTTAAAATAGTAATATATGTTTAATTTGGGAAATGCGATGTAGTTGATACTTTATTAAAAAGTAAGCTTCGTGTTAGATAATTTTGCCCAACTGTAGGGTAACACAATGTTCTGAGCATGTTTAAGGTAGGCTAGGCTAAACTAAAATGTTTGGCAGGTTAGATGTATTAAATACATTTTTGATTTATTACATTTTCAACTTAACAATGAGTTTGTCAGATAGTAAATCCATTTTAAGTGGAGAAGCATCTGTAGTTCAATTAGCACTAGTGGAAGGGCAATGCCATTGCAGTCATGTTTGAAACTGTATTGTTCCACACCATTAAGGCTTCTGAAAACGTACTCTGCAACTCCTTCATCAATTCCTTTGGCTTGGTGGCAAGTTCCTATAATTGTCCTAAAAGCTCAAGTTTGGCTAAAAGTTTCTATCACACTCAGAAATCCAAGTTACCAAGAATATCGCCAGGTTACTGAGGAGATGTAGAGGAAACTCTACCTTTAGGAGCCACATTCAATTTTGATTGAATAAATTAATCTTCAGACTGGGTGGAAAGTTTGATTGATTCAGCAGTATGAGACTAATCTTGATTCTAGTCAAACACATATGACAATGATTTTCTTAACCAAAACTTACAACTACTTGCCAAAATAAAAATTCAATCATAGTTTAAACTTTAAAATTATTTCACATTATTTATGATAATCATGTAAAATATAGAGATAAATGGTTTATATGTGGCCAAATTAACATCGTATTCTAAATAGACTGTGCTCTACAAATTACTTTCCAAATTATAGAATTGGGAGAGTTGTATGATGTAGGGAACTATGGTAGAATAAAAAGTTTCCTCATGGACTTGTTAATTTTTGTGTGTGAGCCCTTGACTTAATACATGACATTCCTTTTTCTTGACGTTCTATTTCTTAAATCAAATTTGCTGTCCTCTAAATTGGATGGAAAAATCAAGTTTCAATTTGCGTTATGCTCTTTGTCCTTTTTCACTTATAAACTCTACATTGATTTGAGTAAGGCTCTCACTACAGTTTATGAACTTGGGCAGCTTCTTTGAAAAAAGAAAATGAGTTGGCTTGTGAGTCCATTTTCCCCAAGCTCTTTGCAAACTAATTACTGCATCCGCAGTACAATAGGAAGGGGAACAGAACTGAATTGAAGGTTAAGGAAGGCAATCAGACAACATGCTTCTGTCTGCACAACATCCTGTGAGCCAGGATGCCACCTTATCTTGTGCTGATTACCCCTGTATACAGTGTGTAGCCACCAGTCATTAACTCCTTGAAGAACTCCAAGTGTAATTGGGAGTTGCCAGCGCAGGCTGCTCCTTCGTATAATGGCATCCTAGGCCATTAAACAGTAATTTGTACTGTTCTGCTTGGAAAAACGAAGCCATTGCTATGTTCTTTTTAAAGAGAAAAGAGTAGTTTATAGACACATAGACAATAGAGGACATGAGCTACTCAAAAATACTAGCAAGCTCAGTGCACAGGAAAATAACCACCCTGCATCTAAGGATACAGTGTTCTTTGTGCCTTTTGACTCTAAGCAAACTCTAGCTATGCTCTAATGAGGTGATTTCCTCCTAACCTATGTGAAGCCACTGACATTTGGCATGTTGGGCAGATAGATCAAAAGTGGCCTACAAGCATGTATAAATGTTTAACACCCAGGTGTTCGACTTGACATTTTCTTGCTATATAGCAGCTGCCTGATTATTTAAGGATTACCAACAGTCACTGAACATCAAGAAAGGTCCACCTGTACTAATCATTTGCTATAATAGGATCAGTGTTCAACCCTAAGTTTCTTTTGATTATCACTGTTAAACTTTCTCTTAGTATCCCCTAGCTTGCTAGAGGAAAAAGACTTATGGAACCGTGCTATATCAAAGGCCCGACTACTGAAATATTAGTGGACATCTTTGAAGCCACAATAATAGATATTCTTCTCCTTAAGAGGTTCAGATAAAGAATAATAAAAAATTTCTACTGTATAGATATTCCATATCATTTCTATGGTTATTATAAAGCCATGCCTGAAATGGATATAATTTAAAGTAATAACTTTCCTGTCAATCTGCTAAAAAGTAATTTCACAGTCTAATTTCTTATCATAAAAGTCCTACAAATTTGGTAATATCTACATTAAAAGACAGTTGAGTCTGATGTAGTCCAAGTCCTGTCCTTGATTCTTTTTATTAGATTATAAACTTAGACACATTAACTTCCCTGAGGCCTAGTTTTTCTTACTTGGTTAATAGTTACAATAGGTTAGTTTAGAGAGATAAAAAGAACTATAAACACTATAGTTGGCATAGTAAGGGCTAAGAAGGTAAGGCACAGATGGCACTTAATACCATTTAAGGTAGGAAAGGAGAGTGGAGTTTATTAGAGTATGTGCTGTGTCAAGTAGAGGTAGACTGCTAAAAAATATTGTTTCCTCTTCTCACACATTTTGTCCAAAGTCTATTTTTTATTATTATATTATTATTTGCCTGGTGTATTCTAGGTACTCAACAAATATGATCTCCTTTCTGCCCAATACTTCTCTTTTTTATTATTTCCCTTCTGCTCTATTAACAATAGATTTGGAATCTTTTGGAAATATGATGGGAAGGTTGATAAGAAAAAAAAAAGTCTTGTTTGTTTAATTCTGTTTTCTATTTGGACTCAAGTTTGTTCTAAGCTGTTCTCAACATTAGATTTATTTTTACTGCAATTGAGAGTTGCTGCCCAGGTGCTTAGGTACTGTTTCTGCTCTATATACGTAATACTAATATCATGATGGGTTGTTGTAAAAGCAATTAAGATACGTATGATGTGTAAAAATATTTTGCTAACAGCATAAACAACAAATATATACTAATTTTTCTTATAACCTAGTACTTGCTGTAGATCCAAATACCTTGATAATTGTTGATATTTTGGTCTTTTAAAATATATTTATTTTACATATTAGCCAAATCTCTAGCTTGATCGCTAATGGCTGGTAGATGAGCTAACAACTTTGTCACTTCCAAGAGAGTGAAATGTGCATGTCATTTGTCTTTTTTGAATATATATTGAATAAAATACATATAGAGAACTTATAGATAACAAAAGATAATTTTACAATTATATTGCAGAAAGTCACATTCCCTTTAGCATTTGTAGGTTTTGTGGTGTCTCTTTCTGCATGAGATTTTTGGTAGCTTCAGAAACAAATTTAAACCTTGCCCTCTAGTGAGAATAAGTAATACTAAGGTAGGAACAACTATGACCCATGGGCCAAATCTAGTCAGCCATTTGTCTTTGGGCCACAAGCTAACAAACTCTGTGTGTGTGTGTGTGTGTGTGTGTGTGTGTGTGTGTGGTGTGTTTACATTTAATGACTGGAAAAAATTCAAACTTCACATGTTGTGACATGTGAAGATTATAAAAATTCAGATTTTACTGTCCATAAGTAAAATTTTATAAAGGCATTGTGATATGGTTTGGCTCTGTGTCCCCACCCAAATCTCATGTTGAATTGTAATTCCCAGGGTTGAGTGAGGGACATGGTGGGAGGTGACTGGATCATGAGAGCGGACTTCCCTCTTGCTGTTCTCTTGATATTGAGTGAGTTCTCATGAGACCTGGTTGTTTGAACATATGTAGAACTTCCCTCTTAGCTATCTTTCTCTCCTGCCACCATATGAAGATGTGCTTGTTTCTCATTCAATCTTCTGCCATGATTGTAAATTTCCTGGCCTCCCCAGCCATGCATCCTGTGTAGCCTGTGAACTATGAGTCAATTAAACCTCTTTTCTTTAGAAATTTATCAGGTAGCTCTTTATAGCAGTGTGAGAATGGACTAATGCATATTTCTACAACTCATTATTTACATAGTTTATATAGCTCTTTTAAGAGCTACATAATTGAAGAGTTGAGTAGTTGTGACAGAGACCCTATAGCTCATGAAACCTACATCTTTACAATCCAGCCCTTGACAAAAGAAATTTGCTTACTCGTTGCCTAAGGCATTGATATGGTTTGGCTCTGTGTCCCAACCAAAATCTCATGTTTTATTGTAATCCGCAATGTTGGAGGTGGAGCGTGGTGGGAGGTAATTGAATCATGGGAGTGGTTTCCAGTTGTTTAGCACCATCCCCCTAATGCTGTCTCATGATAGAGTTCTCAAAAGATCTGGTTGTTTAAAATATGTAGCACCTCCCCCTTCTCTCTCTTCTTTCTGCTACCACCTTGTAAGATATGCCTACTTCCCCTTCACCTTCTGCCATCACTGTAAGTTTCCTGAGACCTATGCAGAAGCAGAAGCCTATACAGCCCACAGAACCATGAGCCAATTAAATTGTGTTTTTTATATAAATTACCCAGTCTCAGGTACATCTTTATAGTGGTGCGATAATGGACTAATATAGGTCTCATTTAAAATTTTATTAATAAGACAATTCAGTATTCTCCTGCATCAAATGAAGGTAGAATATTTCTCAGTCATTATGTTTATATGGATCAGAAATACAAACTGAAAATGTACATTAGGTATGAGAATACAGGTGATTAAAACCTTGAAAATTTTGTTCTCTAGAAAATTATAAATAAACAGAGTGCTTATATCCATATGATATATGGGTTTTCCAACTCTGATATATGTTGATATACATCCACAAGGTTAAAGAGGTAAATATATATCAGGAACTTGATTAGGACTTACTGATTTGACCTTCAGTTGGATGTCTTTCCCATTCTCTACATCCTCACTGTACTTGACTCTAATACATATAAAAACTTAGAACAAATGTTAAGTATTTTTGAAACAATTGTAGCAGATCCAAATTAATCTGAATATTAAGACCAACAATCTTTTTAGATAAAGTGTGATACATCTGTATTTAACTTTTGCTGACATGAAGCAGCTAGGTAAATAGGGCTGACTTAGTTGGCACTCTTGGACATTTCTGGCAGTGGCAAGGGGGAGGAGTGAAAATTATGAATATGGATAGTGTCATATGTAAACAGACCATGAAAACATCATTCTTTCTCTCTCAGATAGGTGAGTCTCGGTCTAAGTTGTTTAAACTTCTAGAACAATTGCAGTAGGAAATAAATATTTATTTAAAGTTAACTTAATTTTTTTAAAAAAGAAAAGCCACCAACTGTCCATTGCCATAGCACTACAACAAAATCACCAAACATATATGATGTGATAAATAAAATATACTTACCCTGTGAATACATATTATCAGATGAGCTATTAGCATACCACTATACTTTAGGAAGACCTGCTTACAGATGAACTTGGACCAAGCTTTCCTAGCACCTTAACAAGAGAGTACTATAAGAGTTCAATGAATGCTCCAGCTGATTGATTTTCAGATCCTGATGACTCCCAGAATACAAACAATTAAAATACAGTACACTTGTTATACCATACCATGCCAAACTCAAAATTGTCTTTCTTTAAGTTTCCTGTTGAGATGAAAGTAATGGAAATACTTTAATCTTAGTAATGGAAGATCTGTAATGTCAGTAATAGAGAGTTTTACAATGTATCAAGGCCCATATCACCAAGGATAGAGAAGATAAAGAAAAAAAGATATGTGGGAATGACATCAGCAAACAGAATAGGAATTTCTGGCTCTCATTTCCCCGTAGAAACAAACCACAAATAAGAATACTTTAAAGAGGTCCCAAAGTACAACTGAGTGATTTCAGCATTTGGTGGTCCAAAAAATTCAAGAGTGGACACATTGAAGAAGGTAAGATAAGCAGTGTCACAAAGATTTCTCACACAGAAGAAAGTGAGAAAAAAAGTGAAATACCTAGAAGGCCCATGTTTGTCTTGCCCAACCCAGGACACTGAGGGAATCAACATGGCTGTATCATCTGGTAACAACTAGGAACAAAAAGAAAGGTCAGAAAATAACAGAAACTAGAGCATGAATCTCAACAATTGGCCACAATTCCTGCTAACCAGTTTGAGGACTACATCAAGAAGCCTTTCCATGAACCTGCAGGATGACTCTTTTGTGTACCTCCCTAACCTATCAAGGAATGCCCCAAGCATCCTATATACTGTCCTGTGGCTGGCATCTTATGCATCTCCATGCATGGTACTCAATATATCTACATAGATAACACATATGAGCTATCTTGGACATTGAACAGATCTTAATAGCAGATATGGATCTCAGCAACCAGCTTAACTCTGCTGTATTGGAAGAAGGCATGCTAGTTTAAATGCATTAGGGCACTGTCCTAGGGAAAATAAATGAGAGGCTCTCAGCACCAAGCCTGGCTTTGCAGGATCAAAAGAAGACACACAATCCCAAGACATCCTCCCCAAGAAGAAACAAGAGAAGTGGAGCAGATATACTCATGGGAAAGATCTACAAGCCCTCCAGAATCCCTCTAGTCAGGTTGACTGTTGAAAGTCTTTCTCTCCTCTAGCCAGTCAGTAACAACTAGAGAAGGTAATTGTTGTTTTTCAAATGTGAAGAAAGTAATGCAAGGATTCAAGGAACATGAATCATCAAGGTAATATAATATTGCCATAAAATAAAATAAAGCTCCAGTGACTGAGCTCATTGAAATGGAGATCTATGAATTTCCTGACAACAAATTTGAAATAATCATCTGAAAGAAGCTCAGCTGAAGAATACAGTGTTCCAACTGAAAAATTCAAAAGAGAGCTACAACAGCATATTTAATTATGTAGAAAAAAAAGTCAGTGAACTCAAAGATAGATAATTTGAAATGATCCAATTAGTGGAATAAAAAGATAAAAGAATAAAAAAGAGTAAAGAAAGCTGATGATATGTATGAAACACCATCAAGTGAACTAATGTACACATTATAAAAGTTCCAGAAGAAGCAGAGAAAGAGAAAGGGCCAGAAAACTTATTTTAAGAAATAATGACAGAAAACTCCCCAAATCTAAATATTGAAATGAACATCCAGATAGTTGAAGCACAAATAACCCCAACATATTGAACATAGAGGCTTTTATCGAGACATTCTAATAACATTGTCCAAAATCAAAGAGAATTTTGAAAGCAGCCAGAGAAAGGCAATTCATCAAGTATAAGGGAATCTTCATAAGACTATCAGTGGATTTCTCAACAGAAATCTTACAGAGCAGGAGAGTGTTGGATGACATATTGAAAGCACTGGAAAAAAAAAAAAAAGAAAGAAACTACCAAACAAAAATACTATACTTGGCAAGGCTATTCTTCAGAAATGAAAGAGTGATAAGGACATTCCCAGACAAACAAACACTGAGATTTCATCATTTTTCAAGAAATGAAATGAAGAGTTGCTAATTAGCAACATGAAAACATGCAACGGTTAAGGGAAAAATATAGTCAAAGTCTCAATACTCTAGTAGTGTAATTATGTTGCACAAATTACTTTTAACTCTACTATGAAAGTTAAAAGGCAAAGTATTCAATATAGTTATGGCTACAGTAATTACTTAATGCATACACCATATAAAAAGTTGTAAATTGTGACATCAATATCATAAAATGTATGTTCAGGAATGAAAATACAGAGTTTTTATATGTAACAAAAATTAAGTTGTTATCAGGCTAAATAGATTGTTTCAACTATCAAGTTTTATATAAGTCTCATGGAAATCACAAAGGTAAAACATATGTTAGATACATAAAAGATAAAGAAAAATAAATCAAAGCACACAAGTAAAAATTTTATCAAATCACCAAGAAGGAGAGCAAGAGAGGGAGAATAAAAGCCACTACAAAATTGTAAAAAAGAAAAACCCCAAAACTAACAAAATGGCAATAGTAAGTCTTTAACTATCAATAATAACTAATTACTACAAATGCAAATGGATGAAATTTTTCAATCAAAATATATAGTGACTAAAGGATAAAAAAACGAGATTCTACAAGAGACTCACTTTAGCTTTCAGAATATACACAGCCTGAAAGTAAGTGGATGAAAAAAGATATTCTACACAAGTTGTAACCAAAACAGAGCAGAGTTGGTTATATATATATGAGATGAAGTAGATTTTAAGTCAAAAACTGTAAAATGGGACAAAGAAAGTTATTACAAAAGAACAAAGTCATGAGTTTATCAAATGGACATTACCATTATAAATATATGTGCACTCAATATTAGAGCATCATGATATATAAAGTAAATATTATCAGAACTGAAGAAGGAAATAGCAATAAAATAATCGTAGGGAATTTCAATACCCCACTTTTAACAAGGACAGATTATCTAGAAACAAAATCAATAAGGAAACAGACTTAAACACTAAAAATCAAATGGAACTAATAGACATATATAAAAGTTTTTTATCAAACAGCAGTAGGAAACACATTAATCACATGGAATGTTCACACAGAATTCTCCAGAGTAGATCAGATGATAGGTCACAAAAGAAGTCTTAACTGATTTCGAAAGATTAAAATATCAAGCATCTTTTCTACCATAACGGTATGAAACTAGAAATCAATACTAGGAAGAAAATCAGATAATTCACAAATATGTGAAAATTAAGCAATATACTTCTGAACAACCAATGGGTTAAAGAAGAAATCAAAAGGGAAATGGATGAATTCCTAAAAACTTACAATCTACCAAGACTTAATCATGATAATATAAAAAATCTGAACAGACCAATAACATACAAGTAGACTGAATCCGTAATCAAAAACCTCCCAAGAGCAACAACAAGCCATGATCCGATGGCTTCATGGATGAATGCTACTAAACATTAAAGAATTAATGCCAGATCTTCTCTGACTCTTTCCAAAAACTTGAAGAGGAAGAAACATTTATAAACTCATTTAATAAGGACAGAATTACCCTGATACCAAAGCCGGGCAAGAACATTACAAGAAAAGTACATAGATGCAAAAATCCTTAACCAAATCTTAGCAAACCAAATTCAACAGCACATTAAAAGAATCATTCGCTATGATCAAGGAGGATTTATCTTTCAAATATAAGGATAATTTAACATACGCAAATCAGTAAATGTTATATACCACATGAACAGAATAAATTATAAAAATCATATGATCATCCCAATGGAGACAAAGCATTTGGCAAAATTCAACACATTTTCATGATTAAAACTCTTGACATATTAGGTATAGAAGAAATGTACAACATAATAAAGGTCAAATGTAAATACAACATAATAAAAGTCAAAATGCTGAAAGCTATTTCTCTAACATTATGTACAAGATAAGAATGCCACTCTTGTCATTTCTAAACAACGTAGTACTGGAAGTTCTAGCCAGAACAATTAGTCAATGGAAGGCAATAAAGACATTCAAGTTTGAAAGAAAGAAGTAGAATTGTCTCTTTCTGCATATAACCTGATCTTATATATAGAAAACCCTAAAGACTCCATAAAAAATAAATGAGAATTAATCAATTTTGTGAAGTTTTGGGATACAAATGCAACATAGAGTTTCAGTTGCATTTTTATACACTAACAACAAACTGTCTAAAAAACAAATAAGAAAACATTCCCATTTATAATATCATCAAAAGGAATAAAATACTTATGAATTCATTTAACCAAGGAGGTAAGAGAGCTATTCTTGAAAAACTGTAAAACACTGATGAAAGAAATTGAAGAAGACACAAATAAATAGAAAAATATTTCATATTTGTGAATTGGAAGAACTAATATTGTTGAAATGTTCATAATACCTAAAGTGATTTATAGATTCAAAGCAATGCCTTTAAAAATTACAATAGCATTTTTTTCTCAGAAATATAAAAACCATCCTATAATTCCTGTGGAATCACAAAAGACTGAATAACCAAAGCACTCTTGAAAAAAAAGAACAAAGCTGAAAACATTACACTTTCTGATTTCAAATAATATTACAAAGCTATAGTAATTAAAACAGGATGGTACTGGCATAGAAACAGATACATGGAACAAAATAGAAATTCCAGAAATAAAGCCATGCATATACGGTCAGCTAATTTTTGACAAGAATACACAGTGGGGAAAGGATAGTCTCTTTAGTAAATGGTGTTGGAAAAATTAGATATCCACAGGCACAAAAGTAAAATTGAACCCTTAAACTGCAGCATACACAAAAATCAACTCAAAATGGATGAAAGACAAAATATAACATCTGAAACTATAAAATTCTTAGAGGAAAACAGGGAAAAACCTTCTCGACATGGGTCTTGGCAACGATTTTTATTATTTGGTTCTGACACCAAAAGCTTAGACAAACAAAGCAAAACTAAACAAGCAAGATGACATCAAACTAAAAAGCTTCTACACAGAAAATAAAACAATCAACAAGATGAAAAAGCAACCTACAGCGTGGGAGGAAACATTTGTAAACCATACATCTAATAAGGGTTTAACATCTGAAATATTCAAGGGATTGATACAATTGAATCACAACTAAACAAAACAAAACCAACAAAACTCAATTAAAAAATAGGCGAAGAACATGAATAGACAGCTCTCCAAAAAAAAAACAAACAAACAAAAAAAAAACTGTCTCCACACAAATGCCCAACATGTAAAGGTGCTCAACATTACTAATCATCAGAGAAATGCAAATCAAAACAATAAGATATCACCTTGTACCTGTTAAAATGTCTGCTATTAAAAACCAAAGATAATTAGTGTTGATGAGAATATGAAGAAAAGGAATCCTCTGTACACTGTTGGTGGGAACAAAAATTGGTACAGCAATTATAGAAAATACTATGGAGTTTCTTCAAGGATTAAAAAATAGAACTACAATATGATCCAACAATCTCACTTCTAGATATACATTCAAAGGAAATGAAATCAGGATTTCTAAGAGATATCTGCAGTTCCAGTTTCATGTAGCATTATTTAAAATAGCCAAACTATAGAAACAAACTAAATGTCCATTGATAGATGAAGAGATAAAGAAAATGTTGTAAATACATAAAAATAGAACACTACTCATCCTTAAAAAAGGAAAATTTTTACTTCCACTGCTTCACTTGACTAGCCTTAAAAAAGAGAAATTTTTGTCATCAGTGACAACATATCTCATGAACCCTGAGGACATTATGCCAAGTGAAATAAGCCAGACGCAGAAAGACAAATATTATGTGATTTCACTTATATGTAGAACCTAAAATAGCCAAACCCATAGAAGCAGATAGTAGAATAGTGGTTGTCAGGTGCTTGGGGAGGGAAAAATGAAAGTTGATGTTTAAGGGGTGCAAAGTTTCAGTTATGGGAGATAAATAAGTTATTGAGATCTACTACTAGCACAGTGCCTAAAGCTAATAATTTTTTGCCAACTTAAAATTTGCTAAGATGGTAGATCTTATGTTGCATTCTTACAACACACCCACATAAATTTCAGTAATAATAATAAAGGAGGCTAGAGGAAACTTTGGGAGGTGACGGGTATATTTTTGGCGTTGACGATATTGATAGTTTCATGAGTATATGCTTATCCTCAAACTCCTTACTTTGTGTACATTAAATATGTACAACTTTTTATGTGTAAATCTTACTTCAATATTTTTTAAAGGAGTAGAAGAAAATAATATGTGCCAATGAAGAAAATGCCTCCATGGTACCACAGACTAACACTGAACACTTTGGTGTCTTTTCTTAGGATTCAGCCTGGATGAGAGGTAGAGATTATGAAGTCAGACAGTTCTGTTGATTACCTATTTTTGCAAATGCCACAGGTTACCATTGGGAGATAAGGAGTTAACACAAACACATGTGATGTTGCTGATTGTGTGAGTACTAAATAATATGTATGCAGTGACAATTTGATAGGCTTTCGTAGAAGTAACTGGTCACTGATCATCATGCACATCTATTATTTAATTACTGATTTGTGGACCAAAGAGTTACCACTGAAGTTCATTCTTTATGCAATTACTCACTGCTAATGGTGATGGGAATTGAACTGTGATATTGGAGGACTTGTGCTATTTATTGAATTAAACTGTGGTAACTGAAATCTGCATATCAGACCATGCAAAAAGAGATTGCCTATACATTGTAATATTTTGGAAAATTAAGAATAGTAGCCAAAACAGAAAGATCCCCAAATATCAATGAACTTAATAAAATAAAGGTTTATTTGTCATTCTTATATCAATTAAGATTGGGATTATTTTTTATGGGCCCATAATTTGTCCTGAGAGTCTTCAAACAACAACGTTCATTTATTTTCCTGTTATGTGTTCATCATGGTCTGCTCTTCAAATTACTCAAGAACACTAGCTAATAGATATCTACCACATTGAACAGGAGCTGAAGAATCTCACACTTAGAATTTAATGCCCTGATCCAGAACTAAAACACATAACCTTTGCTCATAGCTCATACACACTAGAACTAGACCCATGGCTCCAAGGAGTAAAATTCATCACAGGTGTATGCTAAGTGTTCAAAAGGAAGAATAGGGAGTACTCAGCAAATAGCATTAATGACTACCACATTTATGTGAAGTGAGCCTTTTTCTCTATCTGATACACATACAATCAGGGACATATGGCCTCCAATGTCTCTACAACAGAACAAGAGAAGAATGAAGCAGGGGAGGCTCACCACTTCTTTCTTAATGGCCACATCCTGACACTACACACCACCTCTCCTCATGGTCCAATGGCCAGAACTCATTGCATATCTTAAGCCTGCCTGGGTGCAAGGGAGGTAGGTATATGTAGGGAAATACATGCACACATCCTAGAATGGTGATTCTCCATTAGAGGGGCCTATGGTAACTTATTTTATAACAAGCTTTTCAGATATTTATAATGATCAGGCAAAGTTGAGGTACTCAGTTACAGAAAATCACAATAATGGGAAGAATATATTATAGAAAAAATACACAAGAAGCCTTTAGGCATTTAACTGAGTATTACCTAGATGTAGTTGATCTTTTCTCCAGACTAACTAAACTCTCATCAACTCTCAATAAATATGTTCCATCTCTTATACAAGAACCAGAGGTACGGGTCTTTTCTACAGCCTATTAGTATAAATCCAGAGTAAAGCACGTGCAATTTTTAGATCAAACTTTAGGAAGAAATAAGATATAAGGAACGTCACTAACAATGTAGGACAAATAACTACTGAAAGGCAAAGGTATAGAAAAAACGTTTTGTTAAAAAAAAAAAGAAAGAAAAAACATTTTGTTTTATGCTTCGCTCTCAGTGTCCATTACATTTCCAAGCCAGCTTTTATAATTCTGCTCAATTCAGCAGAAATCTCATATGCACTAACTAGTATTTTAAAATTAAAGCCATTTATTTAGCAGATGAGAAATTAGAGTTATTACTTATCTCATACATAATTCTACCAGTCATCCTGGTAGCAATCATTTCTGTCCATAATATCTCCTTAAAAAAAGTCAATAATCTTTTCACAGTGGATAATAACTTACACAGCGAATGTGAAAAGAGTGTTCAACTCCTTTGTGCAATCAACCCATGTCTTTTGTTAAGTATGTATGACTTCGAATCAGTGTAAAATGGCAGGCTAGCAGTTAAACAGTGTGCCTTGCTGGATCTAATTAATTCTACTATTTTATGCCAAAAATTCCATTAGTTTTGATTAAAGCCCTTGGATGTAGTGCAGACTCCTTTATGTTTTGTAGTTAAAACAATCAAACTTCATTTCACATTAAGGATTATATTGCAGAACCAAAGGAATGCTAGTGTGGATCTCTACCACTGAATAAGTTATTCACTTTTAACAAGATACTCTGAACGTGAGTTAACTGCAAAATTGTTACCTCATAATATATCAACAAGATATTTAAATCCACAGGGAAAAGGCAGCTGGCAAAAGGCATTAGGAATCTGCCCTTCATATTATAATTTTATGATACTATTAAAATTTGCCATTGAAAATGAAAGTTTAACTAGGGTGATTGGAAATGTTGGGAGCAGCAATGTAGCCAAATTTAGTATTAGCCTCTTTGAGATGTGTATCTCTGCTATATGTGCTCCATTAAAGATACCACATACTAATAATTTATTGTATGGTGTCTTCTGGTTAGTAAACAATATTTACTGTGTTTTCACTGTGTGTAAAGCATCATCATCACTATGATGAGCAATGGATCATTTATTCACATGGGGAATGAGCTATGAAAAAGTGCAATGGCATATCTGCATCTGCCCTTAAAGGGTGTGAAGTACCCAGAACTCTTTCTAGTAAGTATCAAGAATATTTCCTCTATCTACTTTAAATTTTTGTGATGTGTACCAATCTTCCTTTTAGTTGGCCTAATGATCAAAACAATACTTATTTATATGAGCTAAACACAATTTTTAACAGTAATACATACATACAATAGTTCCCATTTAAGAAATTTAAAAACATAAAAACATCAAACAAATGCTTCACACATATGTTTTTACTGCCATTGAATTTTTAAAAATCAATCAGTTATCAGCATCAGGTATTATTTGAATTATTATGGCTTTAACGATGAAAAGTTGCTAAGATAGTTTTTAACTATATAGAGTTCAAAATGTTGACTGTGTGTGTTAATGTGCATGCTTTTCTTTGGGGAGATGATCCATTGCTTTGGTTAGAATCTCAAAATGTATGTTCTGTCAAGGCATAATAATATTTTTCTGAGTAGAGAAAGAAGTTACATAGGGGTTTAGATAAGTATTAAATTGAATTATGTGAATGATACAGAAACTGAGGTCAAAAGTACAGAAAAGACAGTGATATTGTGGGTTGTGATAGTAGGGAAGAGTTGCTTTACAGACATGGATATTGCATCCTTTTAAACTCATAAATAGACAATACACAATATATCCTTGTTTTTAGGTGTTTAGGTGCTACATACTTTTTTCCCACTTAATATGCTATAGTGATAATTAAAAATTTTATTCCAATTTTAGATATCACTTAGGTTTAAATTCCTAAGCTTCGTAATACAATTTGAAGGCTTAGTAAGAGTGAACAATTAAATAACATCGATGTATTCCATGAAATAGATTTTGTCAAAAGATCAATAATTTTCATTCATATTTCCTTCTGAAAAGATGTTAATGCTATGGACAGAATTAAGTTGAATTGATTCTAAAGAAATAAACCTATGACATTAATAAGTTTTATATTTGGTATTTTTGTGCAACTGTGATAAAATCAAGTTATTCATTGCTAAGTACAGCAAGTTTCCATGATTTAGCAGGAAAATAATGAAGTAGATAAAAGTAATTTTTAGATTTCAATTAAAGTTTACTTTCGTCCAGTAACTTGTTGTCAATCCTGTAAATATCTTACAAATAAACTTAATACCTATTATTTTCTTCAAAATTCAAAGCTTCAATGTTTATTCATAATTTATATGTCATAGTCTACAAATTAAGAAGAAATACTTTTGAAGAGTTTTGAAATCAATAATATTTCTTTCTCAGACTTTATAAGCAGGTAATTATATAACTTCAAGATGCGCAACAGTAAGCCTGTCAAAACAGTAAAAACATTTCTGTTTTCCTGTATGTAGGGGTTAAGCAGTTAGGTATCCATTAGGACTACATATGTAGCTACATAAAGACATGGATAAATATATTTTCTAATCGAATAGACATAATAAGACTTGAAATTTTCCTTCATTTTAGAAAAATAAGTTTTTAGAAAATATTTGGTCATTTTGTAGTTTTACTGTATATATTTTTATATCAATTATATTTGTTGTATAAATTTAATCTTGATCATGAAGCTAGACCAAAGCAAATCCAATTAATCCCAAAACTCCTTCAGATGAATCACATTCTCTTGTGTATTTTGAGCCTTCGTGCCAGCTTTGCATCCAAACTATTTTCCATTATTTTTAAAGTGACCCATAATAGATGAAACAATGTTTACAATTACTACCTCTCGGGAAAAAAAAAAAGAGGATATTCTAAGTTCCAAGCTTTTCCCATTTCTAATTGAAGGCAAAAAATAAGAAATTCAAACAGCCACAGAAAATACTGCCTTTTAAAAACATAGATTTCTTTCAAACGCAAATAATTACAGCCCTATAAACTATATAGAGGGTGCTTCCTATCTGTCTCTAGTCTTGATCTTCCATCTTATTGTCCTTATCCCCACCAACTGAAGATCTCTGGCAGTTTTACAGCTTGCCTTTTTAAGGAGCAACATTTACTAATTTAAGGGAATTAATACAAATCATGCTTTCTATCAGGTTTTTCCTTTTAAAAACATGATTCACCAGAAAATGGGAAGATTTAAACTAAGATATACGATGAATTAGACTAAGCTATGAAATTATTTCTATAAAGACTGACCTTTCTTTCAATCAAATAAGAAGAAAGTTACCAGATAGGATCTTTCCCCAACTCTGATATTCTATGATTCTAAAATCACTTTTGCATGTAAATGCAGAAAATACAATAAATTTGTTGTTATGCCAGGACCAGAGAATCATATCTTGCAAATTAGAGTTTCAGAGTTAGCTTGGTATTTTTAATGATTCACAAAATACATTAGAAATACACAGTCGACTCATGAATTCCAGAATTACAATATAATTCATTTAACATACTCATTGGATGAAGGTACATTCCTTTCAAAGTAGAGATAATCTTAATTGTGTTTATGATTTAGTTTCTGAACATATTTACTGCTTGCTCAATTATTCAATGACTTGAAGCCCCACAGAAATAACAACATCATCATCCACTTGCTTCTTAAAAGGAGCATATTTGTAGCAGTCTAGGGAAAAAATCAATATTTGTCCATACTTTCCATAACAAATATCCAGTGGAGCAAATTTCACAGCTCCAGTTCCTCAAATGGTAATTTATAGCTCATGTTATTAAGGTCCCCACCTCTGACTTTTTTAGAGAAAAAATAAATCCAGTTTCTTTGTATTCTTCCCAGGGCCATTTTGCAAGGATTTTTCCCATTCTTTTTTTGATTGCTCGTAAGATATCTCTATCTAATCAGAGGGTCCAAATTTGATCTCAGTGGTCTAAAAATATGACTATATATGATATAGGAATATAAGATTCTTTCTCACTTTCTCTGGTAAGGTATGTTTTATTAGATATATTAGTCTCTCTCTTTGAGAATGTATTGAAGTTTATTTCACAGGTGTTTTACTATGCTGCAAAATTAAAAAAAAATTAATCTTGTAAAAAAATAAGACCCTTAATTTTGAAGCTCTTCACAAATTGTGAGATCCAAATAATGACTCAGGAATGACATATGTTAATGAAGAAGCAGGAAAGACCCAGGCAGAAAGGTAAGGTGCATGTATGTATATATGGAAATCTTGTCAGTCACAGATCCAGGCTAATATGTGTGGGGAAAGAATAAAACATATCTGTACAATATGACTGACTGACCACTCTTAGAAGTTTTCAAGAAAAAAATCCTTCATGAAGTCACAATTTAATTTCTCATTAAAAAAAACAGAATAAATATAACAGTTTATTAATGTAATCAGACTTTAAACTTTCTAAAGAAAAAAATAGTCACCTTACAACAAAAGAAACCTTCATGACAGATTTAATCATGTTGTGACTAAATGCTGCATTTTATTATTGATTAAGAGGTTTTGACCATGACCATTCATTAGATTGCACTTCTCTTTACATGGAAACAATGAACGTCTCAAGTACATGTGTGACTTCTTACATTTGTGTTTTCTTTGAAATCTCATTTCGCCTTTAACTTTACATTGGTTATGGTATTTAAATGCTTTTTATCAGAATTGAAGACTGTCACCATAGTACTTTAGAATTTCCATCGATGCCAAAATTTTAACGCACTATGATGAAACAGAAAGTGCACACAGAAAAATTTCACTCTCATTCCATTACTGCTCCAATTCAAATTTCTTTGTTTCAGTTGTTGACTTAAATATAAATCATTGATTTTGAAGGACATAGATTCCCACTAATGAAAATGGAAAACTATTGAATCCTCTGGAACTGGTACAAATCATCCACATGATTTAGTAATAGTCCACTCTGGCAAATGACCATGCCATGATGATTACAGTACCCCTTAACAGGAATAAATTGTAGTGCAGTGGCCACTGTATGCTCACTTCACTGCTCTCTAGATCAATAGATCCAGTAATAACAAAGTAAACTTAAAATAAATCTGAATAAAAATTAGTGTATAGAAAAATCCAGTCCCATTTCTTAACACGGATTTTCAAATTAAAAAAAAAAAAAAGAAAAAACCCAAGGTATAATGTCAGGGGTGGGGAGAGAAGAGCAATAATCATGGAAAACTTTACCTAGTAGGTGTTTTTAAAACATACATATATGTGTGTGTGCATATAAATACACATAGATGCATATATATTTATATACATATAAATGTGTATTATATATATATTTTTCTTACTGTTCATGATTATTTAGTGACTAATTTTTTAAAACATATTGAGAAAGCACTCTGTTTTTCTGCAAAGTTCCTCCTAGATACCACTATGATTCTGGAGAACAATGTTGTAAGTTAAATACAAGAAACCCTTAAAAATATAATCTGAAATCATGAACTAAAAATATAATCTAAAACCATAGACCAGGACTATTTTACAAACAAAGCCCACATGCCGTGGGGCTCTTTTGCTGTCCCAAACCCTCAACAGCCCTGAAAAGAATCAGCACAGACTTGCCCTATTCTGATTCCTGTTGTTTACTAAATAATGTTGGGAAAAATCTTAATGCTATTTTGATTAGTACATGCATTATTATGTTGGTAGCAACGATAATATTTGTACCTTCAATATTTCCATACCGTAATTTAAAAATTAGAATTACAATTTTTTGAGAAAGTAAAAATTGGTACTCAGTAGTTTATACCAAGCATTTTATAAAAAATTGAAAATGCATAAGCTATACAATATGTAGTTAAATTCCTTAAGTTTCAAAAGCAGTAGATTTTTCCTCATTAGTCTAGATTTATTTTTATAGTATTTTCCCCAGAGTTTTAAACTAAAAGCAAATTTTAAAATATTTATAAAAATCGTATTTTTATTTTGCATAATATTGTTGATTACTGTGTAACACCAGTGATGAAAATTCAATTACTTAAATTTATCAGTTTATGATACTTAAATACTTAAAAAGAGTAGACATTAGCTTTAAGTTTGACTTAAATATATGGTTTGGGGCAAAAGGACATTCTTTTCAGGTTTTTCAGGTCAAATTTTTGAGGAGTTGTTTTAAGATTCTGACTGATTAGGAATAAAGACATCAAAATGAGAAAATAATATTATGCATTACAGAATTTAAAACATAGGAAGAAAAACCAAACCAAACCCTTATAGTGGTGCTGTTCAAAATAAGTATCACATGAGTCACATATGTAATTTTAAGTTTGCTAGTAGCCATATTTAAAAGGACAAAAAAGAACAGGTGAAATTAATTTTAACAATAGATCCTGCTTAACCCCAATATAGTCAGAATATCATTTCAGCATGTAATCAATGTAAGAAGATCATCGGTGGCATGTTTTGTACTCTTTTTTTGTGTCCTCAGTCCTGAAAATCTGGTTATGTTTCAAACTAATAGCACATCTCAAATTGTACATATGGGTAGTAGCCACCACACTTAACAGCACGGTCTTTTGAATACTGGGTAGCAACTGTCACAAACCCTGTCTTTTAAAAGAAAACTGCATTTAATGAAGGCCAGATAAAAATATATAGATGTGCAAAGGTAGAAAACATCTCAGTATCATAAATTTAGTATATTTCCCTCTCAAATGTGAAAACATACCAGTAGATTCTTCCACAAAATTGTAGTCAAGGGTGAGAAAGTAGGTCTGGAAGAGCAGCTGAAGGAAGTATCGGAGCATCCTTCTTTTATCAGTGCCTTGGATCCAACACCGATGGCCGGCACTAACTTGTAGGATAAAATCACCTCAGTTGGAGGCATTAAGCTGTATCTTTCTTACTCATAAAACTTCCATTTTTCATCTTCTTTGGTTTAGACTTATGGTCCTTTGAAAAATATATTTTTAAAAACACAATGTTTTAAATATGCATATGTTTTTAAGTTCAATTTTTCTCTTTCTCCTTTACATTCTTTGTTTCTCCATAGCCTTTGCAACATGTGCCTGCTGAGTAAGTAAATACATACATGTATGTTGGGTGTAAGGGTGCATATTTATGAGAAACAGGGATGTGGGGGAAGTCAAACTGTGAAAAGAGCTTTACTCACAGATCGCCCTGACCCTTTGTAATACCCTCAACTGTTCTTAAAACCACAGGAAATCTATTTGTTTATGGAAGTGTGCCAGGTGTTTCTTTCTCATAAATTTGTAATTGATTAATTATGATCATCTAGAAAAAAAGGGCACCACTATGATGAGTGGTTGTATTTTCCATCAGTATATTTAATAAGTGAGTATTTTCACTGAGAAATTATGATGAAAAAAGGAGAGAGGAGAGACTATGAGCACAGCTAGACAAGTGGAGTTATAATTTAACCATAGTTTACAATCCTAAGCCAATCAAATTTTATATCTACTTAAAGCCATCAACTTCACAAAATCTGCAAATATTTTGTTATCGAATTATGCCTGACATTTATTTTTCAGAATAATGTTCAGTCTAAACCAGTGAATTAAAACATTACATGATGGTAATTTAAAAAGACCCTGCTATACTTGGATAATAATATTGTATTAAAATTAATTGTGAAGAGATAAACATAGTTGACACAAAGTGAAAAATACATGTTGGCAATGGTAATATTTTTTCTTGGAAGCTTCCAGTAATTATTCAAGAATGGAAAATAGTCATTTAAGAGAGACTGCAGGAATGCAGAACACAATGACAGGTATCAAGACACTGAACTAAACCATGGAAGAGATGAGCAAGAATAAATTATCAAGCAGGCCTTTTTAAAGGCAGACAACTTTAAATGAAAGAACATGTACCTTCAATAGACAGTAGGGGAGAATAATTTACCTACCTGTCTGTACACTGAAACATCAGGGGTGAATTTTAGCAGAGCCTGGACTACACGGCAAGAGACAATAAAGTAATTATAGATGGATAGCTCATTGTGAAGTCCACATTTTGAAGAATACAAAGCAAATTTAAAAGTAGATTACAAGCATAACCACAAATGATTGCTGACTAAAATGAAATGACTATTGTCTTTTTGTTTCATATTTTGTCTTATGACAATAGTTATTTTGGCCTTTGTTCTGAATTATGATTTACAAATAAACAATCTACATAATATTTACAGAATAGGTCAATGCAGATCACTGATAGAGCCCTGAGTTGTACAGCCGACCAAGATAAGTTAACCTACTTCTCTGTTTTTACTCCTCAAAGCATGGTCGTTGGAGTAGTATCATCATCATCATCATCATCATCTGGGATTTACAAATACAGACTCTCTGACCCCACTCTAGATCTACTTAATCAGAATATGAATTTTAACAAGATCCCCACATAATCTGAATGTGTATTAAATACTAATAACTGTTGTTCTACATATATTCGTTTTTCATTTACATTTTAACAAGTGTCGCCAGATCTTACTATACTTTGAGCATCATCACATCTACCAAACAAAGAACAACTGGGTCTGTCAAGGAAACTTGTGTGGTTGCTAGGTGTTGCCACGTAGCAGTCTACACGGCCAAGGATGAAAAATCATATTTAGTTGGGGAAAAAATCTATTATGTGCTTCTAATCTACATATGTTTTTGTTGGTATTTTCCCACTTAATCCACAGAAATTTTAAAAAGGAATAAGCTTAAGATTTAAATTAAAAAGATTGTACTTTTGTTCAACAATCTTCAAGTATATAAAGGGACATTAAATAGACAATTTTCTTCATCTGACCAAGATATATAGATTTGTTTAGCCAATGAAAAAATAATTATGTATATCTATGTATATGTGTGCTTCACTATGCACTGAAATCATTTCAAAGAAATCCTTTTTCAAAATGGCAATGAACTGTTATTACACTTAAAAACTATCTAGAATTATATGATTCTGTTAACTAGCCTAAAATTTAACATAATTGTTAATTTAAACTAAAGTTTTACATATTATATTTATATATTATATTACATTTTGATTATATTAAATCTTTATTCTTTAAAACACTTTTCATCTCAAATGGAAAGTGATTTTTACAATCTACTATACAGTATATAGTTTTCTAATATATTTCTCTGCCAATTACCAACAAAACGTGCTAAAATTTCAGGTTACTTTTAATCTAATAAATACTTCTAGAACAAAGAAGTGATTAAAAATTAGTTTCAACTTGATTATACATCATGAGACGAAATCAAGATGGCAAAACTCCGGAGTCTTTGAGAAAAGGCGGTCGAATTCATTTGTCAGTAACAGGATGGAAGGATGAGATTATTTACATCAGAAAATGCTGCCTGGAGCAAATTATTCTAAACTGTCTTCCGCAGAAAACTGACCTCGTAAAGGTCTGTAAAGAAGTGTGCACTGTGTAAAACAAGTTGGAGGAACTCTGAGGGCTTCACAATAAAGATTAGTATATTAAATTACTAAGGTTAAATTACTGCCATTAAAAAAACACATAAACATTCTCAAACATTTTATTAATATGTTATTTTATATTTTATCATAGGACGTACACTGATATTTTGTAAAGGACTTTTTGTGTTTCTATAAGAAGTTATCAATGCCTATTGTATCAGTGCCAATTGGCTAAAAACAAATTTAATATTATAGTTATGTGTCAATTAAGTAGATGATTCTTTACTTACTACCAAAAAATCCTGTTCCTTTTTGCTTATTTTCAATGAAACTTCAAAAAAGTAGATCCCACATTCATCAAAAGTTAATGTCCACAAAATAGTGATTTAGAATTAAAATTTATGTTTTTGATGATGTAAGCACGTCAATGGCTTTCTGTATATATAAATGGATCCTTACACATATTGAAGTGGAAGCTAAAACATCTAAGCAATGTGTTTCTCCTGTACTCACTATACAATATGTCAATGTGATACATTAATTAAAAAATAAAGCAAAAAAGTTTAATAAAAAAGAGTACAGCATTACACTCTACAAAGTCCTTCTTAAAATCAACTTTTGTATGCACTTTTCTTTATGGAGGTTGTTCTGCACTAAAATGGTCCAAAGTCATACATGGAAGAGAAAAAGATACAGAATATATTTATTCTTTATCATTGAAAGAAAATTTCTTTCCATTTCTATTTCCTTAAACACAATGTTCTAAATATTTTACTTATCTACGTCATTCACATATTGTAAATTACAATGTACATGATGCCTACTTTAAATCGTTCTTCGAACAAGAAGAGATATAAGTAGACAAATTAATTGCTTATTGATTATTTTATGAATCCTGGCAGGCTAACCCCTCTGATCTACAGACTTTTATAAGTATTTATCTAAAAGTGAAATATTTCAGTTCTTTTAAATAACAAAGGCAATAAATTGTAAAAGTCATCCATTCTTAGACGATAATTGAAAATATCATGCTTAATGCATGTATATTCTGAACTTCACGTACTAAAAGGCTTTTGTAGTAGCCGTTGATTGAGAAGGGTTAATACAAAGGAGACAAGCTAGCTGAAAGAAATCTAGTGATACAACTATTTTAGGTGTTTTTAAGCACTTCTGCTTGAGATTCAGTTAATCTATTTTCCTATATTTATCATTTTTAGGTAATTCATTTTTGTCTATGTATTAATGTATTAATCTCCTTGTGAACTTTATAAATAATGTGAAGTGAATTATTCTTTCACCTTGTAGAAATCCTTCCATTTCTCAACCCACGTAAGCTAACTTGCTTTTCTATTGTCATTCAGAAAGTCAATATTAGAGTCAAGATACACAGTCTACAGTTCCATAGTCCTATATCTGTCCTCAGAGTATTCAATTACCCAGCAGACAGCAATGGCAAATATTAACAGTGATTTATGGTAAATCGTTAGCTATTGTTCCATTATCCATTTATCCCAATAAGAGCTTCACCTATTTAGAAATTAGCACTCCACCCCCAACTTTGTTGTTAAGGAAAAGATCCATTGAGAGTCCCAGTAAAATCATCACAACTCAGGAGTTTGGGACAGCACATTGTCCACAGTAGGAAAATGTGTGTTAAGCATTACGTTTCTCATTATAAAAATAACAATTCAGAAAAATGTTACTGCTTTATCTTGCTCACATATTTTATATGATGTTCCCATCTGAATAATTGCTTGTCTTTTCATTTCTCAAGCAAGTCATTGCTTAACTTTCCTTTCTGCCATTTTCTTATTTACACTTTACAGCAACACTCCATTTTTAAAAGCTGCTAGCTGGCCTTCTTCACATTATTACTTCCTCCATTACGTCCATAGATTGAAATGGAAAGGAATTATTATTATCTAAGCATTATATAGTCTTGGAATCAAAGAGCCAGATCAGATTTTAGAGATCATCAATTTAATAGATAATTCTCATTGTAGGTGAAGTGGGTCAGAGGTAGGAGTGTACGCAAATTTTTAGGTTGGAGGTTTCGTTGACTTATACAGAACCCATAGTAAGTCTTGGGTTCAAGTGCTTGTGTTGCAGAAGCCTAATTCTGAGACTTCAGGCAATGGTTTCAGGCACAATAACAATGACAGTTATTCGATTTGTGAATTTAGAAATGTGACTAGGTAGATAAAAGTATTTTGAAAATGTAAGTTATTACTGTTAATAATTACCAAATGATTAATTGAGATCTAAAAAGGAAGAGTAGGTTTCCTAGAAGCATGCAAATAAAGTTGGGATCTGAGTCCTAATCCTGACGCTAGGTTGATTCCAGTTACGATTGATGTGTAACAAATTGTCCCAAAAGTGGGTGCCTCGAAACAGTCCTTTTATTTTGCTCTCATTTTGTAGGTCAGGAATTGGGGCAGAACTTGGCTTAATAGTTTGCACCTGGAGTGTCTCACACACTAGTAATCAGACGTCAGCTGATGCTGGCTGCACCCATCTGAAATGTTAGCTGAACTGGACATCCGTAATGATTTACTAACCTGGCAGGCAGCACATACTGGCTCTTGGTTGGGAGCTCAGCTGGGCTTTCAAGTGGAGCACTTACAGATGGCCTCTCCAACAGGAAGGTCTCATTGTATATGGCTCCCTCCACAGTGAGTGTGCCAAGAGAACCAGGTGGTAGCTATAGGACCTTTTATGAAGTAACGTTGCAAGTCATTCAGCATCATTTCTATCATCCTTTATTGGTCAAAGCACTCACGATCCTGCCCAGATTCAATGGGAGGAGACATCAACCCCACATCTCAACAGTAGGAGTATCAAAGAATTTTCAACTCTTTTCAAAAACCACCACACTCTGGGTTCAGTCTGGGGTACCCCACTAAATTCTGACCCTTCTACTAAGAAACTTAATGAAAAGTTTTTCCCATGTTTTCCTTGACAACCAGGTATGTAGTTCTCATGCTGTAACTATACTTGACTTGAAAATAAAAAAGATGTTATGTATTTCATATTTAAAGTTTAGCTGCCTATTATCTAATAAAAAAATTCAACAAGATATAGTTGGGCACTGATGTATGAAAGCCCTGAATCAAGATACTGAGAATCCAACTATTAAAGAAAATGGACATACAGAGTGGAACAATAGACATTAGAGACTGCAGAGGGTGGAAGGGTCGGAGAGGGATGAGGGTTGAAAAATTACCTATTGGGTACAATGTTCACTATTTGGGTGAAGGGTGCACTAACAGCCCAGGCTTCACCACCACACAATATATGCACATAATAAATCTGCACTTTTGTATCCCATAAATCTATAAATATGAAAATTAAAAAAAATTAAAACTTGCCAGCAAGTCTATCAAGAAAGGCAAAATATATATGCATAGAGTTGGAAATAGTCTTGCTAAGTGTACTGTAACAGAAGTATGTACAGGGTGGGCTGTGGAAGAACTTTACTGCATAGGAGATTAGAGAGGTGGCTGAAAAAGTTTGAGGTTAGAGAGGCATCTGGGAGGGAGTTTTGATAGACAGGTGGCCAGACCTCTCCCTTACAGAAGACAATGTCATTCTGAAAGCATTTGAGATGGCATGAAACATGAACAAAAATACTGAATTAAACTTGATAAAGCTATAGCCTAAGATATATAAGTGGTAGTAAAAGATGAGCCTGGAAAATTAAGTCAGGCAGGCAATTGAATGATGTTTTAATCATGGTCAAGAGTTTGTATAAATGGTCATTTAATATTAATACTGTAACTCATGAAACAATTGGAAAGTAAACATTAGTATTATTAAAAATCTGTGCAAATATTTTCAAACAATAAATACAGTATGATTAAAATATTTTAAAGTAGTCAGAACTGCATACAGTTACAATAGAATGTGGAGCAGAAAGGAAGCATGTTTAAACAAACTATGGATGCTCAATACAATGCTTACATGAAACAAATGAAATTGGATTGAAATCAGGTGTTGACATAATTTAACTTAGCCGTGACATGTTTTGGGTTATGTTTCAGTCGTTCAGTATTTGCATTTACATACAGTAATCAAAACAGAGAAAGCAACAGGGAGATTAGATTCTATATTCTAATTCTCAAAGGACAAAACACACAAAGCTTGCATCAAATGGTCTTCTGATTTTACTGTGTGTGAGTTGGCTAATTAATGTGAGAGTTTTCTAGATAAAGTATAAAACGAAGATTCTTTGTTGTTAAAATTTCCCGGCCAAGGGATATGTTAAAGTTGGAATAAATATGCAGGATTTTGTTTATATCTCAAAAATGTAATTATTTATAAGAAGAAGGTCTGTCAAAAATAAATGGGATGGAGGACAATAGTATAGCAAGAGCAAATGCGGCTCTGATCCACAGGCTCAATGCAATAGAGCCTTGCTATTCAAACTGCGCTGGCAAAGCAGCAGCAATGGCAGCAGTTTGGAGCTTGTTAGAAATGCAGAATCTGAGGTCCACTGAATACGATTCCACAGTTTACCCAGATCCCCAGGTGATCCCTATGAACACTAAAATCAACAAATTATGAATGCACAATGAGGTTCCAGTTAGCTTTCAAAGCCGTAGTAGAGACCTTTGTGTTGGTTTTTATGAATTAGTTGAAAGAACATAAATCAAGTCTTGAAGAGGAGGAAACATGTAAAAAAAAAGATGATGGAAAATATTTTTTAAAAGGAGGATTGAATAAGTAATTAATGTTAACAAGTCAGTCTGAAATATAGATAGGTGAATAGATGTAAATATAGATATTTATCTGATATGAAGAGTTGAAATAAATAATGGACAGCTAGAAGTAGCTGTAGTCAGCTACTAAGTGCCTGAGACATTGGCTGGCACATGGTAGCCGTTCAATATCAATGTTAATTGACTAAATAAGCTTTACATATATCATTTTATCATTTAATTTTGCATACATTATTTCACTTTGAGCCTCACAACATTCCAGAGAAGTAGGTGCAATGGGTAGTTGGCATCATTAGACAAATGCTTTCAACTTGTCTACTTTGTAATAACTCTTAAAATCAACAGGTATATGACAAAACCTTTTAGTGCGTGATTGATGTTAAGAATGTTCACGCATTAAAGATAGTATTTTCAATTGTCTTCTAAGGAAGATAATTTTTACATGTTATTGCCTTTGTTTAACAAAGACTAAGATAGTTAGCTGCTATGGAAATGCCTACTAACTTTTGAATTAACTTTTTAATTAAACTGAATTTTATTAGCTTAATTAATTTACCAATTTATATTGTAAATTGTAACATGAAGGATTTCAAGCAGGCATCGTGAACAATACTCCTTCTGATATGAATGAAAGAGGTTGGGGAAATGTTACACTTTGTCATTGTTGAAATATAAATGAAAATAACACAATATAGGTAACCCTGGGAACCAGTAACCATATTCTGCATCTCTTTTTCCTCAGTGCGATACACTTGCCCATTTAGGCACTGTAGAGCCTCTGTAATAAAGTGTGTTCTTTAAAATAATAAGCATCAAGAAGAGGTTGTTATGAATGTTCAAGTTCTGAGAATAAACAACTTTTTCGAATCATAGGTAAAACCAGAACGTGAAGTGTATATTCTGATTAAACACTGAGAAAATGTTCCTCTGTCATGAACCTCATTTTTAATTCCAAACTTAGGATACAATTTATAATCCGACCAAAAGATGGTTGTTTGCAGTTAGTTTTGATTGTCCATGTAAATACTGAGTATATTTTCAATGTTACTTGCTTCTCAGAAACAGTTCACTCATGTTAAAAAAAAAAAAAAAACAGCTGGATTCTCATTGTGGAGAAGAACAAAAGCAATTAAAGAACATATTATTGCTTAATTTTATTGCATAAATATTTGATTTATACAAAGGTACATTCTATTGTATTTTTTATACAAATTTGTTACTTGACAAATCAAAAATCTTTATTTTTAAGTCGTATAATATTATTCTTGCAACATGTTGTTCACCCTAAAATTGTTCAAATTCATCAGAAACAAAGGCAATTGCATAAAATAGCTTTAAAAGAGGTTTTAGAATTTCTGTTCCATCTTTAGTTCTAATTGTCTAAATGCTTAAAAAATCCATATTTTTAAATGCCTGAATGAATATTAATCTCAGAATCTAATAAGGACTCCTCCACATTATGAAGTTCAACTTAGGTTGAACTCTACTCGGTTTGGAGAATGTCTTCTGAAAATGAAAAAAAAAAACTGTTTTTCTCTATTGATTCCCATAAATGTCTCATGATCTTATTAGATAAAAAAAAGTTTATGATCATTACCATATTTTCTGTACTGGCTATCTATCAAACACTGAACTGGGTACCAGAAATACAATACCTCAATTCTTACAAATTTTCAAAAAACCTTTCTATCCTCACATGGTAGAAGAGGAAATGGAGCCTTAGAAAGTTAAATATCCCAAGGTCAAAACTCAGCCACCCAATATTCTAAATTCAATGTTCTATCAAGACATGTTGACTATTTATTGCATTATACAAAGTCACAACTTTAACCAAATAACATTCACATTTTCAGAAGACCACAGGACTTTGCCTTTCTGCAAATCTCTTAAGAGTATTACTCATTTAGGTGAGAAGACATAACACCAAAAGTCTAGATCAGAGAAAAAAGACAGTATATAATATTTAAATTGGCAAGTAACGGCAACAAAAATTCTTATTTTACACTTATCTGGAATAACCAATTTGTGGAATGGTTATATGCCATATGGTAAAGAATCATATAATATATTTTCCCAGCCAGGACACTTTTGAGGCTGAAAAGGAATAATCACACAACAGGATGGCGAGGCAGCTCACTTAAACTGGGACTCTCGCAGGCAAACTGGAATGTATGGTCACCCTGCATGCAAGGAGATGTAAATGCTCATCCAATAGAAATGAGAAATGAGAGAAACAGAGCTGAGCCTAATCTGAACTCTCTTACTCAGAAAGGCTTATTTTTTTCTCTAAGGTTTGATTTCAAAGTAATCGTATATAGCTTATACAATTGTTCCTTTTTGAAGAGGCATGCAAATAAGGGTTTGTCCACTGCTATTTGTGTTTAACAAATTGATCCCTAGTTAAGAGTGATCTGGTGTAATTAATTACCTTTGAAAAAGGACATATTGTTAAAAGGGTTAGAGACAGTACCAGGCTAGAAAAGAAAGAAGAGGTAAAATACAGGGATCATTCAGGCTTTCATGTGTTCCTGATGTAGAAGGTGCATAATTTCCTTCTTAATCAAACTGCCTCATTTTCCAATCAAATACTTAAAACATTCCACAAAGTATAAAAAAAAGATACAAGGTTGTAGAACAATAAATGTACCATATTAAAAACAAATCTGCAAATATGAAATATTTTTTGCATTCTGTTAAAAATAATTCATATAACTCTAAAACTAATAAAATTGAATTGACTATCCAATAAATGGAATTTTATATCATGTTTGTTATCAGCTAAATAATTCATTATTCCACTTTATATACACACTCTTTAACTTACCGACTCAGAGGTAAGATACTGCTAATCCATTCATTTCCCCC
Organism: Homo sapiens; assembly: GCF_000001405.40. Lineage (NCBI taxonomy): Eukaryota > Metazoa > Chordata > Mammalia > Primates > Hominidae > Homo > Homo sapiens. Next base: position 76,760,673 of record NC_000003.12, on the reverse strand, counting down.
AGCCCCTGCAACGTATGCGTAGAAAATATAAAATGTGTGTGTGTGTAAGAGCAAAAGGTTAGTAGTTGAATATGAAGGAATTTTTAATCAGAGGAGAAAACAGCTGGTTGGGGATCTCTCTACCTTCAGCTGGAGATCCCAGATTGCATGGTGATTAGTGACACCTGTTTTCTACCAGCCTTTTCTTGAAGCCAGAAACTCAGGAGGTTGGCTATAGAAGAAGTGTTCTTGGCATTTTGCTATACTCATTTTTAAAAACCACATCTTCTTTTAAAACCAGATATTTATTTTCAGCCATGGTGTGCCCATTAAAAAAATCAGAGGCTAAAGTTTGCCAGCAGGTAATCAGAAACTATTTTACAATAGGAAAAATAGAGGATACTACTTTCGGTAATTTGGAAAGAGTCTATTTTAAGTATTCTCATAAATGTTTAAAACATTTTAAAAAGGTCCACCTGAAACTTACAGATTTCAATAATGTTTTATTGTTAGAATCATATTACCTACATCAAACCTTTGAGGGAGCTGATATGATATCTGGGTACGAGCAACACAACAGCTACCTCTAGTCTCTTTTCCCTTGTGCCTTCTCCACTCTTTTGCTTCACATACCACTTCCTTGAAATCATATTCATCAATTTCCTTCCATCCTTCTGTTAGAGTTGGAACGAACTTAAGAGACAATCTGGTTCAATGTTATGGATGAGAATTCTGAGTCCCAGAGTTCTGAGACTAGGATGAGATTCTTGGTTATGACAGCCTGAGTAAACCAGTACCAGGGCCTAAGTGAAGAGAATCGCGGAGCCGCTGCTGTGAAAAGCACCTGGGAATCCCACCGGCTCCAAATTTCTTATTTTACAACTTAGGAAGTTACAGCAATGAAGAGAAGTTTCATGGCTAGATAGTTACCACAAAGATCAACTAGAACCCGTGTTTCTTAACCCCTAGGCAAGTTAGTCACTTTCTAATACCCCCTGATATTTTATAACACATACAAACTCCTCTTAATCCGAGGAGACAGACATTTCTGAAATTCCATGTACTTTTTATGGTTTGGTCAAATACTTGATCCCTTTCATGTTTCTGCATCAAGTTAATGAATATATTTATTTAACTCACTTTTCCGGAGATCCAACTATGTGCTAGACGTTGTGCCATATCGCCAACCTTCTATATATATTAATATATGTTTAAGTCTAGCACCCTCAAAATTTTTAGGTACACTAAAAAAATCCACATCATTGTAATAATTAATGATTTAAGAGATGTAGTGTTATAAGGAAGAACACACTGAAATTGTTGTCAAAAAATATTTGGATTTTGTATTGTTTAAATTCTGACATTTAATTAAATTATGCAACCAAACCTAAGAGTTGTATAATTGATTCGATTTTAGTGAGTATAGGTGGAGGGGAAAAGCATAAGACTAGAAATTAAAGATGACTTCCAGTCATAATATTCCTTTTTATTAGCTTTGACCTTAGCACTCAGCCTATCTATCTGTGCCTCACTTTCCTTATTTGCAAGATGAAAAAATATGACTTCTAATTTAAGTTTCGTTCCAGTTCTAACACAGTGGAGATTGGAAAAAGTAAATATATTTTCAAGCTGCAATATGTTTAGTCAATAATTGCCTTAAACAAAGGATAGCTCAAAAGATACCAAACTATGTTGACATGACATCTATTTTAAAACAATATATCTACTCTGTCCTTCATACGCATAGCAAAATTTAGGACAAAATTTCATGTATGTGAGGTGGGCAGTGTTATATACATCTATCATTTATACATACACATACCATTCTCTTTTATTAGAAACAAAGACCATGTATTTATATAACCAAAGCCCTTCCCACTATAATTCCTTGGTGTGATCTTTATTTCTTTAACATTGAAAATAAACACCAATGGACAATAATGTCTGCCAGTAGCAGACGTGATGGTCTATTGTGTTAAGATTCCTATCAACCATATGTTTGTAGATCACCTTTGATCATAGAAGTTTCATTTTCCCAACAGAGAGGTGGGATAACCATTACAGCTGATGAGAAGGTAATGGGTTGGTGCAATCCTCAAAAAGCAGGTAGTAAAATTTCAGCTCCTTGGGAAATTTCTGAAGGATCAGGAACATTGCTTGATCTCTTAAAGCACCAGAGATTTCAAGGGCACTTATTTGAAAAGAGTTGTAAAGATCAATGAGACATAAGGTAGTTAAGGACAAAACCTGAGAATACACATTTACAGACCTCACACCCTGTCCATGAAGCTCAATGGAGCCAGATCCCTCACACTACTGGTCGGCTTCCTTGACGCCAAAGACAATTCCTCTGTTTTAGTACAGGCAAGCTTGTCTCATCTAGTCTTTAAGATCTTTTCCCAATAGTCTTTGTTCAACAGGACGGATAATGACTTTCAGAAGAAGGTATTAAATGTAAAAAGTGCTGCAGGAATGGATGGTATTTTTTTTTCCATGGAACAAAATTACCTATTTTCCTTGTCAATGCATGTTTTAGATGCTTTCACAACAGATAATTTAAGCTATTTTTTGCTTTTGTATCGAGTTATGTCTTAAGTTGTCTTTCCTAAACTGCCTTTAATGAAATATTAGAGTATATCTTTTGATTTTAATAATTAACTGTTGAACATTTAACCTGTGCCATGCATTATGCAAAATGCTGGAGACACCGTGGCCTCCTAGAACTTACTAGAGGCTCTGGTTCTCCCTTAAAGTCACCTTATTGTTTTCTTTCACAAATCGTGCCTTTTAGGAAAAATATTGTTCCTGAATCCTTACTAGATAAAGAGATGAAAACTCCCCTAGGGATGCTGTTAACTCAAGTTTTAGTCCTCATTTCCTCTTCCTCACCTCTTCTGAGTGAACTCTGTGGTTTAGAAGGTTCAATCTCTCTGGAGGAGTATTAAAAACTCATTTGTGTAATTATGACATTATCAGTTATTATGTTTATATTTTCCCTCCCCCACTGTTTCAGAAACAAATAATAGTTTATTTGATTAACAAAGCAACGCTCTAGCTGGCTTGAAACAACATAGACTTAAAAAAAAAATAAACCACTCTTCATCTATTAGGGCTGCTGCAGTTGTAAGATCAAAATTGATTATTCTTAACACTGTGATATTTCTGAGAAGTCCAAGTCAGGTCAGGGCCAACAACCCCACCTAGCAAGCATCAACTCATCCCCCTGTTTTCTTTACTTAGTGACCACACGAAAACCCTGTAACTCAAACATGGAAGAGGCATAGCACAATGAAAGATCTTAAGTTACATATACTCTTCTTTTTGTTCCAGCTAAGGCGTTCCTCTCTTTATTTTGGATGTACAACCTAAAAGTTCAGTATCTCTGGGTATCATGTAATTGCATTTTACAGACCAAGAGGCCATGTACACTAAGATTAGAACTGTAAGACCTAAGATGTAGTCCTGACTGACTGTTCCATTTACTTCTTATGTAAACCCAAATTAAATATAACCTCTATCTCCATTTTCTTCTCTGCAAAATGGAGATAATTATTCATATCTATCTTGCTTACTGAGCTGGTGTATGCATAAAATCTGGTAAACAAATACCTTAAATAGATTGCAAAATCCAAAGCACTATAAAAATATAAAGAATTGCAACCAAAAGTTTAGCAGCTGTAATCTCCAAGGCCTTTGGACATCAATGTGATCAGGCAAAACAGTTTATGTGCCCAGCTCTCTCTTATCTATTTATCACTAATAATCCCTTCACAGTCTTTCTCCACATTTCAATGTGTTTGGTGTTTATAAATAACATGCTGCTGCTGTTGCAATTTAAAGAACTTCATAAAAATCCCTACTTCGTTCAACGAAGCCCTGTGGCTTGGGAAGGCAGGGCGTGTCTTCCTGTAGACAGATTTGCTCGTAATCAAAACCGGTTTGAAAGCTTCCTGGTAACAGATTGACAGAGCATGCGGTCTTAGGTGGAGTACTCCCGGCCGCTATCCAGTAGGAAAACATACTAAGAAAAATAGATAATTAAAAGTAAAGAACCATGTTAACTCTGATGGATCATCTGGTTTATGGAAACCATGTGCAAATTGCAATAACTATGTCTACTGCATATTTTCCTTTTGATCTTCCAAACATCTTTAAATAACATAATCATAAGACTATTGAAAGGTAAACTGTATTTTCATTGGTCATTTGAAAGTATATACTACTTTTTCACCCCAAATCCATGCTAATCTCACTGCAATGGAATGTCTGGAGTTACAAGAATAGACATACTTTATTCTAGGTTACTTTTTTAAATTCCCAATTCAAAAACGGACCAAACTATAAAACAATCCATTACTACATTTCACCTCCTGTAAAAATATTTTGCAAATATTCTACAATGGTTTATTAATTTTATAACTATTTTTCCATTATTTCTCTTATTTCTCATATTGGTAATTGGGAGTCTTTACATTTTGTAGCCAGAAACATATTCGAAGAGTAAAAATAACGCTGTAACATATTTGCTTGAGACAAGAGTTTTTTCTTGAGCCTGGCCAATAGACCATGAAAATCCAACTTATATTTTTATAATATAAAGCCTAAGACTACTAGGTGAATATTACATTATTACAAGAATTAAAATTGCCACATACTCAAAGCTAATTAAAAATTGATATCATACATAGGGTATTAAAAATTAAAGAAATTCTCAAGGGTTTTTAATAGCTTTTTTACTTCTCATACCATTAGGTGAGTAGGGTAGTATCTCCTGATGGTGATCATGTGTCTAAAGGAAGGGATACAATGGTTGGATTAGGGAGTTTTTCTATTACAAGCTTTGAGACTGCAGACCCAACTAAGGCAAATTCAAAGAGGAAAAACTGATTTCCTAAACATAATTTAGAGATAAAGTACAAATATTAACCCCATGGACAAAACAAAAATCAAAGTCACTGATTAATGTATTTACTGATTGAGGACAACTTTATAGCAATTATTATTATAAATGCTTTATGTACAAAACTGAAAAAAGATATTGTCCATTACAACAAGGAAGTTGAGTTCATTGGAGGTGTCACCATGAGAACAAAAATCTTTGGGCTATAGAAGTTGAGATGTGAATGGAATCAAGACAGGAACAGGTGGATTGCCTTGAAGGTTAGCTAGTTTTAAAACTCTGTTTTAGTTACGCTTTAAGTATCTCTTTCTTCCTCCTAATCTTGCTAGCAAAAATCTTCATCTATGACCTTTCCCAGGATACAATTTGGAAATTAATTTATGACATGACTCCCCTAGTTACCATGGTTACTAGTCCTTACTCTGGGGTAGATGTCTCTTAGCACTTACTGGTTTTATAATAATACGAGGTCTGATAATCCAAAGATATAGAATGAGTTTATTTGAAGCAGCACATCTAGAATCTAGAAAGTACTTGTCTCATGAAAACTGTTTGGTAAATATTCAGTGAATGAGAGAATATACACTGGACACCAAAATAAATAGATTTTAATATGTATTAGAATTTATTACATAGGAAAATTCATTTAATCAATAATCTGAGTATAAAAGAAAAAGACACACAGTCAAACTATTTCTAATAAACATAAAATTGAGGGCTAATTACAGAATTTATTTAATTACCTCATGGATGAATTTAACAAGAGTATAGAAAAAGTTTATAATGTGTAGGTAGATCACTAGAGACAAAATTTATCTAATGTGAATACCTAAATAGCCATTGTGTTTTTTCACTTAAAGGTTTCTAGTTGTATAGAATTCACAATGCATACATTTAGGCCTGATATTTTCTTCATTAGATTTTAAAATTCCTAAATTATTTTGCAATTTCCCAACCCTCCTGTCACACAATAGTGCCACAAGCTGATACTTAAATCCCTATGTGTAATGACAAAGTACCAAACTTCCTAATTAATAATGAGTCTCAAATTCAGCTATCTCAAGTATGTTATTAGCAATAACCTTGAGGCGTCTATGCATGAGTTATTGATAGGGATGTCTTGTCCAAAACATGATTCCAGCACTTGGATAGTCCTAATAATATCTGGCTAGCAGTATGTTTCTTAATTGGAAATAATAAAAGAAACAGTATTACCACAAGTAATCAGACTTTCTTAGTTATGATACTTACACATCATAAGGCATGTGATTTATTCAACTATTTGGAGCTTCTCCAGGCACACTAGAACATAAATAAAACACAGAAGAGCAGCAAGACTGGGGAAATCACAGTGCAGTTTAGGAATTATGAAGGGGTTATGCTGCCCCTCCGCTTCAGTGTTGCAGCCGTAATGTATACGGTGCAGTTAACCTTTGACAGATAACGAGGCTTCTGTCCAGATACTAATATACAGAATATTTCGTGTCTTTCAAAGTACACCTTCAAAAGCTATTTGACAGAACCAGTCTTATATTCTAATTTCTCTAACGGCCTAGAGAGAAAACATTTTCTTTTTTTGAATTTTTGGTGAATATATTATTCTGAACTGCCCAAAAGGAAAGCCAGCTCCTGTTTGAAATCACAGCTATTAATGAAAGTATATTTTCTTTCTCCTTCCTGCTATTTCTATTAGAAATGCAGTTTATCTTTTGAATATACAGCCTCTAATGTCTTTCCTTTATTATATTTATACCAATAAAAAATTTTACAAAGATTAGTAGCAGGTAGTATTATTTTCACTGATTTATATAGGTTTTATATATTGGATGCTTAAAAACAAAGCATAAAGGCAAGGAATTAAAAATAATATCTAACTGGACAAAGAAAAGGGCAATAGTTTTGCCATAAAATGTTCACCAAGCTAAATTTGTTTCAGTTATATTGAGAGCCAGTCCTGAAACTATCAACTCCAGAGAAATTACTTTGCCTGTAATGCTAAGAGCAGCCCCTACTGGTTACAGTCATATAATTGAGACAGGGGAAATTTTAATGAAAAAAGTTAAAATATTAGAACAGAAAATATTGGAGCGTTCTGTCTTTTTAAATAGCAATGGTCTCTTTTTTTACTCTTTTTCAGTATGTGACCTGCCATATTTGCTATAAATCGCATATGAAGTATCAAATACTTAAATCTCATTTTTTGTTTCCTTTGAAGAAATTGTTTTAGATAATGCTCAAACAACCTTCCACTTGACAGAGAGCTTGCCAAAATCAGCCTTTGACAAAATTCATCTGTTAACAAGGAAAAACTAAGGAAGCATACTGTGGATGTATATTTGTAGTTTGAAATAAAAGTATAATTTTATTGGATTCATACATTATTGAATCATTATTTTCCAAATGCATAAGGGCATATTAAAAAATAATAAAACATTATATATGTTTAAAATTATGGCCCCATAAATGAAATCAGGAAATCAACAAAAATTGATTTAAAATATTTTAAAACTTTTTTCTTGCTCTAATCACCATTTTGTTGGAGGTAATTGATGAATAATAACAAAAGAATTTAAAACAAATGGAAATAATTCTGTGCTTATATTTTCTTCTCCTTTTCTGACATGTCTTCCCAAATGGCTTTACACCTAACTTCAGCACAGTGTTTCTTTGTCTATTTAAGTCTTTGACAAGACATTTAAAGAACTGAAATGATTTGTGTGTACGTATGTTTTGCATATACCTTTAAAAATACCAGAAATGTCTTACTTAACTCTTTTGAATTAATATCCAAATGATAAACATTAACATATTTGTTTAATTGGGTCATATTATGAATTCTTCATTGGGCAATATTGAATTTTCTAATGTTTGCATTCTAAGTGTTTTGCAAAATATGTTCTGTGTAATCACAATCCTCTCATATGCTACTTAGAAACAAAAATACAAAAAAGTCCCTAAAGCCTTAGAAGTTTTTTTTTAAATGCTGCATACTATATTCCCTTAAAGATTCTGAGTGCAAATTAGCATATTCAACTCTTTAATGCATCCTTTAGTAAAGAAACATGTTTAATTTTCTCTAATCCAGTTTTCCTCAAACACTTCAGTAACACGGAAACTCTTTTTCATAGCAAACCTATGAAGATCTTATGGGACTGGTCTCTTTGGGGAATATATTTTCTGTAATGTGATTCTAATTCTTTAAGGATGAATACTGAGACTGCTTTAGTCTTAGTCCTTACCTAACACCTCCTCAATCTTGAACACTTCTGGACTAATCTAGAGAAAAAATGTATCACAAAGGACTGTCTTGGCCATGTCCCCAGGGATGTGCCATCATTTTTTTTCTTTTTTTTTTTTGTTTTATACTTTATGTTCTAGGGTACATGTGCACAACGTGGTTTGTTACATATGTATACATGTGCCATGTTGGTGTGCTGCACCCACTAACTCGTCATTTAACATTAGGTATATCTCCTAATGCTATCCCTCCCCCCTACCCCCACCCCACTACAGGCCCCGGTGTGTGATGTTCCCCACCTTGTGTCCAAGTGTTCTCATTGTTTAATTCCCACCTATGAGTGAGAACATGCGGTGTTTGGTTTTCTGTCCTTGCGATAGTTCAGAATGATGGTTTCTGGCTTCATCCATATCCCTACAAAAGACATGAACTCATCCTTTTTTATGGCTGCATAGTATTCCATGCTGTATATGTGTCACATTTTCTTAATCTAGTCTATCATTGATGGACATTTGGGTTGGTTCCAAGTCTTTGCTATTGTGAATAGTGCCACAATAAACATACGTGTGCATGTGTCTTTTTGGGAGTATGATTTATAAACATCTGGGTATATACCCAGTAATGGGATGGCTGGGTCAAATGGTATTTCTAGTTCTAGATCCTTGAGGAATCGCCACACTGTCTTCCACAATGGTTGAACTAGTTTACAGTCCCGCCAACAGTGTAAAAGTGTTCCTATTTCTCCACATCCTCTCCAGCACCTGTTGTTTCCTGACTTTTTAATGATCGCCATTCTAACTGGTGTGAGATGGTATCTCATTGTGGTTTTGATTTGCATTTCTCTGATGGCCAGTGATGATGAGCATTTTTTTCATGTGTCTGTTGGCTGCATAAATGTCTTCTTTTGAGAAGTGTCTGTTCATATTCTTTGCCCACTTTTTGATGGGGTTGTTTGATTTTCTCTTATAAATTTAAGTTCTTTGCAGGTTCTGGATATTAGCCCTTTGTCAGATGAGTAGATTGCAAACATTTTCTCCCATTCTGTACATTGCCTATTCACTCTGATGGTAGTTTCTTTTAAATTCTTTAGTTTAATTAGATCCCATTTCTCAATTTTGACTTTTGTTGTTGTTACTTTTGGTGTTTTAGACATGAAATCCTTGCCCATGCCTATGTCCTGAATGGTATTGCCTAGGTTTTCTTCTAGGGTTTTTATGGTTTTAGGTCTAACATGTAAGTCTTTAATCCATCTTGAATTAGTTTTTGTATAAGGTGCAAGGAAGGGATCCAGTTTCAGGTTTCAGCTTTCTACATATGGCTAGCCAGTTTTCCCAGCACCATTTATTAAATAGGGAATCCTTTCCCTATTTCTTGTTTTTGTCAGGTTTATCAAAGATCAGATGGTTATAGATGTGTGGTATTATTTCTGAGGGCTCTGTTCTGTTCCATTGGTCTATATCTCTGTTTTGGTACCAGTACCATGCTGTTTTGGTTACTGTAGCCTTGTAGTATAGTTTGAAGTCAGGTAGCGTGATGCCTCCAGCTTTGTTCTTTTGGCTTAGGATTGTCTTGGCAATGTGGGCTCTTTTTAGGTTCCATATGAACTTTAAAGTAGTTTTTTCCAATTCTGTGAAGAAAGTCATTGATAGCTTGATGGGGATGGCATTGAATCTATAAATTACCTTTGGCAGTATGGCCATTTTCACGATATTGAGTCTTCCTACCCATGAGCATGGAATGTTCTTCCATTTGTTTGTGTCCTCTTTTATTTCATTGAGCAGTAGTTTCTAATTCTCCTTGAAGAGGTCCTTCACATCCCTTGTAAGTTGGATTCCTAGGTATTTTATTCTCTTTGAAGCAATTGTGAATGGGAGTTCACTCATGATTTGGCTCTCTGTTTGTCTGTTATTGGTGTATAGGAATGCTTGTGATTTTTGCACATTGATTTTGTATCCTGACTTTGCTGAAGTTGCTTATCAGCTTAAGGAGATTTGGGGCTGAGATGATGGGGTTTTCTAAATATACAATCATGTCATCTGCAAACAGGGACAATTTGACTTCCTCTTTTCCTAATTGAATACCCTTTATTTCTTTCTCCCGCCTGATTGCCCTGGCCAGAACTTCCAACACTATGTTGAATAGGAGTGGTGAGAGAGGGCATCCCTGTCTTGTGCCAGTTTTCAAAGGGAATGCTTCCAGTTTTTGCCCATTCAGTACGATATTGGCTGTGGGTTTGTCATAAATAGCTCTCATTATTTTGAGATACGTCCCATCAATACCTAATTTATTGAGAGTTTTTAGCATGAAGGACTGTTGAATTTTGTCAAAGGCCTTTTCTGCATCTACTGAGATAATCATGTGGTTTTTTCTTTGGTTCTGTTTATGTGATGCATTACATTTAATGATTTTTGTATGTTGAACCAGCCTTGCATCCCAGGGATGAAGCCCACTTGATCATGGTGGATAAGCTTTATGACATGCTGCTGGATACAGTTTGCCAGTATTTTATTGCGGATTTTTGCATCAATGTTCATCAGGGATATTGGTCTAAAATTCTCTTTTTCTGTTGTGTCTCTGCCCGGCTTTGGTATCAGGATGATGCTGGCCTCAGAAAATGAGTTAGGGAGGATTCCCTCTTTTCCTGTCGATTGGAATAGTTGCAGAAGGAATGGTACCAGCTCCTCTTTGCACCTCTGGTAGAATTCAGCTGTGAATCCATCTGGTCCTGGACTAGGGTTGTGCCATCTTAAACCTGACCCTACCTATCCCTTATCAACAGACTGCCAATCACCCTCAGTCTCAGTATACGTTTTTGATGCTACATCATTGTCCATAGTAGAAAATACAAACATCTTTCCATGGCACGTATTTTGGCCTATGCCCTGCCATTGATACTTGTATACCCATTAATATAAAATATATTCTTTCATTATCATTTTTAAATTTTGAACTCCATACCTTTGCTCAAATTGAAGCTTCTTCCTGGAAGGCCCACCTCTGTCTTCTTTCTTGATAAATTCTACTCAAATAAGAACTTGTGATGGTATAGCTAACTCACTCCCTAGATCATGAGCAGCTGAGAACAGGAACAGCAAGGAAAGCTCTCTGATATCTTTTAATAAGTTTCTCCTATTTTATCTACCAATAAAAAATAATTTCATGTCCCATAGCAGGATGCAAACTACAGTTTAAGAATGCCTACCTTGAATCTCATCTGAGTAAATTTTGAGTTGAGATGACTTTAAGGTACAATTGTATTGTAGTGGTATACATATATATTTGAAAAAAAAATTCTATTTTTTTCTAAAGAAATTATTACAAAAATAATGCATCATAATTTTTGAATATTCAGAAAATAAAAATAGAATGATACATAATCTAAACATTGAAAGATTATATTTATTAACATAGTATTATTTCAGTATTTGAATCTATATATAATTTTTACAAAAAATGAATCATACTATACATTTTGTATCTTGTCTTTTCATTTAACAATACAGTCCAATATATTTGTCATTAAATATTCTACCATAATAGCATTATTTTTAGTGTATCATAAATATTTTATTGTAAGAAAGATAAGTCAAAACATATTTAGCTATAATATGGTTGAATTTTAGCTTGCTTTAGTTTTTCTTTTTAATATTACAAATCATGATGTAACGAATATTCTAATACTTTTATATTTGTATACATGTGATTGTCTCCTTAAAACAAATTCATAAAATTTGAATAGCTGGGTCAAAGAATATGTACATTTTAAACACTTTTCATGTTTATGATACTTTTAAATTGTCCTTTAAAATGTAACAGTTTATGACCCTACCAGCATGATTTCTCATGCCCTTATTAACGCTGGGTGATTTACCTAAAAACACACCACCAATTAGATAAGTGAAAAATGTACCCACTTGTTTTAATTTGTCTTTAAGTCCCATTTAAATTAAATTACTTCCATATTAATAATTATATTAATCAAAATATATTATGTTGTTTTTCCATGTTTTAATGTTTCATTTACATTTTTATTGATCAATCCTTAAAACTTTTTATACATCAGGTATATTATATGAATTACATATACATATACAGTACCAGTTGTTTTTAAACTTTCAATATGCATTTTTATATATAAGGCAAATCAATTCATATTTTTTGTGATTTTTATCTTAGTTTTAGGCTTGGTAATAAATGTATCAACATCATACATATAATATTAATCATTACTTTTCTCTAGTATTTTGATTTCTTTATTTTTATACAAATAATACTTTAATATATATTAATTAGCAATCAACCACTAAATGAGAGAGGGACAAAACCCAATATCCTCACCTTCAATAATAGAACCTTCTGTTAACTCACTAACAACAATGTAGAGTAAAAATGCTGCCACATTCGATTTATCTGGATTGAAAGGTATAGGCTGGTTTCAAAAATAATGAATGGGATGAATAGGAGAATCAAGATGTTTTTTGACTAGTCCCCTTAGCAACCTGTGTAGATGAGTTTAGCTCATCTTACTATGTTCATTAACTCTCTTCTGTTATCATATGATATGGAGTTTCCAAACCAAATCCCTAAATCTACATAATGTTTTTCATTCCTCCCCTGAGAATTCGAATATTAAATGAAATTTATACAGGTTAAATTTAAACCCATAAACTAATTTCAGAGGAAGAATACATGCTTAATTTATTAAAACTAGATGTAAGTATGTTTCAGTATTCCAATAATTTGAATTCAACTATTTTTTTAAATACATACAGATAAGATTTTTATATAGAATACTGACAAGGACCAAATGTATGTTTTCTGTAACACTTAAAAATTTACTGGGATTTAGTCATGTTTTAGCTCATTAATAGTAAAATTATAATATCAGAGATCAATCATTAAAAAAACCAAAGAAATAAAATCTGTGATTTTTAAATTTAAAATTCTTAACTATATTTTAATTTTTGAATAGACTCAACTGCCATTCACATGCAGTTTCATTCACATATTCACGTATTCATGACAAGGTGCAAAAGTCAGTTTCTCTAAGTCATGATATTAATGCTAATTTCCTCCTTTTTCTTTGGTCAAATATTTTTATTTTTGTTTCTAAAACAAAATATACAGTTTATTTAGAAATAAAACTAAAAATATACAGTTAAAATTCTATGAAAGATAAGTATATATGTCAGTAAAAATACCTTTACACTTAAACAATGTTAAGAAAAATTAGACTTACAAGAAAATTGTCATAAATTTCATATAAAAAGTTATATGAAATTTTGCGTACACTGCTCTGCAAATCACTTTGTTGTTCAACTAAACTAAACAGATGTTGTTTGCTTTTACACATATTTCTGGGTAAAAACAAGCAGACATTTTAAGACGGAAGGACTTGACATATGTATTTGAGTATTTTTTATTACAAAGATACATGCACGCATATGTTTATTGCAGCACTATTGACAATAGCAAAGACATGGAATCAACCCAAATGCCCATCAATGATAGACTGGATAAAGAAAATGTGGTACATATACACCATGGAATACTATGCAGCCATAAAAAGGAACAAGATCACGTTGTTTGCAGGGACATGGATGGACCTGGACGCCATTATCCTCAGCAAACTAACACAGGATCAGAAAACCAAATGCCGCATGTTCTCACTTATAAGTGGGAACACAATAAGATCATATGGACACAGGGAGCGTAACAACAAACACTGGGGCTTGTCAGAGGATGGAGTGGTGGGAGCGAAAGCATTAGGAAAAACAGCTAATGCATGCTGGGCTTAATACCTAGGTGATGGGTTGTTCTGTGCAGCAAACCACCGTGGCACACGTTTACCTGTGTAACAAACCTGAACATCCTGCCTATGTACCCTGGAACTTAAAATAAAAATAAGCTTTTTGATGTGCTGCTGGATTCGGTTTGCCAGTATTTTATTGAGGATTAAATGCTCACCATCACTGGCTATCAGAGAAATGCAAATCAAAACCACAATGAGATACCATCTCACACCAATTAGAATGGCAATCATTAAAAAGTCAGGAAACAACAGGTGCTGGAGAGGATGTGGAGAAATAGGAACACTTTTACACTGTTGGTGGGACTGTAAACTAGTTCAACCATTGTGGAAGTCAGTGTGGAGATTCCTCAGGGACCTAGAACTAGAAATACCATTTGACCCAGCCATCCCATTACTGGGTATATACCCAAAGGACTATAAATCATGCTGCTATAAAGACACACGCACACGTATGTTTATTGCGGCACTATTCACGATAGCAAAGACTTGGAACCAACCCAAATGTCCAACAATGATAGACTGGATTAAGAAAATGTGGCACATATACAGCATGGAATACTATGCAGCCATAAAAAAGGATGAGTTCATGTCATTTTTAGGGACATGGATGAAATTGGAAATCATCATTCTCAGTAAACTATCGCAAGAACAAAAAACCAAACACTGTATATTCTCACTCATAGGTGGGATTTGAACAATGAGAACACATGGACACAGGAAGGGGAACATCACACTCTGGGGACTGTTTTGGGGTGGGGGAAGGAGGGAGGGATAGCATTAGGAGATATACCTAATGTTAAATGACGAGTTAATGGGTGCAGCACACCAGCATGGCACATGTATACATATGTAACTAACCTGCACATTGTGCACATGTACCCTAAAACTTAAAGTATAATAATAATAAAATAAATAAATAAATAAATAAATAAATAAATAAATAAAAATAAATTTTTTAAAAAAATTATTTGAGTATTTTTAGAAGAGAGTTACTCAGAGATAGTGAGGAATTCTGCAGAAAATGCAGAGGAGATTCAAAGAAAATTTGATAGCTGTCCTCCAATATATAAAGAATTGTCATAGAGGTGTAAAATGATACACTTTATCAAGATGCTCAAGCACACACAAAAGGGCCACAATCAGGAACAGAGACAAGATTCTAAGTGGAACTGGGTGGGATCACTTGGATTTTTGTTGCAAAATTATTTTCTAACAGCTCAGAAGGAAAAGCATACAGACAAATTGTTCTCTCACCTTCAATCTGGGAAGAAAAAACTGGAATGATTCAAAACCATATCATTCTAGGATTATCTAGAATAAAATTCTAGTCTTTCATCTTATTGCAATGTGCCTTTTACAGCTCACATATAATAGCTAAAGAGAACTGAAATCACACCAGCTGTTGCAATCAAAGAACCTGGAGTAAAATTAGTCACTGAAAACAGGGTAGACATAGAGGAAGAAATATAGTAACTCGAGTTTTCAGTAACTATTTTATACTTTTTTAATATCTACGTTGATCTATCGATCCACCAATATAGAGATATATTGGTATGGTAGATATCTATTTCCCCTCAAAATGCCACTTTAACTTGTTAATACGCAAATAAAATTAATAGCAAAAAGATTAATCCTCAAATATACTTAAGGAAAGACAAATCTTTTGAAAGTCACGTGCACTTTTTATTTTTAATGTAATTTGAAAGGCAAGGGACAATTTTACAGAACATTCGTAGAATTAGAAAAGGTAATTGATCGGAATCCTTTGTCTTCTGGCAGGAAAAGCTAAAAGTAAGTATACAATAAATCATGTTTAAAGTTGAACACTTTCAGGGGAAAAAATAGCACCCTTTGATTAGGACAGAGTGAACGTACACATTTTGTTCATAGCACAAATTCTTTTCAAGCTAAAATATTATACTTTTGAAAGAGGACAGCCAATTATTCCCTTTTAAAATATTTATTTAAATTTGAGTTTTTAGTAGATTTTTTTTAAGTTTATGTTAAAACTCAAGATCCTCTGAAGACACTGGGAGAAGATGGCTATCTACAAGCCAAGGAGGCCTCAAAAGCGGTCAATTCTTGCCAGGCGTGGTGGCTGAACTCTGTAATCCCAGCATTTTAGGATGTTGAAGTGGAAGGATTGCTTGAAGACAGAAATTTGAGACCAGCCTGGGCAACAGAGCGAGACCTCATTGCTACTAAAAATTGAAAAAAATTAGCCGGTCATGGTAGTGCATGCCTGTAGCCCCAGCTACTCAGGAGGCTGAGGTGGGAGGATCATGGGGGCCCAGGAGGTGGAGGCTGTAGTGAGCTATGATTGTGCCACTGCACTATAGCCTGGGTGGCATAAGGAGACCCTATCTCAAAAAGAAAAAGAAGAAGAAGAAGGAAAAGGAGGAGGAGGAGGAAAGAAAGAGAAGAAGAAAAAGACGGAAGAGGAAGAGGAGGGGAAGAAGAAGAAGTAACAGGCGGAGAAGAAACCTACCCTGATGATACCTTGGTCTTGAACTTTCAGCCTCCAAAGCTATGAAAAAACAAAATCCTATTGTTTAAGCCATCCATTTTGTAATACTTTGTTATGATAGCTCTAGAAAACTAACGAACTCTCATCTTCTAACTTCATTTTCTCCTTAACTAGTGGTACTCTGGTATGAGCTCTTCCTCCCTAATCTGCTGATGTTGTTTTCATATTGTTGTATGTGAAGTCATCTGTCAGTGTACACACAGTAGTTATTCAATAAATTTCCTTTCCATTTCCCTTGCTTGAGTCATTAGCATTTTCCTAATTACAAAACCCAATAATCTTTCCTCAGTCCCCATTCCATTAGAACTATTGAGAGTTTTGACAACATTGACTGAGCTCTTCCTCTTAACATTCTATCTTTCTTTCCCTTCTCAGGTTTGCCTCCTGGTTTTCCCTCTCCCTCATTTTAATTAATTATATTAAATAATTTATAATTTATTGAGCTTCTGTTATGTTCCATGCAATATAAGTGCTAAATTTGCATAGTATAAGAGAAAAAAAGGAAGAATGAAAAGGAATGAAAGTCTTAGAAATGAAAGTAATATTTATTTTAATATATAACCCAATTCTTCTCTATTTACCACCTCATGTATTTTTTCATTAAATCATTGATTTTATGTTTACATGATTCACTGCAGAAAGTAGAAATATAATTTCTTTTGTTACTGGATAACTTTTAAAAATATGTCTATAGTTGTTCAGATTTTAGCAATTCAGTTGATTCTCCCATCTATGAGTAACAGTACTCTTTTTTTAAAAAAAAGTCAGATTCAGGATGTACATGTACAGGTTTGTTAATGGGAATATTGAGCCATGCTGAGGTTTGGGCTTTTGGTGAACCCATCACCAAAATAGTGAACATAGGTAACTCAGTCTTGATTTCATTACATTTTTATTCCATTATTTTCTCTAGGACTCCATTACCTTAGGGAGTCTTTATGTTCCAGGGTTGGGCTTAGTAGGGCTCAAGTCTCCATTTGGGTCTAAGCCAATCAGCAAAATCCCTAGTCCTAGCCAAAGGGAATGGTTGAGAGACTGACACTTGACTTAAGTTATCCAATCACAGTGAAGCCCAAGACTTGTATTCTAAGGTTGAGGGAAAATATATTTTTGGCCTTGTTCATAACCTGCGATATGGTGCCTCAATTGCTGTAGGCCGCCATATTGTGATGTCAGAAAGCCTGTCTGAAAATAGTCACCTAAAATAGGAGGATTTTTCTAAAAGACCATGCCAATTGAAAGTATATAGTAATTTGCTCATGTTTCATCATAACACTGTTGGCCATAGAGCTGATTTTATTTAATTAGTATCTATCCCCTGGATCCCATCACAGGGTTAAATTAAGGAGTTAATATAATTTCATTAAGAAATGAATGAGGATTTTGGTATGTGTGAATATGTGTGTGGGGTTGGGTGGGTGGGTGTGTGTGTGGGTGTGTGTGTTCCTAATCATATTTTTTTGTGAACCAAAGCAAATAAAAAAATGCTGGTGTTAAGTCCTTATTTATCCAGAAAAAAAATAGCATAATACTAAAACCAAGATAACACTAATGTGATGTGATGTTCTTGTAAAAAGCTAACCTATTTCCAAAGGCTTGTGTGAAAAATCAGTCTTAAAATTATACTACAGGTTTTCACATTTTAAAAAAAATCTTCATTTGGGGTGAGGAGGTGAAATATGCTCTTACCTCTTTTATGAATTAAATGGAATATGAAAAATGCTCTAAGTATATTTCTTCACATCTTCCTTTCAGTGCTGTTTTTCCGTTGTGTGTATGCTTGCAACTTTTCTTGCTCTGCAGTTTCAAATGGAGTAGTTAAAAAATGACCCTTTTATCCAGTGGGTAAAGGACAACTTTTACCTATGAAACATTTATTTGCCTAAATTATAAGAATGCAAGATTTATATCTGACAGAGATTTAATCATTGTCTAGCCCTTCATTGTTTAGAAACACACAAAAATTAAGGGTATAGGCAGTTCTACAAAATGTCTTCTTTAGGTAAAATATGTAGAACATCTTTATCTTTGTATATAGCATCTCTGTTGATATATTTTAGCATTAATTGTTTGATCATTGTCAGGAAATCTAATTAGATAAGCCTGTTTCTACTCTCATGAAGGTATTCAAATCTTCGTATATAATGAAATTTTTCACTCATTTATTAGCTGTTGACTGATCTGAGAATAAAATAATAAAAATAAAACTCTATCACTTATGTGGGATGATGTCAAATCCTGACACATCATCCACCACTCACAGATAACTATAGACATAACTCTTATAAAGGCCTCATTATACTATATTAGGGCATAAAAAGAAGGCCATTTACCTCTCAATGCCCTAAAGTATAAAACTTGGACATTCAGAAAAAAATAAATAAGAGAAACACAATGCCATTCTAGCCCAGAATTCCTAAATTGCAAATTTGTTTTCAGAAATTACTTTTCATTATACAGTTATTTAATCTTTGATGACTATGAAGTCATGCCATGGATAAAAATTAGAGAAAAAACAGAAAAAAGTTTGTATTCTTATAAATAAGTAAAAATGTAATTCAGCTTGACCAAGAATATCTGGATTATTTTCATTTTTAATACAGTAAACTCAAAGTAAGTCATGTAAATGAAAGTCTGTTTTTATTACCTCCTCAATCAACTATCTTTTTCAAGGTGTTAACCTTGCAGTCCACTTCAATAAGAAAATACATCAACCAAACTACTCTTTCACCTGTGGTAAATATCAGCCACATTTCTAGGCAAGGGCATCTTCACTTATGTTAAAAGACTTTTAGGGTTTATCTGGCTACTTTAATAATGATTAGGCACATAAATATTTAAAATCTGAGCACATAAAACTTACTTAAAACTTTGGATGTTCCATTAGTTACTTTTCATTTATTGTTAATTAGTTAACCATCAAGTTGAACATGTTTAATTTATTTTAATTTCTTTTTATATTTTTAAAAATTGGAAATTTTTATCTGGATTTGAGCTAAACACAGCAGGAAACAGTAGATAAACAAGGTGTTTCTGGTGAAGACCTAAGTATGTTTCAGATGTTTCTGTAAATGTGTTAGCCTATAAACCGAGTCCCCACCAAAGCAATGAGATTAGAAATGTCCTACAGGGACTAACAGACTAAGTAGAACCAGCTAGAAAAGATTATAGTAAACATCAGAGCTTTTATAAAATACTATTTGTAGTAAGCCATTGGTCTTTCAAAACTGTTTCCTAGTTCAAAAGGCTGTACTTTCTTAAAATAATAAGGATAAGATAAGGCAAGTAAATTGATTAAACAAAGATTTTATAAACACCCAAAACAGAATAACTATTTTTGCTCATGCAGTTATTTAATTAGCTTTTAAAAAATTCAAAATTATTAATGTAAAACAAGAAAATGTCACAGAAATGTAAGAAAAAATCTTGGAATCTCATATCATTTACAGTAAGCTTTATGTTAGCAATAATTTTGTATTTTTAGAAAGCAATATATTTTAGTTTTTCTAAAAGCCCTGGTAATTTAGTTCTCAAAGATTTTCCTATAAAAGTTAACCTAGAAATATAGGCAAGATATAAAATGTCACTGTCATGATAATTAACATCCATTAGTCATCAAAGTCAAAGCTTTTTATGCATGTAAATATGCTTCACTCTTCCAGGTCAGAAAATAAACCTACTAAAGATGAATCTGGGCAGGAGAATTCAACACATCGGTCAAGCTTTTAAAATAAAGGTCAAAGTGAACATTTCCTCAATTTATGTTCAGGTCTCTGGGGTGTGACTTACTACTTTCTAAAGAATAAGCCAATAGTATACATCTCAATACATTCCACACAGAATATCTAGGCCAGAAGACAGTATAACGCAACATAGCAGACAGACTACAGAATTCTTCCAGATTTGTGATAGAAAAGGAAACAATTTATTTTGTTCTAAAATTTCTGCACTCATCAACACACTGAGTTACCATTCGAGGTTTTCACAAGACATTTTTCTCCTTTTTATCTTATTGAACTTGTACAAGTGTATCCTCCTTTGTATCTTTTATGATTCAAATCAATAAAGCCATATACAACTCTAAGCAAATTGACTTCAAGTCAGAGGCTATATTGATTTAACGATAAAGTTGTTCCTTAAAAATAATTTTCCTTATGGTACTGCTATTGTTTAGGATACAGTGTTATATAGGCAAAAAGATATGTTCAAAAACGCCATTTTTCTTAGTTTTGAAATGGAAGACCCATAATATTTTTATGTGCTACAAGCACACAACTAATAACTTTTTTAGAAAAAAACTTAAACACTGGAATTTTATTTAGTTCTACATAAAGTGTATTATTCCATAGCAATAAAACTTAGAATTAGGAGGATGCTTTATGTAAACAATGATTTTAAGATCTATGTCAGAGGGCTTCATAAGGAATTTCTGGATTCTATCCTTTTTTTTACAGTAAATTCCGAGTCAAGTCATGAAAGTCAAACTCTACTTTTATTAATTTCTCAACCCACCCTGTGCTTTACCAGGTGATGCCCTTGCTACCCACCTCAGCAAGAAAATACATCAACCAAACTACACTTTTTTTTTTAATTATACTTTTAAGTTTTAGGGTACATGTGCACAACGTGCAGGTCAGTTACATATGTATACATGTGCCATGCTGGTGTGCTGCACCAACTCGTCATCTAGCATTAGGTATATCTCCTAATGCTATCCCTCCCCCCTCCCCCAACCCCACAACAGTCCCCAGAGTGTGATGTTCCCCTTCTTGTGTCCATGTGTTCTCATTGTTCAATTCCCATCTACGAGTGAGAACATGCAGTGTTTGGTTTTTTGTCCTTGTGATAGTTTGCTGAGAATGATGATTTCCAATTTCATCCATGTCACTACAAAGGACATGAACTCATCATTTTTTATGGCTGCATAGTATTCCATGCTGTAAATGTGCCACATTTTCTTAATCCAGTCTATCATTGTTGGACATTTGGGTTGGTTCCAAGTCTTTGCTATCGTGAATAGTGCCGCAATAAACATATGTGTGCGTGTGTCTTTATAGCAGCATGATTTATAGTCCTTTGGGTATATACCCAGTAATGAGATGGCTGGGTCAAATGGTATTTCTAGTTCTAGATCCCTGAGGAATCGCCACACTGACCTGAATCTGTACCCACCATTTCTGTATGCTCTGTTATAATGCAAGAAGTGTTTAACCAAATGTCAACTCTACCACTTAACGTCTGAATCACACCCAACTACCTTTTTGCTTGCTGAGTTAGTTCATTTATTCTCCCTATTCCACACCAACTTTTCCTGCCCTATCAAATTTTACCCAACTACTTACAAACATGTAGTAGTATTTTTAAAAAGAAAAAAAAACAATCAAGAGAAAACAGAAATAATAAAACCAGCCTCATTTCATGTGCCACATCTATCATGAGATTTTGCACTATTTCTTTTCCTTCACAGAAAACACTTGTCTACATTTCTTTGCTTCTCATTCACTCGGCCATATCATTCTCATATATATTGCCAGCACTCCAATTTAAACTGTGTTTATCAAAGTCATCAATGACTTCCATCTTACCGTGTTCGAAGAGCAATTTTCTCTATTCATGTAGCACAGTGGTTCTCACTGGGGGCAGAATTGGTATCTCTTTACTCATAGGCCTTTTTCTCCCTCCTCCAGGGGACAAGTGGCGATGTCTGGAGACATTTTTGGTTGTCAAAACTTGGAGTTGTGCTACAACTGACATCTAGTAAACTGAGGTCGGGAATCTAGTCAGCATCCTACGGTGCTCAGAAAAGCCTCCCACAACAAAATATTATTTGGCCCAAAAGGTCAACAGTGCTGACGTTGAGAAGCCCTGAACTATCTTAACTTTCCAACAACATTCCACTGTTTTAAATACCTATTTATTGTCTATGTGGCTCCCCCAAAACATAAGCCTAATGAGTATCAGGCCTTACCTATCTTGTTTTTCATTGCTTTATTATGTGTAGAAAAGTGGCTTTTCGCAGAGTAGGCACGCAATAAATATTTGTTAAAGGCCTTTCTTCTCTTTTTTTTATTTTTTATTTTTTTTGAGTCAGGGTCTCCCTGTGTCACCTGGGCTGGAGTGCAGTGTTGCGATCACGGCTCACTGCAGCCTCGACCTCCTGGGCTGAAGTGATCCTCCCACCACAGTCTCCCAGGTAGCTAGGACTACAGGCATGTGCCATCCCACCCAGCTAATTTTTGTATTTTTTTGTAGAGGTGGGGTCTCCCACCCAGGCTGGTCTTGAACCCAAGTGATCTGCCTGCCTGTGCCTCCCAAAGTGCTGGAATTACAGGTGTGAGCCACCGTTCCCAGTCTGCATTTCTTAAATAATACTGTTCTCACAGGATTATTGCTTTAGTTAGTGATCTGCTTAAACATTTAATTAAAAGTCAAATAGATTGCTTCTACTTTTACAGGAGGGTTTACCTGACTGCCAACCCTTCACTATACAATTTCTCTAGAGTAAAGTTGAAGTTCTTGTTGTTTCCCCTTCTTCTGTCCATCTACATGCTGAAAGATGAGAAACTCATAGATACAAAGATTTATTGAAGTATAGAATTTTATATAGCTAAGGAAAAATAGAGCTTGGAGTAGCTTGGATTCAGGTCTGCTACTATTGATATTTATGAGCATTTTAGGTTACTACAGCATTTATAAAAGCTTAAATAGGCCTTTTGTGGCTGGTCAAAAATCTCATCTGCCCTTTAAAATTTTGAATTATTTGTTTGCATATTGTTTGTTTCCTATTGTTGGATTCCAATTCTCAGAAAATAATTTACAAACGAAATTGAGGAAAAAATTCCTTTGAGCATGGAGGAATGTTTATAGCAGACACCACAACAGAAAATACCAGAAAAAAAAAAACTTGTGAATAATAAAAAGACCAATGTAATAAACCCTATTCTAGATGATAAAAATAACAGAAGTCTCTTTCTTACTATAAAATAATGCAAACATGAATAATACTTTATAAAACTTCATACAAAAGTTTTATCTAGAAATAGTGATTATATTTCAAAGAGAAAAAAACACTATATTAGTTTCCAATCTGGAAGCTATGGTTATAATTATTGCACGTAAAAACATGTGATTCTTACAACATATTTTTAAACCTATACTAAGCTCAATTCTCTGCCATTCTCAATAACTTTGCAGAGCCTGCCCCCAAAACAGAGTTCATATATGCACATCTTGGGAATGCACATAAAAGCAGGATAGAGTATGCTGTAACAATGAAATATTATCATTCTTTTCTGCCTCACATATTTTAGATTACCATTTACTGTCGACAATATAGAAAGGTACTTTTGTTAAGCAGTAAGTTTTAAACTCTTACTGAGAACATTAGTAAGTAGTGATGATTTTATGCTAGGCTTTATCCAAAATTTTCATGGATTCAGTACACGAATTATGTCCTTCAGGTTCAGAATGAAATAGATTAGATCATACCTTTAGGTAATGAAGCTAATGGGTAATGTCCTCAAAAGAGTTTTCAAAGTCCAGTTTATATTAAAAGATGAGCCAGGTTTCATTTAAATCTATACTTCTATTTATAAATGTTACTTACTGCAGATCCTCTTCCAGAAATTCTAAAAGTCTGTCTATTTTTATCCTCCAAAGCACATGTTCCAAACAAAACATTTATTGGTGAAAAAAGTAACTGATTGTTGGATAATCAGTTTTTTGTGTGTGAATTTGCCTCCTTGAAGAAGTCATTTCAAATGTCAAACAGCTTCCCTTAATACTGACGGCATTCAGCATTGCCGCTGTGAAAATGCCCCCAAACCACACAAACTAGGACAACACTAAATTGTATCCACTTAATATTCAGTGTCTACTGATACGTTTGTAGGCTTTATTATTTTATTTTATTTTATTTTATTTTATTTTATTTTTTGAGACGGAGTCTCGCTCTGTCGCCCAGGCTGGAGTGCAGGGACGCGATCTCGGCTCACTGCAAGCTCCGCCTCCCGGGTTCCCCCCATTCTCCTGCCTCAGCCTCCCGAGTAGCTGGGACTGCAGGCGCCACCACCACGCCCGGATAATTTTTTGTATTTTTAGTAGAGACGGGGTTTCACCGTGTTAGCCAGGATGGTCTCGATCTCCTGACCTCGTGATCCGCCCGCCTCGGCCTCCCAAAGTGCTGGGATTACAGGTGTGAGCCACCGCGCCCGGCCTTTGTAGGGATTATTTTAAAAAAGAGTTTTGACTTTTATTTTAGAATAAAGTTATTTTTATTTATAAGATAAATAAAATAGGGGTGTGCACAGGTTTGTTACATGGGTATATTGCATGATGCTGAGGTTTGGGGTACAGCTCCTGTAACCAAGACAGTGAGCATAGTACTCAAAGGTACTATAGGGAGTTTTTCTTTTTTCTTTTCCCTTTCCCCTTTTTTTTTTCTTTTTTTTTTTTTTTTGAGACAGGGTCTCCCTCCGTCACCCTGGGCTGAAGCTGTACGTGATCTCTGCTCACTGCATTCTCTGCCTCCTGGACTCAGGCCATCCCCTCACCTCAGCCTCTCTAGTAGCTGGTACTACAGGTGTGCACCACTATGGCCAGATAAGTTTTGTGTTTTTAGTAGAGATGGGGTTTCACCGTATTGCCCAGGCTGGTCAGGAACCCCTGGATTCAAGTGATCTGCCTGCCTTGGCCTCCCAAAGTGCTGAGATTACAGGCGTGAGACACTGTGCCTGGCCCCAACAGGTTTTTAACCCATGCCCCGCTGCCTTCCTCCCCCTCTAAATAATCCTCAGTGACCATTGTTCCTGTCTTGATGTCTATGAATACACAATGTTTTGCTCTCACTTACAAGTAAGAACATGCAGTATTTGATTTTCCATTTCTGAGTTTATTTGCTTAAGATTACGGCCTACAGCTGCACCCATGTTTCTGCAAAGGACATGATTTCATTCTTTTGTTTGGCTTGGTGGTATTCCATGGGGCACATGTACCATATTCTTTTTAATCCATTCCACTGTTGATGAGCACCTAGGTTGATTCCATGTCTTTGCTATTGTGAATAGCACTGTGATGAACATATGATTGCATCTATCTTTTTCGTAGAACAATTTATTTTCCTTTGGATATAAACTTAATAGTAATGGGATTGCTGAGTGGAATGGTAGCTCTCTGTTAAGTTCTTCCAGAAATCTCCAAACTGCTTCCTACAGTGGTTTAACTAATTTACATTCCTACCAACAATGCATAAGCATTCTAGCGAGGAATTTTTATTTGCATTACTACTTATGTCAAATAGCTTTGGCTGCTTGAAATTCATCTTATTTATTGAAGAGAGAAAATGGAGTAGATGAATTCAATCAAGAGTTTATTTTAAACCTTGTGTTAAGGTTTAAGCACTTTCACAGTTTTGGGGGTGCTGATCTTAGTTTATGTGGCTCTTTATTCAGCAGTTTTACAGTGTCTTTTTAAAACTGCCAAATGCTAGTCCCTAGTTAATGGCAATTTTAGTTATTGAAGAGTCTGGGAGAAAGAGGGACAAAGCACAACTTTGCATGAGTTGTTCATGCTGGAAAGGTGTGTTTGGGGCACTGTGAACTAGACCTGAGCCAAGGCGGTCTAACCCTGGCTCAGGTTAAGAGCCAGAAGAAAACATAGAAGAAAAATCAATTTGCTGAAAGTCGTTTCTCCAAAGAGTCAGCTTTCCAAAAAGATAATTACCAAATTTATGAGCTGTGGGTTTATACATTTAAAAGCTGTGACAGTGATGTGTAAAAGTACTAACCAAAAACGTTAAACAGTTTAATAATATGCAGACTACACATCCCAGTTTGCCTGGTAGGATCTCAGTTTATACCCGTTGTCATTGGGCAATCACTAATAGTGCCCCCTTTTACTCTCAAATGTGTTTCAACTTGGAAGATGAATTATATGGCCACCTTATTTAATAGAGAAATTTTATTTTTGTTACAGAGGAGATAATATTTTTCCAAATATTAACATATATCTTGATAAATTAGTAGAATTCTAAAGATTCTAAAATGTGGGTATTATGGGCTAGACGTTTTTGTCCCCCGCCCCCATGTTCGTATGTTGAAGTACAAACCCCAAATCTGATGGTATTAGGAGATGGAGCTTTGGTTAGCTTATGAGGATGAGGCCCTCATGAATGGGATTAGTTCCCTCATAAGCAGAGACATGGGAAAGATGCCCTCTGTGGTCTCCTACATGTGAAAATATAACGATAGATGCTCTTTCTGGTTTCCTTCACATAGAGATATAACAAAAAGATGCCTAGTTACAAACCATGAAACAGGCCCTCAGCAGACACTGGCTCTGCCAGCACCTTGATCTTGGACTTCCCAGCCTCCAGAACTATAAGAAATAAATGCATGTTGTGTAAGCCATCCAGCCATTCGTAATTGTTTATAGAAGCCTGAATTGACTAAGACAGTGGACAAACATAAATGAGTATAAAACAAAAAAAATTCCCACATGAAACATTATTTTTTCATTTACTGATATTTATAATTCCTGAGAACAGATTTTAAAAACTGTAACAGGAATTACCTGTTAGCTGAGGGACTTGGGCCTGTTAATTTAAGCTTTTTGTACTTCTATTTCCTCATCTGCAAAATGGTGATAAAAACAGTGTGAAGATAAAATGATTTAGTTTATGTAAACTGCTCTAATGTGCTTGGCACATGCTTAGTGCCATATAAGATGTAGACATCATTGCTAACAATAAGTTGGTAAATTTAGCAAAATAAATGAATTGATCTTTTAGTGAATTGGCCTGGGAACAATGTCCTTTCTCAATTTTGTTTTCTAATACTTGACATACAGCATGTACAATATATTTCTAGGGTTTCACAGGAATATCCCTGAGAGTCATAGGGAAATGGTAACTGTGTGAACCAGCACATTTGAATTTGTTCAGTTGACGTAATCTCCCTTCTTTGTATACACAGTCTGTTGATACCTGGGGAAACTTGAATTTTTCTATTTTTTTCCTTCTGGGCAGGGACACAGCCTGAAGAATCAACATTCACAAAACATTTTTTTCATGTTCAAATGGGTAATTTGTATCTGATCACCCCCAAGCCAGTGAATATCTCTCTTCTTCTCATAGAATTGCTTTTCTGTGCATTTCTTCATAAATTATAATTCAGAAGATAGCATCAAAATATGCCTCTAGTTACCTGAGAAACACCTCCCCCCCCCACCCCCAGTCAACTGAAATGTCATCAGTATGCTCAGAAATGAACACTTCAGGGCCATAAGGAAGACTACATGACTCTTAAGATCTGCTATGCACAATCAGCTTAGTGCATTGGACTCATCATAAACCTCACATTCTCCAATGCGTATTAGAACAAAAGCAAAAGATATTTATTGGCCATATATACAGAAGTAAAATCTGTTTGCTAAATTATGTTGCCAGTCCTTCACCAATCTCTCTTTTCTGGCCATCCCATGACAATCATTTCATGTCAGTCCTCATCATTACACACTCAGACCGCTTCATCACTTACTAATGCTTGTGTTCCTTTCTTTCTTTCTTCTGTCAACCATCAAAGAGTAAGTGCCTTTGTGTAGCAAGCATTATTTAGGGGCCAAAAAAATTTAATAAAACTGGGTAACTACACTGAAAAATTTTAAAAATCAACTGGAGGAGAGCAGGTTCATCAAGAATTGATAAATTTCCCAGCCTATTGGTCAGCTTCAGTTCCCATTTCCCACACGCTGCCTCCTACCCTGCCACCTCCCATCAGCAACAGTTATCTTTCTAAAATTCATCTCCATTCTTCCCTAGTTAAGCCTCCAATAATTCCCCTAGAAACTTCAGGATAAAATCCCAAGTTCTCGTCATCATATGAAATCATATGAAGATTTCAAAATGTACTTCAATTTATCTTTCTGGCTTCAACTTCAGCCACATCAACATATGCACCAGTCTCCTTCAGTCTTCTAAGACTTCCCCATACTCTTATATTTTCTACCAAACACTCTCCTTTACTTGTAAAACTACTACACATACTCCAAAAATAATCTCAGGGGTTCACTTTCTTGCTAAAGTTTTCTCTGATTTTCAAAGTCACAGTAAGCCATTCCTTCCTTCCAGTTTCTACTAATGGCACATAATTTCATTATGGTATTTAAAATCACATGATTCCCGGGTGAAATAACTGGCAGTCTGGGCTCTGAAAGATGAAAAATCATGCCTGGCTGCATGGAAATTTGTTGTATTTCCTCATTTCTGTTGCAATATTGGCTCATAGTAGATAATCAATAAATACATGTTAAACAAATTAATGAATTGGACTCACACTTCAGGCATATTTGATATTTCCCTGAAGTATTTACATCACCCCATCTTCTCTTTTCAAAATAGAGTCCCCATGAATTCCTAAGACATCGTCCTTTCTTCTCTCATTACAATTATGTTCACAAAGTGTTAGAGAGAATTGTATGAGTACCAGAAAGTGGTGTCTTGTTCAGGCTCTTTGATTTGTTAATAGAGAGGTGAAACTTAATTGCAGAGTTCTTTCTATGTTTCTGCATTTATTAGCCTCATAAAAAGCAGGATCCAAATACAGTAACAGAGTCACTATTCTGTCCAATAGGAAAATTATTTCAATCTGGTCATTCAATGCCAGGCAACAGAAAGGAGTAGTATTAACTAAGACTGTATTCCTTTAAGTTACCATTGAGAAAGAACTTGAAAAAAAAAACATTTTGTGTCCTAGAATTGAGAATTTGAAGTCAAAAAGCGGGATATGGTCACAATGCTATGCTCATAGGATTTGCCTGGAAAATGCATAATAGCCTCCCAGGAATTCTTAAAATCCTACAACAACAATGAGAAGTTCTGTGGTACCCAGTGTCTTCCCTTGGCATTTACGTATTCAGGAAAGCTTTCATTAAACTAAACGCTGAACCCAAAATGTGTAGTATTCATAAAAATAAAGGCAATTTAAAATGGAGAAATCCAAATATGAATTATAATGTTGTCATGTTGGTTAAAATAGACATACATATAATTTCATAAAACAATTTGAATTATCTTAGTAGACTTCCTTTGCTATTTTAATGAAAGTTAAGGGATCACTGAGGAACACAACACAGTGTGTCTCCTGGGCATGGAAAAGCGGGTAGGGAATAGGAGGTGAAGAAAAGCGGGTAGGGAGTAGGAGGTGAGGAAAAGCGGGTAGGGAGTAGGAGGTGAGGACAAGCGGGTAGGGAGTAGGAGGTGAGGAGAAGCGGGTAGGGAGTAGGAGGTGAGGACAAGCGGGTAGGGAGTAGGAGGTGAGGACAAGCGGGTAGGGAGTAGGAGGTGAGGACAAGCGGGTAGGGAGTAGGAGGTGAGGACAAGCGGGTAGGGAGTAGGAGGTGAGGACAAGCGGGTAGGGAGTAGGAGGTGAGGACAAGCGGGTAGGGAGTAGGAGGTGAGGACAAGCGGGTAGGGAGTAGGAGGTGAGGACAAGCGGGTAGGGAGTAGGAGGTGAGGAAAAGCGGGTAGGGAGTAGGAGGTGAGGACAAGCGGGTAGGGAGTAGGAGGTGAGGACAAGCGGGTAGGGAGTAGGAGGTGAGGAAAAGCGGGTAGGGAGTAGGAGGTGAGGAAAAGCGGGTAGGGAGTAGGAGGTGAGGAAAAGCGGGTAGGGAGTAGGAGGTGAGGACAAGCGGGTAGGGAGTAGGAGGTGAGGAGAAGCGGGTAGGGAGTAGGAGGTGAGGAGAAGCGGGTAGGGAGTAGGAGGTGAGGACAAGCGGGTAGGGAGTAGGAGGTGAGGAAAAGCGGGTAGGGAGTAGGAGGTGAGGAGAAGCGGGTAGGGAGTAGGAGGTGAGGACAAGCGGGTAGGGAGTAGGAGGTGAGGAGAGGTGGGTAGGGAGTAGGAGGTGAGGAGAAGCGGGTAGGGAGTAGGAGGTGAGGACAAGCGGGTAGGGAGTAGGAGGTGAGGAGAAGCGGGTAGGGAGTAGGAGGTGAGGAGAGGTGGGTAGGGAGTAGGAGGTGAGGACAAGCGAGTAGGGAGTAGGAGGTGAGGAAAAGTGGGTTGGGGAGTAGGAGGTGAAATAGGAGGTAGGAGAGTGAAGGACAGTAAGAAATAGAGGATGCTGACGTGGGAATGATCAGAAAGGATAATACTAATAGATGGTGAAGACAAACGTTGATGCTTTTCAAAATATTTGTTTTATATTCCCAAACTAAGAAAGTAAATCAGACACCAGGCTATCAACCTCTCAAGACTATACTGATGGAAGTGTCTTAGAAATACATGTGTAGGCCGGGCGAAGTGGCTCACGCCCATAATCCCTACACTTTGGGAAGCTGAGGCGGGTGGATCACCTGAGGTCAGGAGTTCGAGACCAGCCTGGCCAAGATGGCAAAACCTCGTCTCTACTAAAAAAACAAAAATTAGCCAGGCGTGGTGGCACGTGGCTGTAATCCCAGCTACTCAGGAGGCTGAGGCAAAAGAATTGCTTGAACATGGGAGGCAGAGGCTGCAGGGAGCTGAGATTTAACCACTGTGCTCCAACCTGGGCAACAGAGTGAGACACTGTCTCAAAAAAAAAAAAAAAAGAGAGAGAGAGACAGAAAAGAAATACATGTGTACTCAACAGGAAAAAGTGGCATATTCAGAATGTTTAAATATAAATATAATCACTGAAAATAAGCCCTAAAACATACCAAACCTTCCAATTCCTTTCATTGTTTTATTTTTTCATGGCTTATTCTCATGACAGTCATAAAAGTATGGGTAGATTAAACCTCAGCTGCCATAGGTTTGCAAAGTGATCTTAATTTAATAATCTGTAACTATTAGAGTGGTGAATTATTGCAAAAGGGGAGAGAGTATTCCCACATTGTTTTCAGAGTCAATTTCTAGTATGATTTTTATTACTATATCCTAGAATTTGGCTCCATTTGAAAACAATTAGAAAACCTTGGTAATTGTTTTATTTATTTGTGTTAAAAAAAAAAAAGACAGTTACTCTGGTAGTACAGTCACAATTCATTTATAGAGCTCAATCTGTTAAGCTGGAACTGAAAATGACTCTGGATAATGAACAAAGTAATAAGCAAATCTCTGACAGGGACTGTTATGATTTTAGTATATCAGGGTTGAAACTGTCTCAAATGACTGAGACAGAAATAATCACTGGATCACTAGTAAAGTCTACATTTATTGTGACTATAAGATGTTTTAAGTACCAAAAAAGGACAAAAATAGAGAGAGGCAGAGACAGAGAGAAACATAGAGATAGGGAAGGAGGAGTAGAAGAAAAGAATAAATGAATAAAAAAAAAACAACTTATGGTCAATACTTTTACTACTGGTACTCTATAAACTAAAATGACTTCTAAAACAAAAATGGGGAAACGTTTTTATCAAGATGCCCTCTGGCACATTTTTAGCAGTAAATGATAGATTTTTGTATAAGCATATTTTACTGTCGAATTACCATTTCTACTTGTATTCACATTGTAAGCTGCGATCCAGGGTGACTGGACTGTAGGTTGCAGGGATGAACTTCTAGACAATGGTTGACTGTAAAACCAGTTAACTGTTTTTCCAATAATTACTGGCCTCTAGGGGGACATAATTGTAATATATGAGTTTTTAGCATCATGGTTCTCAGTGAAAACTGTTTTATAGAACTGACAGGACTGAATAAAATAGACATGCTTTCACACACGAAGATAGCGATTTAATGATTTACTAATGTTTTAAAACAAACAAGCAAGGCTTGGCAAAATACAATTTGCAATAACATCTGATATTATAAGAGTTAACTTTAGAAAAGGATTATTTAGGAAAAGAAATAGGTCAATTTTCAAAAAATATAATAAACGTATTTCATAGTGTTTTAATTAACCATAAAACAAACTCTTGCTTATTTTTCAAAACATGAAATGACTTGATGAATGCTAATTTTGGTGTAACAACACAACCCAATAATTACACTAGTAGGGGAAAACAAGGGGGCACATACACACACAGAATGAATATGTTTCTAAAATTGTTTGTTTGTGGTATAGCAAAGACCTGTATGATGACATTTTATATTTCTATAGCAAGAGCACGTGCCTACAACTAGGAATATTTTTTGTAATGTCTGTCTTCAGCAATAGGTTACTTGTCCTTCATTTCTCGGTGTTTTTTCATTTATAAATATTAATACAAAATATTTGTACATATCTATACAGTATA
Organism: Homo sapiens; assembly: GCF_000001405.40. Lineage (NCBI taxonomy): Eukaryota > Metazoa > Chordata > Mammalia > Primates > Hominidae > Homo > Homo sapiens. The sequence goes on along the minus strand of NC_000003.12, from coordinate 76,728,007 downwards.
TGTGATATTTTGATACATGCATACAATGTGTAACAATCAAATCAGGGTACTTAGGTTATCCATCACCTCAAGCATTTGTCATTTCTTTGTGTTAGGGCATTTCAAATCATCTCTTCCAGCTATTTTGAAATATACCATACATTGTTGTTAACTATAGTCACCCTACCATGCCATCGAACACGAGAACTTTTTCCTTTTATCTAACTGTAGATTTGTGCCCATTAACCACTTTCTCTTTACTATCCATTTCCTGCCCCCTTCCTGACATTTCCTAGCCTCTGTATCTAGCATTCTACTCTCTACCTCCCTGAGATCAACTTTTTTAGCTTCCACAAATGAATGAGAACTTGCGATATTTGTTTCCGTGCCCAACTTATTCCACATATCATGACTTCCAGTTCCATGCGCCTTGTTGGAAATACCAGAATTTCATTCTTTTTTATGGTTGAAGACTATTCCGTTGTATGTTTATACCACATTTTCTTTAGTTTTTATTCTCAGTACATTAGAGTCTAATACATATTAGGGCTCAATATTTGTTGAATGAATGAAAATAAAAGCACATTACTCAAAATAAATTGGCCAAATAAAAATGAATAAAATGAATTTAGGGCAGCAAGTAGGGCTACAAATCAGGAATCAGGGCTTTTTAAATATTTCCATTTCTATGCTTCTGTCTTCCTTTCTATTTTCTTCATTTTGTGTTTGTTATATTTCCTTACTTAAGATCATTTTAGAACTAACTGGTGTCCTCAAGACTGGAGCCCAGATCTTCTGACTTCAATAACTTTATTCTTAGAGTCTAGCAGCCAAAACATCATGAAAAGAGAAACAGATGTTCATCAGCTTTTTCTATGTTACAAATACTGCATGTTATATTCTTTGAGACAATGAAAATATGACATATGCAACAGTCAAGAAAACCAATATTCAATTTTGATATTACTTCAGGATTAAGAATTAGCACAGACCAAAGAAATGCTCAAAGAATGTAATGACTCGATCATTGGGAACATCAGTTCCAGTTTTACGTGTGTCAGTCATAAATAATTCAGGTTGTAATAACACATCGGAACCCCTTTTCTACTCCTGAAAACAAAGGGCCTAAAACCTGTATAAGCCTCCTTTTTGTAGCTGTACGAGATAGCTTTTTCCTCTGAATGAATAAAAAATGTTCTTTGCCTCTGGAATTCATTCCTTCATTCCTTCACTCTTTTATATATTTGTCAGATATTTATGAAGAACTAATTAGGCACAAATAAACAAGGCTTGGGAAAATACAAGTCGCAATAACATCTGATATCATAAGAGTTAACTTTAGGAAAGGATTATTTCAGAAAAGAAATAGGTCAATTTTCAGAAAAATGGTAGGAGTGAGGCTCCTCAATACGAAGCAGATGCAGAAACCACACTTGGGACCTTACAGAGTTGGTGGAGGTGGAGAGGACTCACTCGACATGAAAAAAAGTATCAGTAAATTATAAGGTTGTAAACTCAGAAAAGTGAAGACAAAAGGCAGCCCAAGGTACACAGAGAAACATGAAAACTTCATAGAGGATCACTATTCTGAACACAAATCTAGAGAATGAGAAAAATTGCAGTAAGCAAGTTGCGGGAGGGCAAAGTGTTAACAATATACCTAAAAAAATCATAGCCTAATTTTTTTTAGAACTACTAATAATTAACGATTTCTGAAAAATGAAGCGTATGGAGAACAAAATGAGACTGAACAGGTAGACAGAGATCAGCACATGCCCTGGAGGTATGACAGCCTTCAAAGATGAGTGACAGGTACACTGTTTACAAGATCAGCCTGGAAACAGTATAGAAATGGATATGCAGGGAGAGACAGAAAAAGCAAAAAGAAGTGAGTCTGTGCAAATTTTCTTTGAAGTAATTTACTTTAATTAACTAAGAAAAAACAGACTGATGTATGCGCGTGTGATGTTAGCTTTCTTGGGTACTCTAAGGATGGTTTCTTAGCATTTGAAGGGACCCAATCTTGAACACACATCCAAGAGATAGCTCTGTAAGTAATTCGCATATGACCTAATCTATGGCAGAAGTTTCACTAATTAGCTTAGTTAAAGGATGTTAGACATTAATATTCGTTGGAGAAATGGGGAACACTCCAAGTGTTTGTTTAGCTAGAAAGATTCCGAAGGCTCATTGCTCCTCTGTGGATACTCTAGGGGAAATAAACAGTTAAAGAGCTTGCTACCTTCAGAGTAGTGCCCTCAGTGTAGAATTCCACTGAGGCCTGCATTCCCCCACCTAACAGAGAATACCTGCCTTTGATCCAACTAGAACTTTGGCTGCTCCAAAGGCCAAAATATGACTACGTTGACTCAGGGACTGGTTCCCATAGAGTTCTTACAGAAAGAAAACAGAAGCTTGCTGAGTTTCAGGAACATGTATGAAATGAAACTTTGTTATTGCTTACTAATAAGCATCTGCACATATAGCAGATTTTGATCTGGCATATGTCTCATTATAGCAAACCAGAAAAAATTTTTAGAGACAAGTATAATCACTTCCTATCCCTAGTCACTGAAAGCCACCAGTATTTACAAAAGGAACATAATAATTTCTGAAATAACAAGAACTTAGGTCAGTTTGCCACAGAGCCAATTCTAGAAGGCTGGATCAAAAGTCATTTGTGCAAGGACAATGGCAGTGGGTCTGTAAAAGAAGGAATAATTTAGAGAGAGATGTATTAAATAGAATCAACAGAACTTGACATGTTAGATATTAGGGATAAAAATTAAAAAATATTTAGAGAAGTTTGTGCCTGTTACTTAAAAAAGAGTAGAAAATTTGAAAAAAAAAATTCTTGGCCATTACCTTAGTGCCTTCTGGGCGCTATAATAAATGACCACAAACTTGGTGGTTTAAAACAACAAACTTATTTTCTCACAGTTACGGAGGGCAGAAGTCTGAAATCAGTATTACTGAGCTGACATCAAGTTGTCAGCAGGGATATGTTCCCTGCAGAGACTCTAGGGAAAAACATGCTGCTTGCCACTTTTATTATAGCTTCTGATGGCTGCTGGAGTTCCCTGAATTGCAGCCAAATTACTCCACCCTCTGCCTCTGTGGTCACACTGACTTCTTTTCTGCGCCTATGGAATCCTCCCCTGCCTCTCTCGTAAGGACACTCATGATTGAATTTAGGGCCACCTGGATAATAAAAGCTAATCTCCCTATCTCAAAGTCCTTAACAGAATCACGTCTTCAAAGACCATTTTTCCATATAAGTAACATTTATAGGTTGCAGAGATTAGGGTGTGATATCTTTGGGGCCATTACTCAGCCTACTACGGACATATTTAATTTTAAGTGGCTGCTGGAAATTCAAGAGGATGTATTTGGTAAACAAATAGATATTGGGGTCTGGAGGTATGAAACAGGAAGCAAGATCACCTGCTGAAAGAAAACAGTGCTGGGGAAATGGAATTCTTGGCATCATAAATTTCTGAATTAGCTATTGGGGAGAATAGAGCAGAGAGCTGACTAGCTGGTAAGCAGTGTATTAAATGGTGTAGGTGGAGAATAACAAATATGGTACTGTCAATAATCTGAAGACTTGCGGAAATAGTTGCCAGCTGTTCTGAGATGGCTGGATATAGCAGTCAAGATGGTAGTTGGATTAACATAAGATTGTGGTTTGTTGAACATATTTGATTGAAAATATGAGACAGAGTTTCAGTCTGCTGCCCCTGCTGGAGTGTGGTGGCATGATCTTGGCCTAAGGGGGTCCAGAGGGCTGGTCAGGAGCTACTGCAGTGTTGGATATTGGGATTTGGGCTGGATGGAGAAGCAAATGAAGACAGGAGAATGCTAAAACATCTAAGGACAAAAGCTGAAAGTATAATTAATAGGAATTAAAAGATAAAAGTTTATGTGCCAAGAGTGGAATTCATGATGTCAGAGGTAGAATAATCGACCACAGTGTCTACATGGGAGTGGGTGACTAGACAGTGTAGATGCTGAATGTGATTGCTGAGTACAATAAGCAAGAGAATCTAGACGGCCATTCTCAAACTTTAATGTGTGGAAACATAGTTTGGAGAGCTTGTGATGCAGAACTTGCTGATTTTACTTCTAGGGATTCTGATTTAAGAGGTCTGGTATGGTATTCATGAATTTGCCCCCTTAACCCAGATGATTTGGATACAGGTAGTAGACAACTCACACTTAGAGAAACTGCTATAGAAGGTTAGAATTATAATCTGTATAAATATTGTTGATAGCAGTATGAAAGCAAGACTTTGGATGAAAGAGAAAAGTGTGTCCACCAGTCACCAAAGTCTTTAATGAATGGAGATGAATGGGGAAATAAGTCAGTAAACAATAGAATATGTAGCTATGGGGCTTACTAGCACTGGAAGACAAGGACAAAGAGGAGACAAAGAATTTTGTATGAGAATGAAGTGGGCGGGGCCTAGACTTATAATAGGAGGCTGGGAGAATGGCAGTTCCATCCCTCGGTGGGGAGACAGTAAGGAAACTGTGTTGCCTCTGCACAAAGACCTTCCCAGAACATTATTTTCTTCAAGGAAGAGCCAAAGTTTAAATAAAGCAAACAAATAGTCTTGTCACTTATGTTTATGGATTTTTTTCCCCAAAGATGGTGCACTACTCATATTTTATCTCCCACATTTTCTATGTATATAAAAGGAACTCAATACATTTTAAAAATAATATTTATTTCTTCTTTATATATGAACTTGGCATTTAATCAGTTGATAGAAACTTACCTTAATAGCATATTTTATTTCGAAAATGATGTGATATGAATGTATACTATTGTAATACATACTTTAAAAATAATAATTCTGACAAGTAAAATGTTAATTTTTCTTTTCCATCCAAATAGAAAAATTGTATAACACAAGGAATAATGTATGAAACACACATTTATATATTTTCACCTTTAAAAGTAATCATATTCTAATTTTAGTATGTAAAATTAGAAGCAGTGTTATTTTCTGACAAAACATATCTATAGTTTTATTTTCCATATTTCAATTGTAAGAAATTAATATAAATTATGTACATAAACAAAAAAGTACCTTAAATTTGAAAAGCATTTTGTCTAATGTTCATAGCAGCTTTATTAATCGTAGACAAAAGTTGGAAGCAATCCAATGCCCATTAACTGGTAAATTGATAACCAAAATGTGATGAAACACTATTCAGTAACAAAAAGCAATGAAGTACTGATATATGCTACAATATGGATAAACCTCAAAAATATTCTAAGTGAAAGAAGCCATTCACAAAAGATCACACATGGTGTGCTTCCACCTACACAAAATATCCAGAAGAGACACAACTGTGGCGATAGAATGTAGATTAGTGATTGACCCTGGGGCCAGCCTGAGGGTGTAGGGAGAGAGAATGGGTAGTGAGTGCTAATAAACACCAGGTTTCATTTAAGTGGTATATTCTAAAATTAGGTTATGATGATGGTTGCATAATTCTGTAAATGTGCTAAAACCCACTAAATTGTGTACTTTAAGCTGGTGGACTTTATGGTAGGTAAACTGTCTCTCAATCAAGCTGTTTAAAAAATACAAAGTTTTGGCCAGGTGCGGTGGTTCACGCCTGTAGTCCTAGCACTTTGGGAGGCTGAGAAGGGCGGATCATGAGGTCAGGAGTTCGATATCAGCCTGGCCAACATTGCGAAACCCTGTCTCTACTAAAAATACAAAAATTAGCCAGGCGTGGGTGGCAGGCACCTGTAATCCCGGCTACTTGGGAGACTGAGGCAGAAGAACGGCGTGAAACACAAAGTTTTCCATCTAAGATCTCCCTCCAGGATAAACCTGTGGTCAACCCAATGACAAGGCCCCCAACAGTGTTTCCTCCTACTTCATTCCCTCTGTTCCCAGTTTACAGTTGGTTCACTCTTTCCTGCCTTCAATTTTTAGGAAACATTTCCAGAGGCATTACTATTAACCTGGAAACCTATTTCATTCAGTCATAGAAGTCCCACCTAAGTCTTTTCAAATCACTTAAACCTGATTTCTTCATGGCAGACAGCAGAATGACTTCCTACCTCAACTCTACCCCCTTGGCAATGAATATAAAACACATTCTGATACATACACGCAAGTTTCTTGTAAAATAAATCTCTAAAGCCAATTGTAACACACTGGGTGTCCCAAATCTTCTTCCCAAAGATCAAAGCCTAATTTTCCTGGATTGTTAGCATGATTGAAATGAAAACAGCCTGTTTCTCTATTCAGCCTTATGATCATGACAATAAAAAGAATAGTGTGGTAGAAACAGCAGTACATTTTTAGGGATGATAAACCTCAGCTGGAATTTTTTAACAAAAGTTTTGCATTTGAAGTTTATACCAGCAACTAACTTTAGACAGTCACATATGATCCAGAATCGAGCTTTGAAGATGAAAGATGAAAAGCCACACAACAGAATCAGGCTGGTCAAAAGAAGATGAAATAAATGAGTAAATAATGCAGGAAGTAATCAGATTCAGAGAGGAATGTAGTATAGTTAAGGAACTTAATAAACTGAAAACTATTTCTGACTACTAATATATCACAACGACAGTTCCGTCTATTATATTATGAAGGAAATGAAATGGAAGAGCCAAAAGACTCATCAGAAATATGCTACTTTATAATTAATAGGAAGGAACAGATGAAAAGCATATTAAAATGTGTTTATTTCTCTTATCACAGAAGCTCAGGTAATGTACAAAATACTTCAAAAGTTAAGAAAAATGTTTTATGTAGAAGTTAGGAAACTTTGTAAAAATTTTTAATTTTACCACTGAAATACTTGAGAGATTTTAGATTTTAGATATCCATCAATAAACTTGAGATTACAGATTGATTTTTTATTAAAGGTGATAATTTGTACTACAGGTAAATGGAAGCTGTAAGTTTTCCTAGCTAATTGTAAACAAGCCACTTGACTCATGTTGAGGAACTCAAACTGTTTAAGAATTTATGCCAGATTTTGAAAAATCTTGGGTTTTGTCCAATCATATACGTGCACTAAAAAAGCTTTTGATACACTACTTGGGATATTTTTGTGTGTCGTAGTGGACAAAAAGAAATTAGTAACTAATTGCCATATTATCAGAATTTGATTGTTGTGCCAAGAAATCTAGTTGACAAACAAAATGCTCTTGATGACTAGAATTATAAATTCCAATACTTTTAACCTTTCCTAACTTCAGTGGCAGGCTTTGCAAAAGAGAGTGGGCAAATCGCTAATCTCCTAAATCTCTATTTTAATTGGAAAGCGAAATTATTTTTAGCCTCATTCTTTTACCTGAATGACTAATTTAACTATAAATATGAATTTGAATTTTATAATACACTAGTCTATAGCTTCTTTAACAAACAAAAGTTAAAAATAAGTATGCTGCCTTGCTTTGTTTCTGCCTAAGGCAAACTTGCAAAGTATGTAAATCTGTACCGAGTAAGAATTATCTCCATCTCTTTTTTTGTTGTTTTTGTTGTTACTGTTCCTTTCAGAGAGTAAATGCCTCTGAAAGTCCAGATTTCTCATATTCCTGAGGATGAAGGCTTCCAGACTTTTTCTGAATGGCAAACATTATTTCTTTGTATTAATGCTACCAACCCACATAACCAATCTAGTGTTCTGTCTCAGCCCATTTAGGCTGTTCTAATACAATATCACAGACTGGATGGCTTGGACACAATAGATTTTTTCCTTTCCTCACATTTCAGGAGGCTGGGAAATTCAAGATCAAGATGCTAGCAAATTTAGTGTCTGCTGAGGGCCTGCTTCGTGGTTCATGGACAACCCTCTTCTTGCTGTATCCTCCCATGGCTGAAGGAGTGAGGGAGTGCTTTGATGTCTCTTTTAAAAGGGCACCAATAACACTGATGAGGGATCTGCTGTTATTACTGAATCTCCTGTCAGAGGCCCATCTCCTAATTCCATCGCATTGGATGTTAGAATTTCAACATAAGAATATTTGGGAGGACCCAAATATTTAGTCCATAACAGTATCCCACTTTCTTATGTAGCCCCATATTTGATAAGTTCTCAATTAAGAAGTTAAGTGATTTTCAAACACATTTTTTTCTCTAAAGAAATGCTTTTTTTTTTTTTTTTGAGACACAGTCTCACTCTGTCACCCAGGCTGGAGTGCAGTGGCGCAATCTCAGCTCACCGCAACCTCTGCCTCCCAGGTTCAAGCGATTCTCGTGCCTCAGCCTCCTGAGTAGCTGGGACTACAGGTGCTCACCACCACACCCAGCTAATTTTTGTATTTTTAGTCGAGACAGGGTTTCACCATGTTGGCCAGGCTGGTCTCAAACTCCTGACCTCAGGCGATCCACCCGCCTCGGCCTCCCAAAGTGCTGGGAATACAGGCGTGAGCCACCACACCCGGCCTTATTGTAAATTTCTTACAAAAAATTGTTAACAACAAAATTCAGAACGAATTAATGATATGTATTTCAGATGGATTTTTTTACTTTAAATTATATAGGGGTCAGCCAGTGTGGTGGTGTGAGCCTGTAGTGCTAGCTATTCAGGAGGATGAGGCAGGAGGACCGCTTGAGCCCTGGAACTGAAGGCTGCAGTGAGCTGTGATTGTGACAACTGCACACCAGCCTGGATGAGAGTGACACCCTATTTAACTAACACTTTAAAATTGTCATTTGTGTGTGGCAACATGAATATTGTTATGATGTCTACATAATTGAAAAAGGGACTGAATCTATACATTCAAATAAATTGTTTCTTCTGTCAGTTTATCTATGTTAGCAGCAAATTAGTATTTTCTATTATGTGTAAGGTGCACAGTTTCTGTTGTATGTACACATAATTTAGGTGGAGCAAAACCTTAGCAACCAATATAAAAATAAACCTTCTTCAATTTTCTATCTCTAAAATTAACAAAATAGGGCCACAGTAGAATTTCTTGGTGCTACATGTAGGGAATGCGTAAGTGATTTTATTTAAAAAAAAGTTAAAGGAATGATGGGTAACATAATAAAGTCAAAAGAACCAAAGCTTGAAAAATATGTCCGTGCTTTGTTGAATGTGTCTGTATTGAGTTGAATACCATATTTTGTGTCATTTGAAAGGACACATGTCCACAGAAACAGCCAATAAAATGTTTTCAATAAAAGTAAGTAAAATGTTCTAGGCAATGGTTTTCAGTTTTCAAGTGAATAAAGTCCTTAATATGTGACCTTTGTACTGCAGGTACATTATTTCAACCTACATTTGTCTAACAGTAAATGTAAAGGCTCAATACCTCTCCCTGTAAAATAGCATTGCTCACAAATCAAAGCCTCTGAAGGAAAGTTTTTGTAATAGATTAGAGCTCTTCAGACCTACATCACTAATGCCCTGTGACTATTTATAATCACAGAGGGGCTTTCTTAATTTAATGACATTCAGGCCTAAGTTGCTAAGAGTTTTAAGCTCACTCATCGTAAGTTTTCTTTCAGTAAATTGTTCCAAGATGAAAATTGAGAAAAACACTGTCTATCTTTCAACTAAGAAAGGGTGAAGGCAGTTATTTTGAGGATGTGTCAAAATAACAGTGGCAATGGAAACAGAATTTGATGAAACTATGGTTTATCCTAACCACTTAGATTTAAGTTGAAGATAATGTTAAATGTAAAATTCATCGGTGAGAATGATAGGAATCCTGGTTTATTATCTGTGCTAGCATTACATGATCTGCTCTGTTTTCTGATGCTAAACTGGATGGTAGCAATAGCTGTTCTCACAGGACTCCTAAGCTTGCATCTGTGCTTCTGTGACAATTAGATGGATGTCACAAAAATCCTTTAGCAGAGACCTGTTGTGGGTTAATGTTTCCATATAGAGTTGTTATAGAGATAATCCTGTCTATGGTAGACACTTATACACATCGTTTATCCACTCACTTCTTTAGGGAATGATGGACTACCATCCAGTTTGGGCAGGTTATGCAATGCTGGTAAAAATGAATATGCCAGAATTACAAGCATCTTATCTGATGAATGTGATACTTATATCAGTTGAAATTTAAGCCTTGGTGGTCAGAAATAAATATATATAGGAGCTGCAAAGTATTTTTATTAGTAAATAATATCTAATGAGTTTCTGTTTTGAAATCATTGTGGTGGGAGATTAAAAAATAATTTTGTGATCCTCTGTGTTACCTGCAAATCTTGGTTATGGCCAAGCAAATCTTGCACAGCCAGTAAAACTCTTTACATCAGGAGGTTTTGCTTTTGATTCCTTTGATTGCAAATTATAGAGATTCTTTTTTAAGACCTGCTTTAGAGTGAGTTCACAGATTTCAGAAGAATATCAAAACTCTTACCTATTGTTCATATTTCCTTTTCAAAAATAAAACTGATATATTCAGTTTGATCGCCTACCTGAAGCACCAAACTCAGCTGATATTCCGTGGTGCAAATACACAATACTCACATTTACACTCTCCACAACTCTGTTAGGTTGATAGTGGGGCTTTTCTTTTTTCTTTTTTTTTTTTTTTGGAGACAGGGTCTCACTCTGTCGCCCAGGGTGGAGTGCAGTGGCGCATTCTTGGCTCACTGCAACCTCCACCTCCCTGCTTCAAGCAATTCTCTGTCTCAGCCACCTGAGTAGCTGGGATTACAAGTGCCTGCCACCATGCCCAGCTAATTTTTGTATTTTTAGTTGAGACGGGGTTTCACCATCTTGGCCAGTCTGGTCTTGAACTCCTGACCTCGTGATCCACCCAACTCAGCCTCCCAAAGTGCAGGGATTACAGGCGTGAGCCACCGTGCCCAGCCATAGTGGGGCTTTTCTTCAAGCTACCTTTCATGAAGAAATGATGAACAGATTCTTTGTAAAAGATTTATAGAGTTAGGAATGAAAACAGAGTAATTATACAGCAACAATCTGCTAACCAGTCTTCTCTGTGGCTACAAAACTTACGCCAGATATCACCTTCACATCAACACGGTTGGTGGCTTCAAACCCACTTTCTAAGCAAAAATGCACACAGAAAATGGATGAATACTAATAGAAATGTGGCAGTTATTTCACTCTAACATCCTCGCAATAAACTACAAGGTGATGTTAGTATATTTTCATGAGAGTAGACATGACTTAAACAGGAGGATGTTAGTTCTTCAAAAGGATTTGCTAGAGTCAGTTAATGTGGGGCAGAGCTTGCCACTGGCCATCCCATGAAGCACTCAAAGATACCCTACAGGCAGATTTAAGTACACACAACATCTGAGCTCAGTCACAGAAGTCAGAAATGAAAACAGATTCACATGATAGCTCAACTGTTTCATTTTTAATGATCATTAGTGGTCTATAGAGAAGGCTCAAGCTGCTAGGTAAACAACCAATTTGCTTATTTGAAGTTTACATAAGAGATAATTTATTCATCCATTAATTTTCTTTCTTGCTCTAGCACATTAGGTGATATTTGTTCTCTGATATATATAACAATCTAGATTCATCTACACTGCAGTTTTCTTCAGTATCTGCAGCATATTCTTTTAAATAACCTCAGCATGGAATATCTAAGGGCAGAGATTTTTTAATAGCCAAATAGTGTTTAGAACTACATCTATTACCTGTGAAGAATAAAGAAAAAAGATAAGGAAAAGATGGGTGAGAAAACGTAAGATATACATTTTTTCTTCTTTTGGGGGGTTAAGCTCAAATGTTTACTCAAGTAATGATGCCAGTTTTATTGTAGTTAAGCAGCTTTAAAGGCCATTTGATAGAGACTCCAAAAACAGTATCTATGGAAAGTTGCCTGAGTGAATGCATCATTAACATATCTACTTTGACAATACACAGATGCCAATAAAATAAATCAACTGCATATATTTATGGTCATCTATCATATGCAAAACTATGTTAAAACTGAATAAAGTAATACCAAAAAATTCATAACTTAAGTCTTACAAATTTGGCCATTTTAGTATTATTTACAAAGTAGCCCTTTATAAGAATATCATTTTGATAAAATATTTCAGAACAAAGCTTCCAACCAAAAGTCAACATATAATTTTTTTGCAGCCAAAGCCAACCTAAAATCTCTTTTGAAGACACAAGATGACAAAAATTCATTGTGAATATATGTGTCCCCTTTGTTGTATGTTGAATAAGATTTATATTTGAGATAAGCCATAGGTCTGGTTTCTATTCTCCAATAAGAGAGAATAAAAGAGTGGCTGTGGATTGAAAGCCTCTGTGTATATTCCCCTCTTTGTTAAGGCCCATAAAGAAAGAAAATTGGATTGAAATGGCTAAATGTTCTTAGAACAATTCCCACAAATGCCAATAATTATAGATTTTGGTTTCTTTCATTCTCATGGCTCTGACCTTTAGTAGTTTATTGCAATGCACAACACAACATCAGATGCTTTCCACATGACACACATTTAGCATTCTCGCATTGCATCACATTACAGACCATGGACCAAGATTCTTGTTCAAATGCTATTAGGTGTAAGTGATACAACAAGAACAAAAGGAAATGCTTTGAGAACTGTTAAGTCCTGTACTGTCTCTGCTACTGAGCTAGACTGCACCTGAAAAAGGCCAGCCTTTAAGATTTTCATTTTTCTGTCTCCCACAATTCTGAAGTATAAAACTGAGTCCATCTTTGTTGAATGTGTATTTTAATGATAGTCATACAGGGTTTTTGTTTTGTTTTGTTGATGTTAGTGGTGGTGGTATTCTTCGTAACAAAAGCATATCATGAAGTATTAATACCTGGAAGATTATTAACTTTTTTCCTTAGAATTTGAGCAAGTTGTTTGCCAGAGATTAAAATAAGATCCTGTGGGAACACCTATTAATGTGGGTTTGGGTCTCTAATTATTTACGAGATGGAAGAGGAAAAAGACCTCTTTCTCTGTGTCTAATTATAGTTTGGAAAACCTATTTTATCCCTAATCATTGTGCAAATACAAAGTGGCATTGCATCCCATAATTTACAATAAATAGATCAAAAGCTTAAAATGTTTCTAGGCTGGTATCAAAATGAAAGAAATAATGTTTATGAGCTTGGGGTCACCTGTTGCAAATTAAGGTTTACAGGATGAGAAGTTACTCCTCTTATTTCTTTACTCAATACACACTTGGTGGGCACTAACAAGAAAAACAGACTGTCTTGAACAGTTAATAGACTCTGTGGCAGAACCGTAAGTCTCTATATTTCACATCGGATACTGATCTGTTACAATGGAATTATTTATTTAAAAGTTCCCAGAGTCAGTGCTATTGGCAATAGATTTGTGTACTATTTTAATGTATATCTTTATCCTACTTAAGTCTGGTGTTAATTTTGTAAAACTGAAATGTGTTGAGTCCAGCAAAGACTACTCTCCAAATTCTGAGTTATGGGGGTCCCCTAGTCACTATCTAACACTGTCATGTTCTGTTCCCTTAAGATTTCTGTTTCAAGAAAGGGAAGCATAGCTGGATATACAACATTTTCCACAAATGTATTTTCTGATTGATGCCTTTTGCTATGTGTCAATCTCACAATTTCCTTTGTCATAATGAAATTTGTTTAAACTTCCTCTTTAGTCCTGGCTATTATCAAAAGTTTCCTTGTTGTTCAATGAGTTCAGACCAATTGTAAATAATGATACTTTTAAACACAGATCCCACCCGTCCACGCCTGAGCTGTAATTATCTACTTTTCCACACCCTTAGAAAAATTAACTCTTGGAGCAAAGACCTCATCTCATTCCCTCCCAATGAACACCAGCAACACCACTTCTGGAGAGAGTTTATTATGCTCAAGGTTATATCTAGTTGTTAAAAAGGAAAATGTATACGCTGCACATGGGCAAAATTTTCCTCCTAATTTTGGAGTGTATGGAAGATTTCTACACAAGACCATTGTTTCATACTATCAAACAAAACAAAAATAAACCTACAGGTATTAAAAGACTTCATTCCTTTAAGCAGGCCGCCCTATTTCTGAACATACTAACTACGGTTTTCTGTACAGTTTTTTTCAAATGCAGTTTTCTATAATTTTCTGAAGTCTCATTTTTTTTTTTACTTTTAAAATGCACAGTTCTAAACTTACTACTTAAGAAACTACCCTGATTTCATCCAATTAAATGCAGTCCAGCATGTTTTTTTCCTTCATGTATGTTACCTCCCAGTAATAATGGCTTACAATGGAATGGAAATTCCTCTGTACTTCATAGTTATGACTGAGAACTTACTAAACTACTTAAAAATAGAAGTACGCTTAAAAGCATGTTGTTAATGTTGAATAAAGATGCCTAATTAAATCCTACCAAGTGACTGGAAGTAGAAACATGTAAAGCAAAGAGGTAATTTTCTTGTTCAAACAAGTTAATGCAAGAAAAACTTACCAGCTTTTCTTAAGACTATGTTTAATACTCACTGTACTTAATCCTGAGAGAGCTAGTTAGTCAAAAGTAAGTTTTTAAAAAGTGAATTATTCATTTCTGACCAAACCACATTTGACACTCATTTGAATATTAAACTACATCCAATACAGTTCCTCGGAAATATTTTATTAATATGAACATAGAAAATTCATCAGTGGGGGAAGACACAGCCAAGTGACTAAGAAAAAAATCTTAGGATAACAACAAAAATCTTTTTAAAATGCATAAAGGAATCATTGTATGGGAATCACTGATTAAAACTAGAAAGAAATTATTTGACTTTTAATTCAAAGAATCATAATTAAGTACTTTATCTGATTATCCAAAGCAACATTAAAATAAACAAATTTAAAATGGCATAAAGATTTTGAAATTCTCAATTAAGAAGTCAAATTTGCCTGGAAGATTTTCTTCTTGCATTGCAATAAAGCACTTTACCAAAACTTGTTAGCTGGAACACTCATCCCATATGATGTTTACAAATATGATGTTAGAAAGTAGCTCCAAATCAGGCAATTTTGGAAAAACGTCAGTTTTTAAAAGACAATTAACTTATTGAGTGCCTTTATGGCACAGTTTATTTGGTTTTATTATTTTAGATATCAGAGCCTTGGATATGTCCTTACTCCTTGTGAAACTCAGAAAATAAGTTTTAGAAACATGTTGTGAATAAGAATCCAATGATCATTTATTTTAAAAAGTTGCCATTACAGAAGATTAATGTGAAAAAGTTACTTTAAAAATTGGAAAAGATTAGTAAAATCATTCTAATATAAGAAATGAAGAGAAAATTGGAAAAGAAAGGAACAAAGCAAGAGTTTGCTGGCGAAAATGATTTTATAGCTGCTCCTATAATGTATCCTCATTTAAATATAGAGCTTTTTTCATTTAAATTTTTTTTAATTATTATTATTATTTTTTTTTTGAGACGGCATCTCACTGTGCCGCCCAGGCTGGAGTGCAGCAGCATGATCTCAGCTCACTGCAACCTCTGCCTCCCAGGTTCAAGTGATTCTCTGGCCTCAGCCTTCCAAGTACCTGGGATTACAGGCACATACCACCACACCCAGCTAATTTTTGTATTTTTAGTAGAGATGAGGTTTCACCATGTTGGCCGGGCTGGTTTTGAATTCCTGACCTCAGGTGATCCGCCCACCTCGGCCTCCCAAAGTGCTGAGATTACAGGTGTGAGCCACCATGCCTGGCCTAAAAGCAGAGATACTGATGTCATTATTTAAATATAGGATCAAGTCCTGGGCCATAACACTATAGAAGATAAAGATAAAATGAATTTTCTTCACTAAAACACACCTGGTAAAAAGAGCACACAGAAATCACAAGGACCCACTTGATCTAGCTTATGTAAGGATTGTATCTATTGATTTGCTTTCTGCAAGGGTGCAAATAAATCTTTTAAGAACTAATATATAAACCTAATTTTAAAATGTGTTAGATTTTTCAGGGTATGAGAGGCAAAAACAGAAGTGTTTTCTTATTCATTTTTATAGCCAATCAGTAAGTATTAATGCAAGCCTACTCTTTTTCCCAAAAAGTTTGGTAACCCCTTATTATAAAAGTAAATTGAGGAAACTTCCTATATTCTGGAAGCTGCCATTACTTGGAGGTAACATAGACATTAACAAATAATCAGGACAAATGAATTAATGCCATGTTAGAGATATGAACAAGGCACTCAACTGGAGAAAGGAGGAAGCTCTTGGCATTGCTTGGAGTCATAAAACGTGGCTCCCAGGAAGAAGTGACATTTAAACTGAATCTGTTAAAATCAATAGGAGTTTCGAAGGGGTCAAAGCGTGAAGCAGAAAAAGATTCCAGAAAGAGTGCTTTCATGACAGGTAAGTGAGAAGCAGCATGGTGCATGATGAAAACTGACTCTTGCCCAGCACCGTGTGGCTATCTAAGTGTGCACCATTCTAGACGGTCGACTTAGCAAGCTTCCCTACTCTGTTGTACGTTAGGCGTTCTTGCACAGTCCCTGCCATTTGACAGGTGCTTAATGTAGATGTGTGGATGGATTTCGTTATCTTAAAATTTCTATTTCCAGCTAGTGAGCCTAATCACCTTTCCCTTTGTCTATCCACCTAAAGACGGGAATCTGAATTACAGATAATTGTGAAATACAATGAACGTAGTTGGTACGGTTTGGCTCTGTGCACCCACCCAAATCTCACGTTTCGTTGTAATCCCCACGTGTCAGGGGAGGGGCCTGGTAGGAGGTGGTTTGTTCATGGGGGCAGATTTCCCTCTTGCTCTTCTCCTGATGGTTTAAAAGTGTGCGACACTTCCCCCTTCGCTCTTTCTCTCTGTTGCTGCTGTATGAAGAAAATGCTTGCTTCCGCTTTGCTTTCCACAATGGTTATAAGTTTCCTGAGACTTCCTAGTCATGTTCCCTGTTAATCCTGCAGAAATGTGAGTCAACTAAACCTCTTTTCTTTATAAATTTCCCAGTCTTGGGTAGTTTTACATAGCATTTGAGAATGGACTAATACGATAGTCAAACTTGGAAAAGCAGCGATAGCAATAATATAAATCTTAAATTTTCTATGGACCAGTCAACCATTTTAAAATCAAAATCTACAATTCCATTGTATTTTCTATAATTTTGAAAGCCCAATATCAGGAAACAGAATGTAAAAGATTATTGATAAATGACAGATAAATGAAGGAAAAGTGCTAGCCGTGAACTACTTTCTTTTGTCTGGTTTTTCTCACTTTCTATCGCATCATCCTGTCTGAGGATGGGTTCAGCTCTCCTCTCTTTTAATTGCATCTTATCTGTTATATCTTTAGCTCATTTCTCTAAGCTCCCCTAAGTCTGTAAATACGATCAAGTTGCTCACATTTTCAAAAGAAACAAACAAAAAAGTAATCCTTCAATAGTTCATTATTCTCTATCCACCTTTCTTTTCCCACGAAGCCCAGATCAGAAAGAGCAGTCTCAGTTCCCTACCTTGACGAGTTACTTCTCAACCTGCTGTATTCTGACTTCTGTCTCCATAACTCCAAGGCATTCTATAACCAAATCCAAAAGGCAGTTTTCAGTAGGGTCAAGTAGTAATTAACTTGGAAATTGGCCAAACAAATTACTACTAGTTTAAATAATGTCTTCTTATCTTTTCTTAGCTGAGCCTAGCCTTTTTCTGAATATGAGAATAGGACATGCTGGACGCAGTGGCTCACACCTGTAATCCCAGCACTTTGGGAGGCCAAGGCAGGAGGATCACAAGGTCAAGGGATCAAGACCATCCTGGCCAACATGGTGAAACCCCGTGTCTGCTAAAAATACAAAAATAAGCTTGGCAGGGTGGTGCGGACCTCTAGTCCCAGCTACTCGGGAGGCTGAGGCAGGAGAATTGCTTGAACCAAGGAGGCAGAGGTTGCAGTGAGCTGAGATTGTGCCACTGCACTCCAGCTTGGCGCGACAGAGTGAGACTCTATCTCAAAAAAAAAAAGAAAAGAAAAAGAAAAGGACAAGTGTTTGGAAGAGGGGCAGGCCTCAGCCACTTTCCTTAGTCCTCTCTCTCCATGTCTCTTTCTCTCCACGTGTCTCTCTCCCTCCCCTTTCTTTACTTGTTTTCTTTATCCTCAAAATCCTACCTCTAA
This sequence comes from Homo sapiens, assembly GCF_000001405.40. Lineage (NCBI taxonomy): Eukaryota > Metazoa > Chordata > Mammalia > Primates > Hominidae > Homo > Homo sapiens. The sequence goes on along the minus strand of NC_000003.12, from coordinate 76,709,975 downwards.
AGTTGTGTTGAGATCTGCAGCCTTTGCTATCCCATGTCCTCAGAAGAGCTGTTGGCAGAAGGAAGTGGTCTGGTTATACTTCTCATTGGCTGAGAGGCAGCCCCACATTGCAATAGACAGTGTGGCCTCTAACAGCAGGTCTCTTTCAGTATTGACATTTTTTACTATTTAATGATTTTATTTTTGCAAATATACTTCATTTTAAAGAAATAATCTGAAAACTAATTTTAATCTGAAAACTAATTACCCTGGCTCTGGAAAATCCAGATGATGTAATGAGCACTATGGCATATAACATTGCTGAACTCACTTTCCTGCTTCAAATCTCCTGTCCAGCCCCTGAAGTTCCTACTAAATAACCACTCACCCCTTTTCTATGGCATCATAATCCTTCCTGTGTTCTGACAATAATGTGTCCAAGTAATACGTGCTTTTCCAGCTCCATTCACAGGTATGTGTTGATATGTGACACAGTTCTGGCCGGTGAGATACAAGTGAAAATCTTCTGGAGATTCTGAAGAAGCTTTTCCTTCCCTGATGAAAGGAGATGAACAAGACTGATACAAATCCCTACCCTTTCTTCCTGTGGTGAAAGTGGCTGTGATATCTGTAAGAACAATGAGGTGGCAAGTATGAAGGCACAGCCTCAAAAAACATGGAGATACTAAATCTGACATTGTTGAGCTGCTGAACCAATGCCAATAGCCGCAGAACTTCAGATCTTAAATGTTGTGTGAATGGTAGCTGTGTTTTTATGTATATGTATTCCCTCTTCTTCTCTAGATTCTCCCTTGGGGAATGCATATCTAATTTTCAATGACTGTTTAATGCCAACCTTTTCATGGTACTATTGGATATCTTCATCAAGGTACTTCATAGAGAGCTCAGATTTAGGATATAAAAAATAAATCCATTATCTTCTCCAACTCAAAACCAAAAACAAAATATCTATATTGACCTTTTGAGTAAATGGCACCCTCATCTACCCAATTGTCCAAAAGAGAACCCAAGGAGTTTTCCTGACTCCCACTGTCCCAGTGATTCTCATGTCCCATCACTCACTGAGGTCTGCTCGTTGATTTGCTTTACCTAATATCTCTTGGGTGCTTGCCCTTCCCTCTATTCCCACTACTATTGTTTGAAGATGTCAATCTGGCACTGAAACTCTAAATTTCTCCCCTTGCTTCCAATCCCCTCATCTTCATCCATTCATTCTGGTTCTGCCAGAGCAATGGTTCTAAAACGTGAACACAATTTTATTACTCCTTTCTGGAAAACTTTCAGGAGATCTGTCTACCCATAGAATGAAGTCCAAATTGCTGGGCAAGGCATATAAATTCTGATGACCTATGATAGGCTTTTTGTTTTTCTGCTACATCTTCAGTTAATACCTGATGCAGTGACGTATGTGTCCTGGATGACAGTGTACTGTTTTTTGTGTGGTTTTTGGTTGTTGTTTTTACTTGAAGTTTATTATGCAAATAATTCAGATGATTCAAGTAGAGCAAAATTGAAAAGATATCCTTAAACTTCCACTTCATCCTAACATTCCATTTCCCAGAAATAACAGCTATTAAACAATTGATGTGAATTCTGCCATGTTCTTTCCTACTGCCAAACCGTTGTGCTTCTGTTCCCTCTGCCAGGAATGGGTTTACCTTTTGTTTGGTAAATTCATAGGTATCCAACCTTCTAGGTTCAAATGCCATCTCTACAAGAAAGCGTTTCCTCAATCATGTAGAAGTATAGAGAAAATATTTTCATATTTCCCTATGCTAGGGTATTCTAGGCAAAGAAAACTGGAAAGTGGGTTAAAGGATATGCTTTGAAAGTTAAAGCATAATTGAATAGACAGCAATTTCAGAGATATAAAGATATATCTCCCTAGAGCTATGTGCTTTTGCTTCAAAGGGGAATGAAAACTTGTAGGCTTACTTGCACATACATTCCAAATTCCAGTTTACATTTCCAACTTGTGATACATTTGAGAGACAAATCTTCTCTTTTTCTCTCAAGAGGGGATGATAGCAGCTGTATAGCAGCTCACATATATAGTTCAAGATTCGTAATTTTGGAGTTCTTTTTCTGTGGTACACAAATCCTTTTCTACACACAGCCTTAGCCAGTTGGCTGTCATCACTCTGACTCAGATTGGAGGAGGGTGGTCTGGAGAAATTGTCTTGATACAGAAATCTCAGCCTTGCTTTTAAGATTTATATATATATATATATATATATATATATACACACACATGTATTCTAATGTGTGTGTGTATGTGTGCCTGGTGTGGATCTTACCAAAGTACTAGGCATGAACACAGAGAATGAAAATCCCATGGGTCTTAGTATTTAGGTGTTAGTAACTGAGGTCTGTAGTGTGTGAAGATCTCTCGTAGTACCTGTCAGTAGAGGGAGGAGTCACCAGCCTTGGGAACTTGTGGCATGCTCCAGTGTGGTATGAGGCCATAAAGTGATACTGCTGTTTAGCACTTTGAATTTTTCCACACAGGTAGTAACTATTCAGAAACAACCAAAATAGGAAAAAAGTGGTTTGTCCATTTCTAAGAATCTTAGAGTATTAATTGATTGTAATGTAAAGCATCACCTGTCATTGGCAAGCTGAAGAGAGTGGACTTAACCAATAATGGCCAAAGGAATCACCTATTATTCTCAGGTACAAACTTTTTAGTCTGTTAGCAATAGGGAAACAGTGCACATTATTTTTGTAGATTAGTGCGGTGTTTCTTTAGGTACTGGTGTTATGCCAGGGAATCAGAGGGGAAAAGTTGGATCCTGCAAGAGTAATGCTCTTCTGGCTTTAAAACAAATAAATACACTTGAATGGAGTTAAAATTAATATATAGTCTATGTATACATATACATACACATACACTATATATACACACACAGAAAATATGTATATATACATGCATACACACATTAGAATATATATATATATGTATACATATACACACAAAGACACTTTAGAAATCTGTCAAGTTGTCTGAACAAATTTAGGCTTCATCCTCTATTCTCCCATAGACATCTGTTCCTACCTCTAATAATTAACTTATCACATTGGTTTACCATGTTTTAGAAAAAAATTGTCACCCTCTAAATGTGTGTTAAAAGATAATAGAAGCTGTCATCTATTTATTTTTGAGTCACAAGTTACTTACACAATTCCAATATGTTGCAAACACTTAACTAAATCATTAAAGAATAAAAGGACACAAAGAACAAATATTTAGGTGTAATTTAATTCCTTGGAAATATTCTACAATGTTTCCAAATAAGAATAAAATTGCCATCATATATCTTTATAGTCTATTATTTCTTTCCCCATAGAAAGGCAAAGTTTATATTCAATTTGTTTATAAATGAAGTTTATATTAAATTTATACTAAATTTATTTAGAAGACTCAGAAAACAGGACTCAATCAACCATGTGACATTCTATAGTACTGAGTGAAAATGGAGAGTTAGGAGGCTGGGGGAGGGATCAGGGGGAGCAGAAAGAGAAATAATTATTCCTTTCCAACCTCAAAAGTCAAAATATGATAACATTTTCACTTTTGAATTTTGGGTGGCAGAAATGGGAAGCCTGTACCTTCCGGATGAGGTAATCAAATTGACTTCAATAATACCAAATACTTTTAAAATGCAAATATTTACTGGAACAAAGGAACTGTAAGCAAGATAAAAAATGAACAATGTTTTAATGTTTCTTTATAATTGTTTGTATTCCCATATTCAAGTTGAAAATTCTATTTTGTGTTTCTGCACAGTATAAATCAAAGTTTGTAACTATTTTCTATTCTATTGAGGTGCTTTCTTAATACTTCAAGTTAAAATGCCAATTGTTATGACAAAATAATTAAATATGAATACTATTATTGCTTTCTTCTATGGATTACTATAAAAGCTTAACATATGTTTACACTGTGACTAGAAAATGAAATAGATTAAGGAAATATGTTAATGAAAGTCTTTTTAAAAAAATGTATAACTGGATTCTGTCTTTGGAAAAAAGAATCATTGACTTTACCACAGACAGATTTCAGTAAATTTGTGCTGTTCACCCGCCATTCTAATCATTATTGTCAGGAAGTCATTTTGAGATCACAGGTCACAGCTTTAAATTCAACTGTGGCATAGGAAATTTAATCAATAACTTTATGCAAATAGAAAGAAATCATGCTGCAAACAGACCTACTTTAGTGATACATTTATTTAAAGTATTTTAAAGTGATTCTGGAAGTGTGTTTAAGTAAAGATAATATTTCGGTTGAATGCATTTAAAATTAACCTGTATTTCTTATGAGAAGAGCTTGTATAGCTCATTATTATCAGCCCTAAATATTTTGCATTTTAGTTTCTCCCCAATGATTCTACTGAAACTGCTTTCTTGAAGGTCCTCAATCACTCGCTAATTGACAAATCCAATGGCCTTTTTTACTTGTCATCTTCTGGACAGTGTTGCATCATTGGATGCTGCTCATGCCCTCTTCTTTCTTGAATGTACACTCTCTATCAGAGAATAAAGTCATTTTAAAGACACACATACCCCTTTACGTATTTATCACTGTGTGTATGATTTTTGTCCTTTTAAAATCTTGTTAATGATAGACTACTAGGGTTTATGAAAAGTTAATTGTATTAGCTATATTGTATTACTATACATTGTATTACTCTAGGCAACTGGGATATATTGTATTATTCAGGCAACTGGGATATCTGTTTTTCAATATGAAGAATTATAAGGCATTTATCACAGAGCTAAAAGTACAACATACACAGAGATAATGAGTGAGATCAGAGGTGGGCAGACCATACCTGTGGGCCAAATCCAGTCTCCTGTATTTGTGTAACTAAAATCTCATTCACTTACCTATTGTCCGTGACTGCTTTGCACTGCAAGGGCAGAGTTGAAGAGTTGGCATAGAGGCTGTATGTGGTACAAAGCTAAAATATTTACTCTCTAACTTTACCCAGAAAAAGTCCACAGGCCCCTGGTTAGAGTACTGATTTACTGACCTTAGAAGAGAACCATTCCTCTTTTTAGATGCAAAATAAATTAATTAATTAATTAATCAAAAACACCTTCATTATAAGGCTTTATGCCAAGATAGGAGGGTAGTGCTGAACTGGTTTTTGTCTTGAGTCTTCTAGAGAGCCCTGCTTAGCTATGACCTTAATTTTTGGCACCTTTCTGCAAGAATAAGTGTGTATACCCAGTGTAACTGGTCATCTAAAAAGATTCAAGAAAACCTCATGCTATCTCCTTCACAATTCTAGTTTCAAGTGTGCAGAGCCCAATCTGCAGTAGTGGGTTCCTTATCCCTAGGACCCAAGCATGGAAAGGAAGTAAAGGAAGGCATAATGATATATGGTACTTTCTATTGTAACTATTGTGTCCCAGTAAATTGATCTATGATTCATCGTGTTACCCCTTTCAAAGTCTGTCTGTGATTGGTTACTGTACATCTATCATTCAGTTCATACATAGACAGTAGTTGGGTATTTATGTTGACGCCTTGTCCTCCAGCGATAACCCACATGCCATTTTGCACAAATGGATAACTGATAGAAGAAATTGATCAACAAAAGTCAAAATGCAGTAAAGAAACAAAAAGTGATGATATTGGAAGTGAAATTCAAATTAAACAAAGATGGAGTTTTGAAAGCAATTGCTGTGTGAATGTTCACACTCTCACTTTTCAGAGGGACTCTGATACACAGCCAGAGGAACTTTGTGAAAATGAACTTGTTGACATAAATGAGGGAAGAAGTTGTGTCAAAAATGATGAAGATATCCCAGAAGAAATGATGCTCTGAAACTTGACATTACAGGAAAACTCAGACATTTCTTTACAAAAGAATAAGTTGTTAGAAGTTGATCCAAACTCAGAAAAAAGTATAATGATGTACAAAGACATAGAAAAGATGCCCATTCCATATCAGAAACTATAACAAAAAGGAAAAAAAAAAAGAAGTACTATTTGAACTACTGTTGATTAATTTTCTTATAAGCAATAACATTTTAATTCTCAACATTTCTAGTCAGAAATACCATTTGACCCAGCAATCCCATTACTGGGTTTATACCCAAAGGATTATAAATCATTCTGCTATAAAGACACATGCACACATATGTTTACTGCAGCACTATTCACAATAGCAAAGAGTTGGAACCAATCCAAACACCCATCAATGATAGACTAGACAAAGAAAACGTGGCAAATATATACCATAGAATACTACACAACCATAAAAAAGAATGAGTTCATCTCCTTTTCAGAGACATGGATGAAGCTGGAAACCATCATTCTCAGCAAACTAACACAGGAACAGAAAACCAAACACCAGATGTTCTCACTCATAAGTGGGAGCTGAACAATGAGAACACATGGACACAGGGAGGGGAACATCACACACTGGAGCCTGTCGGGGGTGGGGGAAAGGGGAGGGAGAGCATTAGGAGAAATACCTAATGTAGGTGACTGGTTGATGGGTGCAGCAAACCACCATGGTACGTGTATACTTATGTAACAAACCTGCACGTTCTGCACATGTGTCCCAGAATTTAAAGCATATTAAACAAAACAAAACAAAATAAATGACAGGGTACTAAGTAAATATTGGTGTTTAGTGCTTTTCTGAAAATCCCTCTTCATTTACAATAGAGAGTGTAAGAAACTGTAATGTTGCGACCTAAGTCCTTAAAGGTCATAGAGCAGTCATAATTTCCTCCATTGATTATTAAGATCTCTTTGCACAATTTCAACTTTCATGGTCTTTTTATAGTATTGCACTGCCATGTAAAGCAACAACTACCTGTATTTGTTTTACTGAATTTGTCTGGATATATACTGAAGGAATTTTCAATACAAACACTAGTAGTGGTTCATGATATATTATTTGGAGGGCAGATATGGTTGAGGAGAACTTCTGACTAGGCTTGACCCTTCCACTGATTTTCATATGGTCTTCAACATCTCTGTGTTCTGTTAACTGCCTAAAAGATTAAGTGTATTTTCTAGAAGCATAGGAAGGTTTAAAAGTAAAAGCTCTAAAGAATTGAATTAGCTAATTAGCGTTTCAATAGCAGTAACATGCTGAGGCTCAGGTATGTCAACTTTCGTCTTACCTTCTCGAATCTAGCATTTCTTGGAGTCTGACTTTTTTTGTTTTATCTCCTTCCTCCCTTTTCTCACTTTTTCTTTCTCTTTCTTCCTTTATTGCTTCCATTGACTCTTTTCATCTAACTCAGAATAGATTCAAATCTTTATTATTATTATATAACGTTCATTTTGTTTTTGACAAAACTTCGATTCAACATCTATCATCACAACACACCATACGCTGGATTCAGGATTTTTAAATCACTTTAATTCAATCATTTCTAATTCTCTCTCTTTCTCTGTCTATTTCTCTCTGTCTCTCTGTCTTTCACACACACATACAAAATAAATAAATAACTTCTCTGAATGTGTGTGTGTGGTTTTCTGTTTGTTTGTTTGTTTGTTTTGTATATGAACCTCAATTGATTTTTCCCCCTATGTTTTCACAGCACTGGAATTATGTGCATTAAATGAAACTCATTTCCCCGTATTAACTCTTCAATGCTTAAACAATTCTCTTGATACATAGGTTAGAAAGATTTTAATTGCATACATCAATCTAGGTACAGTTCATCACAACCCCCAAATCCTCCAAACATAACTGGCTTCTGGGAACATGCACAATATTAACCCTCTAAAACAATTCACTGTGCATTTTGGTAAGCAATTATGTTTCTAATTTGGTAATGGAAAGGGATAAAGATATAAAAAAAATTAAAGAGCTAATTATAGGTTCCATTTAAATATAGAAAATATAATACATGGTCATATACTCTGGAAAGAATATTCATTTATTTGCTAGTGAAATTTTAGGGAGCAACATGTATGATAAATTGACAAAATATATAGATATTGGTGCAGAAAAAGTTTCATTTCCTACTCTGATTCATATGACTCTGAGCCTGTTTAAGTCTGAATAAATGAAGAGCGGCATTTCTAAATACATACAGTTCTCCGAACAACTTCTTTAAACATAAAAGTGACCTTTGTTTTTTTTTTTTTTTAGACTGCTACACACTACTCAAGGTAATTATATATTGGTGGTATACCTCAAATAAAATCTAAACCAAAATTATAAAGAAAATGCCTGCAATTCATTTTCTTCTTTTATAATAATATACCTTATAAAAGAAATTGCTTTTAATCTAACAGCCTTCTTTAAGTTGTATTCTATTAAAGGAAATTGGGCCAGAATTGATTTGGGTAGTGAAATTTATCATTACACACAGAAAATGGACAATGAAATGTGATTAGACTACATGTGCCCATCATTGCCTTTTTCAAGAGCAAGCCTTGAACAGAAGAGGCTGGATTCAATGAATCAATAACAGTAAAAGCAAAATTGGAGGGCTGTCAAATCAACTTAATTCCTCTCTTCTGATCAAGTAGCATCCAATCACCTAAAGCACAATGCTAATAATCAAATTAAATTGCATTTGACTCCTTTTACCTGGAGTCAAAACACACATCTGACTCTCATATTTTATATACTTAACTTTGAAAAGCCACTAACATACTGACATATACTAGAATTAAATGCTTGTTGCATACTCAGGATGAGGCAGAGGACAAAATTACTTTTGATTATGCTCTTAAACTAAATGGAACAATTAAAATAACAGGTTTCCTTCATCTATTCAACAAATATCTCAAACCTAAAGAACTTTGCAAGCATCAGCAAATTAATATGGTTTTTAGCCATTTTGATGGTATTCCTTTTGCAAAAAGCGGGCATTTTTTATTCTTTGGTGCTGTGGAAGACCTAAATATACCATTCATTGAACTAGATCACTTGCTTTTCCACCTGGCCACTAGGTATCTTTCTTATGGGCCCCATTAGGAATTTGTAACACAGCTTCAATACACTATGATAATTTCTGGTGTATAGTAATTAAGAGGAATCATGATTAAATATTCTTTAAAATGAAAATGTCCAACACAGTGGTATTTAATGAGTATACAAGTGAATGAATGACTATGAAAATGTATTATTACAGACATAACACAGTCTAAAATTGTAAGACTGACTGGGTAGAGACAAGACTGGACTCTAAGAACAAAGAAAATTATTTTTAAAGTCCTCCTTAAGGAGAGAAAGCTTCCTTTTGAACTATTAGAAGGGCTATACACATAGACTTGGGGCTTCACTACATGACAGTTTCCAAAGGCACACTTCATTGAAGAAGATAGTCAAGAACGTCCTCAAAGGAAGCAGTTTCCAATGTGGATATTAGGCTAAGATGAGAGACTAAATGAATGACACCCTGTATATAGTCATATTTTCAAAATGAGCTCATCAAGACTGTCGGAGCCCAGCTTTGCCTTCAGAGAGGTTTCCTGGCATTAGAAGAAAAAACAGATGAGTACAGAGTTAAAAATTTTATTTCCCAACAAATATATACTGGTGTCTCTCTGGAAAGTTTTCCAGCAGGTGATTTTCATGAAGTTTAAACAAAAGAAAAACATTTGTGGTCAAAGAGTAAGGGTGAAGGAAGAAAGGGGGGAAAAGATGAGTTATGAAACATCGCTCTTTGGGAAGGATATTTGAGTAATATAAAGTAAGATTATAAAATGATGACTAGAGTCACAGTTGTAATTAAAACCAGGAAAACGATGCTAAAGAATAGAAGAAAAGTGGACAATTGCTTAATGGACAAAAAATGACAGAAAGAATAAGAAGAGAAGGGAGGAAAAACTTGGGGAAAAGAATAGTGATGTTGCAGAGGAGTGTGAGGATTGTGGCATCTGTTTGCCAAGAAGTTTTTTGTTGTTGAAAGCCTTGGTACAGCACCCACCCTGAGAACTAGGGGGTGCCCAAGGCCCATGGGTTTTTTTTGCTATTTTTCTTTCTCTTATTTGCCCCAGATAGGATTTACCCAAAAGGGACATGAGGCCATAAGTTGCATTTACCATGCTCTGTGCCTCAACAGGAGACATTCATTTAGCAGCAATATCCATAGTGTTACAGAGAAACCCATGGCAGCTCTCAGCACATCTTCAAGCATAGAGTTAGATATAAAACAATTAAAGAGGAAACAGGGGGAGGAAGGTCAGTGTTAGCTGCAAAGTTACAGAGAACGAGCAGCACATTAGGAAATGATAAACATAACCTTGCAAAGACTCGCTTTTACAAGGCATCAATGGTTCAGGGCTATAAAATGTTGTGCATTGTGTCAAAGGATATGTGCTTTTAAAAGAAACCTGGAAATGTATTTAAACATTTGCACATGGAGCAGATGGGACTAAAAAAGGAAACTACGTTCTTCAGATTACATTGCCTCCAAGTCTGGGCAGCAATTTAAAACAAAGGCACGGGTTAGAAGGAGATTTAATATCAATATGGGGATCTTTTGTACAGACACACACACATCTGTGTTGACAGGACCAAAAGGAATCCGGATATCAGAACGTCCAAATAAAAGAGAAAAAAAGTCTTCATGAGATGAAGGCCTGCCTGGAGAAGTCTGATATGGTGGGGAAAATTCCCTTCCCCTAAACTAAGTCGCTAGAAAAGACAACTGAAGTGTAAAGCACTTTTCTCAGATGGCAAAAGCCTCTCATGCAAATTTTGTTTATTCAACAGACCTGGATAAACAGCAGATCTGATTAGGAGCCAAACAAAAGAAGCACCATGGCTGCTGCTTAGAGGTCGGAAAAGATCTCAATATATTCACTGAGATTAAGCTGACATCTGATACTGACAATGTTAAAGTCCTTATACTTTTCAGTGTGGCTCAAATTGGCAGACTAGAAAATAAATGCCTAGAGAATTTAAATTACAGTTATATTTGTATTTAAATTTCTGTCATTTGTGTCAAGTAAGAAATCAGAAAGATGTCCATAAGGACCTTATTTCTTTAATTTTTACTAAAGAGAAAAATGTTACATACTTTTAAAAAATAACCTTTACTTTCTAAAATGGATAAGCACTGGGCATCAAAACAATTATGAAAACCTAGAGTAAATTCCATTTTTATCACAAGTACAAAATATAAACATTTATTTAAAAAATGCATTGGCTGATAACCTCTCCCTACCCCATAGTATTTCTGGTGGGAAGGGGATGTAAAATCTGTAGCATACTGAAAGATAAATAAATAGTTTTCTACCACTGTTAAAAATAATTTGGAGTGGTCTCCACACAAGTATTCCAGATAGATCTTGAAAACGTTATAAATCTGACCAGGATTATAATACAAATGTAATGACACTGTGCACTTGAACACAGCACTTTCAACCAGGGTTCAAATGGTTACTTTGTTTTGAGGAAAAATTCCTATTACTCCAAGTGTGCTGGAGTCCACCCACACTGGCTTGGCTCCAGAGAGCTGAACGTGCATATCTCTTTCCAGCACTGCCTCCCATACCATCAGGTCGGTAGCTTGAAATTGGTCTTGAAAATTGTCAAAAGCTACACATGAGGGCTCCCCCACCCCCTTCCAGAGACCAGCTATTAAACATTTACCAAACACACCACTGTCACTATCCTCACTCTGCTTTTTATCATTTCTCTGAACAGAGCCACAGTAAGTCATTAACACTTTGCCAGGGAACCTGTCGATAAAACACCGTGTCAATGGTCAATGCTTATTTTCATTTTCAGCCCATCGCCCAGGAATGCTTCAGGGCTTTCCTGCCTCCATTCTCACTGGCGTGCTCATAGAACTGACTCCATATTGCAATGCCAAACAACAAGCTAACATAGTACAGATGGAAAAAGCCTAACCAGTGAATAAAATAGAAGAGCTTCTGCAGGCATTCTACATCCAATTCTTCCAACCAATGAATAAAATAGAAGAGCTTCTACAGGCATTCTACATCCAATTCTTCCAACCAATGAATAAAATAGAAGAGCTTCTACAGGCATTCTACATCCAGTTCTTCCAACCAATGAATAAAATAGAGGAGCTTCTACAGGCATTCTATATCCAATTCTTCCAAATTTTTTAAGATACTATTCAAATGCCACCTGCTCTCTGTAGACTATCACAGTTCCCTCAATTTTTTTTTCCTTCGCTCTTTTGAGGTGGCTTGTATTTCTATTGTGATGGTTATTTCATTTTGGCTCAAAATATCAGACTGAATCATAGAAAATGACATTTTGTAGGCAAAAAAGAGTGGAATTTTACCAATTTTATACAGATCAATCTAATACAATTGTCTAATATTTTCATTTTCTACTATAATGTAAATTTTTGTTCTTTTTTGAGACAGGGTTTCACTCTGTCGCCCAGGCTGGAGTGCAGTGTTGCAATTATGGTTCACTGCAGCTAGAAATCGCAGGTTCAAGCGATTCTCCCACCTCCACCTCCTGAGTAGCTGGGACCACAGGCATGCGGCACCATGCCCGGCTAATTCTTTATTTCATTTTTGTACAGAAAGGGTTTTGCCATGTTTCCCATGCTGGTCTTCAATTCCTGGACTCAAGCGATCCTCCTGCCTTGGACTCTCGAAGTGCTGGAACTACAGGTGTGAGCCACTGTGCCCAACTATAATGTAAATGTTTTGAGGGTTTCAAACATGTTTATTCATCATTTGACCTGGACAAACAGTTCACATATTGTCTTGATTAAATGAATATCAGAAAAAATACATTAAAGAAAAAACAGTATTTAGGAGCCCACATATTTCGATGAAAGTAAATGTTAATAACTCTCTTCCATGGTTATATTGCTCTCTTATGAATTTGAACACATTTGATAGATCTGGCTATGACAATGCTATCAATACCATGTGTCAATGATATTCATATGGGCAAATGTGGATTTACATTGCACTTATTCTGTCTGATAAACATGTAGCCCTTTATAGACTTCATGATATTCCAGCTATATCTCAAATTATACATAAAAATACTTTATCTCAATATCCCAGTCCAGCACCACTGTTGTACAAAAGTAAACAACAAGCAGAAAGAGATTTCCACATGCAAACAGAAAAAATCATTTAACACATCCAAATATAATATGAGGAGCAGCCCTGTAGACAAACATAAAACAGAAGAAAGGCAATAAGAATTGTGCTTTCTCCCTTGTGACAATTGAAACTGTGGTGCAAAGTGGAAATCGGCAAGCTATGCTTTTGAATTAGCTGCTAACATATCAATAGGTGTAAATTGCAGTAGGCAATGTTGACTTTAATTGGAAGACCCGTATCATAGCTCTGTACCCTTGAGATGCACAAACAAGAAGTTATTCTGTCACTTCGTATCATAGTAGAGATACAGAGTGACAAGTTTAACCAAGAAAAATAGAATATAATGGCTTGCTTTTATCTAACTTTTCCCAGAAGGTGGGTAGCTACAATGACTCAGTTAAGGGCAGGTGTTAATGATTTCTAATGGTTCATTAAATGATCGGGATATAAACCCAGGCATTCGAGCCAGCAATGGCAACCCCCTTTGGGTCCCCTCCCTTCGTATGGGAGCTCTGTTTTCACGCTATTAAATCTTGCAACTGAAAAAAAAAAAAAGAGATCCATTTAAAATTGTATTTATTTAAAAAATAAGTGTCTAGGGGTAACTGGGATAAACAAAGGAAAAGGCAGCAATATTACGTCTTTGTTGATTGCTATTTAAAAATTCATATAATAAGGAAGAATCCAGATAAAATGTCTCCATTACAAATCTGGGGAGGCTAGACTCGCTACGACGTTCCTGCTCCATTACAATTCTGCGGAGGCTAGACTCGTTACGACTTTCCCGCCTCAAGTCATTCACAGCTGAGTTGTGCGGCAGGAATTGGATCAGAATTAAATATATTTGAAACTGGCTAAGAACACTTTGATGAGAGATCACAAGGGAGAAGAAATTTTAAAAACTACAGTTCACCCATTAGTAAATTATGTAACTATAGTTCCCAAACTGGGCTGTGGACCATCCAAGCAGTGGGAAGTTGTAAGTTCATGGAAAGCATGAAGGTATTTTTAAAAAAATCATCAAATCAAATGTGCACTACTGCCTGGATATCCATATCTTATTGACAGAGGCAGTGTATTATAGTGATTAGGTATATGGAAGGAAGCCAGACTACCTGGATTCAAATCCTATTTCTTAGCCAGGTGACTTGCCCAAGTTATACAACCTCTCTGAGCCTCTGTTCCCTTGTCTATAAAATGGGAGAACGAGTGGTACCTCCCTCTGAATGGTTATGAGAGCTAAGTGAGTTAAAACATCTAAAGTTTTTGGAATAGGACTTGGTACACAGTAAATAGTACCACAAGTGTTTGCCATCAGTATATTTACAGGACAAATGTAGCTATAAAATGCCATATAATATGAATTAATAATACAAACTAATAATAAAACAAAAACTATTTCAAAGGCATTGTTATATTTACAGTAGCCTTTTCTCATTATAAAGCTTCTTTATCAATAAATATTAACAGTACACCATTGTCAAGAGGCAGTGAAAATATTTTTCAACTTAAAAAAAAACAAGCCTGAGAATTTCAAAGGTAGTAATAATTACTTATGAAGACGGCCTACTAAGAAACAAACAATTTTAGTGTGTTTATCTGACAGATCTGCCTGACAGGCATAGAAAAATACATCACTGACCTCTGTACACTATCTTCCCACTGATGCCAAAACAGTGAGATCTCCAAAGGGATGAATAACATTATTCCAGAGGTTCAGGGGTTCATTATCTGTGCCCAAACAAAAACTCAGGGCTAAGGATCTTGCTATGATGTTTGACTTGCTCATATTTAAAAAAATAAGTTTTTTGTGTTTTTGTTTGTTTGTTTTTGGAGACAGGGCCTCACTCCATCGCCCAGGCTGGAGTGCAATGGCACTATCTCGGGTCACTGCAATCTCCACCTCCCGAATTCAAGCGATTCTCCTGCCTCAGCCTCCTGAGCAGCTGGGATTAGAAGCATGTGCCACCATGCCTGGCTAATTTTTGTATTTTTAGTAGAAATGGGGTTTCACCATGTTGGCCATGCTGGTCTTGAACTCCTGACCTCAGGTGATCCACCTGCCTTAGCCTCCCAAAGTGAAAAATAAGTTTTAATAAAAGAAGATAAAACTAAGGTATCATAATACTAATTATGAAAGGATAACATGGTCAATGTTCATATTAAGAAAGAAGGAAAACATAATTTCCTCTGCTTCATAAAAGGGTGATTTCCCATAGCACCATATACTTTGCATATATTAGAAGTTTATGTTTACTGAGTTGATAAAAGTACATTTCAAAATTAAATAGTTAAAAGATACCCTTTTTTTACAAGATAGGAACGCTTTCCTATGAAGTGCCCGACTTAAACAAATGGCAACAGTTCTTGAAAAAAAACATTATAAAGTGTCTACATGAAAATACTAGATTGGGTTTAGTCGAAAGACTTTGTGTGGCTTTCTGATTGGTGAGAAAAATAATAAAGCTGCACTTGAGTAGTAAGAGGATGACCTCTTTTGGCTTATTTGGGCTCTTAATATAACAGTCACTGAACTAGCTAATTAGCTTGGCACAGTTTCAAGCTATTGGATCGTAGGAAGTGATAGAGTACAACAGAAGGCATCTCTTGGCGAGAATAACTATAACTCATCATTTTCTGAGAGGCGTTCTTGTGGAAAGGACTTTTAGCAGCTTTTTGATCTCTGGCACTGATTTGGAATAAAGAAAAACGCCCATTTAATTTATCATGCTAACATTCAGTAGTATGCAAGCATAGCAAGAAGGCAGCAGTGCACGACTGATGTAAGTGAGGCATTAGGGCAAACCACTGCATGCTGTCACTGATGCAGTAAGCCTTTCTCTCCAGACAAATATTTTGGAAAGTTTTATATCCAGACAAATGGCATTAGGTTATGAAAATGTAGGCACGTGGAGAGCTCTCCATAATCCTCCTTGTGATGGTTAGTTTTAGGTGTTAGCCAGATGGCTGGTAAAGCATTATTTTTAAGTATGTCTGTGAGGATGTTTCCAGGAGAGACTGATACTTGAATCAATGAACTGAGTAAGGAGACTGAAGCTCATCCAATGTGGGTGGGCACCACCCAATCGATTGAAGGCCTGGATAGATTTTAAAAGGCAAGATAAATTCTCTCTCTCTTTTGGAGCTGGGACACTCATCTCCTGCCCTTAGACATCTAGAACTACAGGTTCTTTGACCTTCAGACTGTGTAACTTGCACCAGTGGCCCCATGTTTCTCCAGGCTTTGGCCTCAGGCTGAGAGATTGAGAGATACACGATCAACTCCTCTTGTTCTCAGGCCTTCAGACTTGGACTGCGCTATGTCATGGCTTCGCTGGTACTCCAGTTTGCAGATAGCCTATCATGGGACTTCTCCGCCTCCAAAATCATGATGTGAGCCAATTTTCACAATAAATTTCCACAAAGAATTTCATCTATATATGTATATATACACACACACACAATACATATATATGTGTATATATATACACATATATAGAGTGTGTATCTATATGTAGTGTATATATATAGTTTACATACACATACATATATAGGGATATATGCTACATACACATACATATATATGCTAAATATATATAGGGATATGTGTATGTACACTATATATATATACACACACTACATATAGATACACACTATATATAGAGAGAGAGACATGTATGTATATACACATATATGTATATACGCATACATATATAGGGATATGTGTATGTACACTATATATATACACTATATATAGATACACTATATATAGAGAGAGAGACTTATGTATGTATATACACATATATATGTATATACACATACATATATAGGGATATGTGTATGTACACTAAATATATACACTATATATAGATACACACTATATATATAGGGAGAGAGACTTATGTATGTATATACACATATGTGTATATACATACATATATACATACACATATGTGTATATACATACATATATAGGGATATGTGTATGTACACTATATATACACACTATATATAGATACACACACACTATATATATAGAGAGAGAGAGAGAGAGTTATATAGTGTGTTTGTGAGTGTGTTCTGTTTCTCTGGAGAGCCCTGAATAATACATTTCTCTATCAAAGAGAATTATGCATATAAAAATATATAAATACCCCCAAAAGTGACTTGGATTATGCATTCCAGAAATTTTCATGGTTTCTACTCAAAATTTGGAGCTTTGGGAAAATTTTTAAAGCTTCCCCTTGGAAAACGTGGCTTCCCAAATATCTTGAATATAAGAAGAAAAGGGTATTGCCAAACTTACTCAGATGTCAGATCTGCCTGACAGGTAAATTTATAACTGAAAGTCAGTCAATTGATCATCTCAGAAGACCTGTAAATATTGTAAATCTCATTGTTCTAAAAAACTGCCTCAAATGCTAGAAATGGTCCTTGTGACGAATAGAAAACATGCTCTTTAGAAGCTGAATTGCTTATATCCTGTCTTTGGGATTTACAGACTAAGCCTTGGGAGTCAGCGATTTTGCCCACCATCCTCGGCACAAATGTACCAGGCCTGTAACCAGCACTGGGGAGTTTCATACTTGGGTTTTAGGTTTTGGGGTTAATCCAATCTAACCACATTTGTTTCCTTGCAAAGGGACCAGAGACTTCTCATATACTAATCCAAAGAATTTCCTTGGAAATGACTATGGCCAGAGTGTGGCAGCATTCTGAGTGACCTCAAGCACCTGCTGCCCCCTCTCCCCTGATCATTCAGTGGGAGTGGTCAGCTAATTCCCCCAACCTTGTTATTTTTGGTGAGTGCCAAAGTCATCTAGTCTCTCTTTTCGTCTCTTCTCCTACATCTCCATTCTTCTCCCAATTCCTCCTCCTTCATCTCTCCCAACCTTCAAATTATTTCTCCTGGGACAAGGTTTAATGAGCTCCTACACACACAACTACTTCTCTGAAGTTCTTCTCCCTATTCTTGGCTAAGATGTAACTTGGCTCTTCTCTGAAATGATCAGTTCTCCTAAATCTTCTCCACTCGTGATTGTTCGTCACTAGAATTTGTACACCTCGGGTTTGGAAGTTGGTGAGCTTCCTTCTTATTCCACATATTTTTCTGCTATGCTTCTCTCTAGTTGCCTCATCATTTTCAGGTCATCGCTTTGGTATAAGACTCACAGCCTCCTCCACTCTAGATCCTGCTTTCAACCTGCAAGTCACTCTGTTCTCTCTGTTTATTGATCTCATGATCTCCAAAAACATTCACTTTAAACCATCCTCTCCTATGTCCATGCCTTGGATTGTATCAACATTGTCCAGAACCACTTCACATCTGAATTATTATTTTCACATTCATTCTCTCATCGAAGCCTCTTTTTCCTCTAGCTCTATCATACTTCCATTCCCAATTATCATTTTTTTCCGCTCATTAATATCTTCAATTCCTTTGCCCATTTAATTTTTTTTTAGCTTCCACCTATTTTTGATCCGTTTCCAATGTATAGTTCATTATTAATTATTTCATCACAACCCCCGTTTCCTAATCTCACACTGTCTTACTCAAGATAGCACAGACTGGGTAAATTATAAACAGTGGAAGTTAATTTGGCTTATGGTTCTGGAGGCTGGCAAGTCCAACATTGTTGGACTGCATCTTGTGAGGGCCTTCTTGCTGTGATGTAACATGGTGGAAGGGAAAGTGAGCACTTACAAAACAGAGATAGAAAAATTGGGCCGAACTTATTCCTTTGTTAGGAGCCCATTCCCTTGATAACTTACCCTCTCCCAAGATAATGAATGAATCCATTCATGAGGGCAGACCCCTCATGATCTAATCACCTGTTAAAGGTCTCACTTTAAATTCTTGGTTAATTATTGTTCTTTTTTTTAGACAGAACTCTTTGCTATGTTGTCCAGCCTGGTCTCAAACTCCTGGGCTCAAGTGATCCTCCCAACTTAGCCTCTTGAGAAGCTAGGACTACAGATACATGCCAGCATGCCAGGCTCCAGAGGACCCACCTGTTAATATTGTCACAGTGTCAATTAAATTTCAACATGAGTTTTAGAAGGCACATGCATAGCACATGCCTACCTGGAAAAATCTCAACATTGGATAAATTTCCTGTCTTCACAGATACGCTTATTAATTCATCATTTGGTAAAATAATATCTAATGATATCTTCTAGGTTCCAGGAACCAGTAAGGTACTAGGGATACAATAGCGAGAAGCCAGACATGGGCTCTGCTGTATAGCTCTTTTCATCTAGAGGGGAATATAAAAATTCATACAATAATAAATATAAAAATATAAATATGATAAGGACTGTCTTAGTCTGTGTTGCTGTAACAAAATACTTAAGACTGGATAATTTATAAATAACAGAAATTTATTTCTTACAGTTCTGGGGCTGGGAAGTTCAAGATCAATATGGAGGCAGGTTTGGTGTCTGGTGAAGGCTGATCTCTGATTCCAAGATGGTGCCTTGATGTTGTATCCTCCAAGATGATGAAAGGGGATAAAGCCACTTTCCCAACCCCTTTTATAAGGGGCTGCTACTCCCAACCATGAGGGCTCTGCTCTCATGATTCATGCACCTCTTCCAGGCCCCATGTCTTAATACGATAACATTGGTGATTAAGTTTCTAAAACAAATACGGGTGGACACATTCAGGTCATAGCAAGGACCAACTCCTTAATATGGCTCCACAGATACTCCATGATTGAGCATCTACTTAGCAGTCTTGGTCCATAGGGAATTATAGTCTCTTTTCCTGTTATTTCTATAAGATGCTTCCTCTGATTAGAAAATGTTTCCATACTCCCCTTGCTGCCAGACATTTTTGATTCTGGACAACTCCTACTTATTATTTTGGTTTATTTCAATGTCTAGGTAAATGTAGGTGCCATGCAATGTATTCTTGTGGCACCTTATATTTCACCTATTGTGGGAGTAATCAATTTCAACGACCAGGTTAATTCTCAAGGAGGAGGGAGTAAAATGGAAGACGGAATACATTTCCGAGGGAAGGTTATGTTACATGTTGGGAAACGTAAGCAAAGAGTAAAGAAAGGTCAGAAATTGGACAAAGAATTTGGTAGACAGAACTGACTACACACAGAGAGAACGGGGAACTGGATGGGCAAAGAGGAAAAAAGAATTTTAATACCTGCTAGAAGGAGGAAAAGGTGGAGAAAAGGAGAAATGCCTATGCAGAACTACTGGAAAGCTTTCCGTATGATGGCTACATAATCTCTCCCATGCTCTTCTTCAAGGAACACTGCAATAGAGATGATCATTGTTTATTAAGGTTTCTAGTAGTCAAGTTGGGTTTCCTACATTTTCTTTTTTGGGGGATGGGAGAGGTGGAAAAGTTTGTGTGCAGAAGTAGGAGACAGGAAATTATAATTAACAATAATTTATTGTATATTTCAAAATAGCTAGAAAACTATAATTGTAATTTTCCCAACACAAAGACAAGATAAATGTTGAGATGATGGAAAAATATACAAATGAATTAATAAAGTGGATTGGAGAAGTCTGAGCCATATTTTAATTACTTGGTGCTCCATGCATTGTATTGTAATTGTCTGTTTAACTGTGTGATTTCTCTGATAAATATTAAGCTTCACTAGTACAAGATTTATTAACTTTGCTAGCCCAGTACCAGTTGCAGAATAAGTAATAAGTAAATGTTTAGTAAATGAATCAAAAAATATATAAAAAATGCATGAATAAACATGATGTTATATATTTCTGAAACATAATTGAATTTGTCAATAAGATACCAGAGGCTAGCAATTCAAAGCTGTATAATTATTAATGAAAGAGACAGCAATTGCAATCAATTTTAATAATCTTTTAGAAATAAATATGCGCATTTAACATTATGTATTATTTTTCAATCATTTGATTTTTTAAAACTTTGTTTTAGAAATACATCATTGCAATATCCTATCAACTTAAAACCAAGGTAAGCAATGATTCATTATTTCTTTATGCCTATGAGATTATATGTTCATGTAACAGGCAAAAAAGACATCACTCATAGATAGACTCATTTTTTATACCATGTTTTTAAAAAAGGAGAAGAAAGATGAGACCAAGAGAGGGAGAGATTGAAAGGAGAGATTATGAAATGAGTTACAATTACAAATTGGGTATAAAGCTGCGGAGTTTTAAATAATCAATGAGAAAGATGATTACAAGGAGTGAAACAGCTCATTCACAGGAAAATAATGACAGCTTTATTTTCATAAATATTTAACAAATAACTTCAAAGGACTAGGACTGCGCTGTTCTTGGTTTCTTGCATGCACACACACACACACACACACACACCACTAAAATTTCTCTCCCTAGTCTACAAAAAAAGACTTTCATTACCTTCCTTTTTCTCACTAGTGCTTAGTTATTTCATACTTTAATGTTTAGTTACTAAATATTCAACGTTTAAATTTTCTCGGTGAGGAAATAATCCAGAACTTTCTGAAACACAAAGTATCACTATTTGCTTCTTTAAAAAATAGTCTATTAATTTCTTACCATCTCCTGATTTAAATCTGAATTACTTTGCATGGCTTGTGTAACTTATCAAACCCCTATCTTAAAAAATCACCTAACCATGTTTGTATTCGTAATAAATTCTCACCAACAATTGATCACAATTGAACAATTATCAGAATGATCATTTTGCGGTTTTCTGAAGCATGCCTTGCCTTTTCCTTAATAAATGCTATGATAGATTATTTGCCAACCAGCATAATATATGTGAAAATGCAGATACACCATACAATATTACATAATATGTTCCCTTAATATGATTACTACTTTTCAGTGTAGCTATTCAATCTTCAGTCATCGATATGATTCTCCTATAATTTCTTTATGAAGTATTTAAAAGCTAATAAGGAGAAAAAATATAATTTGAATACTTTAACATTTCATATTTTCAGTAGAGATTTAAAAATTTCTTCATACAAAGTGGCATAAGCCAATATATACAAACCCATAGTTAAATATGCCCTTTTCAAAATTGTGGTGTTTAAGGAGATTTAGTGTTTAAAGAACATGTGGCTCTCCTTTGCCCTTAATATTGGCTATAGAATATGGAGACACTTCATTTATCTGGTATTGATTTGACATTTTTGGTATTTCATGGTAATTTTTTTCAGAAAATAAAACTTTTTTTCTAATCCTTAGTTTGAAAAAAGGTTGGTTGTGTTGCCAAAACTTGTGTTAACCATTTCCTGCTTTTTGAAGCTGATCACAATGAATAAAATTCAATGTGTTCTTAATGGCTCAGTTTTATTATGAACATATTGTTGTTCTGTTCTGTTACATAAGGATGTCTCCAGGGGCTGTTGAAGCCTAGAGGACTGTTTTCCTGAGCCCGTTTCTTTCTCGAGTTTTATTTTAAGTGTCTACTTTGGTATTTTTTAAAATCTTTCTTTTTGATCATGTGACTGTCATCTTTAAGGCCCTGGGAGTGTTCATACTTATTTTAATGCTGGAGCTGCCAAATGAAAATAATGACATATATTTATTGAATATGAACAATGTACAAGATATTCCTTTATACTCTCTCTATATATATTAACTCATTTAATTCTCACATGATGTTTTGTCCATTTTACATATGAGAAATGTAGACACAGAGAAATTAAAGTATTTGTCCAATGTCACATGGCCAGTAGGAATTTGACCCCAGGTAGCCTGGATTCAGAGCCTGTATTATTGACCTCTGTGCTATGATCAATAATACAGGCTCTAAAATATTGCACTTATTCATGCAGCAGTTTAAATGCTGCAATACGTATTTACCTATATAGCTGTAAATAGGTATCGCAACATTTAAACCTATACATGAATACGTGCATGATAAATAATAGATATATGAAAATTTTAGAAGTCAAAGGATACATAGAAAACAAGAGACAAACCCAATATGCACACATTTAACACATATTAAAGTGCCTGGTATATAGCAGGAAGCCTTGAATACAGAATAAATAACACAATGTTTCTCATGAAATATATAGTCAAATGGGCAAAACAGAAATGGGTCAGGTATTAGAATGCAATGACATAGCTGTAGCTTTTATATTATAGTATTTATTGTAAAATACTTTTTTTTCTTTTTCTTTTTTGAGATGGGGGTCTCTTGCCTTGTTTGCCAAGGCTGGTCTTGAACTCCAGAAGTCAAGCCATCCTCCAGTCTCAGCCTCCCAAGTAGCTGGAATTATAGGCATGAGCCAGTATACCTGGCTGTGAAATATTTTTGGCATGGGAATGTTTCTGTTTCTCTCTCAGTTAGTATTCAAACACTAATATGATCTTGAGAACAAATGGGGTATTGCAAGTCTCCTCATGGACTTTATGGGGATTACATAGACTCTCAAACTATTTTTAAAAACTGGTATATTTATTTGCTGTTTTGAAGGAGAGAATATATGGCTTATATAAGATCCTTAGCAGGAACCATGAGCAGGAAAATATTAGGATTGTTGGTGTATGAGAATTTAGCTGTACATTTTACTCTTTTATGGATTCTTTTTAAGTAATTTATCTGAATAAATTGATTTGGCAGGAAGATTACTTTTCTTTATGGACAGAACAGACTAGAAATTTGAAAACTAACACTGAAACCTCTAAATGATACAATCAAAAATTATTTTATGGGAAAAGTACACACTAGTAATGGGTTTTAAAGTCATTGTAAGCACCTAACTCCTTTTCCTCTCTACACCGACTGATTCAACCAGAAAACTAACAGAAAACCTTTGATTATGGCAAATAGGTTATGACTGTGTCTTCCCACTAAACTGAAGATCAAAGGGATGGCCCTTTCCCCTCCACTTGGATGGCTATCGCATGCTTTCAGTGATAAGGAAAGGAAAACACAGACTTCAGGGAGAAGTGAAGAGGGTGATTCACCGTCGCTCTAGCTTCTCATTAACCTTTTGCTTATGCTCTCAAGGCCATGTTTTCTACCTTCCAAAGTTAAGCAAAGCCAAGAAAGGATACATAGAAAGGATGCATACTCTCTGCTAAAACTTGAAGATGAATTAATTAAAGTCATGCGTATCTAAATCATTTAAATAAAACAATACCTCCATTATTATTCATTGTCGATGCACATTAATATTCATTTACTTTGTCTAAGGATTAATTGCAAAGAAAATATTCAGGCTCCAGTTACAAGTTCCAACTGTGTATGAACCTTCTATTTTGAAGATAAACTAAAGTGACTTTGTTTTTTAAAAAAGGACTAGTTTTATTTACTCAAATTTTGTTGTCAAATGGATACCAAAACTTTAGTTAGAAAGTGTTTTTAAAGAATTGGAAAAACCCAGAATTCATGAAATAAAACTGCAGAAGGGGAAAGTATAGTTAAGTGATCGGAAGTCAACAATGAGTTGAAACTCCATTGGAAAACTAGAAATATGAATCACTAACATGTTTGTTCTTACTTTTCATACTTTGACCATTTCTACTATTTTATCAGAAAGAAATTTTTCAATAATTTAAAACTCTTGTTCTTTAATAAAAATAGTTTAAGCTTTAAACCTTTAAAATATGATTTTACGATAATTTGAAGCACAGTGTCAAAATTAAAGAACAGGATATCCCGTAGCATTTTCTTTTTCTTGAGTCCCCATTGTGCTTCAAAACCTCGACTGTCTTTCTTTGTCCCAGATACTTTTTGGTACTCATTAAGCTGAAATTACTGGAAAAAAAAAAAAAAAAAACACAACCAACCCACAACAACCCATGAATAGTTTGGTGGCTGGACAAAGGGCTGGGTGGTCTATGATTTCAAGAATTAGTTATGGTTATACCAATTAACTCTTGTGATTGTTCTGTGCAAGTTTTATTGAAAAAATGTCCTATGTAGAGACTTTTCCTTCTGGGGGTGGGGGAATTTTTTTTTTTCCTTTCCATGGGTGGTGGAAAGACTTTTGCATTTGTACTGCAAATGTTACAATTTATTTCATATGCTATACAAAAATTTTGCCTGGGGTTTTTAATTCTCTTCTAATCAAGTGCTATTTAAAATAAATACACATACAAATCATTTTCTTTACCTGAAACCATGGCTAAGAATAAAGAAAGATAACTTTATGTAACACTGATTAAAAGTGACAAAAGTTCAGAAAGATAAAAAAATATTTTAAATAGATGCCATCAGTTTTGCCAGTGTGGGGGCACAGCCTTAAGAAAACATGTTTTTATTTTGTTTATTTTTACATAGTAGTATAACAAAATATGTACAGTTTTAGTCAGTGATATTCTTGGAAGTAGAATACAGTTCTATGTTTTATGACAGAATTTTTATGCATTGATGTAAACTCTTACTATAATGTAAAATTAATATAGAAATAAAGCAAATTGCAAAGAAAATAAGGAACTAAGTAATGGGCAAATTATTCTCTGCACTAAAATTTACTAATTACTAAAATCAATTTAGTATTGCCCTTTTTCTCCTTTTAATATCCCCTACTCTTTCCCTGTGGGATTGAAGTAGAATTAACTCACCGTATACATGGAACTTAACAAATCTCTACTATAGATCACTCACAGCTTTAGACAGTCAAACTGTTTTCTTGTCAAAAGCCCTTGCAGACACTTTTTTCACCTTACAGCTTTTCTAGAACCCAGCGAGGCCCTATAGCTTCCAACTGAGGGGATGCAGAGAAGCAAAAGAACAAGAGAGAAGAAAGGGAGAAAATGGTTTGGACAATTTCACAGCATGAAATTCCATGGTATGATGGGTTTTTTGTTTGTTTGTTGCTTGTTTGTTTTTTTAATCAATAGACTCATTTTTCCTTCTCCTAACAATACATACCTCTTCTCTTTCTAATGATGTCCTAATATACATTCGTTTTCAATCATCTCCAGTTGGCATCGCAGTTACAAACAGCCTCTTGAAAGGAAATCCAAATTTGCAAAGTCTTTCTAGAATCTAAGTGCTTGAAACAACTGAAATTTAATAAAATTTATCTATGTTTAAAGAGAAAAAAATATAAACTTTTTATTTCTTTTTTAAACTTAGAAATTAGAAGTTTTAAAGTTCAATTTAAATTTCAAACGGGAATAAAACTCGATTCAGCATTGTCCTTGTTTGGTTGTTGTTTTATAACTTCTCCGTTTAGTCAAAGGAGCTAAAGAAATAGATAAAATCCTGGGATAGTTTGTGAAAAGGCTTTCACAACCATTGGAAATGTTCACTTAAATTGAATTTTTTTGTTTTCTTATTTCAAGCCTAACAAATGTATATAAGATCTTAAAAACTATTTCAAATATATGTCTCAGAAATCCTAGTTACATGAGATTATAGAAGATGTAACGTAAATGAAACATTTGTAATCAACTGGAGAACCACAAGGTAATGAATTTGAAGAAACAGCTTGTAACCTAATGCTTGATAGACACCAGATGACACATGCATGTGTTTTCCAGGTTTTTTTTTTTTTTTTTCGGTGGGGGTTACTTATAAAAAGAACTTTATCATCCAAATCTATATTGCGCTGAATCATATTATACTGAAGCAACTGGAATTTTAAACAGATTACCATCTATAAAAAAAAAATCAGCAGCTATAAAATCCAAGCAGTCATTTGTAATATTAAACTGAAATGGTTTTTGACCAAGTATGGGTTGGTTTCAATTTCTCAATAAGTGTCTTAAGTTATTTTCAAAGTAATTAAATTACAGAAATATTATTTTACCTTAATTTCATTGTCCTTGGTAATTATATTTTCTGGTTTAAAATTAGTAAATATGCCTCTGGATGCCACAATTACTCTGTTGCTCCTTTTCCTTGTAAAATACATGAGACCTAACCTATTTCTTATGAAATATTTGTTTAGATCATTTATCTGACGATGTAGGGGTTCTGTAAGGCTCACATCTGATCCTTCCCAGATTCTCTGATTGTTCTGTCTGGCTAATCTCATCAAGTATCATTTAAATCTCTTTTTTGTACTAACGGTTCTCAAATGTAGACCCTCAATCTAGCCCTTTCTTCTGAGCGCCAGTTCTCTTATACAATTGCTTAGTTGACGTGTACCCCTGAATGTCCTGCAGATATCTTCAACCTAACACGTGAATAATGGAGTGCTTGATTTTTACTATTATAACTCTCCAGCCTTCCACATTTCAGCAAATGGTAGCACCTTTGGCAAGATACTCAAGCTTACATATGTCATTCTTTTTCAATTTTAAAGAAATTTTTGGGCCGGGCACCGTGGCTCACGCCTTCAATCCCAGCACTTTGGGAGGCAGAGGCAGGTGGATCACGAGGTCAGGAGTTCAAGACCAGCCTGGCCAAGATGGTGAAATCCCGTCTCTACTAAAAATGCCAAAATTAGCTGGGCATGGTGGTGGGCGCCTGTAATCCCAGCTACTCAGGAGGCTGAGGCAGAGAACTGCTTGAACCCAGGAGGTGGAGGTCACAGTGAACCGAGATCGTGCTACTGCACTCCAGCCTGGTCAACAGAGCAAGACTCCGTCTCAAAAGAAATTTTTAATAGACTATTTTTAGAACAGTTTTAAGTTCACAGCAAAATTAGTGGAAAGTATAGACTTTCCACGAATTATCTTCCACACCAATATGTACAGCCTCCTCCACTACTGACATCCTGCACCAGAGAGGTACATTCGTTGCATAGATGAAGCTAAATTGGTGAATCATAATCCCTGAGTCCATAGTTGATATTAGGGTTCAAAACTGTCATTCTTGATTTCTCCCTTTTTCTTTCCCCTTCTCTACGTCCACCCCCTGCCATCCCTGGTTCAAATTCATCTGCAACTCACATGAATACCACATACAAAAATATTTCCGCAATGTGTCCTTCTTCTTTGTTTACTGGCTCTTACTTCACATCTGGCACACAATAGTAGCCTCCTAAAATGCCTTCCCATCTTCACTACTGCAGGCACACATATGACCTCCCGTAAATGTATTCTTCAAATTCCAGACAAGTCAGTTTACTCCTAGCCTGATGGCTTCTGACTTTATTTCAAATGAAATCCAGGGTCTTTCCATGTAATACAAGACTTCAAATAATCTAGCCCTTGCCTATCTCTCTAACATCTCCTTGTATTAAGTTGGTGCAACAGTAATTGCTGTTTTTGCCATTGAAAGTAATGGCCAAAATCTCACCTGCAATTATTTTGCACCAGCCTAATACCTCTCACTCGCAAGCTCATGCCTTTCCAGCCACACTGACCCTCTTTCTTATATTCAAATCTCCATACTCTCTTGTCTGCTCCAGGGTCTTTGCACAAGTCAATTTCTCTCCTGGATGCTGTTCCACACCATACCCCTTCACATGGCTAGTTCCCTTTCATCTTTAGGTCGCAATTTAAATGCTTACTCTGGAGGAAAAAGCTTCCATTGATCACCTCACCCAAAATAGGCTTATAAGCCAGACTCAGCCACTTGCTAATTAACTTTGGGTGAGTTTGGAAACTTCTCTGAGCCTCATTTTTTTAAATCTGTAAAATGATAACACTATGAACTTCATAAGGTTGTTGAAAGGATTGAAGTGGTTGAATGCAAAGTGCTTAGAATGCAATAGCTGCTGTATGGTAAGCCTGCAAAAATTATTATTTCCGTGCCTCTTTTTCTCTTCATTCATCAACATGGTCAAATTATGCTTTCCCCTCACATGTACTCAACCAACAGACGATACTTTATAGTGTTGGGTTCTCTTTCTCTAATCATTTCATTGCATTGTGCTCCAACATCATAAAAACCTCTTATTAAAGTTTGATTTTAGATTAATTGTCTTTGTGGTATTCATATGCTCACTGGCAGAGTTTTAGACAATAATATAACTGTTTACTTAAAATATAAAATCTGCTGGGAGTGGTGGCTCATGCCTGTAATCCCAGCACTTTGGGAGGCTGAGGTGGGCGGATCACATGAGGTCAGGAGTTCGAGACCAGCCTGGGCAACATACTGAAACCCTGTCTCTACTAAAAGTACAAAACTTAGCTGGGCGTGATGGTGCATCCCGGTAGTCTCCGCTACTCGGGAGGCTGAGGCACAACCATCACTTGAACCCGGGGAAGCAGAGGCTGTAGTGAGCGAGATTGCGCCACTGCACTCTAGCCTGGGCGACAAGAGTGAGACCCTGTCTCAAAAATATAAAATAAAAATAAAAATAAAATATAAATTATACTGTACTGAATGGTGATAAGGTCATCATAATTTTTTTAAATTTGTGATATTTGACAACAATATTTCTAATCTTCTCCTTAGGATTTTAAAACTAAAGGAGTGAATAGAAAAAAATCTATATCACACAAAATATTGAGACTATTTTATGTGGGAATATGGAAAGGAGAAGCTAGGAGCAACTCAAATTACCTGTTGACACCAAACATGCTAGCTTTTGGCATCAGCCTACCTTCTCCTGCATTTGTCTACATCTACATTCCTAATCACTCTAAAATTATGAAATCAGCAATGTTAGGAGTTAAAAAATACATTTTAAATGGACAGTTTAAGAAGAAAAGAAAGGAAAGAGGTAACATATTAAATCTGGTTTTGTTCGCCGTTTTTTTTTTTTTTTTAATATATCCATGTCAGGAAGTATATAGAGCATTTAATACTAAAAGGAAAACAAACAAACAAACAAAAAATGTTCTAAAATATTCAGGCAGTGCTTGGGGTGTAGGAGGTAAGGCTTATACATTTTATAGAACTAAGTAAGCGTCGGCATTTTGGTTGATATTGAAAGTATCACCAAGTTTCCTATAAAATTTCAAGTCCAATAGATTTGTTTCACGTAAAGAATTTGAGGTTTTAGGTGCCAAAGTTAGATTTCTTTGTGAATTTAAGATTTCTAATCATCTTTCTTTGCACAATGTTTAGCTTTAATTACCTGCACACAGCAATATACCAACTACACACAGCAATAATTTTATACTTCTGTTGACAAGAGCTTAACTACACTCAGAGCACCACAAAATCCAGCATCTCTAATCCCAATGGCTCTGGAAAAATAACACTAAAGAAATCTCAGCTTAATTTAAATCTGTAATAAGCCAAAGAAGGAATAAAGATAACTATCCCCAGATTAGTACACATTCAGAGATTTTTAAGAAAATAATTACTGCAACTTTCTTATGTGGAATAGCTAATTTTGTAAGGCACAAGTTAGAATAAAATAAAAAGACACAAAGAATTTCACTACATAATTATATGTTACCTAATGTAGCAAAATCTCTATTTCAATGACTCCTACCCCACCAAGTGGACTAATAGTGTTATTTTTGTTAACAGCTTCTAGAATAAAGTATCCAAATAGCAGGCTGAAGAAGGTAAGTTTCCTAAGGAAAAAAGCTGTTTTCTTCCAAATTTAGGTTCCAAGTTTAGGTTTACAGATTTTAGCGCTGAATTGTTTAGCAGGCAGCATAAAGCATGCCTATATAGTTTTATATTTATATAACTACATAGAAACATACGTAAACTTACAGCTTTCTCTGCAGCTTACAATTTTAGTATAAAAAAAGTTCAGTGTAACTCAGATTAGAAATTTTTTAAAGGAGAGTTGACTCCTAAACACAAAATATAAACATTGATTAATAGATAAGATCTTATAAGATAAAATAAATGTCTATAAAATGTTAATAAGGTTTTATCTGCCACAGGTAATTTGAGTTTTTCTTTATTTCTTAAGTTAATTGACCAAAACAGTTCCTAGAAACAAAATAGAAACATTCAAATGATTAAAAAATGAGGGTGTTATTTAAGAAAACAAAGAATAAATTAAGCTAAAAGTATTATGTGGAGGAAAAGCCAAAATTTTTGAAGTCACAAAAAAGCTCTGTTAAAGTTCTGAATCACCATTTACAACACTGGTGGCCATTGCCATACTTGTCCCATCTGTCAAATAGAGTAAATGTAACTTAATGAGTGGAGGTGTTATGATAAATTCCATAACATGTGACTAGAGCTAGCCTAAATATGACAACAATAATCATAATTGTGCTATAAGTAAATAAGTAATGAGGACATCCTATATTTCTATATTTTAAGGGCTCTCATGAATAATACCATTAAAAACTCATAAATTATTCCATTTCATGTCTCTTATTATCCCTGTTTTATGGATAACGAAACTAACTAATGCACAGAGAAATTGAGCACTTGTTCAATTTCATACCAATATTAGCGGCTGAGCAAAAATTTCCACCTAAGTACTTGTCTCCAGAGCCCCTTTTTTAATGGAGCACTGCACTGACATCCACTAAAAGTTACATAAATACTTATAACATTCATCTATTCATCTATAAAAATGTTTCAAATAAAGAGTAATTGTAAAAACAAAAACAAAAATCATAGATCCTATAAATAAAAACTTTAACGTCAAAGACAAGTATCTCTGTGATCATTAAGAGCCTGCTTGTCTTATATTAATTACATTAATGCTAATGCAGAACTTTGGAACCTGATCATCAGTGGATCTCCACAATGCCCCATCTGTCAAGCCCCTACACCATACACAATAGTTTACCTTGGACCAGCGCAAATCTCAATCCATTAACACCAAGTTCATTATAAAAAGGACTCAGAATAAACTACACCAGCTATCTGCCATTTATATAGACTATGAATAAATGAAGAAGAAAAAACTCGACAATTAAAAGCATATTTTCAGCCAGGTGTGTTGGCTCACATCTGTAACCCCAGTACTTTGGGAAGTCGAGGCGGTCAGATCACCTGAGGTCAGGAGTTTGAGACCAGCTTGGCCAACATGGCGAAACCCTGTCTCTACTAAAAGTACAAAAATTAGCCGGGCGTGGTGGTGTGTGCCTGTAATCCCAGCTATTCAGGAGGCTGAGGCAGGAGAATCGCTTGAACCTGGTAGGTGGAGTTTGCAGTAGGCTGAGATCACGCCACTGCACGCCAGCCTGAGTGACAAGAGCAAGACTCTATCTCAAAAAAAAAAAAAAAAAAAAAAAAAAAAAGCATATTTTCTTTCTCTGTGAGAGAAAATAGATCCTATAGGTTAGTCATAAAAGTCATGAACATATAACAATCATAGGCAAGTCAGCAGAGACATAACCCTGGGATTATGCTAGAAGCTAGCAGTAATATCTTATATGATTATTGTCTGGGATATGTTTCATAGTAACTTATAATCACATGATCACAAAATTATTTCACACAATTTAAGCTTCTATATATTTTAAATTTAAAAAATCTTTTTTTCTTTCTTAGTATAAAAGTACTGTATAGAATCAGAGCAGGCAAAATATTGTGACCCCTAGCTATTACTTTATGAAGAAGAGATGGATTTTTCTGCCACCTCGCACTCTGGGTCCTGTGGCTACGGCAACTGCTCTTTCTGTGACTGCTGAGGGTAGAGTGACCTGAGGAAACATGATTGTTTCTCTACAGATTATTTTCTTGAATTGGAGGCAGAACCTAGACCAATGGTTCTGGGCCTTGACAATACTTTAGAATCATGTGGGACGTTTAGAGAAATACCTATTTCCAAGGCCTCATCTGAGAACATTTAATTATTTAGTGAGAGTAAGTCAGTAATTTTAACTTCTCTTGTGCACCTGGGTTGGGACCACTGCCCTAGACTAAGTGTGATGGAGTTGTTTTCTGCGGCTTCCCCTCCTCATCCTTTTTCTTCTCCTCATTCTCTTATTTCTCCTGTTCCTCCTTCTTCTCTCCCTCCTACCTCCTTTTTTCTTCTTCTGTCCAAGAGAAGATGAGAGGTCTAGATTTCCCCTGGGTACACTGTTTGGGTACATAGTGATACTTCCATTAAGGAATGTTGTTATATCCTATAAAAGCATTGGAAAGATAAACCCTAGAAAGAAAAAAAAATTGCCTAGAAACTTTAGTAGCACTTGTATACAGTACCAGTTTTAAATTTTCTTTTCAACATTATAATGTCTTTCTGCTATTTCAGAACATTAGAGTTTTATTAAATGATACAGTAAAATTAATCTGTATTGTGTGGAAGCCTGGAGGGGGTTCTATGTAGTCCCAGGTAGAGTGGTACCTTCCTCAGGTGATGGGCATGAACCTAAAGAAGAAACCTCAAATGATAAGAAAAAGGGACAGAAGAAGTTTGAAGTGGCCTGGGAACAGATGTTACCTGAGGGAGAGAGGAAAAAAAAGCCCTACAACCAAAATGTATTTATGCAACATGTTCGCAGTCTTCAGAGTATATGCATGTTTCCATGTGTATTTCCTCGGAGAAATATACATGCCTAGCAGAACACTTGGGGCATGGCATGAAATCAGGCTATTCCTACTTGGGTATTGAAGAGAAGGCTGAAATCTGAAGATTGTGAGGTTGCTTCAGCTCATTTTAGAAAAACAAACGTGCACGCAAAAAAGAAATCACACACACACACTTACACACACAAATACCCACAATCCTATCTTACCTGTCGAGATACACTTTGTTTATACCTTGTTGTATTAGTCCGTTTTCACGCTGCTATAAAGAACTGCCCAAGAAGAGGCAGTTATAAAGGAAAGAGGTTGAATTGACTCACAGTTCTGCAGGGCTAGGGAGGCCTCAGAAAACTTACTATCATAGCAGAAGGTGAAGCAAGGAAGGAAAAGTGCAAAGCGCCAGGAAGGAGAAGTGCAAAGTGAAGAGGGGCAAACCCTTTACAAAACCATCAGATCTCATGAGAAATCACTCTCATGAGAACAGCACGGGGAAATCGCCTCCATAATCTAATCACCTCCCAAGAGGCCCCTCCCCCAACACGTGGGGATTATAATTCGGATTACAATTCAAGATGAGATTTTGGGTGGGGACATGGCCAAACCATATCACTTGTTTTATTTTTATTCAATAATGTAATTACAACCTACATGTTTGCTTTCTAAATTTCCCTTTTAAAAAACTTAACAATATAGCATATGTTCTGATTATGACAATGTGTTAATAAATTCACCGTATCCACTTAATGGCAAGGGCACATTTTAAATAATTAATTTTGAAACAACTAAAAAAAATCTTAGTATACTTTAAAGCTATATGTCCATGGTCTTATAACTCTTTCAACCAGCCACTTGGAAAATTGCCTTCAATAAATGCAGAAACAAACATGAATTTATGTCTTCCCCATGACTTTTGTACATTTGGAATATTAAGAAAAAAATCCTCTTAACGTGTTTAAATTCTGAGACTTAGAAGAGGAGGTCTTTTTTCCTCAAAGCTATATTGTATCTTTTAAAACCTTTGTTCTCAGAATTTTTGTTGAATATGGTCTAAATAAACCCTGGGGTTGATCCATAGTCCCGTAGGACACACTATAAAATTAAGTCCTGTCAAAGTCTGTCAACTCTAAGCCCTAGTCTAGGAAGGCTTCATGCATAGAGGATTCTAACATAGGGTTAATTTGCAGGTCATTGTAAGATCTGGACTTCAAAGCATTCATGAACCCTTCCATGATGGCTATATAGGTTATATATAAAATGCCATATGCATTTGTAAATGTGTTTTCGTTTCTTTTTCCCCCCTGGGGAGAAAATCATTGTTCTCAAAGGGAGCAAAAACTCTAGAGAAATGTAAGATTTTTTCTGCAGTATGTAAATTGCTTCGAGTACTCTCTGATTTCTACTTGGGAATGTGGCAAGGATATAGCTTGCTTTAGAGACTTTGTTTTCTCAGCTAGTCCTTGCAAGAACCAGTGGAAGGGGTTTTACTAATTCCTCGTATCCTTCAGGAAAATTGTCCCCTGGAGGAAACTCAGGGACATTTGCAGAGGCATGTTGGAACTTTCTAGTCAGAGAGACATGCAACTAATTCAGAGATTTTTACTAAAGACAGCCAATGCTGTGCCCTTATATTTTGAAGAATAGTCTATGGCTATGGGCTGCTTTTCAGCCCTCTCCTACTTCTATTCTCCATAAATTAAACACAATTAATATTTTATGACGCTCTCCAAAGGAGCTACTATGCTTTGCTTTAAACAACACAAAGGTTTCTTTTTGTTTGTTTTTTTTCATGTGTGGGTTTTTTTTTGCTGCTTTTTCCTACTCATTGTATACCAGAAATTTAAACTTCGCCACATGGTGGAGTTTGATTTAAAAGAAATAGCCAGACTTTCTCAAAAACAAAGCCTAGGTGTGAAGGCGTTGCTAGTGAGTGTGTGGTTGCCCACCTTGGAGAAGCCCCTGGAAGCACGTTAGAAACGCAGACAGAATCTCAGGCCCACCCCAGTGCCACCAATTCAGAATCTGGTTTTTAAACACATTAAAGTTTGAGAAGCACTGTTTGTTTGTGCTATTTAATTTGCACTTTCTACAGGTTTCTGTGTGTGTGTGTGTGTGTGTGTGTGTGTGTGAACTAGGAGGTGGGCTAGGGTTAGAAAACACAGTCTCTATTAGAAAATTCTCACTTTCTATCTTTGTAAAATCTTTTGGAAAGGACTTGAGAGACTGCCGTCAATTGGAACTCAGGGTCCAGCTGGGTTCCCTTGGGTAAAGCATGACAGCCAATGATGAAGACTTGTGAGGTCCCTGCTTGATCCTGGGATGGGGAGTGCTGACAGTGACCTGGTGCCCAGCACTACACGTTTTCCCACCTGGGGGATGCTGCCATGTTTAGTGCCGTTCCAAGATTATCAGCATCTGACGAGTTGCTCTGCAATTTTAAGAAAGGCAAAATATCTCTATATTTTGTTTATTGGGATTTTAATTTTTCCATTTTGATTTTTGAAAGATAATGGAATGGATTTAGTTTTGGATGTATCCCTCCAGTTCCATCCTTCCCCTTTTGTTTACAGAGTATCAATTGGAATGTAGATTTCTAGAAAATACTATGTATTACTTAAGAGTTATCTCTGATTGAAATTTGTGATTGGCTAGAATATATAAAATGAATGACAATTTAACATTCAAAGCCACGTTCAGAGGGGGAGTTCCAACTCTGAATGTATGAAAGACAGCACTAAAACCAGCTAACTTTCCATATTAGATTTAAAACATTTTCAACTCATCCATTCTATTCTATTACATAGATCACATTATAAGACTGTAAGTCTAATAAATAGGTTATATTGATTTTCTGGTGATTAAGGGAATGCATTATCAATGAAAAAATTAAGTTAAACCAAAGGAATTACTTATAATAAATTATCGTGTGAAGCTTATTATTTATTCTTGACTTGCACTAACAAATCTTTGAATTTTGGGTCTATTTTCATTTTCACCTTGCTAAAAAAAAACGATCCTATTGGTCCTAGAAACTTATAATGATGAAAGAAAATCCTTCTTCTCCACAATCTGAACTTTTTTAAATCTGAAAATGAGGCCAGTGATAGTTGACGCATAATTGTTTTGAGCGTTTTTAAAAGTTAACATTTCTTGATTTCTATTTACTATGAATGACATTGTTTTCAACATTTTAAAACATATGAATGGTTCTGAAAGTTGAAGCATAGAAGCGTATTTAAATCCTGTACCTGCCTTTCCTTGCCAGTAAAATGTCCACAAGACTCCTGTGAAAATGGACTTGTTCGTGTATTGCTAACCAGTTAAAAATGCGAACTCTCAGAGTTCACCCAACCCACCACTGCCTGGCCAGAAACTCTGAGGGTGGGGCTCAGCCCTCTGTGGTTTAACACTCTCCTGATGTTTCCGATCTCAATGAAGTATGAGAATCCCTGTGATAAGCAGAGCCCATAAGACTTTGTCATTGCAGATCTTGAAGAAAACCTACATTGGTGAGATGAGGACTGTAATCATCTTGTATAGGGTTACTGGAGATGAACCGTTTACTGTTTTAGTGTTACTAAAGCATTACTGTTTTAGTAAATGGCCTTGAGAAAGACACAGACAAGCTTACCAGAAGTGGATTTAGGAAAACCTGGAAAGCATTAGCTGCTATTTCCCCACCATTACTGCTTCACATACTTTTACTATCATTTCTGTCACTTAAGACACTTGTGTAGTAAAAAGAGCACAGACACTGGAATCCAAGATAATGGTTAAAATTCTCACATGGAGAATACAATCAATATTAAAATTAAATGAAAATATAACACATTAGAAAAGCTTAAAACTTCTGAAAATCAAAGATACGTGTATCAATAAATTTGCAATACTTTTCATGTTATACATAGAAGTAGCTGGCTTTAAACAATCAAATATAACACCCCATGTCTGTGAGGTTGTGAAGAAATTAGCATAACCTGCTTACTGTTCATGGCCACGGAGATGGGCACACTGGTGACTGAAGAATAAAATGCATGAAAAGTCAAAGCTGCTCATTGTGCTTGAGTCGGTAATTCCCCCTACATACCTCTAACCTAGAGCATCTAGGTATAAAATTTATTGATATTGAATGCTGTCTTCCTCCCTCAAATGTACAAACACTCTTGATTATTTTTACTTATGTTTCTCATATACTTTATACGTACAACATTATAGGGCTTCTCATATTGTATTATTAGTATTTTGTTTACTTGTCTATGGTAAGATCCCTCAAAATCTGTTTTCCCTTTCTTCCAAAGTAAATAGGACTTTGTTTTCATTGAAATGGGTACACTTTCTTCCAAAATAAAGATATTGTCTAGTATGACTTATAGCTAAGTGTCACTAGGACATGAAGTTCTGGCCAAGTTCATAAGTAGAAGTTTTATGTGGTAGTTCTGGGGACTCTTTCTTAAAATATGGCTAGAATCCTCCCTTTGTCCTTGCTCTTCATTTTTCTGCTTGATATGTAAATGTGGGTTCTGAAATTATCTTAGCCCACAAAGAAGTCCACAGCGTAGTGATGGCAAAGCAGAAAGCTAGAAGCTGGCTGGCCCTCACTAAGATTTCTACCTGTGGATACGTATTCGAAAAAAATAAAAATAAGCTTTTTTTTGTTGAAGTAATGTTTTTAGGGTCACTTATTCATAGACCATCTTAATCACAAATTATATAAAATCTATCTTTGTGAACTCCTTGAGGGCAGAAACCATAGTTTATTCACTTGTTTTCAGTACATGCTACATAAAAAATACTGTGTAAAATCAGTTTCTGAATCAACCATAACAGACTTCTGAAGTGTTCTTAAATTAAGGCTTCTAGATTAAAAAATAGTATAGCATTTACTATACTATTTAAATTATAGCAGTAATTTAAATTATTTTAAAAATACAAATATGTATGGGTAGGCCTTTAAATATCTGCACAAAAGTTTATGTACTGATTATAGATTATTTTAAATATTTTTCAAAAAGATGTATTTTCTAAATGAAATATTTATATACTTATGTTTTAATATTCTCATAAATCTTGTATGACTGTTAGCATTACTTTAGAATCTCCTCTCCCATATCTCAATGTTGTGTTGCTAAGCAAGGAAACATTATATGTGATTTTCAAATTACAAAACAGCAACCTATGAGAATAAATGACTGGAATTTTCATATCTATGCTTTGAAATTATATTTCCTGAGAAGTATTGTGTGAGCCATGCTGTTCAAATGACAACGTAAATGTTAAAACGCACTCAAGAGTTAATAGCTTTTCAAATCAGGGTGTATTTTGCTTAATGCGTCAATATTAAAAAAGAGGTAAGTTTCAGTTTAGGTTTTACGTTCTACAGGGGAGAAGGCCAGCGTTATTCTCCAAGTACACATGAGTACTGTACCTGCTATTTAGATGTCCTGCATGGCGTGAGGGGGAAAAAAAGCCCAAAGTGAATATATGTCTAATATAATGTCTTCCATTGACTTTTCAGGTTACCTTTGTAATAGAGTAATATATGTAAATTTTACCTCAATTAGATGTATCCACTAATTATTTCTGCTTTACATGACTATTTAGAGAAGACATGTCAGTTAGTTAAGCATGTAATGCCTTATGGCATTTTGTTTTAAAGTACTGTTAAGTTTTCATTTATTTGTTGCTAATTTCTCCAACAGGATTGTAAACTGTCTGAGGATGAGAAAGAGATACTTCCTGTGAGTTATTCATAGCATATAGAATAGAGCCAAGCAGTGGATTAAAAAAAAAAAAAGTAAGTTCATCTAAAATAAATCATTCATTTTAAGGGTTCATTAAGCAAACAAAATGACCAATTTTAAAAAACAATAATAGCATGAAAATAACAATAATAAAATCATCTCTAAAGGCTGAATACAATAGTTGTAAGATGATATTAATTAATAAATTTATAAGTTATAATTAATTTATAATTAATATAAGGGTAAAATAACCATTTTTCTAAATACTATAAATACATGTACTCTCTATTATAAAACATATTTATTCATTGTGACACCACAGAAGGCTCTAGTTGTACAATGGTGAGCAAGACAGAGATAGTCACCCTTTCATGCTCCTTACAGCATGTAATAGATCAGTATGAATGAAGAATGCAGGTTTGCCCAGAGGGTAGAAAGCACAGCGCCTAGAGCCAGATGACTTTAACTCCCTGCTTTGACACTTGCTGACTGATTTTTATGTAGTATATTAAATACAGGTGACATTTCTGGCAGCCATACCGAGGCTATTTGATCCCTCATTCTTTACAAACCCATGGGATGATGAAGGCCAAATAATTTGACCTTTTTCTGGCAAAACTAGCCTAGAAACACACCTGAAAGAAACTACTATGAAAAAAAAAAAACCTACTACAGGATTTATGTCATTCTTTCTTAAATAAAACTTATTAAAACCAGGGAAATTCATAAAATGTATAAAAGCTAAAATACACAGAACTCTTAAAGGAAAAGATTAATTAAAACTAACTTGCATGCAAGTTTTATAAAGAATTTATAACCATTTCCTAAGGTTTCTGTATCTATCTAAAAATTATACAAGGTATTTTGCATAAATGCAAACAAATGAGAGTTATCAAATCAATATAAAATTCATAAACCATGTAGCTTCAATATTTTGTCATATAAGACACTTACTATATTCAGCTTTAATTGCATCAATACAAATTAGTATATGCCTTATCACAGGAAAAATATGATTGTAAGAAGCACATTTGAGAAATTATTACATATTGGGTAGTATAAGAAAACAAGTCTCCCTTAATTAAAGGCTCTGCTTCAAATTAGAATACACAGGGTATAATAATAAAAATGTGTGCTGAGAAGAAAACTTGTGTGGTTAACGTATTGATGGAAACAAAGTTTT
Organism: Homo sapiens; assembly: GCF_000001405.40. NCBI lineage: Eukaryota > Metazoa > Chordata > Mammalia > Primates > Hominidae > Homo > Homo sapiens. Next base: position 76,669,803 of record NC_000003.12, on the reverse strand, counting down.
AATTAAATTAATAAATATTGCGAGCAGCAATAGTAATGGTTAATTCTGCTCTTAAGAGTAGTTAAAGATGTAACAGCATGAAACTTGCACCACATTGCTTTTATCTGTGTCCCAGGGAGAACTATGGTCCCCGTCCCCGGTTGATGGAGGTCCATCCATTTACTGAAGCCAAAGAATATGCTAACATTTGACTTCCTTATCTATCTTTTTATTGCTTCTCTTATAAAGGAAGGGGGCAGGCAGGGTGGCAGAGCAGGTGAGACAACAGTAGAATAAAACTGGCCATACTCATGACTGATAGAACCTTTACACTGGTTTCCTGGTTGCACGTTCCTTTCATATTCCCTTTTTCTTGGCCTTCAAACACAGACTACCCGGACCTTGGACTTCCTGTTGTACGGTCTCTTTGCCAAAATGGAGACTATTTTACAAGCTAAGAGAAAGAAATATGTTAAGTTTTTGCCTTTTTTATGGAATTCTTTTCCCCATAAAAATATTTCATAGATGCATTTGCGTAGAAGCAGAGTTACGAGAAGCATTTTATTTTCCCTGAAACAGCTGCAATGCCTTCTCTTCTCATCAGATTTCACCCCATTTCTTAGCAGTTTTGATCGGACTGAGTGGGATTCCCTTCAGACACAGAAAGGACAATAATATGGGATGAAAAGAGGGTGCTTCCCATTCCGTAGGGTCAGAGGAGCCTGTTTTCATATGTTTAAACATCATGATCTGGAATCCTAAACTGAAAAGAGTACAATATCTTCTTGAGAGAAGCATGCCCCTCTCTCGCTGTACTACAAAAAAGGCGTCTCATGTCAAGTTTGCCTTCTAAACTGGCTTATGTTCTATTTTTCATGGCAGATTTTCCGGTTGCCCTCTTAGCCATCCTCTTCCTCCAAAGAAAGATGAAACCACCCCAACCGCTGCAGTCAGCTTTTCTATTTTCCTATTTCTCAAATTACACTTTCAGTTCCTCAGAAATAAACTATAGATGACCAAACAAGTCTCATTCTTACTACCATGGCAGTATTAGCTGCTAACTGAATTTTTTTTTTTTCTCTGAGTTTGGAAGCTCCAACCTAGTCTGAATTTAATATGTTTTAACAGGCAAAACACATCCTAATTGTGGGAAAGTTCTGAAATTTATGCCCTGTCTTCCTAGGAAATTTTCCTTGGTAAATCAAGTTAATCTTATTTCAAACTTTGGGTGTGAATAAAGGAGTTACTTCAACCCAAGTTGTACAGCGGTTTTGCTTGGCCCATCTCTGGGTTTTTTATTTTTAAGTTAGATGTCTTTGGGTAGGACATAAATTATCCAGATCTAACAAGTTTTATTGACCAAGCCATCTTCTACCAGGGACTTCACCTCTGTAAGATACCTGATTGGCCTCTAATGGTATTTAAGGGCCGGGTGCAGCCTGTAATTCCAATACTTTGGGAGGCTGAGGTGGGAGGATCACTTGAGCCCAGGAGATTGAGACAAGCCCTGGTAATATAGCAAGTCCCTTTCTCTTTCTCTCTCTACAATTTTTTTTTAATAGCTGGGCGTGGTAGCACATTCCTATAGTCCCAGCTACTCCAGAAGCTGAGGTGGGAGGATCACCAGAGTCTAGGAGGTCGAGGCTGCAGTGAGCCATAATGGGGCCGCTACACTCCAGTCTGAATTTGTAATTTCCACATGGACTGATAATATTGTTTGGTCCTGAGCTAAGAGAGAGAAGTATTTTGGTCTCTATGGGGATTTTTCAAATTCATAACAGCCACAGCAGTAGAGTGTCTGATAACTCATTTTTTAAAATTTAAATAAAATGCTTCAGGGGCTTACAAATTTTTGAGATATGTTGGACAAAATCTATGGATAAAAATTTTACATAGTTTTTTTTTCAAACTTACTGTGCTTTATTCAGTAGTGCATAAAAACCTATTTTTATTAAATCATGCTGTAGAATATTTGTTATAACTACAGTCGTTTTTATGTAATCTTATGAAATATTGAACATTTTCTATCTTTTATTAGATAATAAGAAAAATTATTTGAGATATTAAAGAATGGGGAACATATAGTTTAAAATTGTTTAGAGCACTTATGAGCCAAAAAGTCTGATCACTGCTAAAAATAGCCCTAAACAATAAGAACAATTATATTTACCAAAAACAGTACGCCTGATTACTCTAAAATACACAAATCATTAATGTTCAATTAAAATATGTCAAATTAATGTTGTTTTTTCTGATTTGATCATTAACCTGCTTATTTTAAATTTTAGATTGAGGTCTATTATTAAATAACATACTGGTCTTTCTGACCACTACTGCGTATAGAGTAAGCAAAGGAAGAGAAAGCAAGAGAACAGAAACCAACAAAAAAGCCTAAACCGTCTCTACATTTTTTCAAACATTATTTGATTTGCATTTAGCTTTCAATAGCTGCTTTTACAATAACAGGAAAAAACAGGTGACTGCATTTGGGAATCTTGTTGATATTGGGTGTATGGAATATTTTAGTTAAATTGTATTCTAAGTAGATTGGCAAGTTGTTATCAGTTCTTAGGGTTTCCACAGTTATCTATCAATAACCAACCCCAAAAGTCTCTTTGAGGTAGAGCTATCTTCTTTGTATAATTCTAAAAATCTAACTGCCCTCACCTGTAACTTCTCCCCTGGGACGTTTTTATGCTATTAAGAAGCATACTTTTCACCGTCTTTGTCAGTTTCTCAATACAAGTATGTTGCCACCATAAAACATCCTTGTGAATGGTCCCCTGTCCAACATATGCAAATGAATATGAGCGTGTTCCTCTGAGTTAAATGCATTCTGAAATGTTATATATGTCATATATATATGTCATATAATATATATATAGACATAGAAATATTATCAGAGAAGAAATCAGTAAACTCTTGATGAAATGCTGTCACTGCTGAGGATAACTGTTTTCTAAATCATTATTAGTTATTTTTTTAACACATCAACAAGCTTTAAAAATAAATGTAATCAATAACAGAATTAATTTTCCAAAGGTGCTTATGTGCTGATAATAAAGTAAATCAGACGTAAACTGGTTTGATTACTTTTTTTTCAGTGAAAAATAATTGAAATAAGCCTAAGAGCCAGGAAGGTTTTGATGGTGGGATGAGATATTAGATGTGAAATAATCAGTTTGACTGTATTTTTTTTCATTTTCCAATAGACTGAGTCCTGAGAAATGTAGGGTCAGAATCAGTTAATAATATTCCATTATTGGTGTTTTCATTTGACTTTCATGCAAGACCTCCAGCTACATTTTAAAAACACCATAGTTCTGCTCAGATAACCCAAATTCACTAATGTTTTACTGTTCGATATAAAATAAAAATGAAACTATGTCATGCTGATAATGTTTACCAAGTTATACTTGAAATAAGTGTCATCAGGCAGAGCATTTGGGTCACGGTGAACTGATGTCTCCTAACATGGTTAAATTGCCTGCTTAAAAGTTGGTCATCATTGAGAACTTCAGCTCACAATCTAATTAAAGAAATACATAAAGTTGGTATGCTGAAAAATCGTAGCTGTTATGTGCTAAGCACAAGAAAAATTAATCCCAGAGAGCTTCAAATTATATTATACATCCTGATTTGTAGAGTAACAATCGTAATAGTTATTCATTTTCCTAGCAGTTTGAAAAACATCTACAATAGCTATATTTACAGCTATAGGAAAGGGAAACAAAATGGAGAGTTTGCTTATGTGGAGAACATATTTAGAGGCATATATCTAGTATATATATAATATATATAATATATAATATGTATATATTATATATTATATATATTACATGTATATATTATATATATTATATGTATATATTATATATAATATATTATATGTATATTACATATAAAATATGTGTATATTATATATAATATGTATATATTATATATATAATACGTATATACATACACGTACAATCACACAATATTTTTAATAAATGAAATATAGTTAGCTTTAAAAAGCACCATATTCAGTGTTTTGGAAAGTTTGGAAAGGGATAAAGATGAATTTAAAATGATAAGCTGATACAATATGAAAAAGAATAATTTTATGTTTTAAGCTCAGAGTCTTGGTCATTCATAGTGTCAAGAACCAAAGGAAGTTAGCAACTTCCTTAGGAGAGGCTGAGATATGAATTTAAGAATTCCTAACATCAAACCTTGAAAATCTTGTATGCTGAATGTATTTATTGGTATTGTTCCATCATTGGCCTTAAGCATCTGTGCTGTTGAAATCTGGGTATAGTGAGGATGGATGTAGGAGGTGCTTGTGGTCTAGGACTTTGGAGTTTTAGCTTAGTGCATTGACAAGAACAAAACAGATATCAGAAGCTGTGGGTGCAACATTTGACATCAGATATGATTCATATATTAACTCAATTTCTGGCCATATAAACTTGGGCAAGTTATTTAACTTATTTAAACTTCATTTGAAATATTAATTATTCAAATGGAATGATAATATCTCCTTTGCTATTGAGGATTTCAATAACATATATGAAATATTTTTTGTTAGTTGGATGTTATCAGGACTTACAACTTAGGCAGGCCAGAGAATACAAGAAATGGAGGTATGAATATAGAATCTGAAAAGGAAGAATCAGGAAGCTGAGAATAGAAAAGGAAAACATTGAGGGGAAAGAGAGAGTAGTTTATATATAACTTCCATACATTCCTCAGCCATGATCTAGCTTTGGTGGATCTCAAAATATTGGAAAAAAATGGTGCTATCAAATGTCATCTGTGACAAACTCAACCACAAATCTCACACGTTGCCTCTTACTGGCCCTCACGCAATTCATCTCTGTAGCGTTTGACTCTGTTGACCACCATTCTTTCCAGTACTGTCTCCTGGTTCTCCTTGACTGACTCCATCTCACTCCAATATCAGCTCTGGCTTCTTCAATTGTCCCTTAAACATTATGACTTAATTTCCTGAATATTTTGCTTTGACCACTTTTAATTATATTTCACTTTATTCCATTCAACTCAACTACCTAAATATATATTGAGTTTACTGATGTCCAGCGCCCAGCAATGCATGGGAAGTTGAGAATGGTATGTTTAAAGAAAAATAAGACTCATTCTTCACCCTTAAGAAAGTTTTATTTCACTGGAGGTTACAGTAGAAACCCACATAGCTTTTTAAAATTCTTAACCTGAGTGACCTGAAGCGTTTTCCAAACGCATAACAAAGGTATAAGTTTTGCATATTTATCTCTACTTTAAACCTCTGTCCCAAGCTCCATACTCAACTTCCAAAGCCCTCTGGACGTTTCCTATGTATGTCCCTTTAGATTTTCAAATTCACTGTGTTTAAATGTGATCTTGGTATACTTCCTTCTAAATGATATTTCCTCTTTTCTCAAGCTCAGTTAGTAAGTAGGCACATGATTCTTCCTGGTATCAATGCTAGTAGCCTTCAGTTTTTCTTCCCTCACCTTGAATTAGTCTAAGCACTTAAGACAGCTTCTTTTAACAAGTCTCCCACCTTTACTCTCCATTCCATTTCCACTGGTCACTACCCAACATCAGACCTTCATCTTTTCTCTAATTAGACAATTAGAATAGACATAACAGCTTCTGTGATCTTTATCAACCCCTTTTACACAATGTTGCCTGTTTAATTTTCACAAAGCCTAATTCTAGCTGTGTCCTCAGTGTTGACAGACTTCCCCATAGGGAAATAGCCTATAAACTAAAATCTGGTCCCTTTTGCCTGGAACTAAAATGCTTTCTCTATCATTTGGCCCAACTCTCCCTTTTTATACCCTTTTGCCCCCTTTCTCCACAGGCTGACTATCCCATCAACAATTGTCAGTTCTAGGCCTGTCTCAGCTAAATGCCTTTTCTTTTTTTTTTTTCCTGAGATGGAGTTTCGCTCTTGTTGCCAGGCAGAAGTGCAGTGGCGCAATCTTGACTCACTGCAACCTCCGCCTCCCGGGTTCAAGCGATTCTCCTGCCTCAGCCTCCCGAGTAGCTGGGATTAGACTATCTCTTATGTCTTAACTCAAACTGCAATGTCTTTGCTTTACACAATTAGGTCCTAGCTATTCATCAAGTCTGAGCTCAAATTCCACTTCCACTTGGAGTCTGGCCTCATTCTTTCTTCCAATTAGCATCATAACGAATGACTAATTTCTCTCTGCATCTCTGGAGATTTGTTCCTATCTTTATTTATTCGGCCATATGTTATGATCAGTCACTTGTCTGTCATTATTCCTAGCTACTCCAGGTAAAGGCAGGAGCACAACAGACATTTGTTGGTTAGAATTAAACTGGGAAGGAAAGACTATAGAAGCACTAAACAATCTTTGGAAAGACCTGCTGAAGACTGTGATACACACTCATCTCTGTCTTTTACTGCTCCCCCTTCAGTAAGGACGGCAAAATGTATTCTGCAGCCCAGAGATCTTTTCTGAGCCATGCAGTTCATGTGGATATTACACAGGCTCCACAAACTTAGCCTGCCTAAATATGAACTCATCTTCTTCAACCCTAAACCTGATTTCTCTAACTGAATTTCTCTTGTCTGTTGATGGTACCAATACTCAGTCGGTTTCCCAAGAGAAAAACTTGGAGACATCCCTGATCTCTTCTTTTCCTTTGTCTCTCACATCCAGGATATTTTATTTCTTTCTAATATTTCTCAAGCAGGTCTCTTCCACTTTGCCACTGATACACTTTCTTGGTTCAAATCTTCATTATTTTATACCTAAACTACTAACCACACTTCTTTTCTGTGATCCACTTCCTCTAAGACCTCCATGGGTGTTAGGATGCTATATATAAAATCCAAGTCTGACCCTGACTCATCTATCTCAGATTTTTCTGCATTTCCCTGTTCATCTGTGGACCTGAGTTCAATTTCTTCAACATCTGGTGAAGGACACTCCATGTCCTTTCTCACTGACCTGTCTATGCTCATATCAGTTTACTCCTTGCCTCACATGTCACCATTCAGCTAAATACAGTGCCCATACTGTTTTCCTTCCTGACTCCTCAACTCTGCTCAGACTGTCCCCTGTTCCTGACATAGCTCTTCCTCTATCCACTGCATTTCCTTCTCTCTCCTGACCCTTCCATGTTGCTAATATGTACCTTAAGTCTAGATGAGATATTACATTCACTGAAAAAATATTCTGCAATTTATGAAATTGAATTAGGTACTCCTCACCTAACTCGCATTAGTACTACCTTATTCTTCCACTTTGACTGTAATGTTTATTTTTATTCTCTTAAAAAAAAAAATCTGAGTTCCTCAAGAGTGAGAAACATATCTTAGCTGTTTTTGAATCCATAGTGCCTCCAGAGTTAGGTGTTTAATAAAGGTTTACTAGAGGAAAATAAGGGAAGAAAAAAGTAATTATGTATCAAAATATCATATGTACCCCATAAATATATACACCTACTATGTACCCACAATAATGAAAAAAATTTTTTTTAAAGAAGTAATAAGTTGCCCTATGGTAACATGGTCAGTTGACTTGCAAGAACAACTGTGGCCTCAGAATAGAGCTTTCCAAATGTCATTTCATGGACAGGGAAGACCAAAAATAAAATTCCAAGGCCCCCACCTCCAACCAACTGAAGGGACCCCTTCTTTTGGCCAAGAGCCTCCAAAGTTAACTTAAAAACTAGTTCAGGCCATGATGGGAAGTGGGGCATTGAATATGTCTCCTTACACCCTCCTCTCTTTGGAATTCAGGCATAACTCACTAGCGTTAACATTAAAATGAACTTCTTAAGACTAACAAAACACTCTTTGTAGAAACAAGATACCAAATTCCAAGCTGACTGTAGTATAGCATCACATGACAGATAACAGGCCCTGAAAGAAATTGAAGTATTTGATACCAAAATATATTTTTTGATATGTTTTTAAATGACCCTGCAAAGCTGTCTCTTGTGAGGAAAATTTACATTCTGTAGACAATCTCCTTCCCTTATTAGGTCTTTTCAGCAGAGTCTAACACCTTTTAAGGTGATAAGAAGACCTTTACCATCTATTGCCTCTGAAGCCTGCTTCCTGGAGGCTTCATCTGCATAACAAGAACCTTGGCTTCCACAATCCCCCTTATCTTAACCCTAAGCATTTCTTTCTGCTGACTTCAACTCTTTGGACGAAACAACTCTCTCAACCAATTGCCAGTTCTGAGTCCACCTATGACCTGTATTCCCAGACCCCTCAAGATATCCCACCTTTCCAGACTGAACCAATGTACACCTTACGTCTATTGATTGATGTCTGCCTGTAATCTCTGCCCCTCTAAATGTATAAAATCAAACTGTGACCTGACCATCTTGAGTACATACTCTCAGGACCTCCTGAGGTTGTGTCATGGGTATGTCCTTAACCTTGACAAAATAAACTTCTAAACTGATCAAGAGACTTATCTCAGATACTTTTTGGTTTATAACATTATATACTCTGTTTTCAGCAATCTAGTGATTGTGACCTAGACATTCTTGTATTTTCCTACTTTAGAGTGTTCAGGTCACTTAAAATTTCTTGTTCAATCTTTCTGGTTTGGCCTACATAGAGCCAGGAACTTCCAGGAACTGCATAAAACACTGCATCTACTTTAGAGACTTTTATCTTAGTCACTTGACACTGACCAAACAGATTCAATTAACATGTAAATAAAATTGATAATATGGATAATGTGGTTTTTATGGTTTAAAAAAGTCTAGCTACTCACTTCAAAGTGGTTGCTTCTCTGGCTATTATTCATTTCTCATTACTTTCATTGAGAAATATTCTGTATTTAATATCCTGTAAAATTCTCCATTACCCTCTTCATATTTTAATATTTTTAAGAAAAAATACATCCTCATTTTTCTACCTATAGATATATAGGCTACATACATTAGAGAAAACTTTAGTTGATGAAAAAAACTAGGTACTTAAAGTGAATAAGTCCATAAACATTCAATAGCTGTAAATTCTTTTTGAGTGCCAAATTGTCAAAATAGCTTTGATGTACATAAATAAATTAACCAAATCATTAGCTCATAAAATATTGGCTCTTGGTATTATTCAGGGGGAATCAACAACTAAGCTCTTAATGTTCTAAAATGAACTACAACTCTAGAAATGACTTCTACATAATCACTAGAAAGACCTAAATAAAGATGATTTATTGACAATACATGTGAGTGGATAACAGCTTCTATAGGTCTTGCTTTAAATCATCCAATTAATGTTTTTATTTGGTGCAGCAATTATAATCATGCCCTTGAAAACCACTGGGGCTCTACACGTGGTATAGCACATTCCTCAGTTATAGAACCAGTAACATCCTTTCATATATGTAAGGATCAAGAGTGAGCCTGATTTGTGGTCTTCAGTCCTGAGAAATCCAAGTGTTCACTTGGGAACTGTAGATTTAATACTAATCTTTCAATTCACTGTTGCTACTATACTCTTCGACTGGGTCACCGCTCCAGTGCCTCTCAAACTATCTGTGGAAAAGTCCAGTTAATTTCACATTTAACATTTCTAATCTCTTGCAAACATTATTTTACTGATATTTAGTAAAGTACACTGAAAATACACTGCTAGAAAACAAAATTGTGAATCCAAAGACAAAAATGCACATCCAATTTTAAAATTATTATTGATTTCACAAGCATAAAATTACTCTGTCTAACGGCCATAAAACTTTGTTATGAATGATTATGCTCAATTTCTGTCTTCATTTTATTAATGGCAAGTAACAAATTTCTCCATCCAGCATTTGTCTACAGTCCATACTGGAAGACACTTAAATCTTCAATTCACCAAGGGAGGTCTGGAAATGGGACTATTTGCTACTCAGTTTTCTAAAGGGTCTTTAAAGCATAATTACTGGGGAACATTTTCTTAGCACTGTATATTGACAATGGCTTCTTCATCCCCTTCAAATCATCTAAGACAGGACACACCCTGGCCATGGTTTTTCCCAGCTCTCACTCATACAACTGTGGAATAACCCTCAGTGGTGGTAAAGTTGTTTATTTATGTATTTACTTTGCCTCCCTAATGGCAGATTATTTCTGTTAATCCCAACAAGCTCTTTGTTTCATCAGCCAATTCTTTAAAATATTAATTTCCTACTTTTCTTAAACTTGCATTTTAACATCTAAGTCGTAGGCTTCCTTTTAAAACATCTATTAGGTTTTGTCTTGGTCAGCCATTATGGGCACCAGAACACAGGAAATGGAAGAAAGAGAAGGCACAGCCCATTAGCTGAGAGAAATTATAGTACAGGGTGAGCCGATTCTCACAGGCCAACAGAATACAGAGCAATATACTGCCCTAAGTCATATTACATGTAGATGAATAAATACAGATGTGGAGCTCTGTAATGGAGTATGTATGTAATATAATATTATATATATTACATAGGAATTATATACATAATATATGTATATATTTATATGCATTATATATGTATATGTATAAATATGCACACACATTTTTCACACACATTCCTCACCTTCCCCCAACCCCTGGAAATATATCAAAGACAAATAGTAATAATATAATAAATATAATATAATATAATTGCATTACAATAAATCATCATGGCATGGATCATCTGAAATGTATAGCTCAAACCTAGATTATTCCTGTGCACTTCAGAATTGAATATTCAAGTGCAAGCCTGTACTTAATGCCTCCCTCAAATGTTTCTAAGGGAGCTGAAACATCAGTATGTCCAAAATAATCTGAACTGGCTCCTCAATCTAAGTTTTTAAAAAACATATCCTTTGAATGAAGGCCTCATTGTAGAAATTTATCTTAGGGAAATTCATACCGTCATTGTATCTCTCTTTATGAAAGCATAATAACTACTAATAAAGGATAACTTAAATAAAATAAACTAAATAGCTATTCAATGGAATATTATTCAGCTAAATGAATGAGACAGGTTTGTATAATATATCCTAGCATGAAAAGATATGACTCAAGAAACACTATTAAGTTAAAAAGGCAATTGCAGCACTATTCACAATAGCAAAGACTTGGAACCAACCCAGATGTCCACCAATGATAGACTGGATAAAGAAAATGTGGCACATATACACCTTGGAATACTACGCATCCATAGAAAGGATGAGTGTATGTCCTTTGCAGAGACATGGATGAAGCTGGAAACCATCATTCTCAGCAAACTAAGACAGAGACAGAAAACCAAGCACTGCATGTTCTCACTGATAAGTGGGATTTGAACAGTGAGAACACATGGACACAGGGAGGGGAACATCACATGCCGGGGCCTGTTGCGGGGTGCGAGGCTAGGGGAGGGAGAGCATTAGGAGAAACACCTAATGTAGATGACGAGTTGATGGGTGCAGCAAACCACCATGGCACGTGTATACTTATGTAACAAACCTGCATGTTCTGCACATGTGTCCCAGAACTTAAAGTATAATAATAAAAAAAAAGGCAAGTTTCAACATAGGAAGTGTAAAGTATAATCATATTTTATATAAGACTAATGTAACCTGTTAATATGTACATAGAAAAAATCATCTGGAAGAACACACACCAAAAAAAAGAGATAATAGTGACTATGTCTGGGTATTGGAATTACAGAAAATGTGCACTTTTAAAAGTAATTCTATAATATATAACTTTTAAATATAGTTTTATTATTTTAACATATTTTATTTATTTATTTATTTATTTATTTATTTATTTATTTATTTATTTATTCAGACAGGATCTCGCTCTGTCACCCAAGCTGGAGTGCCGTGGCATAATAATGGCTCACCACAGCCTCAACGCCCTGGGCTCAAGTGATCCTCCGACCTCAGCCTCTGGAGTAGGTAGGACTGAGGTGCGTGCCACCATGCCCAGCTAATGTTCATATAGATACACACACATATATATATATACACACACACACATATATATAATGTTCATATATACACATACATATACACATATACATATATATACACACTATATATATACACACATATATATGAACATATATATACACATACCTATGAACATATATATATACATATATATGAATATATATACACTCATATATGAATATATATACACACATATATGAATATATATACACACATATATGTATATATATACACATATATATGAATATATATACACATATATATGAATATATATACACATATATATGAATATATATATACATATATATATTTTTTTTAGAGAGGCAGGGTTTCACCATGTTTCCCAGGCTGGTCTGGAACTCCTGGGCTCGAGGGATTATCCTGTCTTGGCCTCACAAAGTGTTAGAACTACAGGCGTGAGCCACCGCAGCTGGCCAATTTTTTTTTTTAATGTAATTTTTTTGTTTGTTTGTTTGAGACGGAGTCTCTCTCTGTGGCCCAGGCTGGAGTGCAGGGGCGCGATCTCGGCTCACTGCAAGCTTGGCCTCCGGGGTTCACGCCATTCTCCTGCCTCAGCTTCCCGAGTAGCTGGGACTACAGGCGCCCGCCACCAAGCCCAGATAATTTTTTGTATTTTTAGTAGTGACGGGGTTTCACCGTGTTAGCCAGGATGGTCTCGATCTCCTGACCTCGTGATCTGCCTGCCTCGGCTTCCCAAAGTGCTGGGATTACAGGCGTGAGCCACCGCGCCCAGCCAATGCATTTTTAAAATCTTGAAAAAAATCAAAAAGAAAGACATAAAGAAGTGGCCAGCAGAAAAGTATAGGGAAAAAAAAGAGGAATCCAAGATAAGAAATCTAAAGAGAAAAAGGAAAACTAAGCAAGGTGCTTAGAGACTTGATTAGCATTTGAATTGTATCTCTCCAAAATAGAGAGCCAGTTAAAGACTAAATAGAGAGCCAGTTAAAGACTAAATAGACAGCCAGTTAAAGACTAAGGGTTGCAATCACAATGCTGCTAACTTTTAATTTTGCATAAAATGAGAATCAAGCAATTGGTTAAAATGATGAAGTAAAAAGGGGTTTAGGTGATAATCCTTTCCACTACAGACTTTACTGATTTTCTAACGCCCTGAGGCAAAAGAACAGTCACTGCAAGTTCAAGGCTGCCATAATGTCTCGGAGGTCTGAGGTTTACAGTGGGAAAAATAACTAATGATTTAGCTTTAGTCAGTTTCTTGCGGTCTCTAAAAATGTAAACAAAACAAAACAAAACAAAACAAAGGTAATGAACCTTACAAGTGCCCATAAAGTAGACAGCTCTTTCGATTCTGAGCATTTTTCTCCTATCCATGCTTCTACTTGTCAATTTTGGAGAGATGGCTTTCTTTTCTGGCCAGTTTTAACAGATCTTTATGAGCAGTGCCTTCACAAGAAGTGCAGGTAATGTGCTTGTTGAGAGAAAAGATTAATAGTGCTATGTGTAGTGTTTTCATGAGATGATTATTGTTATTTATCAGTGTAAATGCTAGTGGTACTGATGGCATTACAGGGAACGAAGGATATAATAATGTTTTGATGGGAACACAAAATATAAACAATTTTCATGCCAGTTTTAACTAATTTGGACATTGAAAAGTAAACAATGAACTTTCAGTTACTGACAGGTACTGTGGAGTTTTGGCTACCATCAGTCATTTGTCAATGAGGTCACAAAGCAACAAGCTTTTAGTCACAAGAACTTCTTCCTAAAACTCCATCATGAGCAACTTATTATATACATTTTTCTAGATTTTACTGTTTGCTCTTGGCTGTTTTTGCTTAGTACACTTAAAATTGAGCCAAGAATTGGAAGAGTCGTTTAATAATTAAATCTATATGATTTAAAACATCTGCATCAGAATCTATAATATTCTAAGCAAGAATAACATGCCACCATTAAGCCAAACATTTATAGGAAATTATTCTGTTATTAAGTCTGTTGTATATATGTAATAATGTCATACAATAAAAATGTATTTTTATTTTTAAGAACTTTGTGTTGAAATATATTGGATCAATCATAATCTCTAGTTTATGATGTATTCCAAAAACTGGGAATGATTTGACCCCCTTCATCCCTTCCTTCCTTCTTTCCTTCCTTCCTTCCTTCTTTCCTCCCTCCCTCCCTCCCTTTCTCCCTTCCTCCCTTTCCTGCTTGTCTGCCTGCCTACCTGCCCCTCTCTTTCTTTCTTTTTTTTCTTCTTTCTCTTTTTTCATTAATTTTTAATAATATAATGAATAACAATGAATCCATACCCTAACTCAAAAACTAGAGTACCAAAAGCTTAAATGAACCTCTGTGCTCTCTCTGTACCCCATCCCTTCGTTTCCTTCCTGCAACAAAGATAACTAATACCTTGAATGTTATCACTGTCATTTCTTTTCCTGAAGGGAAAAAAATCCATATATATATATATATGGAAAAAAATCCATACACAGAAACACCCTTTTAGATATTTCAAATAGTTTTTTTTTTGAAATTTGTTTTTATAAATATTAGCATGTAATTTTACAGGTTCTTATTTTTCATTAAACTTTGTATTAATATTATACCTTGTTTGTGTTTAGCCATAATTCATGCATTTTCAAGGCTATATAATATTTTATGGTAGAACAGATGACAATCTATTTCTTCAGTTTTCTGTTGATAGAATTTTGACTATTCTCTTACGATAAAAATCAGCAATTCCACCCCTGCGAATATTAATAGGAGAAATTCTTGCACATATGCATCAGGAATGTTCACAGCCATACTATTCATAAAATTTAAAAAATTGTAACCCCGCTTTTTCAACTTTAACCAAAGAAATTTCTTTATTAGAAAGGACCAACATTCTCATGCATGGGCCTGTTGTGAAATCAAGTGAATATTAAGGTATCTTTACTTTTGATTTGAACTTCAAATTTGAACTTTAAATTTATATATATAAATATATATATATATACACACACATATGTACACACATGCATATGTATATACGCACACATATATGTACGTGTGTGTATATATATATAAAAAAATTATAATCAAGGAAAATTTTTCTGAATTTGTGTCTTTATTTTCATTTATACTACTAGCACAAGAACTAACACTACCCAAAATAGATCTCTGGTAATTCTCTAGCTTAGTTTTAATTCTTGGTATAGCGCTTCTTATGATCTAATTTTCTTTTCATTTGATTATTTTTCTATCTCCTTCCAAGTGAGCACAGATCTTGTCACCCTTGAAAGTCCCTATTACCCCAGCATGCCGAATGGTGCCTTGTACACAGTAGGTGGTCAGTTAATCTCTGTTAAAGGAAGAAGCCATGATCTGTGTGGTGTTGATGTGTTATGGTGTCTGGTGACCATGCTTTGGTGTGTCTGAGAGCATTTATTATTTTGGACTATGGATGCACTGATTAAAACATGTTCTGTAATAACAGTATGTTTTACCTTCACCGAATACAAGATTCTTATCTTCAAGTGTGCAATAAAAATGCAGAAGGTTTTTTTCATCATTTATAAAGTACCTCTGTAATTAACTGCCAACACTTCTTTTATACTCTGCCAAGAAAATAATAACTTTTTTGCTGGAAAATGTAAAACTCAACCCAAAATGGGGCATCTATCTATTTCAGAAGCCCCTTGGTGATGATTGTTGTGGCCCTAATTAATGACGGCTTTCTAAAGTGAGAGGTAATTGCTGACACACATAACGCAAAGGGTTCAATGAGGAATATGAGCAGTAATGAATATTCACTTCGAAGCCTGCATGACAGAGTGCTTAGATTACAGAAAGTTGAGGAACTATCCTGAATATGGCTGATAAATGGGATTCCCTTTCTGACCCTCACTTCCATCAGTACTTAAGCAGTATCACTTTTTAACACCTCAGTTTGGAAGCCTTGCCTCTAAAAGTCAAAGATTTATGGTGAGTGAAAAATGTCCATATTAAAAAGGTAAGAGGAGATCCAGATGATATCCACTTTTGACCACTATAATTAATAGCTGAATCTTCGGTGGTAACTAATTGAATGGAGGTCAGTGTGTTGCCATGGTAATGTCCTAGCCAAGCAATTTTACCCATTTTCCAGTCTGCTGCCCCTTTGCATAACTGAAGTTATAAAATGCTTTAATTGCAAGATTTGCAAATGATGCAACATCTGGGCTTGAATTTACATATAAAGGGAGAAGTTTAATGGAGTTATTAGCATATCTGTGTGAACGCCTCGATTTTTATATTTAATTATAAAACCTGCAGTTTCACTGATGAACTCTGTGTGTATAATTTAAAAAAAAGCAGGATAGTAAGATATAAGAATCAGCATTTTCCTCCATTTCACTTTAAGAAATATAATTTTTGAAATAGTAAATCATTACTTTGGCTTTGTCGAATAATTTGAGAAACTTAGTAGATGGCAAAATTCACTAGGCATTTCAAAACCTGCATCATTCTCATGAATATATATTTAATATTCATATATATTATATATATTTTACTATACGTATAAGCAGAGCATGCTTTAGAAAATTCAGCAGACAAATATCAAAAGTAAAATAAGGTAGTTACTTCACATTTGCAAGAGAATATAAGTTTATTATCTAATTATAAGCATGTGAGAATTCCTATGACAGTATTACTCAAAAAGAAGACAATATATAGGTTTTATGAATGAATTAATTGATACATAATACAGATAAGCAATATTTCTACAATAATGTTGACCTAAGGGAAGATGGTAGGATGTGTGTGTTAGTAAGTTTGGTGTAATTTGGTATATGTAAAACAAAACAAAACAAAAAAAGCAAAATGGTGTCATTAGAATCAATTTATAGGGCTACTGAATAATGAAATTAACTCTCTCAAGGAACCTCAGAAAATTTGTAATAAATGGCAAATATCATGAATATATTTTAGTCAACATGATAGTTAAAAAGCAACTACTTATAGGTCCCATATGTAGAAAAATATTGAAGAATAGAAATCACAATGCCAGAATGCTAGAATTAAAAAAAGAGGCCATAACCCTTCATTGTTTTTCTAATGGTACTATTCTTTATTTTTCAAGCATCATTGAACTCTCTAGCAGAACTTTATGCCTAGCTCTTTTTTTTTTCCACCAAAACCATGACTTTCAGCTGTATTTTCCAGGATGCTGACACAGCTAATTATCTGAGATTTCATTACTCTGTTTCAATGTTTGCAGAAAAGTTGGATTACAAAAAGCAAAAAGTCATGAAGTATAAAGACTTAAAGATATAAATTTAGTCATATATATCTTAAACTGCTAAATTGCATGAAAGATATTCTTTTGTACGTATTAAATATTAAAAATGTAATCAAGATGAACAACTCATCTGAATTTAAGGTACAGAGTATAGCACAAAGGTAAAGAGGACAGAATGTGGTGTCCAGAGAGCTGGATTCAAATCTCAGCTTTTCCCTTATAAAATGAGTGAGCTCAAGTAAGTTGTGCAACATTTTAATACAGCTTTTGCATCTATAAAGTGGGATTGTTAATACCAACTAACCATCTTGTCACAGAAATTTAACAATGCACATAAAGTACTTAGCAAGATGCCTAGTACATAATAATCCTCAGATAATGGTACATACTATAATTTTAATTATCCACCTCATTTGTGGGTACAGCTACTACCTCTGATAGAAGTGATTAAAATTGGTCAGAAGAAGATAAAATCATGGCTGACTAGTAATTCTGAGTTAGCCTTTGGTCTCCTAATGAGAGCATAGTCTTTTACTAATGGCTAATTTGTTGGAAATTAAGCTGCTTTGAAGTCCCATCTACAGTCATATTTTTTCCACTGCTGCAGTTAATTTTCTTGCTGCTGGTCTGTAAGATATCCTGCAGGGAGCGACATCCTCCATTTGGTAAGACAAAGGTATCAGAACCATCTCCTCCAGAAAAGGCTGGACCTAGCAAGGAAGGGGAGGTACTTGTTTGAGATCAAACAATAGTTTGAGAGAGTGAGGTACACTTGTGAGCAAGAGAGGGGCAAAAGCTGAGAGCTAAGAACAAGGACCAATACACTTCTATGAGGTCCAAGGGTAGCTAGAAGCCACACAGAAAGAAAGGCAAGTCCTTGCATATGTGAATAGCAAAGTAGTTAAAAGGGGGAGATGGAAGGAATAAAATAATTTTTTAAAGGCATATTTTTAAAGTGTAACTAGTTTTCACATTTAATTATTCAAGTAGTTTTTCACTTTCTCCCCATAATTTTTCAATTCTTTTTTTTTTTAATGTCAAATGCAAGCAATAATAGTGCATCAGTAGGGCTGGAGGGCCACTCTTTACATATACATTGAGCTACTAGTCATCTCTCTCATTTAATGCATGTATAAATTAAGATAATAAACTTAAGATAATTCACTCAGCAAATATAAATTAAGTGACTTTTATGTATGCTACACTCTGAGTTCACAAAAACATATAAGACAGAGTCCTTGCACTTGTGAGATTTGCAGTATCCTAGGAGGAGGGCATGAGCCTGGCCTGGCCAAGCTTAGAATACCTCACAGGGACAACAATGGTTGGAAGGGTGGGTGATCCACCAGTGGATCACCACCTTCGGACGCTTAGAGCTAGAACCCTGGAACTTCTGGGAGTCATCCTGGCCGCGATGAGGAAGAATTCTCCCTAAAGATGACAGAGAAGTTGAGTTGAGAGATGGACAGATACAGACCCCTGAGGTTTTGAGTGCCTGAATGCATACATGCCTGAAAATCATCATGCTTTTCAACTGGCAATTATGGGAAACTTCAACCCCTCCTCTTCCTTGCCCACTTAAGCCATTTGAGGTGGGTTTTTCACTCTTTGCAAGTAAAGTAAGGCTTCTGACTAATAAAATTGATTTAGACTTTGTAATGGTGGAAATATACAGACGACCACAAATTAACTTTGTTTAGCAAAGGTCTTTTAACAGTTAAATTTATGATCAAGTTAATGTGCATGTTTTTACTACACTTTAGCTACTATTAACGTCTTAAGGTTTAATCCTTTCCTGTATTTTCTTGAAATTCAAAATAATCTCAGTACTCCTGCTATGCTATTTCCTACGTGATATCTGAGCATCTTTAGAGCTTGAAAAATGCTTGCATTTCAGGGATTATTTCTATTCCAGAATTCTGCTTAGACACAGTTTGAAGCCACCACACTCAGCCCCATGCTTAGAATGTTTGTGGTAAAAATAGAATTTATGTGAGGAAAATGTGATGACTTGGAAATAACTGCTACCTGCTTGTACCTTCACGTTGCAAAACTGTCAAGAACTTTCACCTGTTAATTATCAGCAAACAGAGCTTAGAATCACTTCAGTAAGAATAGAAACATTTTCCCTCACAACAGAAAATAAAGAAAAAAATAAAAAAAAAAAGAGAAAGAAGGAACAAACTCCCTGGTTAGCACTCAGTATTAAGAAACTTATTTGGTAAAACTATAAAGCAAAGCCAGAGAATGCTACACAGAAAATAGCCTAGTAATTAGCTCTGAGAAAAGGGAAGGGAAAGGAAGGGAAAGAACGAAGGCACGCTGTCTCCTCCCAAAGTGATGCAATGTTCTACCTTTAAACAAGGTGAGGTACAAACAGGCGGTCATTGTATTAGTGTACCGTGTAGCCAACACTTATTTTTAGTGAGTTTTCTTTGGTTTCAGTTTTTTATTTTTTGTGTTCCTTTTTTCTCTTTATTCCTAGCTTGTTTATTTTGTTTTAGTTTTTGTTTTACCTCAGCTTCTTTTTGAATATGTTTCTTTCTCTGGGAATAAGGTTGTGTTGGAAAGGGATGAATGGGTGAGAAGGTTGAAATATGGTGGGTAATACGTTTGTTGGCATGTTAGATTAAATACAAGATAGCTACCTAAAAGACTTTTTATTCCTTCAGAGGAATATTCACGATTTAAATAACTCTTCAAAAGGTAATAATAACAATATATGATCTGAAAACTAGTTTTAATCATCAATGCTATAATATTACTATTCATGGATTTTTAAACAGTTTGTTAATATGGTTTTATAAGAGTCGTGCCTTTTCTCTTCTTTTTTGTTCTTTCTTCCATAGAACAAATGTGACTTCTAACCCTGATACCTATTCATATCCAACTGTTCTTTTAATGTAAATGTTTCAAAAATAGTTTTCAAGCATAGTTCATTGATTCAATATTAGTCAACACAATAGTATTTCTCAAGTAACTTATATTTTAAACTTGTATTTCTAAACATCTCTCCATATAAAAATTTTTTTGAATGACCAGTGAAGGTCACTGGATAAAATTCTCACCTCCTTTTAAACCTAATAAATTTTTAACTTCTTATTTTAGAAAAGATTGAGTGAGTTTTAAGTTGAGTTATAAACCAGTTAATTGTTTTAGGAATGTGAAATATTGACACTCAGATTCTCTAAAAAAACCAGCAACAACACCTGAATCAACACATTCTCTTGTGTTATGTCTGGAGCTGTATTCTTCCATAGCATAATTCTCTTGGTGATTAAATAAATTAAGTTTATTCTGAAATCGCTGGAGTAGCAGTGTGTGAAGTATTAATCTGTAGGACAACATAGCACTCTGCTGGCCCAAAGAAACGCAGTTTCTGAACATGGCTAATTCATGATATAATAGAATAATTTAAAAAACTAGAATTGGTTGAGTTGTAACAAAACAAAACTAAGACACAAAGACCCCCAAAATATTTTCTAGAAATTGAGCCACATTTTTCTGCTTCCAAAGTTATTTTCTGATTAAAAAAACCACCTCTGAGAATACTAATCATTCACATCATCTTCCTACTATACTGGATTTGAAATCAAGTCAATATCTGAAAGAGATTCCATTTCCTGACGTACTGCATCATTAAACTCACATATGATGACAAAATATTTGACTTAGAGGCAGCATAAAATAGTTGTACACCGACATCCTTATTTTGTGACTAAGATGAGATTAGTGAGAATATAAACTTTAATTTTACAAATAAAAAATTTTAAATTTCATAACATTTGAATTTTATAAACAAATTATGAGAATTATTGCACTTAAGTTTCTTAAAAAGCCATCAACTAGTCTTATTATAAGATATTTATTCTTTAATTTTTAAATTTTGAAATATTTCAAACCCAAAGTGAAATTGTAAGAATAGTACAGTGGATACTCATATACCCTTCGTCAATCATTGATACCTGACCTCATATATCTATTTATTTATGATTTACTTATTCTCTGAAAGTTTTGATAGTATGTTGAAAACATCATGTCAGTTTACTCTAAATATGGCAGCATTTTCCTATATAATCACAATACAGTTATCATACTCAGAATATTTAGAATTGATATAATGCTATTATTGAATAGACAGCCCACATTCAGGCCACCCTAGATAATCATTGTAGTAGCCTTCAATGTTCTTTGATCCAAGATTGAATCAAAGATCGTGCATTGCATTTTGTTTTTGTTTTTCTTTGGGCTTCTTAACTTTAAAATAATTTTCTATGTGTCATTTACTTTTAAGTATTCCATATACCTACTTTCTAACATCTTACTTCAAATTTTTAAAGTTTTTATATGCTTATAGACTCATAGGAAAATTTATATCTTTTTCACAGCATCAAAAGATTTATTTTTAATGCTTCAGATTTTCCTCATCTAATTGAATTGCATGTTTATTTTGTTTTCCACTATTTTTAGTAGAATGGGTCATTTATTTTAATAGATTACTATGTGTTATAGAAATAAGCAACAATGTACACTAATATCCCAAAAACATGCTATCACAATAATATGAGAATTTTAAAAAAAAGAATATAAGAATTAAAAAATAATACGAGAATTTAAAAATAATTAGATAGGGTTTTAATATTTCTATCCCAATTTTAACTGTATGTTTTATGGCTGGCCTTGCTGTAACCCAAGGCTGTCTTTCGTGCTAATGTCATGAGGAAATAAATTCATAAATACACATCCACAATCTCATTCTGAAAATATTTATGATTTTTGTTTTTCCCCCACATTTACTTTACAGCCCACAGAAAAAATATTTCAACGTAACTTTTACCTAGATCTTCTTTCCCCCATTTTTTTTTCCTCTGACAATTACTGTATTCTTCCCTTTTTAGTCTGCCTCATGTCCTCCCCAGACAGGCGATTCTTTTCACCTCCCACAACCTTGATTACCAAAATCCTGTCCACGTGCACAGTGCATTAATAAAAAAAATTACAGCCATTAAGTCCGCAATCATACAC
Organism: Homo sapiens; assembly: GCF_000001405.40. Classification (NCBI taxonomy): domain Eukaryota; kingdom Metazoa; phylum Chordata; class Mammalia; order Primates; family Hominidae; genus Homo; species Homo sapiens. The sequence continues at coordinate 76,647,623 of NC_000003.12, read as the reverse complement.
AGCTTCACCATTTTTGCCTCAAGGTTATATTAAAATTCATCCTAACTCCTGTGTTTAATTGAGAAGGTATTTTGGGATTTTTAAAAGATTTTAACCATTTTCAATTTTTTCTTTCTTTTACTTTTGTCCAGATGATAAGCCAGTGTTTCTCAGCCCAGGCACAACTTTCCATATCCGGCTTTGTGACGTTTGAACTGCAGCTCGGCTCGCCCCGTTTCTGCTTTGTCCTCTCCTATCTCTTAGGCTCTGCCGATAGGGGGCACTAGTGGGAGACTGAAAGGCTAGAGGAGGAAGGGCTTTGTCTGTACAATTCTTGGGAACTTCTTCATTTGAACCACGGAAATTTCTTGTAGCAGCAGTGGAATCCAGTTTGCATTTCCCCCCTGCACTTGCAGAGCTAGCTACATCATAGCCCCCCTCAGAGACACTAGCCCAGACTTGTAGCTCACCCACCACGGAGATCTGGGTCCCACCCCATGCGACCCCTACTCTGACCTAAGAAACACCAGAACAAGACGAGCAACGCAGCCTCCTCTGAGTTCTCTGCGTCATAGGGCCCTCCCCTTTTTCAAGGTCAGAGTCTCTAGTCCTAGGCAAGCGTGTGCCCTTTTCTGAGGTCTGAGTTCTAACATTTCCAGGCTTCTAAGTCTTAATAAGGCCAGCCTCTTCCCTTTGTTCCCCCAGCCATAGGGGTGGTGATGACTTACTGAATTGCTAGTTCTGATAGTAACTGTGGTACTCTTACTATCATGTCTTTTCAGTTACCTAGTCAACAACTTTTTATCTAGTTAACAGTTTTTTAAATATTAAAATATCTCTATTTAAATAATTGCTGTGATTATTGCATCCTGTTTGGTGCCTTAGACAAACCATCATTATGGCCCATCCATAACTTTCAGAGTGACTTCTTGGCAGAGGTAAAGACGTCAGCAAAGCAACTTAACTCTTATTGCTGTGTCTACATGTATATCATGGAAACTTTCAATATTTTTTCAGCGTTTACTCTGTGTTAGGAATTGTGCTAAATACTTTAATTGCATATTCATATTTAATCTTTGCACTATTACCAAGAGGTTAATAATATTTATTATTCACATTTCATGAATGAGAGAACAAGGCTTACAGAAATTAAGTAGCTCTGTGGTCTGGAGCTTGTGAGTGGAAGGTGTTGAGATTCTTGTTGGGATTGTTAGACTTCACAACTGTGCTTCAGCCACAAGCTGTACCAATCAATGGCCCATCTATTCCATATCCTCAGAAAATCTGAAACTTCTACAAGCAAACTCTCAGTAACCTTCTTTTCGGCATCTTCTTTCTGCATCGGCGTTGGCTTTCTTTCCCGTCACTCTTCCACAGACAAGAAATCCTTTCCACTTAGCCTCCTTCTTCCTAGCTCAGCAACTCAGGCTTTCCCAGGACTACAAGGGTATCTCCAAAGCCATGAAAACTCCAGTCTTACAACTCCTCTTTAACCTGATATAAAACTTAGCACCAATTGACTCTAAATTGATCATCTCATTCTTCTTCCTAAAGTTGTGAAAGAATCTCAATTACCTGAGGAATCACGTCTCGAACACTTAGCCCAGCATTTCAGACTCTCTGACCCAAGCCCAACTCACCTTTTTTATGCCCAAGCCTTGAATACTCTTCAAATCAAACCACTTAAATACAAACAAGACACAGTGTCTTTTTTTGCTTTTCTTCTCTATACAATGGACAGCTCCTTGTACACAATACATGACTTGTGAATAAATGCAGGAAGGAATAAAAAATACATACTGTAGTAATTGTTGAAAGTAATTGTAAGCCTTTTATTGTTTCTGACTTTAAGTTCTTTTCTCTCCTGAATTTCTCTCTTTCCTTATCTATAAAGTCAAATTTTCTCATTCTTTTACCCATTCATTTACTCCAAAAATTTTTGAATGCCTTTAGTCGCCAACATCTTTTTCAAATTCTCTAAAACTACTTCTTCCATGAAGTCTGTCCTGAAATCCTCAGATAACAGTCCTCTCCCTCCCTGCCCACTCTCTTATTCTCTCTCTCTCTGTCTAGACTAAGAGTTCACTATATTACTTTCCTTATAACACTTACATTCATATAGACTGGAAAAATTCTGAAAGGGAAGGACTGTGTTTCGCTCTTGTTTAGCTTCCCAAAATGCTTTGCTGATTTTCGATATCCTCTCAGTTCTCTGAACAAAAAGTACTGCTCTTTAGGCAGAACAAGTTCAGCTGGGCCTAAGAACTTAAGTTCATATATTCTACAGCCTACGGAGATAAACATTTTTATTTCTGTTTCCAATTCATCTGTAATAAAATAGGTTAGAATAGGATTCTACAAAGAAGCACTATGGGAAGTACAAGCTTTTTGAAATCCCCTCATTCTTTAATAAAAGAGAAACATTTTAGGTCTTAAAATAGCAGCAGAGATAATTCATGACCACAGAATTATTGGATTTTAAAATAAATTACCAACCCATTACAAAGATTGCAGAATAAGAATTACCTGTGGACCTTAGTTTTTCTTTTCACCTATTCATGGAGAAGCAATGGAGCACAGAGCCTGTACACATTGATTCCCAAAACAGACATATTTGATTTTTGATTTCTTGCTGTAATTTCCTGGCATTGTGCCCTTAAAATATGACGAATCCTCTTTAATTGGCAGTTTGCTCATAAATGGAACAAGAAAATTCTGAGTGCCCATTTCATAGGGTTGTCATAATGATTAAGATAATGCATGTAAAAAGTTTAGCGTAATGCCTGACATATAGTAAGCATACAATTAATGTAAGCTTTTATTATTATTAACTGCCTCAGCATCTCCCAGTCCACACAAAACTACCCTATACAGCTGTGGATGTGGTTAATGGGATACAGGAATTCACTTCCAAAACAATGTCAGCTCTTGAATGTCAAATGCAGAGAAACAAGCATCTATTACATTTGTAGGGTGGGAGGGAGTGAAGATGGATTATGTGGCCACCAAAAGTATTAATTATGGTGAAGACTTCAAGTTAGTCCTACGGGAAGGTCAGTGCAAGTGGGAATATGAATTCGTGATCAGGAGAAGGCAGAAATACATTTATGTAGCTGGTGATGCTTTGTGAGTGGCTGTAGTTATAATATATGGAGGGCAAGGTACACTGAAAAAAAGAACCCAGAGGGCCCAGCGCAAGATAGAGCTGTGGCAGAGGTTCCAGGGAAAAATCAGGAGTGATTGACATGGGTGAGACTGGTCAAATGCAAATCTCGTTTTAATATGTCTAAGCATATTTTTGTTTGTTTATAGGCTTTTTTACCCCTTATGCTCATTTGTTGAGTTGTCTTGAATTGAATGAATTTTTTTTTAACACCACTTGCTTTTCAAATGTGGATAGTTTCAGTCATGGCAGGGTTTTCCTGCAGAAGCTAAGGGAATGTGCTCAGGGCTACTGCAGCCTTGGTAAGCAAGGGCTGTAAGCATTGATAGTGAAGATAGTGCCTGCCCTTATTGACCTTAATAGAAAAGAATAGAGGAAATGTGTTGTTAGCCAAAGATAAGGTGAGTAGTGTCACATGTAGTTTTTAATATTTAATGACTCTATATGGGTACAATCCATTATGTGACAATTTAATTATATGACAAAAAAGTTTGATAAATAATATTGTGGTAGGACATCTAATTCATTATTTAACATAGAAATCAATACTTTCATAAATCATAGTTCTCCACAGATATACTCTTTTTTTTTTCTCCAAGTGTGCAAACCCCTTATTCAGAATCCATAGGCAATTTATTTTCCAGTCAGGACAAGTTTGAATGGAAATTTAATTGGGCCCAGGACAGCCATAAATTCTATTTACTTTTTTTTTAAACCATTAAATGGAAAGGCTTCTGTTACAAGTACTTTTCAGAAAGGCTTAAAGAATGTCCAGATAGCATTTTCCTATAGTGTATTTTAAGAGCAGAAACAGGGGTAGACATAAATTATGTATTAAGCTAAAACAAAGCACAAAATAATAACACAAACATACTTTTGCACATCCTCCTTTTTCCTGGTTAGACTTCAATGTACATTAAGTAAGATGAAGCTTTTATATTTTAACATTTTCAACAGTCTTAGGTTTGCATTTATTGCAGGACAGTATATACTTATTAAATACATGCTCTCTAATCAGCACTAATTTTACTTGTTTGGATGTCGTATCTTCATCAAAAACGATATTTCTTTCTAGTTTAAAAAACTGTAATCTCAGAGATATTCTTCTCTCATTTAACTTAAATCTCAATCATATTTTGTAACTATCATAATGTATACTCACATAATTCACATTTATCTAGTTTTTAATTTATTAAGAGATTGCTTCTTTTGGCTGAATTGCTATACACAACCTACTTAACCTTATAATTACATACATTGAACAGAAGACAACAATTACATTTTTTTACTAAGTTATTTCTGATTGCTGATTATATATGAGGGAAGGCTTTAAGTTTCTTGCATTCCTGAAAAGAATTACCAGTTTTAAAAACAATTTTCGATGATAAAAAGGACCTCTTTTAATACAGAAAGACCTAAGCTACTAATTATCTATAACAAATTCAGAGCCAGACCACAGCCACCTGAAGCCTTCTTTGCATGTAATAAAATACATTATTAGTAATTTTCCATCTCATTTTAGCAACTTTATTGCATTAGTAACTGTCTGTCATTATTTATTTTATTATTAATGATTTTTTTAGTAATGAAGCATAAAAGTCTTATGGACGCATTTTCATTTTTGAATGCAAATACTTTCAGTTATTTTGTAAGAGCTCACTTAATATTTCATGGTTTTACGTATTTGGTGGACAATTGCTGCAGAAGAATGAAGTTTTCTTGTATCACATATCATTGAAGATTGTAAAGTACTCACTTCTTTTTCCATGGTTATGTTTTATGTAATGTTGTAGTACCCAGCATGTCAAAACACAATTAAGAGCAGGTGTAGGCTGGGCGCGGTGGCTCACACCTGTAACCCCAGCACTTTGGGAGGCCGAGGCGGGCAGATCACCTGAGGTCAGGAGTTTGAGACCAGGCTGACCAACATGCAGAAACCCCGTGTCTACTAAAAATACAAAATTGGCAGGGCGTGGTGGCGCATGCCTGTAATCCCAGGTACTCAGGAGGCTGAGGCAGGAGAATGGCTTGAACCCGGGAGGCAGAATTTGCAGTGAATTGAGATCACGCCATTACACTCCAGCCTGGGCGACAGAGCGAGTCTCCGTCTCAAAAAAAAAAAAAAAAAAAAAAAAAAAAAGCAAGTGTAAATATTTCTGAATTAGCTGAGCTTCAGACCACATCAAATCACAGCGGTCAAGGTCTTGAGCTCTGAAGCCAGACTGTCGGCTCTGGAATGTTCTAACTTGGTGCTCTTGGGCAAGTTTATTAACCTCTCTATTCTTCAGTTTTCTCCTCTGGTAAAAGAGAGTGATGCTATGTATTTCATGGTGTTGTCATAGGACTAAAACAATTTGTTTTAATGTTTAGTTTGGAAATAATTTTAAACTTATAGAAAAATTGCAAAAATAGTACATGGAGTTCACCTAACCCTACGTCAGCTTTTAAAAACTTAACTAACCAGGCTAGTGCAGTGGCTCATGCCTGTATTCCCAACACTTTGGGAGGCTGAGGCAGGAGGATAACTTGAGCCCAAGAGTTCGAGACCATCTCTACAAAATAAAATAAAATAAAAAATTAGCCAGGCATGGTGGTACATGCCTACAGTCCTGGCTGCTCGGGAGGCTGAGGTGGGAGGATGGCCTAAGTCCGGGAGTTTAAAGCTGCAGTGAGCTATAATCACGCCACTGAACTCAGCCTAGGTGATAGAGAGGACTCTGTCTCTATTAAATAAATAAATAAAAACCTACATACCATACTATAATTATCCAGACCAAGAAGTTAAAATTACCATATCACTTTTGTGTAAGCTACAGGCCTTATTAGAAGTTCACCAGCTTTGTGGGTTTTTTTTGTTTTTTGTTTTTCTCAAACATCTCTTTTCTATTCCAGGAATGAATTCAGGATCATATATTGCTTCTGTTCTTGTGCCTCTGCAGTCTCCCTCCAACTTGACACAATTCCTCAGTCCTTCCTTGTCCTTCATGATCTATGTACTTTTGAAAAAAGGTGGTCAGTTATTCCAAGGATGAACTCTTAATCTGGGTTTATCTTAAGTTGGATTTACATGATATTTTCTGATGATTATATTGAGTTTGTGTATTGTTGATAACAATATCACAGAGGTGATATTGTGTTCTGTATGCATCATATCAAAGAGTACCTGATATTGCTATTTCAAGGTTAATTGGAGATCTTAACCTTGATTGCATGGCTAGGGTGATACAGGCTAGATTTCATCCCTGTAATGCTAATGTTATTCAGTTTGTAGTGGATATTTATCTTGGGGTGGTATGTCAAAACTATGCCTGTATCCTGTTTCTCTTCAGACTGTGGGCTACTGATTTTATCATTGATTAGTATATTTTGCCTGCAATAGTTACTGTGGCTTATGTCCAATGGTGATTTTGAATTTTCGTCAGTTCTTCTATATGTATTGATTAGAATATTTTTATAAGGAAGAGTTAATTATTCTGCATTTACATATTTATTCAGCTTTTAATTTATGTTAGACTCATGGGTATTTTATTCTATGGGCATAATCCAGCAGTAGTATTCATTTTGCCGCTCAAATGATCTTGGCTTTGGCCACTGTGCACTCCCTCAGGTTGGCTCTTCTGTCCTTTTTACTTATCTTGATTCTTTTTTTTGAGAACGTCCTTATTTTCCACCATTATGTTGCAGGCTTACTGTATTTGCCTGCTCCAACTCCAGAATTAACCACTTCTCCAAGAAACCCTGGTTCCTTTTATTAAAGAATAATGTGTAGACACCAAGATCTGGGTATTGGATATGTTCACTGCTACTGGGTTGAGTTGCTTTTGTGTTCTCTCAGCCAACACATCCCCCGGCCACACACACACACACACACACACACACACACACTCACACGCAAACACGCATTGATATTTATTTATTTATTTATTTATTTATTTATTTATTATTTTTGAGACGGAGCTTCACTCGTTGCCCAGGCTGGATGGAGTGTCAAGGCCCCATCTTGGCTCACTGCAACCTCCACCTCCCAGATTCAAGTGATTCTGTGGCCTTAGCCTCCCGAGTAGCTGGGATTACAGGCATCTGCCACCACGCCTGACTAATTTTTGTATTTTTAGTAGAGACGAGGTTTCACCGTGTGGGTCAGACTGGTCTCAAACTCCTGACCTCAGGCAATCCGCTCCCCTAGGCTTCCCAAAGTGTTGGGATTACAGGCGTGAGCCACCGCGCCCGGCCCTGATGTTTATTTTGATGTCTATCTGTTTACATATTAAAAATTAAACTGATAGCTCTGATTCTAATCCAGCACCACAAAGTTCATCCTAGCTGTCTCCTTTTCCTTTTGTATGTGACATCTCTGAGCAAAGAATATGGCTCTCATCGTATCGTATATAGTCACTTATTTGTTCAAGTCTAGTACGGAAAGTACAACGCAGTTAAAAAATGCTAAACCTAAAGTAGCTGCAGACTTGCTGAATCATAACCCCGTAAAAATAGATTTTCTTTCTAGAGTACAGTATTTATGCATAGTTATTTTAGTCTTTAGCTTTATAGTATCCAGTCGACACAGACTTATTCAAAGTTAGATTAGCTCTTCACTATATATGTGTTAGGTGGTATTATTTTTCTTATGAATTGACCTACTAGAAGCTTTTAAATGTGTGGGGAAATTTTCCCTTTCGTCCAATTTATGTGGTGTGGTAGTGGACAAAAAGTTACCTTTTAGCCCTATGGTTTCTGTTGGAGTGTCAGCGGAAGAGCATCATGTATTCGTGTGAGATGAATCATGTCTTCACTATTCATTCTCTCCCTCTACCAACCTCTGCATGATTCTTCTTGAGCCTTGTTTCCCCCTTAAAATTGAAGTGTGTACTTTTTAAAGGTCTGTTAGGGAAAGTAGAAATGATGGTATAGACATTTTGTGAACAATAACTATTTGATGAGAAACTGCTCCTCGTTTCATAGTACTAATTTGTTCTCTCAGTTTGGGGATATGTGTGTGTGTGTGTGTGTGTGTGTGAGAGAGTGTAGGTACACTTATATATACACGTATATGTTTATATATGTATTTATGTATGTATGTGTATATATATTTACACACACATACAAACATATGCAGGTATATATGCATGTACATATACATACACACACACATATATACATGTCCATATAGATACATATACACACATACATATATACCTATATGTATATGTACATATAAACATACATATAAATATACATATGCACGTCTGTATATGTAAATATGTACATATACATGCTTATAGATACATATACACATGTATACATATATACACATATGTATACATGCACATATGTATAGATACATATATATTACTTTTATTTAAAGTGAATCACCTTTGTTTGACAAATCCAGTGTGAGATAAACTAGTGCTTCAGGCTTTGTGTCAATTCAAGCAGAGTGTCTGTGTAGTTGGAGTCTTTGGAATAGAAGTGCCAAAAACTTCAAAATAAAGGCAAAAACACTGGAGGGACGTAATGCAGTACATCACAGATATCACCCCAGTGCTTGACAGGCAGGGAGTGACTGTGAGCGCTAAAACTGTGAGTTATCGTCTACTTTCAAGTCTAAAGAAAAGAAACCAATATGTTTGCCATATCCAAAAGCTGAAATACAGAAATGATCTGAATCAATCATAATTTATTCTATTATTTTCCTACATACTCAGAGTAAAAACCAGCCAAATACCTGTTAAAAGATGATAGCAGACAAAAAAGGCTACTGATAAGCTAAAGAACTTCATCACTATAATTTTGAATTTTTAAAAAATAGCAACATTATACCTATTATGGATGATTCTAAACATGCTACGTTATTTCTGGAAACATAGATTGAAACCACTTTTACCCAATAATTTAAAATTTTCAAAAAATAAACATTCTGAATTCATGTACCTGAGCTGATAGTTGAAGATAAAATTGACACAAATCTAACTTAAATATTTTTATTCAAAAATATTTTTGTTACTTTTCTATGTTAACAATTTTAAAAAAAGCCTAATTTGATATTCTGGAGCTAGAGTTAACAGGAATTGTGAGTAATATATTACTTTGAATTATTGACCACCAATTCTTTCTTTGGAATTATTTTGCCCTTCCAATATTTTAAATATTCATGTTTAAAAAATGGAATGAGCAACAGGACTATCAGATAATCAAATTACCATCTTATCAAGGCTAATGATAGGACTGTCTCTTTCATGAATCATCAGTGATTCATTTCACACAGTCACAAAAGCATTCAAATGCATTCATGTGAGGGCTTCCTATAACTGGATAAAAATGTCATCAGATGGTTATTTAGGCAGGATTCATTTGAACAAAGTTGAAAATTTAAGACTGGATCAAGTACATGATAGTATCTTCATGCTTCCAAACACTTTAAAAAATAAACTGCAATTTTTTAAACAAAAAGGAACCCTATGATTTTATGCCACTTAATACTATAAGAAAATGCAAATTAAGTCAGTTCTATTCATCTGAATTAAATTTTTTACAATTAATATGCATATCTCCATAATACTATACAGAGACTCAATAGTATTTCAAGAAACCCTGTTATTTTAGATTCTATGTAAATCTGCTGGATCACAAATCATGTATTATATGAATTTTGGCAGCACTGCTTTTATGAGGACAAAAGCTTAGACTTTCCTAGATTAGTCTTATGGTATAATATAAAAAGCTTTTTGAAAACTTGCTAATGCATAATATAGTTTCTATAATAACCAAATATCTTCTATTACTTAATGGCTCTCCTCTAGCATTTCAAAAGCTCACCTTTCACTGAGTTATATAAAACAGTGTATGTGCCCGGAAGAGCAGTCTGTTATTATTTCAAATTAAAAATCTTGCATGTGGGAAAAACTATACTGAAATAGTGAAATTTAATGTAAAAAATCAGCCTCCACACTCAGTTGGCTCCCCCGCCATATATACACACAACCCCTCCTGTCCCAGGCACTTGGTGGGATATAAGAAGGTGTTTTCCCCCAAGTATTTTTTTTTTCATTTTTTTTTTTATTTCTAGAACTTTATAAAGAAAGAAAGAAAGAAATGCAGGTCTTTGAAGTCTTTGAAAGGGTTCCATTCTCAGAAAATGTAAGTACCTAAGTTTCCATCTAGCCTCCTTCCTAAGTCCAGGTCAGCTCAAATTTGAAGCTCCTGGTGAACCTCAACATCTCCAGGGTTTGTCTCTTGCTAAAGACTTTCTCCTGCTGGTTGCCTCTTAGGTTGCAGACACACAGGGCTTCTCCCTGTGCCACTGCTGCTGTTGTGAACGTTGTGAACACTGCTGTATAGTCCTCCTGACTGGTTCCAAAGTTGGGCTGGAGATGTTAAAATAACCATGTACACCCTAAGGCCCCCCATTTATTTCACACTCTTGTGAAGGCATCTTATCTATTCCTTGCTGCTTGCTCAGTCCCAAAACTCCCCTGGAAATCATCAGGGCTCACTCTCCTTGAATTCACCGCCACAGTTTTCCCCATTGTTGGCCTGCCATCACTCTATTCTACCCACTTTGTCCTCCTTCCCCTCACCCTGGCTGATATCAATACTATTGCTTTACGGGACATCGGAAGATATTAAATCACCTATTGTCACCCTGCCTAGAAGCAACCTGAGTCTCTTGCCTTTGTTACAGTTCCTATGATCTATAAACAACACATTAGGAGCACCACTCTGAAGTCACCTCTAATGTCCTGGGAGCTATGGTTGGGTCCTACTGTGGCTTTTGACAAGCCACCTGTAGGAATCCATTCCAACTTTGATAAGAGACTTATCTAGACTTTTGCTCAAAATTCTGCCTAAGTGTTGCTTCCAAAGACTTGCACCCTGTGTGTCTTTGAATCTGGGTTTCTGGAATCAAGTGAATTTGGACCATTGCTGGGAGTCAGGACTGGGGACTCACAGCTCATGATGATGCTACTCCTGAGTGATGCTGGAAACCATCTTTCTTGAAAAACTCTGCCTCAGCTATGGTTCCGTGAGCTTCTCTTGAATAAATGCCCTTTAATTTGGGGGGCTTGGGGAACCCATGACATTGTCTAATTATCACTAACTGCAACTTCATCTAAAGGTAGTTTACAGCTAAAGATGACAGGCAGATGTCAATATTATTCACCAGCACATGACATAAACAACAGATTCTTATCACTTGCTTTTAAACCAAAGAGATTCAACCTACATTGCCTCCTCTATATCTGAAAATAACACTCATCAATTTTTCTTGTCTCAATGTCATTACTCCTTTGGAATTTATGCAATATTTCTAACGTTTAGTAGGAGAGAATGAGGATAAGTGATGGAAATAAATACATAATATTATGTATAATCATTATTTTTATGATGAAATAGTATCATGTGACTATTATTTTATGAAATATGTCCAAATGATTAAGTAGATAATTAAGTCTCAAATGTAACCTGAATCAACACAAATCATCAACACAAAAACATAATCCTCACAGTTGCTGTTGGTTGTCAGCAGTCAGGCTAGCAGGCTGGGCTGATGCTCTGCTAATTGTCCAACTTTGTGTGGTCCAGAGCAGCCCCAGGGCCTTGCCTCCTCTGCTCAGTTCTGAAGAAGTTTTCTAAGCCAAAGTCAGTGTTCTAGGAAAACATTGGCTACAATAAACAATTCTGTTAAATTCTAAAACTTGAACATTTTTGAAAGCCAAGTTGAATCATGAATCTCCCTGTTTTTGAGCTCGTGAGGAAGTGTCTGCACTCGCATTGGAGGTTTTGAAAATCTCTATCATATAGAAGATGAAAAGTAGCTTTTATGATGCTTGGCCAAGAGTATGTGAGACAAATGCTGACATAGAGGGGAAGTTCAAAGGTAATGAAAGAGTAAGCATGAAAGCTGGTAGAGCTGGTGAGTAAGAAACAGAAAATGAACATTTGCAAAGTACCTCCTGCTTTTCAGACATTGCACTCAGCCATTTACGTACAATATGTCATTCAGTTCTTCCGGCATTCCTATGACATAGGCATTATTTACTCCATTTTACAGACTGGATAGACCAGAGTATATCAAAACCCCAGCAAAGCTATAAGCAAAAGTCAGCGTTCTAATTAGAAGTTGTGAGTTTTATGCAACAAAATCTCTAGCTACCTTAGGCAAAAAAGCCTTATCTATGTGTATGTACATACGAAGATGATAGCATAATTCACAGAATTAGGGAAGCTGAAGATGTAAACTCAGTCAAGAGCCAGACAGCATCAGTGTTTAGGCAGCAGGTACCCTTCAAAAGAGAGGAAATGACTTAGTCTAAGTCATACGGCAGCAAAACCCAAGTAAGAACTCCAATAACAACACCGATATTAGTATTTGTAATAGCAGCGGTCCCCGACATTTTGGCGCTAGGGACAGATTTCATGGAAGACAGTTTTTCCACAGTGGGTTGGGAGCAGATGGTTTCAGGATGAAACTGTTCCACCTCAGATCATCAGATCATCAGGCATTATATTGTCATAAGGAGTGTGCAACCTAGATCCCTTGCATGCGCAATTCACAATAGGGTTCACACTCCTATGAGAATCCAATGCCGCCACTGATCTGGCAGGAGGCAGAGCTCTGGAGGTAATGCTTGTGGGCCTGCTGCGCACCTCCTGCTGCTCACCTCCTGCTGCGTGGCCAGGTTCTAACAGGCCACTTACTGGTATCAGTCTGGTGCTCTGGGGTTGGGGGCTTCTATGTTATAGGATGAAGTGTGTGCCTTGCAATTTCTTTTGTTGAAGCCCTAACCTCTAGCACTTTTAAGTGTGACTGTGTTTGGAGATAGAGCCTTTGAAGAGGTGATTAATCAAAAATGAGGCCATTAGAGTGGTCCTTAATTCAATCTGACTGATGTCCTTTTTTTTTTTTTCTCTTTGAGACGAAGTCTCACTTTGTTGCCCAGGCTGGAGTGCAGTGGCGCGATCTCGGCTCACTGCAACCCCTGCCTCCCAGGTTCAAGCGATTCTCCTGCCTCAGCCTCCTGAGTAGCTGGGATTACAGGTACACGCCACCACACCTGGCTAATTTTTGTTGTTTTAGTAGAGACGGGGTTTCACCATGTTGGCCAGGCTGGTCTGGAACTCCTGACCTCAAGTGATCTGCCTGCCTCGGCTTCCCAAAGTGCTGGGATTACAGGCATAAGCCACTGTGCCAGCCTGATGTCCTTTTAAGAAGAGGAAATTCAGACCCACAAAAGTGAAACCAGGGATGCAGGAGCACAGAAGGAAGACCATGTGAGGACACAGTGAGAAGGCAGCTATCTGCAAGCCAAGGAGAAAAGCCGCAAAGAAATTCAACCTTGATTTTTTGCTCGCTAGCTTGCTGAACTGTGAGAAAATAAATTTCTGTTGTTTAAGCCATCCAATCTGTGGTATTTTGTGATTAGCATAATTGTGATGTTAGCAAATGAATACAGTATTCTTTCCATTACATTATCTTTTAAATTAATGACTCATTTAAAAATGATTTTGCAAGGCCAATGTTGCACACAAATGCATCAATTGTAGGCAACCAGTGATGAGTTGACTCTCAGTCAGTAACGCTTGTTGGGGTTATCAGTGAGGCATAGTAGTTAGAAGCTGAGGCTGTGGGCACCCAGTGCAAATCCCAGCTCTGCTACTTATTAGCTGGTTGTTCTTGATTAAATTACATAAGCATTCTCTGCCTTAATTCCTCATCTATAAAGTGGGGATAATAATTGTATCTACGTCATAGAATTGTTGTGCAGATTAATCCACATAAAGCATTTAGGACATGCCTGGCGTAGACTATTTCCCTACATTCCATGGAAGAAAGTGCTTGGGAAACCATTTCTTGGTGTAGTGAATTCAACCAGGCCATGTTCCCAGGTCACTATTTGCTTATTTGGTTGGTGTTTTCAACAAAGACTTTTAAAACTCTAGGAGAGCTTACCTTTCTCATCTTCTTTCTCCTTCGTGTCTTTTTCTTTTTGTGAATGATGAGAATGTGGATGAGATCTTTCCAATAGACATTTTGCTTTCATTCATTTTCCACTCATTTCCTCTCCACATTTTACCCCAAAATAAAAGTGACTCTTTTGACCTTGACTCACAATACATTCACAAATATCAGGGGATCTTCTGCAGCTACCAGCTATGGCTCTCAAGTACTTGCTTGCCTGATTTCATGTGCGGGGGTGGGGAGATAAATAAATAAGAAAATATTTGTTTTTATTGCTATGATTCTTAGAGCTCAAAACAGCCTGTTTTATAAATCATCTTTCTTTTAAATTTTGATATAATAAATACTATTAAAAGCAGTACCTGGTATTGACACATTTAAAAATTCTCTTCTTAGTAATTTCAAGCTATATATTCCCATTGCAATTCTTACTTTGAAAGTATGGGTTTAATTAGAATTACAATAATCCTGTAAACATGTTGTGACATCTTTCCCTGTAGGCTAATCAAGTAATACTCATCTGAAAGGCGCAATGCTATAATGCATTTTTCTTTGTCCTTTCAGCAAGCAGAATAAAAAATGTATTTTCCACAATCTATTTAACTAGATATTTGATTAACACATTTTTCATTGTATTGTTATCGTGACAGCAATGGATCCTCCAGCAATTTAGCATAATATATGAGGAGATGGATCATTCTAATGTGTTGGTTATGTTTTCCTCACAAAAAATTAGACATCCCAATGTAGAGGACTTATTGGATGACTTTTTAGTACATATTACTTATGTTTTTGAAATTCGTTAAATGAGAAATCTACCCTTGTGATTTATTTCTAGTTAGTATACTATGTAAATTAAAATGATTTAAATGATCTAGATCGCATATTGATAAGATATTCTTAATGTGACAGTATGAATCTTTTCTTGATTTATCATTTCCAGCTTCTACTTTTCCTTTCTTTGATGATTTTCTATTGTTTTACAAATTTAATGACTTTACTACTATGACATTTGGTAAGAATTGTGCTCTAACTTACCTCACAATGAGGCAACCTTCTTTAGACACCATTCATTACACTCAGGTAGCCCCTAATGCCAGATAAATGCATTAACAGGTAAGGCTTGAGACCCTTCCTTGATGTACTTAAACAGGCTAATGCACAGAAGCAAGCAAGGGTGTGTGACAGCTCAGCTGTGACAAAGGAACGAAATCTATCATTTCCTTCCCAAGGTCTATTTGCCAAGTGCTCAGTGAAAACTTATGGGTAGCCTCATTTACAGATGAGGACATTATAGGATTCTACTGAAGTTAAGTGACTTCTCCAATGTTTCCCTGCAAGCTAGTGACAATTCATGTTTATAACTCACAGTCCCACTTTACGTTTCTTTGCTAAGCCTGCTGAATGATTTCAACTCCTAGGGCAGAGAAAGGCGGTACAATATCAGAGTCTCACATCAACTCACTATTAGGATGTGTCAAATAAATGAATGAATTAATACATGAAGAAACAGACTTTTATTCAGTAGTTTGCTAAACTATTTCCAGATAATGATATGTTGGTATTTGCTGAAGTAATGCCTTATTATTTTAATCCAAACCTGCTTGTTACTGCAGAGAGAGTGAACATTCTTTCTTTCCTGGCTGGCTGGTTGGCTAACAGCTATTTCTCATCATCTGTACACATCCGCCAGTACTTAAAGTTACTTATCTACTCCTCCTCTTCATTCTAGGGAGGTGGGATTGCTAATCAACCGACCAAGAAGCCAGGTTTAACAATAATTGTGGTTTTTCCAATGCCCTATAGCCAGTTGCCATTAAGAAGAGACATCTGACACCCTGACCATGCTCTAACTCTATGCAAAAGGATTTTTTCCATTTTCTTTTTAAAATATGCCTTTCCAAACCAGTCCTGATTTCATAGGGATCCAGGCTTACGATCTTATGTTTACAATGAAGGCATATTTTCTGCTTTTCTTTTTCTTTTTTTCCCAGATTCAGAACTTGAATAATACCCTCTTTGATCCATCTCAAATGCTGTGTGCTTATTGTGCCATGCCCTATGCCCTTGGGCTGCAAAATACTTACTTTTTTTTTTCTACCCGTACACTAGAGAATGGGAACCTTTTCATTATTGTCCAAGCAAGGGAATCTTTACCAGAGGCTCCCGCATTTTAACGCCAACAAAAGATGACAAGATTTTTTTCCCAAAATATAGCAAGATTGTTTCTAACCTAAACTGAGCATTGTTACATAAACTACTGTTCTGTAACTTGGATTCTGAAAGATATTCATTTTAATATTAGCATTTTTCCACTGAATAAAATTAAAATTAGATTTAATATTTCCTTTAAATATCATAAAATGTACTATAGCCTGCCTTTTTCTCAATTATATTTATTATTTTACCTTATTTTCCAATAATTCTGGAAATAAAAGAGGTTTAGATATTAAAGTCATAATGGATACCATTAACTCTTTGCTGAAAGATACAGCTAAATTCTCGCACATTCAGCCCAGCACACATGCACTCTGGATGGTTACTTTCTGACTTTAAATTCAGGATGTGAATTTAGACATCGAAGAGAAATGTGTTCCAGATTTGTCCCATTTTCCCCTTCTTTGCACCTCTTGTACAAAGTTACTGAATTTAATTTTAGGATTCAGTTTTAGGATAACCACGGTTTAAGAAATACATAATAGAGAGGTAGATTTAGCTGCAGATATTCTATCTTCAGATTATCTGTGTTTTTAAAAAAACATTTATTTTTTAAAAGATATTGATCTTACACACCTGGAGTCATTTTTAACAAGCACTTCAAATTTTTTAATCTTTGTCAATTTCTCCATTCACCACTCAGGTGGCTTAGCTTAAAATCTCTGCATGATACAGTAAGTTTTCACCTAACATCATCCATAGGTTCTTAGAAACTTCTACCTTAAATGAAACAATGTATACTGAAACCAATTTTTACCATACGGTAATTGATATAAATAGGAGTTAAGTTCCTGCAGCATATTTCTGGTCACATAAATTTCACAAACTTCTAAATAAAGACCAAAACATGTCTAATATTAAACATTGAAATAAATGTGAGCTATACATACATTTAAGAGAGATTAGCAAATACAAGTGGCACAATTATTTACTTGCTTATTCCAGTTCAAGTTCCTGAGTGGCCAGAGCCATCTCAGGGCACAAGCTCAGGGCAGGAACCAACCCTGGACAGGACACCACCCCACTGCAGGGCACGCTCACACACACCCACACTCATGCAGACATGAACGACGTAGATACCTAACATGCACATCTTTGTGATGTGGAAGGAAACCCAGCCGACATAGAGAGAACATGCAAACTCTACACAGACTATGGCCCTAGCCAGTAATCAATGTTTTCTCTCATCAACATTATAACAAAATGACATTATTTGAGGAGCTGCTGTACTAGAAGAAGAATGCAAACCAAAGTCAGCCAAGCGGGGAGGCAGCAGCAAAAAACAACTACTCAGGGAACGGGTGCCACCTGATTCTATGTCAAAAGAGATGGAGAAAGGTGAGGAAACACAGAATGGAGGCACAGCAAGCATGTCATCATGGCATTGGCAACCTCCAGAATTCTCAGAAAAGTATGGTAAGTTGTTTGGAAAGGGGTGTTGATGATGTACTTGCATAGACAGCAAATGGGCTGTTTTCACTTAGATTATATTACTAAGCAAGTTTGCTGATAATACATTTATTCTCTAAAGATGTACTTATTCAAAATTTACTAAAGACTGGTGTGATGGTTAATATTGAGTGTCAATTTGATTGGATTGAAGGGTGCAACGTATTGTTTCTGGGCGTGTCTGTGAGGATGCTGTCAAAGGGGTTTAACATTTGAGTCAGTGGATGGGAAAGGCAGATTCACCCTCAATCTAGATGGGCATCATCGAATCAACTGCCAGCATGGCCAGAATAAAAGCAGGCAGAAGAACATGGAAAGACTAGACGGGTTTAGTCTTTTGGCCTGCATCTTTCTGCATGCAGGATGCTTCCTGTCCTCAGATATTGGACTCCAAGTTCTTCAGCTTTGGAACTTGGACTGGCTTCTTTGCTCCTCAGCTTGCAGAGGGCCTATTGTGGGACCCCATCTTGTGATTATGTGAATCAACACTCCTTAATAAACTCCTCTTAATGTAGACATCTATTAGTTCTGTCCCTCTAGAGAACCCTGACTAATGCAGTTGGAAAAAAAATTAGTTGTACACAATAAAGAAAATTGTTACTATATTTTGGTTGCTTTGAAGAAGAACAGTGTGGATTTTGGGTGGATTTACTCTCACCCTCCTTACATCCAAGTGTTTTTTTGAACCATTTGTGTCATTGAGCACAACCAGATATGCTAGTTTTGAGAATCTAGTTACTTTTTCTCAGTTTCAGCCCTTTTCCAAATGTGTGATGTTGGTTTCAAGGGAACCTGGATGAGAGATGGCACAGTCAGTGCAATTGCCAAGATTGCAACAACACCAGTTCTACAAAAGTGACGCTATATTATGCTTAGTATACCTTCAACATATTTGGAATGATGAGTACCAACGTACAACTTCTAGAATATAGACTTCTACTCAACAACTTACATTATGTTTGTTAGATACATAATTGACTATATTTCAAAAACTCTTAAACTATACATTGCCCTGTCTTTTATTTATGGAGGAAATTCTGTGAGACTACAAATTGGAAAACTGAAACAGATGAACAATGGCAAAAACAAAACTAGTAGAATTGATAGATGTGAGTCACAAAACAAATACATTTCATCTGGAAGAAAAGAATCACTTTTGACTACATTTTCACAGCTGTTTAAAGAGAAGCATATCAGATAACATTAGATACAACTTTTTAGACCAGTGAGGAAAAAAAAGTTTCCTTTTCAGAGAGGCATGAAATGAGATAGTAGGTAAGACTGGATTTGCTTCTTGAAATTTGAATTTTCACACCTTTAATCTCAGCAGTTTGGGAGCTGAAGGTGATTCTTTGAGCCCAGGAGTTTAGGACAAGCCTGGACAACATAGCAAGACCCCATCTCTAAAAAAAAAAAAAAAAACCTAAAAATTAGTGGATAGCGAGTGACTGTAGTCCCAGCTACTCTGGAGGCTGTAGTGTGAGGGTCACTTGAGCCTAGGAGTTTGGGGTTGCGGAGTTTGGGGTTGCGGTAAGCTGTGATCGTGCCACTGTACTCCAGCCTGGGTGGCAGAGTGAGATCCTGTCTCAATAAAAAAAAGAAAGAAAAAAACACACGTTGTTTTTATCTTAGCAGTCGACAAGTATTAAGTGGGAACTGAAAAAGGACAAAAGATATCTCTAGTGAATAAAAATCAAGTAGCAGGCACACTTATTCTACTTTCTACTTAGATGTATTTAAAGCTTAGAAACCATTCTGGCATGAGAACTCAAAACAAAAGCTTTATTTTTTTATGACTTAAGTCACCTAATATACCTTTTTTCCTTAGCCAAAGGACTTAAAACTACTCTTGTTATAATATATTCAAAGTAACTAATTTATAGTCATCAACCATTCCTGCCATTTTTGGGTATTCATTTGTTTCTAGACTTAGTTTTAGGATTATGGCCAAAATTCACATACATAGGAAAATATTAAACAAGAAAAAAATCCCTTAAAACACACAAGCATTAATTTCATGTTCAGAGACATCATTTGCTACACTCCCACTGCAGAAATAATTAATACAGGCAGACAAGTGAGCTTTCCCGAGATGCACTTCATTTATACATTGAACTCCTATTACATTCCTCTTCCCTTCCAAACACATCCTCTCAGTGTTCATTGCACTTTTTTTCCTTATTGCTTTCTGAAAAATCAAATAAAACAGACTTTCAAAGAAATTGAAGCTTAGTAAATGTAAATTTTATTATTTATGCACAAGGATTCTTAGCTATGTATTAACAGTTTAAGGGATTAGAGAGTTGTTTCATCTTATAAATTTGTACTGCTGGGATATGACAGTTGATGTGAGACATTCCTTAGCAGCCATCATCTGCATGCTAAAGCCAGTTGCTTCCATACGCGAACAATATGCCTATCTGGGGGCACAGCTAAACAGTTATCTTTATCCCTTACATCATGAATATGCGGGATTCTCTGGCTCTCTCTGGAACCGTTAGACACAACCCATTTAGATTTGCTCTTTGAGGTGAACTACAAAGCTCAAATGAAGATTTCATACTTCAATGACTGAAGCTCCAATGTAGAGGGTGAGGTTACAGTGTAGAGAGAGTAAAATTAAGCCCCATAAGAGAGTCCATTAATTCAAAAGAAGAATGCAAACTAAGTAAGGTGAAGGAAGTAACAACCAAACTGTGCTTATCTATGCATGTTAAACTTGGAAAGTATGAGAAATATTTTGCACTGATATAATGGGTAACTGTCACATCAAGAAATATATCCACTACCTCTACAAGTTATTTTAGCCCTTTCATCTCCTTGAATAGAGGCATATTAGATTGTCCCTTAAGAATCTAAATGACAGGGCTGGGCATGGTGGCTCACGCCTGTAATCCCAGCACTTTGGGAGGCCGAGGCGGGCGGACCACAAGGTCAGGAGATTGAGACCATCCTGGCGAAAATGGTGAAACTTCGTCTCCACTAAAATACAAAAAATTAGCTGGGTGTGGTGGTGGCGCCTGTAGTCCCAGCTACTCGGGAGGCTGAGGCAGGAGAATGACGTGAACCCGGGAGGCGGAACTTGCAGTGAGCAGAGATCACGCCACTGCACTCCAGCCTGGGCGACAGAGTGAGACTCCGTCTCAAAAGAAAAAAAAAAAGATAAAAGATTCTAAATGACAATAAGTTAAGAAAGAGAATACACTATTTCCTAAGCTGATAATGGATAGAGATGTTGGCTTTATTGCTGTTATCACTGTAATTATTTAAACTATACATGCTATGTATCATGTCATTGACCTAGCAGCAACATTAGACATGTTTGATCACTCCTTCCACAAAATACTTCTTTATCTCTCCTCATTTTCTTGGTACTTTTTTGATCCCTTCTCAGCAATCTCATTTGGGCAGGTGCTACTTTATTTTCCATCAGCCTAAACTCATCTCTGTTTTGCTCTGTGTCTTCTCTATGTATTGTCTTCTCCAGGCTCAGCCTCCAGATATGTTTGCTATACTGGAAACTTCCCAGTTTATATCTCTACCGCACACCACTCCCCAGAAGTCCAGATTTATATATACAACTTCTGCTTACACCTTCACATAGTGAAAACAACAATCTTAACATCTAAAACCCTGACTCCTGATCTTCTCCCTCAAAACCATTTTATGACAGTGTTTTCCATTTCAATACATGGTGACCCCATCCTTTCAGTTGCTGAAACAAAAACTTTGGAATTATCTTATTCTTAAAGTCTTCTGCTTCTGGATCTATTAGATCTATCATCCAAACTTTGTTGACACAATCTGAGAATACAAGCTGATGCAAAGTACCTCTCACTATCTCTGCTACTCCCACACTGGGCTATTGCAATAATCTAACTTTCACCTGGATCATGTCACTGGATCAGTTGCCTGCTTTGACCTTTGCCCTTACCCTTCACTCTTTTTAACACACCAAAGGCAATAGAATCCTTCGAAAAAAAAATCACATTTTCATCTGTTAAAATCTCTCAGTGGTTTCCCATTTCCCTGAGTAAGAACCAAAGGTTGTATATTGGCTTACAAGTCCTGTATGATACGACTCCCTTTTCCCCCACAACGTT
This sequence comes from Homo sapiens, assembly GCF_000001405.40. Taxonomy (NCBI): domain Eukaryota; kingdom Metazoa; phylum Chordata; class Mammalia; order Primates; family Hominidae; genus Homo; species Homo sapiens. Next base: position 76,625,752 of record NC_000003.12, on the reverse strand, counting down.
GCGCTTCCTGCTAATATGCCTTTTATTTGCCAGCTGTACTGATTCCTTTGCTGTCCCTCAAACATGTCAAGCATATTGAAGTTCTGGAGCTTTTGCTCTGCCAGGAATATCTTTTTCTCATAGATCCACGTAACTTCCTCCTTTACTTCCTTTTTTAGCCTTCTCTAACCACCCTACTTAAAGCTCCCTCTTCTTGCATTTTCCAAACTTTTTGATATTTTTTTTTTCCTGCTGCACGTAATACCACCGAATTCAAAACATATTTTCCTTGATTATTTGCTTATTTTTTTGGCCCCCATAGTACATGTATGCTTTACAAAAAATGACATCTGGCTGTGTTGTTTGCTGCAGTAACTCTGGTGCCTAGAATAGAAACTCGCACAATATTGAGTAAGTTGTTTAATACATTTCATGTAGTCTTTAGTTATATGTTTTACAATACAGGCTTCTTAAAAAGAAGCTAATATAAACATGGTGAGTAGAAAATGAAAAAAAGCCGTGGTTTCCACACACAAGCTGGCTTGAGAGATTTATGATTTCTTTGGCTAAAGATTAAATTCTGCTATATAACAGGGAATTTTATTAAATTAGTATTTTACATCCACCTTTTTGGCATCATGGGGACAAATCAGTGTACAAAATTGATAGATCTAAGTTCTGTTATTTTACTAGAAAAAAATGAGGCGAGGAGATGGATTAGGGCAACTGCATTAAATGGATTATGACGGGAAAAGATAAATGCAAACTTGTGATTAGAAGCTATAGCATTAGAAATGATTTAGAACCGCATGGCTAAACCCCCAAATATTACAATTTATAAGACTTACTATTTATTTAGTCATCTTGGTGGTTGGACTAGTAGACAAGTATTTTTCAAAATTCATTTTCCAGATATCACAGTTTTCTATAAGGATATTCTTTTTTTTTTTTTTTTTTTTTTTTTTTTTTTTTTTTTTGAGACGGAGTCTCACTCTGTCACTCAGGCTGGAAAGAATAGCGCGATCTCAGTTCACTGCAAGCTCAGCCTCCCAGGTGCAAGCGATTCTCCTCCCTCAGCCTCCTGAGCAGCTGGGATTACAGGGATGCCACCATGCCCGGCTAATTTTTTGTATTTTTAGTAGAGACGGGGTTTCACCACGTTGGCCAGGCTGGTGGCAAACTCCTAACCTCAGGCGATCCGCCCGCCTCGGCTTTCCAAAGTTCTGGGATTACAGGTGTGAGCCCACCGCGCCCGGCCTCTATAAAGACATTCTAATGTACATTTGTGATGCTTTCTGGGCAATGAGAAATACCATTTCTTGGGGGGAAATTTCAAGAGTTATGAATTAATATAAAAGAGAAAGCCTGGCTCTATAAGCACCTTGAAGAGGAAAACATACTCATGTGACTTGAGGCTACCAATCAGATTCACCCAAACATAACTTTGACCCGGAAGGGACTCAGCTGAGAAAACAAGCACCACTTACCAGGTTCTGCCCGTTCTTGACCCTAAGACTAAATTTAAAAACGTGTGGTAAAGGTAAGCAATCCTTATATCCTAAATTCTTTGTTGCAATTTATGACATGTGAAATAAAAACTTATAAAAGAGTGTAATGGTTGAAATTAATACATTAGCAGTTAATTCTTACACAATTATGTTCACGTATTCATAATCTTCTTCAGGTGAGAACATAATCGCTTTTTTTTTAATGGAGAAAGGAAAGAGAGTATTCTTATAATTCTGTATAAAACCAACAGCCCATTACACAGTCCTGGGTGTACAAGTTCTCAAAAGATAGTTGTTGACTGATAAAATATATAAGTTATACTAAATGTAGTCTTATGAGAAAGGAAGATGTCAGAGGCCTCATTATCATTGAAAGAGCAAAAATTTTGTCACCCAGTTGTACTGTACAACCTTGAAAATCCCCTAAACTTGACTTTGCTTCAATTTTATCTTCTGTAAAATGGGAATAATGATGCCAACATTACAAAGTTGAGATAATGAAACTAAAAATGCACTTTAAAAGAGTCGGCACCTAGTGGGTACTCAATGCAAATGGTATCTAAACCTTATGTTGTTAAAGATTTCAGAATAATGTAGGTTCTGGAAGTATAGACAAAATTGTGCCTGTTTAAGGCTGCAGTGCATGACGTATCTAATTACTTGCAAAGATACTTTAGAGTGTAGGTTGGATAAAATGTGTCAGACACATTTTAAATCCTTATTACGTGAGGCTAAAATTGCTGGTATGCATTAGTAAATACTTAAGGACTTGGTCCTGGATGCTTCCGTCTGTATTAGCACATAAAGCATGTAATAGAATGCAAATTATTTAACAGCAATTTAGCCATGATTTGCAGAGTAATAATATCTGTTTCTACCAAGGTTACTCTAATTAGAACCAATGAGACTCATTAAACCTCAAAAACCCATCTAGTGCACCAATGCCTCAGCAGACAAAAATAAACCCGAGCACATTGGCAAGATAGCTCTTCTGTTCTTAGCTACCTGGAAAAAAGTTATTTCTGTAGTGTTTCTCTAGCATTTTGTGTCCCTCAGTACACCCCAAATGTGCATAAAAATGCTCTAGTCAATGTACATACTGAAAAAGTATTTAAGCCTAAAGTTTTGTTATTCAGTCGCAAGTGTATGGGAGCACAGTAGAAAAAGCCATAACTACTTTTACGCCTGAAAGATTTCAGATAGTACATGCATTGATGCTTCACTGGTTCTTGAGTGAAGAGAGTAGATAGTACCAGAGGAGTGAGAGAGAAAGGGTAAGATTGCAAGATCTGTGGAGCATGGCTGAAATACACAGCGGAGGAAGGCTCTCACATCGGGGAAGCCTGTCACTGGATATCAGGACCTCAGCGCCTGACTTGGATTCAATGGTAGGATTTTCTTTATTGACAGGTGCCTGCAACATATGTAGTTTCTTGGCACTCTTTTGGGAATAGAAACCACATTGTAAGCCAAGTAATAAAGTATACATAGAAGCTTGACAAGTGGATAGGAGAGAGATTGTAGGCAAAGAAACAATATGTGCAAGTTCTCAGAGGTTTGGAAAGAGAACAGCACATTTGGGGAGATCCTGGTGGTCAATGACTGGGGCAGAGCAGGCATTAAGGAAATGATGGGGATTGAAACTGGAAAGACAGATTTGGACCAGGCAATGAAGAATCTTGCATTTTGAACTACCTGGCTCTTTAGTTTTTTGAATGACTCCTGTTGTAGATAAAGTGATGGGTGATAGGGGATGGGACTGTTAAATAGAACAATAAGATAGAATAAATTTTTCATTTTTGAGACAGGGTCTTGCTCTTTTGCTCCAGCTGGAGGGCAGTGGCATGATCATGGCTCATGCTATCCTTGAACTCCTGGGCTCAAGCAATCCTCCCACCTTAGCCTCCCAAGTAGCTGGGACTACAGGTATGCACCACTACACCTGGCTATGTTTTCTTTCTTTCTTTCTTTCTTTCTTTCTTTCTTTCTTTCTTTCTTTCTTTCTTTCTTTCTTTCTTTCTTTCTTTCTTCCTTCCTTCCTTCCTTCCTTCCTTCCTTCCTTCCTTCCTTCCTTTCTTTTTTTTAGTAGATATGAGGTCTTGCTATGTTGTCCAGGCTAGTCGCAAACTCTAGAGCCCAATCAGTCCTCCTGCCTCAGCCTCCCAAGGTACTGGGATTACACACATGAGCCACAAGAATAGATCTTATTCACAAAGAAGGATACAAGGTCAGTATAGGGTCTTAAGGAGACTAAGGGATGGTTTGAATAAGTGGTATAATAAAGAAGGAATGGGAGAGGTCAAACCCAAACAAGAAAGCATATATGAACCACACGGCTTACAATGGTGTCACTGAGATATTTGTATAGTTAATCATTTGACAAGCAGTTCATCATAATTAAAATTTTTGTTTGGCATTTTATTATGCATTACTGCCATACTGTGGAGTCTGTATTTGTGTACAGTTTAATTTCATAAACTAGATTTAAAATAATTTTATTTTTAAAATCTCCCTGAATTAAAACTAATAGCAGTAACAAGTACTTATGTGGTACCTATTTTTCAGGAACTATTTTCTAAGTGGTTAACAAATATTAACTCATTTAAACCTCACAGTAACACATATGAAGTGGGTGCTATTATTATTTTCATTTACAGATGAGGAACTCAGGGTTCAGAAAAGTTAAGAATTTGTCCAAGTTTTCACACTTGGTAGATGGTGAAGTTAGGATTTGAATTCAATATCCAGTAGTTCTTAATAGGTCATAAAGATGTTCAAAGGACTTGGAATCATCAGAGCTATTCACCATTCTTGGCTTTACCAGCCTTTTAAGATGTGGTATTTGCAGAGATTTGGGTAAAACCATTTTCAGCACATAATGCAAAGCAGAATGCAGTTATGCACTGAATGTATAGCCTTCTGAGATCTTAACAGACCAAAGCGTGTAAGAATCTTCTATCTGCCAAAAAGGATATGAGTACACACAGCAATACTTATTTACAAACAGTAAAATCCCACAATGCACTGTAAGTAAAGCAATAAAATGACATGCCACACAAATCTGTAACATACAACCATTTAATAAAGAATAAATGATCAGCTGGAATTATTCCCTTGCCTGAAAAAAAAAAAAAGCATAAACTAAAAAAGATATGTGTATGTGTTTAGGAGGTTTCCTTCTGGTGAAATGAGTATTAAAACTTTTGTATGTCCCCTTCCCCTCTCAGTGACCTTTCAAGGACTGAAAATCGCAACAGAGTCAGCCGTGCACATAAGTGACTTTCTCCTGTTCATTCCTATACATGATGTTTCTAATGATTTGGATATTTCTTTATACATCTAAAATTAAAAACAAAACATGAAACCATTTAGGTTTAGCAGTTGCCTCGGTAGCACGTGCATACTACTCCAATAGTTAGAGAGTATTTTATTTTGACTGTTAGTATGTACCCAAGACCGGCGTTTTGTTATTTCTTACTTATAATATAGAATTGGAACTGGTCCCTAAGCTTTAGTATTTATAAGCTAGTTAAGAACCCATAAATTTTTGCCACTGGCCATAATGTATAGAAATAGCTATACAGATATGTACATATAAACTATATGTATTATTTCATAACTTTGTATCTATTGGTGACCGAGCAGTTTTAAAAAGACAAATATTAAACACATAAAAATTAGTATTGGGTAATTAATTGATATATTTTATCAGGTTTACCCCTAATTTTATATTTCTATGCTGAATTAGGAGCTAAAATATTCTCAGTCATGTAAAATACAGCAACTACTAACTCCTAGAATGCGGTTTAGATGAAAGTTACATCCTCGAACATACCATTTTTTTTGCTCCACGATAAACCTTTTATTTACGAATGATTTTTCGTTATCCATAGAAAATGCAAATGATGCAAGTTAATCTCATTCAAGATTAATCTTCATCTGAGAACTGTAAAATTTGTAGCTTTTCCTTTTCATAGGCAAATATTCATAGAGTACATTAATGTTTCATGAGAATAAACAGCATATTAAGAAAATCCTCATGGAGAAATGGCATTTAGTCATATCATATACAAATAACCTTGACATTTGGTGGGACAAAGAAACATCACTTTGACATTACTTAATGCTAAGATTTTAAAAGAAAACATGAGGTTATTTCTTTTGTTTCATTTAGATAAGTTCACTGAGCATCATTTATAATTCCCTGTATCTACTGGTACAAAAATATTTAAATGTTCAATTTCCCAACTAGACATATGTTTTATATTTCCAAGCCTTAAGCCAAGCACCACTGTTAATTATTATAATTATTTTTTATTATTATTAATTTGTAATGAGTTTTACCTGGGCTGAATTAAGATAAAATTCCTTGGGTGCTTCCTTAAGACTTTCTTCCAAATCAGGAAAAAGAACTGTTTCTCACAAAGTAAATAGCCACTGAAAGCTCAAAGTGATGTTAGGTGCCAATCATGGGTTCCGAGCTCACCTCGGCTGAATGATTTAACAGTTTTGAGTTATATTACCCAGGAGGGCTGTGATGTTATGAATCTATCCTCCTCAGTAGGTTTTGCAGTTGAAACTCCTGTCTAATGATGTGTGCTAATACATAATGATAATGTCCTTCACTGAGTCTCTCTCTAATGGTGTGTGCTACTTTGTAATGATAATATGCTGGAGTTAGACAATAACTTTAATATCCTTACTGTATGGAGAAGAATACTCCAAATATGGCAGTGCTCATGAATGACCTCAAATAGTGGCTCTATCAAACTGGAGAACAGAATGTGAATAAAATGAAGAAGAAACATAAACTCGATATCTTTTTAAAAGTTCACCGTAAGAAAAGAAATTGCTCCATGGCAATTCATTAGGAGACACAGAGATAATTTGAAAGACTAGAGGCTATTTTTTTCTTTTTTTTTTTTTGAGACGGAGTCTCGCTCTGTCGCCCAGGCTGGAGTGCAGTGGCGCGATCTCGGCTCACTGCAAGCTCCGCCTCCCGGGTTCACGCCATTCTCCTGCCTCAGCCTCCCAAGTAGCTGGGACTACAGGCGCCCGCTACCACGCCCGGCTAATTTTTTGTATTTTTAGTAGAGACGGGGTTTCACCGTGTTAGCCAGGATGGTCTCGATCTCCTGACCTCGTGATCCGCCCGCCTCGGCCTCCCAAAGTGCTGGGATTACAGGCGTGAGCCACCGCGCCCGGCCTATTTTTTTCTTTCCTTTTTCTCTCACTCTCTCTTTTAACTTAAATGCTCAGAGGTTTATGATTACTTACTCTCCAAGTGGCCCTTAAAAATTATTTCTTTTTAGTGGAACAGATGTTAAGGGAATCTCTGTGCTGAATTACTCCTGGGGGTGAACACACTTTAGTTTTTCTTGTGGGCTCTCCTATCAATCTATTCAAATAATATAGTGACATAGTAAAATTAAAAACGAATGCTATTTGAAACATTATTTACACTGGAAAAGCTATCTAGTGAAAGTATCCATGTATTCACTTTTTATCAGGATCCGTCAATTGTGATTAAATGTAATATTGTACATTTGTGTATTAGGTATATTAGGTGCCAGGAACTAATACACAAGAGAAATGCTCTAATATTTTAAAAGAATACACATATGAGAAAGCTAAACACTATTTTTCCCCCATTGGAGCATTATGTTCAAGGAATTATCAGGTAGTTTGAAGAGTCACAGACAAAAGTGTTTAAAGTTGTCAAAAATGTCAACAGCTGCTTGTATTTTATAGCATAAGGAGAGATGAGAAAATTATATATATAATTGCTGATATATGTATGAGATTATATATATATTTATATATATATATCCTATTTCCTATGTCCTGAATTTTTTAGTTTTAATTTCCTTTGTGTGGAAAAGTGTCATAATACTCCAATTAATGAAACAGTATTTGTGAAAACCACCTATAAATTACTAGGCTTTATTATAATCAACAGTAATGGTAAAAATAACAGCAGTCTCTATGTAATGGGCATTTACAACATGCCAAGCATGGGGTAATACTTTTCCATTTATGACCTCACTAATTCTTCCAAAAAATTCTAGGGACAGATATTGTTATTGCTGGGTCAAGCTGATTGCAAGTCAGATGGGGTCGAAAGAAGCTAGTCCTCCCTGGCTCTGGTTTGTGAGTCTTTGCTGTGACTGGAGACAAAGTATAATTATTCTTCTAGGAAGCCTTTAAAGTTGTCTTTGAGGGTCATTTTGCCACACTTCCTGGAAGTTCGGTGGTGATATGCTGTGGCTGTGTCCCCACCCAAATCTTATCTTGAATTGTAGTTCCCATAACTCCCACATGTTGTGGGAGTTACCCAGTGGGAGGTAATTGAATCATGGGGTGATGGTTTTATAAGGGGCATTTCCTCCTTTGCTAAGCTCTCATTCTCTCTCCTGCCTCACTGTGAAGTGCCTTCCACCATGACTAAAAGTTTCCTGAGGCTTCCCCAGCCATGCAGAACTGTAAATCAGTTACATCTCTTTTCTTTATAAATTGCATAGTCTTGGATATTTCTTTATAGCAGCATAAAAACAGACTAATACAGGTGGTCTATAGGTCTTTAATCATTCACCAAATGGAATAGAAGAAGGGCTGAACACACCAAAAAAACTCTCTAGCTTTTTCGACTAGTCCATGAAGTAGCTGTCTTCATAGTTATCCTTTTCCATTGCCAAATTCTACTAATTATTGAATGAAAAATAAATGAAGATTAACAATATCATATGAGATATACTGAACTATCTCTTAATACCATTGTAACAGTAACAACAATAAAACCAATCTATAGAAAAATATAAAACCCAAACAGATATAATCCTTACTAAGTTTCAGAAAGATTCTTTGTTTAGATTATAAAGTTTCATACGATAAAAAATGAGTTGCAAATGGAAAGTAAACTTTAATCCAGGGGTTCCCCATTCAAGACAAATCACAAGTCATAATCCTTATATATATATATATATACAATAAAGGGTTAACTTACTAGGCTTGGGTTAGTCAAACCCTGCACATTTAAAGAAAGGATGGGCCCTTTTCAGGTTTCGGGGAGATGATCTCTAAGCCCTTAGAATAGCCTGCTTGATAAGAGTATCTTTTCATACCTGGGGCTTTGGACCACGCTAGTTAGTTCATCCTAACAATGTGACTTATAGTGAATATATCTGAAGATTAAATATTGGATATATATATATCCAATGCCCTGGGCCACACTGTGTAGGTTTGATTCTTGGGAATAGGGTTGGAGACTGGAGACTGAGTAGCTAAGGTCAGTGACCTAGGCCATCCATGCCTATTTGACTGAGCCACAATAAGAACTTTAGACTTAGACACAGTGGCACATGCCTGTAGTCACAGCTACTTGAGAGACTAAGGCAGGAGGATCACTTGGGCCCCGGAGTTTGAGCTGTAGTGCACTATGATTGCACCTATGAATAGCCACTATTCATTGCCCTCAAGGCTAGGCAACATAGCAAGGGCCTGTCTCTTAAACAAACAAAAAACCTCTCTAAATTCAAGGCTTAGAAGAGCTTCCTTGGTTGGCAATATGTCTTACATGTTATTACATATCTTTGTTTGGAGGAGTAAGCACAGTTCGTGTGACTCCTCTGGGAGAGGACAACAGGAAGCTCAGAACTCCACTCTAATTAGTTGCCTTTGCTTTCTAACCTGCATCTTTTAGCAGAAATAAGTCATAACTGTTAGTATAACAGCTTTTCTGTGGAAATCTGAGTGGAAATCTCAGAAAAAAAATGCTAATAACACATCATGGAAGCCACAGAATGAAGAGCTACAGAGCAACCACACGTGGCCCCTGATGAATCACACAAGGTGTTCCTACCTGTTGGACAGAACTGAACTATCAGAAGGGAGATATCCAAAGCTAACACTCAATGACTTCTATCTCTCTTGAGCTTTTATAGTTTCTACATTAACTCAGCTTTTAAAATTTTCCAAGATCTAGGTATTAAGTATGATTTCATAGTTTATACAAAGAATAAGAAAAGTTAGATTTGGATAAAAGTGGTAAGGTAGTGAATTTGCTGGTATTGTGCTTTAAAAAATACATTAGAGTATCAGTTTCCAATTACCTTTTGAAAAGTTATTTTTCTAAAAAGGCATTGAGCTATAGTTACTGGAAATATGTAACATTAAGTGTTTGTGTGGCAGAGCATATCCTAAGAGAGCAGTTCAGTTTTAAGAGACCTGGAATCTAACCCAAGCTCAGCAAATTCTCAACTTCAAATTGCAATGCTTAAAAAGGTCTGAACTATGTAGGACTCAGGAGGACTCATCTTATACTCAACTCTGGCACTTGCTGGCTTTGTAAATTGGATAATTCATTTACATTCTGAGCCTCTGACTCCTCATCCCAAAATAGGAATACTGAATTGCATACCCATATGTTGTGAGCCTCGAAAGTGATGACATATCTAAACCTGTTTGCACACTGTAAAACAGAATGCACACATGGAATTATTGTTTTTATCATTAATAAAGTAAAAATACTTGGTTTGCTTAACTGAATTATTGTGAGATTATGAAGTATAAAGGCATTAACAAGGTGAAACTATGTAACTGTATTTATTGGCAAGGCTGACTGAATTCCACATATTCCAAAAATTATTTTTTGGCCCTTCCTTATGTCTAGATATGCTCTCATAAACTGTTTGCATTTCACTTGGGGCAATTATCTTATTTTGTCTTTCAATATTATCACTTGTGTTTCTATACATAAACTTCTTTAGAACAAATACTATCTTGGTAATCCCCTTAGAACCAGAATTTCATGGTACTAAAAAGGCTTGCTCAGAAAACTCTTTATTGAAGGGGATGATTATTATTATTAAACAATTTGATCTCAGTTACCCAAGTGAATTCCATGAATTGATGTGCAGTAGTGACCAGAACACTGTGTTAGAGCAGAAATTCTCAATCCTGGCTTTGCATTTATAATTGCTTGTGGGTTAAAAAATCAAGCAAACAATACAACTGATTTTCAAAAGCAAAATAATAAAAAAGAGCAGCAATAAATAAACCATCTACACCAATTGATTTAGAATCTCCAGAATGAGAACCAAAACATCAGCATTATAATAACATAAAAAACTATCCCACTTAATTTTAGTATGTAGTGAAATCAAAAAACCATTGGTCTAGAGTCAGAATTTCAGTTTAATTTCCTATTGGTAGAAATTCCGGATGTCTAAATAATAGATTTATATTAAAAGTATGAAAGCTTGTTTAAGTTTTGGTCCTAATCTTGTCAACAAGTAGAAATCATTTCTGAAAAATACCAGCTCTGGTGATCAGGAGTGAAGGAATCTTGCTTTCACTTGCATTTACCAGTAAGTGAAGTATGATAGTTCCTATGTCACCCCGATTTGTTTCAAATTATTTATGCACCGACATAAACAAGCCGTTATTTAGTACAGTTAATAACCCGTGACAAGTTTCCTTAAAATAAATGGGGTCCTGAAATTCAATTTTATTTATTAGCCAATTTGAATTTTTTTCCTAGGCATTTATCCATCAAACATGGCACTGTTATTGCGCATGCATTATGCAGCATGTCAAATTAAACCATTGTTGATAAAACAAACATTAGTTATTGAAATGATCTAAATGCCAACTTGAAATGCTGTGTTGTAGCTAATAAATATGCCTAACTTCCAGTGCAGAAAGAGTGGGCAAACATGATAATTTGATTTCTGTGCCTGTAGTTCATAAAAATTAAAAAAAAACTCTCACAGAGAACAATGGTTTGTCTTCTATGTAGTGCAAGGCAGGAAGGAGCTGGTATGAGTAAATGTTAATGATAACAAGTATTATGAGAGGTACTAACAAGCTCTCTCGTTATATTTCTTATCTAAAAACACTTTTATTAGCATCATAAATCATGTGAAAAGGACTTTCCAGTGCTCGATTTGATATTATTTCTATTGATCACATTTTTAAGGACAAGGTGGGTAGTCTGAGATACAGGGATTTAGATCCATTATGACATGAAGGGAGAGAAAGCTTATAATTTTATCACTTATGATTTAAAAATGTATTTGCTATATGTAAAACTTCTTGAACTCAGGCTGATATGCATAGTTCATGCTTCTGAATTTGTCTTTGCCTCTACATTGTAGTAAGAAGAATTTGCTGTGGTGGCTTTAAGACAATCTATGATCATCTGCCTGCACCATAGTATAAGGTGAAATAAATTCAGTATTAGAGAAATGGCCAGAATTTTCACAAGCAATTCTGTATGCTTAGTCATTGCATGCATGCATACACCCATGAAAAAAAAATGTATAAGGGTACTGGAAATAAACCAATAAACCTATATTATCCTATCATTTTTCAAAAAGAAATTAATTGATTAGGTATATTTTTAGTTCAGACATGAATCCAAGTTCTTAATGTAACTAATGGCTGAAAGTGAGCTTTAAGATGCTTATTTTCACCTTTCAATTTGTATAAAGCACATCTACTTCTTAAGCTGAGAAAATCCTTTAAAGAGATGAACTTTATTGATAGGTGGCATAAATTAGTCACTTTATCTTTAACTCACGCCCCTCTCCTTTCTACAAATACATATTGTACTCTAACTGGGAGACAGGCAGTACTCTAGGCATATGAGATAACATGATGAACATTACCGTCTTCTCTCTGCACTTAGGGAGATTGCTCTCTGGCTACAAAAACAGGTATTTACAATTAAATGAATATTGATAATGTACATAACTAAAGGAGGAGGAGTGTGCTATGAGCTATTGGTGTACATTACAAAAGACATTTAATGCTGACAGAAAAGGATCAGAATAGGCTTCCTTATGAGAGTTTTATTTAAACTGAGATAATCAGAATTAGTAGTATTTAGCTAAATAAACCTTGAGAGAGAGAAATAAAAGTGAGAGACAGAGAGATTCAGACACACAAAAAGCATTTGCATGCATAGTAATCTTAACTCAAAAAGCATATGACAGTGGACACAAAAAATAAAAAGCAAGAGAATAAAACATACCAACAGAGAAAATCATCTTCACTGAAAGGAAGACAGGAATGAAAACAAGAAGACAGAGAGCACCACAAAATAACCAGTAAACCAGTAAAAAATGGCAGGAGTAAGTCCTTACTTTTCAATAATGACATTGAATATCTATGGACTAAATTCTAGAATCAAAAGACACAGAGTGGCTGAATGAATTAAAACAAAAATGAAAACAAAATGAAGAAAAAAACAAGACCGAATCATCTGTTGCCTACAAGAAATGCACTTCACCTATAAAGACACATATAGACTGAAAATAAAAGGATAGCAAAAGGTATTCCATATGAATGGAAATCAAAAAAGAGCAGTAGTAGCTATACTTATGTCAGAAAAAAATAGACTTCAAAACAAAAACTACAAAAAGAGACAAAGGAGATCGTTATATAATCATAAAGAGATCAATTAGACAAGAGGATATAACAGTTGTGAATATGTATTCGTCCAACACAGAAGCATGTAGATATGTAAAGCCAATATTATTATTATTATTTTTAATTTTACTTTAACTTCTGGGATACATGTGCAGAACATGCCAGTTTCTTACATAGGTATACATGTGCCATGGTGGTTTGCTGCACCTATCAACCCATTATCTAGGTTTTAAGCCCCACATGCATTGGGTATTTGTCCTAATGTTCTCCCCTTGTCCCCTACCCCAAACAGGGCCTGGTACGTGATGTTCCCCTCCCTGTGTCCATGTGTTCTCATTGTTCAGCTCCTACTTATGAGTGAGAACATGTGGTGTTTGGTTTTCTGTTCCTGTGTTAGTTTGCTGAGAATGTTGTAAAGCCAATAATATTATACAGCTAAAGAGAGAGATAGACCCCGATATAGTAATAGCTGGAGACTTCAACACCCCACTCTCAGCATTCGACAGATTATCCAGATAGAAAATCAACAAAGAAGCATCAGATTTAATCTGCGCTATAGACCCAATGGACCCAATGGATATTTACAGAACATTTTATCCAACAGCTACAGAATACACATTCTTCTCTTCAGCACAGGGAACATTCTCAAGGATAGATCGTTTGATAGGCCACAAAACATGTCTTACAAAATTCAAAACTACTGAAATCATATCAGGTATCTTCTTTGACCACAATAGAATAAAACTAGAAATTAGTGACTAGAGAAACTTTGTTAACTGCACAAACATGGAAATTAAACAATGCTTCTGAATGACCAATGGGTCAATAAGAAATGAAGAAGGAAATTAGGAAATTTTTTGAAGCAAGTGAAAATGGAAACACAATATACCAACAACTATGGAATACTGCAAAAGTAGTACCAAGAGGAAAGTTTATAGCAGTAAATGCCTCAAAAAAAGTGGATAAACTTTAAATAAACAACCTAAAGGTATATCTTAAAGAACTAGAAAAGCAAGAGCAATCCAAATCAAAAATTAGTAGCAGAAAAGAAATAAGAAAGATTAGAGCAGAAATAAATGAAAGAAAGAAAACAATACAAATGATCAATGAAACAAAAAGTTGTTTTTTCAAAAAGATAAATAAAATCGACAAAACTTTAGCCAGACTAAGACATAAAGAGAGAATATCTCAATAAATAAAATCAGAGATGAAAACTGAAACATTACAACTGATACTACAGAAATTCAAAGGATCCTTAGAGGCTACTATGAGCAGCGGTATGCCAATAAATCGGAAAACCTAGAAGAAATTGTTAAGTTCCTAGACACATACATCCTACCTAGACTGAACCATAAAGAAATCCAAAACCTGAACAGACCAATAACAGGTAATGAGATTGAAGCTGTAATAAAAAGCCTTCCGGCAAAGAAAAGTCCAGGACCCAGTGGTTTTCCTGCTAAATTTTACCAAATATTTAAAGAAAAAAAATACAAATCCTACTAAAGCTATTCAGTATGTATGAGGCCAGCATTACTGATAGCGACAGGAGACAGACAAATTCCTAGGCAGACAGGGATGGGTCCTCAGTGAAATCTGACCTTCAAGCAAAAGACAGTTTACAGCCTGAAAACCCATCTGCCAGTTCCAGATGGAGTGCACGATCCAAGGGACAACTTCTAACCCCGTCCTACCCTCTCTCTCTCGACGGGTTCCTTGTGGATGATACCTTTTAATCAATCGAATGGTGGTTTTTCCACGCCCACCCATGAACCAATCAGCCCACACTCCACCGTTCTAAGTCCAGCATAACCCCAGACCCAGCCACATGAAGGGCTACCCACTCTCGGGTCCCCTCTCACAGCTGAGAGCTTTCCTTCTGTCACTCAATAAAATTATTATCTGCCTTATTCACTCTCCAGTGTCCACGCACCTTATTCCTCTTGGTCTCAGGACATGAATTTGGAACCTGCCCAGTGGCGCGCAGTGAGAGTAAAAGAGCTGTAACGTGCTCCTGCTCGCTGGACCGCAGGAGAAGGAGAGCTGTGACATGCTCCTGCTCGCTGGACCACAGGAGAAAGAGAGCTGTGACATGCTCCTGCTCGCTGGACCACAGGAGAAAGAGAGCTGTGACATGCTCCTGCTCACTGGACCACACAGGACGCGCAGTGAGAATGAAAGAGCTGAACGTGCTCCTGCTCACTGGACCACAGGAGAAGGAGAGCTGTGACATGCTCCCACTCGCCAAGCTATGGGAGTGAAGAGCTGCAACATCTCTTGGGGGCTTAGACCTTGGGACTTTCCGAGCAAGAGTTATAACACCCCTTGGGGCCCCACAATTGCTGGCATCTCTGGGTTTTAGGGTGCCACTGCGTTCCCCTCAACTAGACACTGGCGCCCAAGGTGGAAGCTGCTCACCCCACGCCGTTCCAGCTGTGGGCTGAGCACGGAGCTGCTGAGGTTGCAGGATACGGGCAGGGGATGTGAGCCAAGAGAGGCCTGCCTGGCTGAGCGGGCTGAGCGAACCCAGGGGGCCCCGAGTGAGGCCTGGGCAGAGGTGGGAGCAGCTGCAGAGCTTTCTGGCTGGTGAAGCGGCTCCAAAGGAATCCTGTAACATTACCAGTACAAGGCTAGTATTATCTTGATACCAAAACCAGACAAAGACACATCAGTGAAACTATAGACCAATATCCTTGATGAACATCGATGCAAAAATCCTCAACCAAATGCTATTAAACCGAATTTAACAACACGTTAAAAAATTTTTTCATCATGACCAAGCGGGATTTATTCCTGGGATGCAAGGATGGCTCAACATACACAAATCAATCAATGTGATATGGATATGTCATATAAACAGAATGAAGGACAAAAACCCAGAATCATTTCAATTGATGCTGAAAAGGATTATATAAAATTCAACATCTCTAAGCCCTAATTTCAAAGCCCTAAAAAATCTGGGTATATAAAAACCACATGTGACAGACCCACAGCTAGTATCATACTGAATGAGAAATAAATTAAAACTTTTCTTCAAGATCTGGAAGAAGACAAGGATGTCCACTTTCAACACTGTTATTCAACATAGTATTGGAAGTCCTAGCTAAAGCAATCAGAGAAGAGAAAGAAATAAAGGGCATCCACATTGTAAAGGCAGAAGTCAAACTATATTTGTTTTCAGATGATAGGATCTTATATTGGGAAAAACCCAAAGATTTAACCAAAAACCTATCCAAGCTAATAAACAAATTCAGTAAAGTTGCAGGATACAAAATGAACTTAAAAAATCAGTAGCATTTCTATATGCCAACAGTGAGCAATCTGAAAAAAAAAATCGAAGAGCAATTCCATTTATAATAATGGCAAAGAAAATTAAATACCTATGGATTAACTTAATAAAATAAGTGAAAGAACTCTACAATGAAAATTATAAAACACTGATGAAAGAAATTGAAGGGAAAAACAATCCTTTAATTTATATGAAACCACAAAAGACCAAGAATAGCCAAACCTGTCCTAAGTAAAAAAACAAAACTGGAGTAATCACACTACCTAACTTCAAATTATACTACAAAGGTATAATAACCAAAACAGCATGGAACTGGTATAAAAACAGACATATAGACAAATGAAACAGAATAGAGAACCCAGAAACAACTCCACACACCTACAGTGAACTCATTTTCAACAAAGGTGCCAAGAACATGCACTGGGGAAAGAACAGTCTCTTCAGTAAATGGTGCTGTAAACTTGGATGGAGCTGGAGGCCATTTATCTAAGTGAAGTAGCATTACGGATAGCTAAGAAATGAAAAATCAATTACTGTATGTTCTCACTTATGTGGGGAAGCTAAGCTATAAGAATGCAAGTCATAAGAATGATACAGTGGACTTGGAGGCTCGGGGAAAGGTTGGGAGGAGGTGAGGGAAAAAAGACTACATATTGAATACAGTGTACACTGCTCAGTTGGTGGGTGCACTAATCACCAAAAACTACCTGTATCCCAAATACTATGAAAATTTAAAAAATACAAGGTGCTGGAAAAACTGGATATCCATATGCAGAAGAAATAAGACCCTATGTCTCACCACATAGGAAAATAAAATCAAAATTAAAGACTTAAATTTAAGATCTCAAACTATA
This sequence comes from Homo sapiens, assembly GCF_000001405.40. Taxonomy (NCBI): domain Eukaryota; kingdom Metazoa; phylum Chordata; class Mammalia; order Primates; family Hominidae; genus Homo; species Homo sapiens. The sequence goes on along the minus strand of NC_000003.12, from coordinate 76,608,695 downwards.
AAACTTCTAAAAAAACACATTGGGAAAACTCTCCAGGATGTTGGTCTGGGCAAAGATTTCTTGAATAATACCCCACAAGCACAGGAAAGCAAAGCAAAAATAGATGAATGGGATCATACAAAGTTAAAGGTCTTCTGCACAGCAAAGGAAACAATCAACAAAGTGATTGTCCAAACCATCCTAGTTGAGAACCACTGGTCTGGATGTAAGGGGCTTAGGAGTGGGTGAGCAAAAAATGGGCCAAGAGTGTATGGCGAAACATGAGGCTAAAGAGATTGGCAAATACTCATCCTCCATACCTTATTTTAATTTTGTCTTTCCTTCCACGTTCAATCTGAAGGTCTTTGCCAAGACTCATTCCTCCACAGTCCCTTTCTTCTCTCCCCACTGAAGGTATAGTAAGGCTGACAGAATGGGATGGCACTTCAAGAAGACAAAGCATCACTGCCCAAGAAGGGTGAGAAAGGATGATACTAATGGCAGCTTTATATGCTGGGCACATAACATCTGTGTGGCAAAGTAACAGAACAGGAGGTTGAGGAAGTCCACAGAAATTGGATTATGAAATGGATTTAATAACATATTGCAAAGTTTAAATTTTGTCCAGAAGACTGTAAAACTTTATGGAGGATTTGTAAGCAGAGGGTTTTGTTTGTTTGCTTTGTTTTTCTCTTTAAAGAAAATCATGTTAACAACTCTATGAATCCATAAGCAATTTGATGGAGTAGAAACACCTGGAAGCAAGAAAACCAGTTAGGAAGATAGGTTTATAATCTTAGCAAGAAGTGTTGAAGGTCAGGTCTAAGCTATACAGTGTGGGTGGGAAGAAGAGAATAGATTTGAAAGATTTTTGAGTGGATAGCATCAATATTTGTTCCTCAAAAGTGTTTTCTACGTGATAAGAGAGAAGGAGATGTCAAGATGACTTCAAATATTTGCTGGGTGATAGGTGATGTCTTTTACCAATTCTAGCAAATAAGTTCAGTGAATGTCAAAAACACAAAATTTTTTTTCTAATGTAGGAGATAGAAATTAAAGTCACATAGAACATCCAATCATTTACTGAATGTGCAAAGTGTGAATCAGAGGGAATTTTTAGTGAGTTGTGCCTTCTTTGAAGCAATAATGCACATCTATGAAAGTATATTTCAATTTCAAATATTAGTACTAAATATTACTATTTTAGTACAACTCTAGAATAAACCTTTACAAACAAGTAACTATTTCAGCATAAAATATTATTTTTAACTTTGTAAGACAAGGTATTTGCCACAGCACACTAATCAAAATATTGGGGAAAATGTCTGAGAAATATTTCTTTTGAATGTTAAATATCAATAAAGAGGTTCTATTAAAAATGAAATGGAAGCTTGGCATGGTGGTGTTTGCCTGTAGCCCCAGATACTCAGGAGGCTGAGGCAAGAGGATTGCTCATGTCCAGGAGTTCAAGTCCCAGATACTCAGGAGGCTGAGGCAAGAGGATTGCTCCTGTCCAGGAGTTCAAGTCCAAGATACTCAGGAGGCTGAGGCAAGAGGATTGCTCCTGTCCAGGAGTTCAAGTCCACAGTGCACCATGATCACATCTGTGACTAGCCACGGCGCTCTAGGCTGGGCAGCATAGCAAGATCCCATCTTTAAAATATTTTTAAAAATAAAATGGAGCATAAATTTGCAGCAAATTCTAAATTATCATTGGTTTACTTGTAATCATACTTAAATGATGAAATATTTATTCCATATTTAGCTTCATATGTAAAATCATGAAAAATATATTTATATTGAGCATATATAAGAACTCAAAATACACACCATAATGATTCTTATTGAAAATAAATATATATTCATTTTATAATGTATAAAATAGTTCAGTATAACAGAATGGGACCTCTCCTCAAAGTAGGAGACATTATTATGAAATCAGAAATTAACCATTAATCCTCTGGTTTCTCCTTTGTCTGTCTCTATTTTTTTTCTTTTACAAACTAAAAAACATATATAAACAAGTAAAGAAAGACAAACATTAAGACACAGAGATGGAGACAAAAAAAACCAACAGAATAAGTTAATATTACTGTAATAGTAAAAGGAACCACTATTGCTTTCCCCAAGGTATTTCTGACTTTGTTTTAGATAATGTGCCATTTGAGACACATCTCTCCTGTTCTCTAGAGACTTGTAAAATAATAATTACATTTAGGTTGCCCTTCTTTTATCAAAAGGCTGAAGATGATATCAATCTATTTCTATTCCACAGGGCTTAGAAGCTTTCAGTGGAATTTTGGATGTTTTACAGCAAATATCGTAGAGAAAACATACACCATAAAAATGCTCCTCCATTCATCTTTGGAGTGTTTTGTTCTGGTTTGATCGTAGTGCTTGTGATGATATTACAGTGTGTTCACTGTTTGGATTCTAGTTTTTGAAAACCAATCTACAATCTACACTGAGGCAGGGGATTGGTAGTTCCATAGATTTATGGCAAAATTAGGTAACACAGTGCAAAGAAGCAGTTCGTGCTAAGCCAGAGGAAAAATGATTCCCCTTATTTTTTTTTAATTAAGAAACACTTTTATTTCCCCAGTAGAATGGGCTTCCTTCTTTTCCAGAAAATCTACAATTTACCATAAGGCACAAAATTTATAGAGCATGTATACAATACATCCTAGTGGTTAAATGATTGTGTTGGAAAGAATCTTAGAAGATATCTAGCTTGGCTTTCCTCCAAATAACGGGGTCCTGTCTACCGCATCCTTGAAAGACAATGATGTTATTTACACAAAACCTCCATTCTACTGCTGGACAGTCCTAATTAAGTTAAGGTTCTCTGTAATGAAGCAAAGTAAATCTTCCAAAGTGTATTTTCTCCCAGGCTGCACCTATCAAATAAGGGGGGGAGAAAAATCTACCTATACATAAATATGATAGTCCTTAAATACTTGAGCATAACTACCAGATGTGCTACTTATTCTTTAATTCCCCATGTTAAATATCCCTAATTTCCTCAGCTGTTTCTGTGATTTACAAATCTATTATCCCCAGCTCCCTCCTCTAAGCAATTTATTACTCCAGTCTTATCCTTTGTGTATAATACTCTGATCTGACTACCCAACTTTCCTATGGAAAAATTCTGCCTATTAGAACATCCAAATTACACAGTTAGACCATGTACAACTTTTATATAACTAGAAATTCTAGGGCTTTTCACATGAACAATTGTTAGTTTTTGACACTTCCATGAACTTGTTTAAATGTTTTCTAGCTCAATTTCATTTTGATTTTGGTGAGTGATTCCAATTACCTTTTTTTTTTAAAATACAGTTGGAGAAGCTATAAAAACATGTAAACCTGGGTTTAAATTCTAACTTTGATTTGAGAGTTGTGCTCTAAGAATTTAACTTAATCTACATATCTGATCTATGTCTTTAATGTCTTCATCTGAAACTTTAATAAAAATATTGAAGAGGATAAAAATAAAGCAGTTTTATACCTTGGTATATAACTATTTTAGAAAGATTATCTCTACTAATGGAAATGTTTAGCATAGCCATTCAACAAGTTATAAATGCACACAAACATTTTAATCAGTATATATTTTTCCAGTATTTTTACAAGCTTGCAATGTAATTTGTAGAATGTCTTGCTGGAGTTCAAATGCACTAATATATACATGAAATTACACTGATTTGCCAGCCTTGGCAAGTTGACATAGCCTTTCAGTTTGACGTAGTTTGCTTTTCCTTAACCTATGCTGGCACCTCTTGTTCAACCTTTGCTGTATAAATGTAAAAGCTATCTATTTGATTACTTACAATTTTCCTAGAGATAAAGTTGAGCTTCTTGGTCAAGGGCTTTCCAAAATGTAACTGTCTACCTTCTCAGCAAGCAGGTGAAATCTCTAACTATACATTGCTGTACTAATTGCAAACTCTCTGTAGTAACATAGACACACAAAATCAACATTTCCATACTACATACTCCCATGCAAAAGCATGAAAACTTCCTGGCATTTGAGTAGCATAACTACAATAACAATTAACTAGAGTAGGTTGGTCCAGATCTAATTATTAAATATTTCTATTAAAATGTTCCATATAAATTAAATTAGAAAATATAATTAAGCAAAATAAGTTAGGCCAATAGGGACACATCTACTAAATTTGCAAAATAAAAGTTTCATTGAGTATTGCTTTTTTTACTCTAGGTGAGAAATGAGGTAAAAAAGGTGATTTTCATATAAAATTAAATTTATGATGCCTTATTCTGAGAAGAACTGATATCCAAAGATATTCACACATAAGATCACCACTTGGCTGTCTTAAGGTTATGATTTATTAATTGAACATTAAAGCATAATGTTTAATACAAAGAAAATCTTTTTAGCTGACTTATGTTACTTCGAATGCACAATTATCCACATACTGCTTCTTAAGTCCAAAAACTGTATATCTCTGGGATTATTTAAAATGTTCTTTATTTGTGCTATAGACACACAGCAATTTCTATCTGCCCTATCTTCTTCATGCTTAACATTCAGACCAATGAACTATTTATTTAGTAATGTCATCATTAGGATATAGTAAGGTATTCAAGTAGATAAGACAACCCACAGAACTTAGTATCTACTCATATAATCAATGTATTATTAAGCCATGGCTTTTATACAATCAATTTTATTTTACTGCTGACAGACTATCATTGATGTCTAAGGCCAGTTGAAATTCTCTTTTCTTTCTGTAAACAACTGTTAATTATTACCTGCACTAAGACTTTCGGTGCAATTTGTAAGACATGCTGCATATGCCCCTTTAATATATATGTATATTTAATTTTGACAGGAAACTATCAAGCAAATTCATATTTAACAAAATAAAAACAAACTGATTGCTAAGTGTGCCAGTGACCACTTATACGAGAATGTTACTGACAGAGACTGTTATTCCTCTCTAGACATGGAATTCTAGACAGGTAGAGAAGCACACATGTTATGAAGCTTATAGCATTCCAGATGGAATAACTGAATTCATTCAAAAAGGCAGAACAAGAGCATGTATATGCAGCACCCATAGCAAAGGTATATAAACACACTTCTAGTGGTTTTATTTTGGAAAAAAAACTTCAAGCCATCTTTTAAAAAAAACTCCATCTATTCATTCATCAGAGTAAAAAGATTGAGTTCAATGCAATTCTTATTTTGGAAATTTAATAGGACTTTATTGGTCTATTTGTTTTTGCTTAATTATATTTTCTAATTCTTTAAGAATTGGGCAAATATTCAAATCAAAAAGAAGAAATGTCCATATTTCTACTCATATATATATATATATATATATATATATATATATATTTTTTTTTTTTTTTTTTTTGGAGATGGAGTCTCGCTCTGTCACCCAGGCTGGAGTGCAGTGGCGCAATCTTGGCTCACTGCAAGCTCTGCCTCCCGGGTTCACGCCATTCTCCTGCCTCAGCCTCCTGAGTAGCTGGGACTACAGGTACCCACCACAGTGCCCAGCTAATTTTTTTGTATTTTTAGTAGAGACGGGGTTTCACCATGTTAGCCAGGATGGTCTCGATCTCCTGACCTCATGATCTGCCCGCCTCGGCCTCCCAAAGTGCCGAGATTACAGGCGTGAGCCACTGCGCCCAGCCTCTACTCATATTTTTAACAAAGAATGATTTTCAGACGATTTGTGGAGTATTTACTTTGGAAAGTTAAAGTACTTTGAGAGCACGTTAGAGAGGAAATAGAAGATTAGAAGTATGAGGAAAAATGTCTCTTTAATTTAATACCAGACAAATGCTCTCATTTTGGAAAACAATAGAGATTATGCAATGAGACTGATACGGTTTGGCTGTGTCCCCACCCAAATCTCATCTTGAATTGTAACTCCCACCTGTCATGGGAGGAACCCAGTGGGAGTCCCCACCCAAATCTCATCTTGAATTGTAACTCCCACCTGTCATGGGAGGAACCCAGTGGGAGTCCCCACCCAAATCTCATCTTGAATTGTAACTCCCACCTGTCATGGGAGGAGCCCAGTGGGAGGTGACTGAACTATGGGGACGGGTCTTTCCTGTGCTGTTCTTATGAAAGTGAATGAGTCTCATGAGATCTGATGGTTTGATAAGGGGAACCCCTTTCACTTGATTCGCATTCTCTCGTCTGCTGCCATGTAAGATGGGTCTTTCACCTTCCACCATGATTGTGAGGCCTCCCCCACCACGTGGAACTGTGAGTTGAATTAAACCTCTTCTTTTGTAAATTACCAGGTCTTGGGTATGCCTTTATCAGCAGCATGAAAACGAACGAATACACTAAATTGGTACCAGTAGAGTGGGGTCTTGCTGAAAAGATACCCAAAAATGTGGAAGCGACTTTGGAACTGGGTAACAGGCGGAGGTTGGAACAGTTTGGAGGGCTTAGAAGAAGACAGGAAAATGTAGGAAAGTTTGAAACTTCCTAGATACTTGGAGGTCTCAGAAGAAGACAGAAAAATGTGGGAAAGCTTGGAACTTCCTAGAGACTTGTTGAATGGCTTTGACCAAAAGCCTGATAGTGATATGAACAATAAGGTCCAGGCTGAGGTAGTCTCAGATGGAGATGAGGAACCTGCTGGAAACTGGAGCAAAGGCGACTCTTGTTATGTTTTAGCAAAGAGACTGGTGGCATTTTGCCCCTGCTCCTGTGGAACTTTGAACTTGAGAGAGATGAGTTAGGTTACCTGGTGGAAGAAATTTCTAAGCAGCCAAGCATTCAACAGATGACTTGGGTGCTGTTAAAGGCATTTAGATTTATACAGGAAGCCGAACCTAAAAGTTCAGAAAACTTGAACCCAGACAATGTGATAGAAAAGAAAAACCCATTTTCTGAGGGGAAATTCATGCTGGCTGCAGAAATTTGCATAAGTAATGAGGAGTGGAATGGCAATGTTAATCCCCAGGACTATGGGGGAAAATGGCTCCAGGGCATGGCAGAGGTCTTCACAGCAACCCCTTCAATCACAGGCCTGGAGGCCTAGGAGAAAATGGTTACCTTGGCCAGGCCTAGGGTTCCCATGCTGTGTGCAGTCTAGGGACTTGGTGCCCTGTGTTCCAGCCACTCCGGCCGTGACTAAAAGGGGCCAAGGTACAGCTTGGGCTTTTGATTCAGAGGGTGGAAGCCCCAAGCCTTGGAAGTTTCCATGTGGTGTTGAGCCTGCGGGTGCACAGAAGTCAAGAATTGAGATTTGGGAACCTCTGCCTAGATTTCAAAAATTGTATGGAAATGCCTGGATGCCCAGGCTAAAGTTTGCTGCAAGGGTGGAAACCTCATGGAGAACCTCTGCTAGGGTAGTGCTGAAGGGAAACGTGGGGTTGGACCCCCACACAGGGTCCCTACTGGGGCACCACTTAGTGGACCTGTGAGAAGAGGGCCATCATCCTCCAGACCCCAGAACGGTAGATCCACTTAGAGCTTGCACCATGCACCTGGAAAAGCTTCAGGCACTCAACACCAGCCTGTGAAAGCAGCCAGGATTGGGGCTATATCCTGCAAAGCCACAGGGGCAGAGCTGCCCAAGACCATGGGAACCCACCTCTTGCATCAGCATGACCTGGATGTGAGACATGGAGTCAAAGGAGATCATTATGGAGCTTTAAGGTTTGACTGCCCTGCTGGATTTTGAACTTGTGTGGGGCCTGTAGCTCCTTTGTTTTGGCCAATGTCTCCCATTTGCAATGGCTGTATTTATCCAATGCCCATAACCCCCTTGTATCTAGGAAGTAACTAACTTGCTTTTGATTTTACAGGCTCATAGGTGGGAGGAACTTGCCTTGTTTCAGATGAGACTTTGGACTGTGGACTTTTGAGTTAATGCTGAAATGAGTTAAGGCTTTGGGGGACTGGTGGGAAGGCATGATGGGTTTTGAAATGTGAGGCCATGAGATTTGGAAGTGGCCAGGGTCAGAATGATATGGTTTGTCTGTGTCCCCACCCAAATTTCATCTTGAATTGTAACTCCCACAATTCCCACGTGTCGTGGGAGGAATCCAGTGGGAGGTGATTGAATTTTGGGGGTGGGCCTTTCCTGCACTGTTCTCATGATAGTGAATGAGTCTCATAAGATCTGATGGTATGATAAGGGGAAACCCACTTCACTTGGTTCTTATTCTCTCTCTTGCCTGCTGTGACACAAGATAGGCCTTTTACCTTTGGCCATGACTGTGAGGCCTTCCGAGCCATGTGGAACTATGAGTCAAATTAAACCTCATTTTTTCATAAATTACCCAGTCTCCTGCATGTCCTTATCAGCAGCATGAAAACGAACTAACACAGAGACTTACAATATTTTGGTAAATCATTTTCAAATCATTAATGTAGAAGGTTTAAAAAAATCTGTTATTCAAACACTGGGGAGAGGACTCCCTATTTAGTAAATGCTGGGATAACTGGCTAGCCATATGCAGAAGATTGAAACTGGACCCCTTCCTTACACCATATACAAAAATCAATTCAAGGTGGATTAAAGACTTAAATGTAAAACCCAAAACCATAAATCCCCTGGAAGGCAATCTAGGCAATACCATTCTGTACATAGGAATGGGCAAATATTTAATGATGAAGATGCCAAAAGCAATTGCAACAAAAGCAAAAATCAACAAATCAGATCTAATTAAATGAAAGTTCATCTGCACAGCAAAGGAAACTATCAACAGAGTAAACAGAAAATCTACAGAATGGGAGAAACTATTTGAGAACTATGCACATGACAAAGGTCTAATATTTAGCATCTATAAGGAACTTAAATTTGCAAGAAAAAACAAAAAAATCCATTAAAAAGCGGGAAAGGACATTAACAGACACTTTTCAAAAGAAGACATACATGTGGCCAAAAGCATATGAAAAAAAGCTCAACATCACTGATCACTAGAGAAACACAAATCAAAACCACAATGAGATACCATCTCACACCAGTCAGAATGGCTGTTACTGAAAAGTAAAAAACTAACAGGTGCTGGAGAGGTTGTGAAGCGAAAGGAATGCTTATACACTGTTGGTGGGAGTGTAAATTAGTTCAACCATTGTGGAAGACAGTGTGGTGATTCCTCAAAAACCTAAAGATAGAAATAACATTTGAACCAGCAATACCATTATTGGGTATATACCCAAAGGAATATAAGTCTTTCTGTCATAAAGACACATATACGCTTATGTTCATTGCAGCACTATTCACAATAACAAAGACATGGAATCAACATAAAAGAAAATGTGGTATGTATACACTATGGAATACTATGCAGCCATAAAAAAGAACAAGATTATGTCCTTTGCAGGGACATGAATGGAGCTAGAGGCCATTATCCTTAGCAAACTGATACAGAAACAGAAAACCAAATACTGCATGTTTTCACTTTTAAGTGGGAGCTAAATGATGAGAACACATGAACACAAAGGGAAGAACAACAGACACTGGGGCCTACTTAACAGGGAGAGTAGGAAGAGGGAGAGAATCAGAAACAAATATCCATTGGGTAATAGGCTTAGTACATGGGTGATGAAATAATCTGTACATCAATGCCCTGTGACATGAGTTTACCTCTATAATAAACCTGCACATGTAACCCTGAACCTAAAACAAAATTTTTTTTAAATTTTTGTTTTAATGTATATACACCAAATGGGTAGTTCTTACATGTAGAACGTAATTAAAGATGAGGTTACTTTTTGCTGTCTTTGAAGTGTTTAATGACAGTCAGTTACAGAATAATGGAATAGACATGTTTTTCTATATGCTGTGTTCCAAACAAGGTTATTATATACTTTCTTAGTAGCTGTTGCTTCGTTACGTAGATGAAGTACTAACTGACAAAAACAGCTTTGAAGAATTGAAAATTAATCCCTGTATTCTTACATTGCCATATTATTTTAGATATGATAATTTATACTTTTTTTCACCCCTCAGCTTTTTCCCCATCTGGACATGTTTGAGTCCTTTCAATTTTATATGAACAGCTTATCAATACAAACAAAACTTCACCATTTACTTTAAAAAATATCTTCAAGTGATTGACACGCTTAATTGAAATTTTTACTGAGATAATTACAGATTCATAAGGACTTTTAAGAACTAATACAGAGAGTTAATGTGTACCCCTTTGCCCATTCCCCCAATGGTAACATTTTATAAAACCGTAGTGGAAAATCACAACCAGAATATTGACATTAATAGAATTCATCCATCTAATTAGGATTTCCCATTTTACCTGCATTAATCCATGTGTGCATGTGTGTGTATTTAGTTCTACACAATTTTATCACATGCATATTCACTACCACATTATATAGTTCCAGCTCCTCAGAAGTCTCTTGAATTCTCCTTTTATTAAAAACAACAACAAAAAAACAAAACAAACAAACAAAAAAAACCACTTTCCTCTTCCCTTCCTTCCCATCCCTAAGCACTGGCAACCACTATTCTGTTCTCCATTTCTAAAAATTTGTCATTTAGAATGTTATATAAATGGAATTTTGCAGTATGTAACCTTTTGGGCTCGCCTTTTTTTTTTCACTCAGTGTAATTTCCTGAATATTCATTCAAGGTATTGCATCTATCAATAATCTGTTCCTTTTTATGGCTTAATAGTATTTCCTGGTAGGTATGTACAGCAGTTGTTCCATCATTCACCCACTGAAAAACATCAAAGCTGTTTCTAGTTTGGGGCTATTATGAAAAAAGCTGTAAATACTCATGTGCAAGTTGTAAAAATATCAGTTTTTATCTTTCCGAGATTAAAAAATGTGGTACATATATACCATAGAATACTACAAAGCCATAAAAAAGAACAAGTTCATATCCTTTGCAGGGACATGGATGGAGATGGAGGCCATAATCCTTAACAAACTAATGCAGGAAGTGAAAACCAAATACCATATGTTCTCACTTATAAGTGGGAGCTAAATGATGAAAACACATGAACACAAGGAGGGGAACAACAGACACTGGGGCCTGCTTAAGCGGGGAGGGTGGGAGGAGGGAGGGATCAGAAAATGTATCATTTTTACATTCTCAACAGCAATATATGTGGATTCAGTTTCTCTGCATCCACAAGAACATTTAGTGTTATCTGTTTTTTTATTTTAGCTATTATGATAGGTGTGTAGTGAACCTCATTGTTGTTTTAGGTTATATTTCTCTGATGACAAGATGTTGAATATCTTTTCCTTTGCTTATTTTTCATTTATGTATCCTCTTCCATGAAATGTCTGCTCATGCCTTTTGCCCATTTTTTGTTTTTTAGTTTGTTTTACTATTGAGTTTTAAGAGATTTTTTGGTATACCTTCAATATTAGTCCTTTGTCAGATATGTGTTTGCAAATATTTTCTCTCAAGCTTTGGCTTTTCTTTTCATCCTCTTCACACGGCTTTTACAGAGTAAAAGTTTAAATTTTGATGTGGTCCATTTATTAATTTTTTCTTTTATGAATTGTTCTTTTTGTTTCAATTTTAAAGAACTCTTTGCCTAATCCCAGATTATTACAATTTGTTTTTCCTAAAAATTTAATAGTTTTACGGTTTTCATTTAAATTCTTACCCATTTGACATTTGACTCACTGTTTATAAAAGATAGAGGTTTATGTTGGATTCATTTTTTAAAAAAATTTTACTGTGGATGTCCAATTACTTCAGCATCAATTGTCGGGCTAAGATGATTTGATGTAAGTTTTAGTATAAATATTTTTATCCCACTGATATGACAGCATAGATAACATCACTACCAAGTTGACAGAGGGCTTTAAACACTTTTGTTATATTTTTGTTTAGAGCAATTCTTTTTAAATGACATGTCTATCAAGCCATTAACAGAGATTTGCTGTTACACAATATTTGGCATTATAATGACAGCTGTTAAAATCAATGTCTCCTATACCACCTTTAATGGGCCATCAGGGTGAATGGGTTAGCAGACTGTATCTCTTTTATGAAAGTAGACCACTTAATCCAGGAGGGCTAAGAGACATCAGACCTCTGCAATTAAAGGCCGAATGTGATATTCTTACTACCTGCTGTTGATGGCCTAGTAGCTTCAGTCAAGTGCCAGTGGGAGTGAGGCAAAAATTTGTTTTGAAGGCCATCTGTGTTTTCTCAGCTTGTGATTGCCACCTACATTTAACAAATGAGGGAACTAGGGCTCAGAGAGTTCAAGATTCATCCCACACTTCTCTAGTTAGTAAATGTCAGAGAGGGTTCTATCTGCTGCCGGTTTTCCATTCTTTTCACTGCTCAAAACACATCCCACTGGATTCTCAAGTGTCTTTCCTAATTTCTACATGCGCTACTCTTCATAGTCTATGTTATTTAACATATTCTCTCTCCTATCACTTATGGTGATACTGGTGCCACTGGTTGTATTAACACAATAATACTGTAAGCATTGTCCCATTTCAATATATGTTTCCCTGAGGATATTGATAATGGGACACCCCATAAAGAAATTAAAACTCAACAATTCTAAAAGAGAGCAATTCAAAATCAATGCAAGAAGTTTTTTGGTACTTATTCTCAGGTTTATAGTTGCCTTCTCTATATAAACACTACTTACAACAGGGCTTTATTGCTTTCTTTTTTTAAATCTTGAAATAATGTACTTTTATTCCCCAAACCTTTCAAGAAATAAACATTCATTGCCAGATCTTATGTTTTGGCTCTGAAGGCAAGCTTTGTGTATGTTACACCATGAGCCAGAATGTTAATAATTACAGAACACAGTGCCTTTGTGGTCTGATGTATTAAATATTCAGAGATAAGTAGTTACGTGGCTCACGGGTGTTTGAAGACATGATTGGTACTGACTGGCTGAATTTCAAGTGGATTGTCCAAATTTGGAGGATATGGTTTACAAAACTATCTGTGTACTGTGTTTCTTTGGGTTCTTTTGTGCTAATAATGTCCCAGACCTACAAAATCATTCTATTTTGATTCCTATTTGGAATTCTTATGTTCATAAGAAGGCAGAAAAACTTTTTTCAGGGAACCATACATCAGTGGTCTTGGCCTTTCCGTGCAATACATGAATTTGATTTCACTTAATATGCATATCACTCATATATAATCTGTAATTTTTTAAAGATCACGTTCATGCTTTATTCACTTGGGGGAACTTTTATTAACAAAATATAATTTTATGCTTTTTTTGCATGTTGTCTTTGAAAAGTCTGTTTTTTATCATTCTTAGTGTCACACAAGTAAGAATGTAAATCTAGAAATGGAATCTATCATTTTATAAATCACAAAACTCAAATATATTTTTGTGAAAATGTTATACTTACACAAAATAACATGTAACAAAATACATAATATATAATTCCCATTTTATATGCATACATCACATTCTAAATGCTTTTCCAGTTTTTATTGTCCCCCAAAATGTGTTCTATGTATATATATATTTATAGAAATATATTTATTGATTTTCCCCACATAAGCTGTATTCTGTCTTAGTCTGTTTGGGTTGCTATGACAGAATACCACAGATATTATGACTTAAACAACAAAAATTCCTGAGTTCTAGAAGCTGGGTATTCCAAGATCAGTGTGCCCATAAATCCAGTATCTGGTGTGGACACTCTTTCTGGTTTGCAAAAGGGCTGTTTTCTCCATGTATCCTCATCTTTCTCCAGTCTCATCAGGGCACTAATCCCATTCATGAGGGCTCCACCCCCATGACTTAATTACCTCCCAAGGTTCCACCTCCAAATACCATAACAATGGGGATTTGGGCTTCAATACATTAGTTTTGGGGGGAACAAATTTAGTCCGTAGCTTTATTATTGTCAGTATTCTGTATTATTTTTCCATTGAAAAACAGGTTGGTCACTTTTTAGCTGTAATGCTACACAAGTAACTCAGTTCTCTGGTTTTTCAGTTGTAAAAGCAAGTTCGCAGTATTGACCTCAAAGTAAATTTGGGAACATCATTTATTTATTTGGCAATTAAATAAAATACATTTATCCACTCACTTATTTAGCTCCAAATCTATACTAAACACCATTCTTCCTTCATTTAGTTTACGTTCTAATGGAGACAGAGGAGTTGTTAGAAAAAAATCACCCAAATAGACAAAGTAACAAAAATAAAAGTAAGGAAATAGAAAGTGAACAGGGGAATGATGGATAATAGTATTTTGGATAAGGCTCTTTAGGAATTATATTAAATATGAGAGTAATTCCAATACATTTATAGAGACTTAAGAACAGGGCCAAGCACCTATTTGTCACTTCATTAGTATTAGTTTCTTCCCTTCTTCCTTTGTGCTTTATTTTTCCTTTCTGATAACCCAAATGATGATAATAACTTAAATCTAAATGATGTCTTATAATTGTACCACCAATCCTAAAGTATCTGCTGTGATTTGTCTCAAATTCATATTTTTATGAGACTGAGAGCAAAGCATTAGGTTAGGTTAGGAATAGAGAGAAACCAGATTTTGATCTGATCCTACTCTCAACTAGCTCTGCAACTTTAGAAAAATAGCCTCTTATTATATTGGCTTATTCTTCCCAGAAACCAGAGCTAGATGTTCTTAGGTATACTTGTAATGGATGTTAGATATTCCCCCTACTCTAAACTTAAAGGATTCAATAAAATTAAACTATGATACTGCTTTCCTGTAAGATTTCTGATAAAATGTTTACAACATACTTTCTTTTATGATAATATGTTACTTTACAACAATATTTATATTATTCCAGCTCTTTCCATGCTTTTCTATGTAAATAATTATGTTTTTAATGAAAGATGAAGAAGTTTCATCACTGAGATCTGTTTCTCTTATTTTATACATTTAAAAAATTATAATAGCTGCCACTATATACCTGCTTCCAAATATAAAGCATCTAGTAAAACATCTCCAAAAATATAATAAATAAACATGAAGCTGCTATAAATACAAGAACAATTAAAGAAGAGAGCAACTCAACTCTGCTTTTAAATTCTCTAATTCATGTTTACTTCTCTAAACATTACCTACATTTTTACTAGTGTTTCTGAAAAAATATCAGATGATAAAGTACATTCATTCATCAAAATATCTAAATATTTAATTCTGAAAAATCATGATGGAAACACTTAATTTCTGAAAACCATTAATAAGTTAGTGTGTTGATCATTAGCTCTTGCCATACTAATTTGCATGTTCTGCTCATTCATTTCAAGGTGATTAACAGTACATTCAGTTATCTGATCAGATTATTTAGTATGTAAGAATCATCTTCCAATTTCTTGCAGATGCCATCAAGATCCTGGCACCTTAAATGCAGCTATTTCAGAAGTGCTCTCAGATCTGAACTGATAGTCTCATTTTTTAGGCATGCTTGGAATATTTCTACATCTTTCTCCAGGTCATTAGCCAATCTTGATGATCTATCAGTAATTAAACGCAACAACTCTAGAAAGAAAGCTGGGATTACAGCATTCTTAATGTCACACACACAAAGGATATTGTTCACTTTGGTGATGAGCTGCTGGAAAACAGACACAGTTCTATCTTCTAACAAGTTAGGAACTGTATTATTCATGTGTGTATTCAGCATGATGCACAGTGAATGGTACATGGTAGTTTCACAATAAATATATGTTGAAATATGGTCAGCTGCTTTGTTAGTTTAGTTTATTACTTACAATTATTTGTGATTATGATGTATCTGTAAGCTAGGCTCTTTCAAACAGTGCCTGGTCTGTGTTTGTTACTGCATTTACAGTGCTAGGCATAATGACTACCATAAGGCACTATTGAATAAATATTTGTTGAGGGAATTAGTAAGAATGTGAACATCTTTTTTTGTCTTGGCTGAGGACCATGAAGATAGTACGATTTCAGTCCTAGAACCACAGGAATGAGTTCTGGCAACTACCTGCATGATTATGGAAGCAGATTCTTTCCCAGAGTATTCAGAATAAATCTCTGATGGTTTGAACACCCCGAGTAGAAACTTGGAGTAGAAAGTCCCATCAGTCTACACCAGGACGTCTGGCCTACATAGTTGTGAGATTATAATTGGGTGCTATTTTAAGCCACTAATTTGGTAGTAATTTGTTACCCAGTGACAAGAAACTAATACGGAAGGTTTGAATGGCTGGAGGAATACACGTTGGTATTTTGATAACATATTTGATGTAATGTTGATCTTGTTTTTAGCTCAAAGTTATTATCTGAGAATTACATTTGATCTCTAAAATCATGTGAAGACTGCCTTTAACAAATCTTCAGTATGAACAGCATAGCAAATATGTATGGATGAAATATTTTAATTTATTTTGACGTTGTTTTTGAGCATCTGTCTAGGTTAGTTTGTTAGCAAGAGCAGCTCTTGGTTAGATCAAGGTTGCTCTCTTTAGAAATGTGCTCTCTTGAGCCTCCAGGGGAATTGGTTAAAAAGTATAAATTATCTGTACAGGGAAAACAACCCTAAACTGGTACATGTTAAATTACATTCAATGTTTCAAGGACCATTTTCTCTTCCATCTTGCAAAGCACGTTTTAATTTAATCTAGGAGAGGTAGCAATAGGAAAGTTATTTAAAGTACACAGGTACTTTCACAGTTTTAGCTCAGCTTTTTTTTTAACAGAAATTTTCTCATCTAGTTTGAAAATATTTCCTAAAAATGTGACATCTTTCTGTAAAAAGTATTTACACGTTTCCTAAGCTCTTAACTTATTACTGCTATTCTCCATGTATAAGTGAAAAATAGCCCCAATATCACAGTGAACCAAGCTCTGTGTAGTCGGATTTGAATAGCTAAATCCTCATATTACATGGCCTGGCATTTTGATTAATGCCATGAATTCCAAAACACTTTCAATTTCCAGAGCACTTTCACACAGAGAGCCCCAATGTGTATCATTAAAACAGTAAAAATAAAATTAAAATTGAAATCACATTTAAATATCTAGTTCATAAACATTTTTCTGCAATGTTTAGTCAGAGAAAATGTTCCCAATTATTTTGCCTGGTATATGCTGACAAAATGCACAATGATTTGCTTCTTATTTCTGAAATAAATAAATTAATAGCTTGGTTCTCAAAGAAAAGAAAGACAAAATACAAGGTTTACTATTGGCAGGAGTTTTTAACCTGAGTTTATAACACCTGAGGATTTTGAAGATAGAATTCAGGAGGTTTGTATTATTGGACAGGAAAAATATATATCTTTATTTTCAGTAACTTCTATAAAAATAGAGAACAAGCTACAGAAATATTAGAAGTATCTATGGCTTAGACATCACTGATCTTTTTTATTACAGTTGACACTTAAACAACACAGGTCTGAACTACATAGGCCCATGTATGCCTGGATTTTCATCTGCCTCTATTGAGAGAGCAAGACCAATCTTTCCTTTTTATCTCCTTCTCAGTCTACTCAAGGGAGGAGGAAGTCCTTTATGAGGATCCGCTTCCCCTTAATGAATAGTAAGTATGTTTTCTCTTTCTTATGATTTTCTAACAATTTCTTTTCTCTAGCTTACCTTTTTGTAATAATCCAATATATAACACATATACCATACAAAATATGTGCTAATTCACTGTTTATATTATCAGTAAGGCTTCCAGTCATCAGTAGGCTATTAGTAGTTAAGTTTTGGGGCAGTCAAAAGTTATACATGGATTTTTTAACTATACAGGAGTGGGGAGTAGGCAACCCCAAACCTCATGTTACTTAAAATAAAGATTGACTATATATTAAAATTATCGCAGATATGTAACATATCGTTTATCATCATCATTTTGAAATTTTGTTAGCTATTCAGCCTGCCACTGCAGTTGATAACAAAACGAAGGTGCATAATACCACATACTTAATCACATAGTAATAATTTAATAAGCTATATTTCAGTATAATTTGTGTCTGAAGATGATTTATTTTATGTATTTAAAAATATTGTTTTGAGAAAGTGTCAATAAGCTATACAAAACTTCTAAAGTAGTGAATGACCCACATAAATAAAAAAATATAAACACTCCTTATTCTATAGGCTTTTTTCCTTAGATTATGATCTAAGAACTAATCTTGTATTTGTGATCTTTCTGAAAATGTATTGAGCAGATTTTTACAAACAACACCAAAAATTTATATCCTTTGGTTACATAACATGCTACAAACTTCCACCTTCAAAAGTTGAAGTTCTTTTCTGAATCAACTCAAACATTTTACTCTGTCAGTTGGTTGATGTGTTGCTGTCTAAAATGTAGATTGATGGTTGACAGCATTGATGTCATAAATTATGCATGCCAATTTCATGAACACAATTAAACTGAGGCACTATGGGTAATTTAAATAATTATACGTATAAATAGTAGTATTAGTCTTGTCAAAATCTGCACCTATACTAAATGTCAGCATTTAATATCAACAAAGTGTTAAGGATTCAGTATTTTGCATCAGTATGGTTGGGAGACAGAGTTAAATTACTTGTTAAAATAATATTAGCATACATTTGTCTGACAACTTTGTTTTTGACTTTTATCTAAAGTTTGAGTAAAAATGTACTCTTTAGAATTTTGGTTATTTCTATTAAACTTAGTGGCACAAACTGGCTAAAAATTGCCGTATATATAATACATGAGAGTCTATTACATATATTTTTATTTAGTTCTTTTAAATATCCATCGTATTTTCTATACACATGTGTATAATATTAGTTTAAGCCTACATATTTTTCATTATCCGGAACATACATTTAATTGTTACTCTCCTGAGATCCTGCTGTCTGCCTAAAGGTGGAGGATCAGAAATTCTTTAGTCAAATTAATTTATTTTTAAATATATCGTAACAACATTTTTAAAGAAACTTGTAGATGTGGGTTGTCATTGTGATCAGTAGTAAATCATATGATTCAATTTTTGGATTACAGCTCTGGGTGGTTAGGTTTTGTTGGTTGGCTTTTGGATCTAACATTGATTTGGATTTATTACTGAATAGAGTCACATTAATACAACATTTTTGAAGATTTTGTAACTAAACAGTTGAGGAAAAAATGGCTCAAAAATTAGGTAACATTGTAGTATAGCCCTAAATATCTAGCTAATTGATGAAAGGTTTCATTTTAATATCAGACTCTTTTCCCATTTGAGGAGTGTTTAGAGAACATTGTTTATAATAGATTGCCATGTGTGTCTCTACTTGTGCAACACAATGCTCCGAAGTATTTAGAACAAGTGGTGAAACCCCGTCTCTACTAAAAATAGAAAACAAAATTAGCCGGGCGTGGTGGCGGCGCCTGTAGTCCCAGCTACTCGGGAGGCTGAGGCAGGAGAATGGCGGGAACCTCGGGAGGCGGAGCTTGCAGTGAGCCGAGATGGCGCCACTGCACTCCAGCCTGGGTGACAGCGCCAGACGCCGTCTCAAAAACAAACAAACAAAAAGCCAAGTGTTTATTTCTTATATTTTTCATTTTTTCAGCTTCATATAGGCATAACTGACAGATAAACTTTGTATATATTCAAGGTATACAGAGCGATGTTTTGATATCCATATATATTGTGAAAGATTACCACAGATAAATTATTTAACATGTTCATCATCTCACATAGTTTCCTTTCTTTTGTGTTGAGACCACCTAAGATACACTCTCTTAGCAAATTTCAAGTGTGCAATACATTATTAGTGTTTACAGGGTGTTCAAATCAAGATTTCCAAACTAGTCTTGAACTACCTGTTCACAAGAGAGTATGTTATTGTTTTGAGAATATTTATTTCCCTAAGTATTAGAAACTGTGCTCAGATAGCTTGAAACTCCAACATCTGTCAGTTTCATTCGGTTTATGCTGATATATTTGAAACCAAATGATCACAAAGACAACAATTAGCTTTTATATTCTAAGATACTACATATTCACTTGGATAAATTAAAATTGGCTTTCAAATTAGGTGACATTAAACATATGCTATTAGCAATTCTAGGTAATCAAATTAACACTTAAAAATGTCAAAGTATATCTTCAACTCAAAAGTAAGTTATATATCTCACTTTGTGCAGGCACTTGATGTGATACGTATCTATCACATTGAATGCCTCTACATAAGACATCTTTATATTAAATAACACTATTTGTAACGTTTTCCAATATATGCTTCTTAAAGAATATCATCAGAATAATCCATATTAAGCCATTTCTTGTTAAATATTGTGTTCTTTTTGAAATGCTTTTCAACAGAGATGCTTTATACACATTTTAAATTTTAAAATAAATATATAATCAGCTATGAAAATTATTATTGCTTAATCCATCCTCTAGAAGTCTTTAACAAGTATACTAATGTGAACATTAAAATTCTGAATCACACTGAACAAGTTAGAGGGCTATTTTAAATGCAGAAACAAATCCATTCAGTGGGAATTTAATAGATTCTTCTCTTCATCCTGGCCTTGAATTACATCCATCAGGGATTTTCTGCCAGGTTGGTAATGATACCAATACATGACACAGTCACATACTGCTATAAACTCATATATAGTTAAGTTTCCAAATGAGTGACACAGATTGAAAGTTAATAGGATCTTGAGAAGAGAAAGACAATGTAATCTGGATATGGGTTTGATCTTCCTGATGGGTGATCTTTAAAGGATGAAAAGTCTTCTTTACCCCATATTCATGCACGATTTTAAACACACACACCCCATTAATTTTATAAATATAACACACAATAAGTAATCATTCCAACAACTCTGTGAAGTAAATAAAGTCAGGTATCTCCATTCAGTAACAAAGCTAGCTAAAAAATGAATTAGGTGGAATTGTCCAGGATAAGTGGGTAGAGAAGAGATGATCATCTCAAGTATATGCCCTACACTCTGTCGACCACACATTGGCTGAAGAAAGATGGAAAGGGAGAATGAGTAAAGAGAGTGTAAAATAAAGACTGTGTTTTAAAGGCATGACTTGGAGAAAAATATTTTCTGATGTAGAAAGAACTCATTCAGGTTTTTAAAAAGTTAGTTCATTTATTCATTTGGGTACTGATATGGTTTGGCTGTGTCCCCACCCAAATCTCATCTTGAATTGTGGTTCCTATAATCCCCACGTGTTGTGGGAGGGACCAGGTGGAGATAATTGAATCATGGGGGTGGTTTCCCTCATTCTGTTCTCGTGATAATGATTGAGTTCTCAGGAGATCTGACTGTTTTATAAGGGACTTCCCCCTTCACTGGGCACTCATTCTTCTCCGTCCTGCTGGCATGTGAGGAAGGTGCGTTTGCTTCCCCCTCCACCACAATTGTAAGTTTCCTGAGGCCTCTCCAGGCCTGTGGAACTGTGAGTCAATTAAACCCCTTTTCTTTATAAGTTACCCAGTCTCAAGCAGTTCTTTATAGGAGCGTGAGAATGGACTAATACAGGTACGTACCACATGGGAGCACATATATTATAGATACACCGGTAAATTGGAAGGGAAAAGGAAAAGCCCCTAATCTCATGAAACTCACATTAAGTGGAGAAAAAGCAATAAAAACATAAATAAATAAAGAATATGGTTTCACACAGTTATTTTGAAATGGGTGTTAAGGCTCAAGGAAAGCCATTTTAGACAGGGGCAATGGGCGTAATAACTAGGAAAGCTGACAGAAGTCTATCTACCCCCCTTCCTTGTTTGGTGGCAGATGAAGGAGCAATTGTATCATGTATCTGGGCTCAACAATTTAAAAAGAAGCATATTTCTAGTTCTACAAAAGTATAAAGCAAACTCAAATAAAGACTTTTGAAGTCACAAGGTGAGGTTTGTCAATTTTCATGTTCCCTGACCATCTGAGCATCAGCTTCTGAGTTGATCTTCCTGGCTGCTCTCTGGAGACACTATCAGTGTGGCAAAGCCACTACAACCTGGGATCATATCTTTGCATATGTGATCAGTACTCCTTTTTTAATTAGTGCACTTTAGCTTAAAGTAAAACCTCATAGTGCATGACAAGTGCTTGCAATTTTTCTTTCAATCCAACACTCAAGAGGAAATAATAACTCACATGATCTAATACTATGTTGTGCAATATGGTAGCTACTAGCCACATGTGATCACTGAGTGTTTGAATTGAGGAATGTCAGATTAAGAAGTGCTATAAGTGGGAAATTCATATCATAATTTGAAAACTTTTAAAATACTAAGTAAAACCTTTTATTAATTTTTAAAAAACTCATTTTAAATATGGCTACAAAACTATTTCAAGTTATATATGTGTCTTACATTACATTTCTATTGGATGGCACTGGTCTAGATGGAAGAGACTTAAAGACTGAGAACTAGAACTAATTTCTGAAAACCCACCTGCAAATGTATGGATCTAATTCTTGAAAGATAATTCCAAAATGAGGTGGCATATCTGTTTAAATATCGAAGCACTTGAAAATAGTCTTGTAAATTAAATGTCTAATTATGGCTAAAACACATCATCTGTAAAATACAACCTACATGAAAACTTCTCAATGACCATTTAAATGTACCTATTGCTATAAACATAGCTATGATTTTCAGCTGTGCACTTTTGCAGAAGAGGGTTAATTTTTAATCTAAGCACCACCCTCATTTTGCTATTATCCTGAAAACTTTAACAAAAAATACTGGTGTTGTGTGTAAAGACTATTTTAAAGCAGCACTATGATCCTTTCAAGATACCTCTAATTCACTGTTGAATGCATAAAATCCAAGTTTATCTATATTACTTCCCATATCCTGTTAAGGACACTAGGGGGAGCCTCAGAGAGTAATAAAGTTTTGAGAAAATCATATGCCTCTGTTAGCAGAGGACAACTTAATATAATTATGCTTTTTCTCCCTTTTGAGAATTATTTTGTGATATATATGTGTATATAACATACTGTATACGCATGTACATACAGACACAGGCATTTTCCCAACTAATGACAAATTCTGCCAAACACACCTGGAATAACAATAAGCTCATGTGGACATCACCACTAACAAATTAACCAAGTGGTTTTTCTAAAGGTACCAACTAGTTGATTATTTTTAATCAGTCATATACCCCCTTGTCTTCCCTTCCCTTCTTAATAACAACATGTTTTGGTTAATTTTGTTAGGTATGAGAATTTTTAGTTGAATATCATGGATTATATCAGTTGTTCTCAAAATGTGGGTCCTAAATAAGCAGCATAGGCATCATTTGGGATCTTTCTAGAAATACAAATTCAACCCCATCCTAGACCTATTGCATCAGAACTCTGGGGTGAGACCCAGAAATCGGTGCTTTAACAACCATTCTAGGTGATTCTGTTTCTGGCTAAAGTTTGAGAACCACAGGATTAGAAGAAAACTTCACATTGTGATGAATTGTCTGGGAAAATTTTTAGTGAGCTAACATGAAATCAATATTTTTCATGTTAATGTGGCATTGAAATCCACAATCAAAACTTACAAAATGCCTGAAGTGTATAATTGTATTAACTTTTTTCCAAAAAGGGAATAAATGCTTCATAGTAAAATAAAGTCCCTTAATTTCCAGTTTTATGATTTTTTCATCATTGCTCAGAGGAAAAATTGCCTAAATCCATGAACAGAAAGACAGCAAGGCCAGTGATGCTACATGTGGTTGGAACCACGCCTGGCACATAATAGGCACTACATGATTGCTAGCGATTGCTATTATTTTCATTATTGTTTTGTTGTTATCGTTTTCTTTGCTAGATGGCAGGTTCTGAAAGGGCTCTCACAAGGTGATGAATGAACTGCTGTTGAATGAGAAAACGGCCTTATGATGAAGTATTTTTATTCATATGATTCAATGTGAGGTATGTTTACCAGTGAATTTAACACAAGGCTCTGAGGATCATGAGGATAGACACTGCAGGAAGACAGCTTGGAAATCTCCCCTGGGGTGCCATGTGAATGGTAGAAGACAGAAGTCGTTCCTATACACAGAGCATATTATTATCAAGGCCAGGTGGTGGATGGTGTGTACATATGTGAATGGCAGTGGTAAAATTGGGAGTTATCTTGGTTTTTAAGACTGCCATAACAAAGTACCACAGACTAGATGGCTGTGAGATATTTACTGTCTATAAATTCTGGAGTCTACAAGTTCCAGATCAAGATGTCAGCTGCGTTGGTCCCTTCTGAGGGCTGTGGGGAAGGATCCTCACCAAGCCTCCCTTTTTGGCTGTGGATGGCTGTCTTTTCCCCTTGTCTTTTCACATTTTCGTCCCTTTATGAGTGTTTCTGTGTCCAAGGTTCCTGTTTATATAAGGACACTAATCATACTGGATCAGGGACCCATGATAATAACAACCTCATTCTAATGAAATTAACTCTGTGAAGATCCTGTCTACCAATGAGGTCACATTCTGAAGTACTAGGAGTTGAGACTTCAATATATGATTCTGGGGGGGAATCATATATTGAAGTCTTGGAACAATTCAACTCATAACAGGATTGGTAGGAGATTTTTTGGCAAAACAGACTGCAGTGAGATTATAAGGCATCTTATATGCAGTTCTACGTTGGTACCATTTCCTGCTGACAAAGTGCATCCTCTGAAGATCTTATGGAAGGGAGTGATATGATGTGTTTTCTGGGAGTGACAGGCAGTAAAGATTAGAGCGAGAGGAAGCCAGGGTAGGCAAAGGTTTGAGTAAACAGGTGCATCAAAAGGCTGCTTAAATAGAAGCAAGGAGGAGAGTTTGAAGAAGGCAGCCTTGGGAAATTCAAGCGCTATCCCAGATGAAGAAATGTGTTCAGGTGGTTTTTACATGAAGAAGAAAAACAGAAAACCACTTAAAAATAACCCCTAAGATTTTAGCTGAATTCATAATTGGATCGCAATGATAATAGAGAAAAAGCATGGCTCAGTCAAATATATCTAAAATTAGGTGTGGAATAGAATTCAGATCCACTGTTTAGTTGTGTTCAGTTGGAAATAAAGGCATATGGGTTATAGTAGATTTGGGGCTAAAGGCATCGATTTTGCACGTAGCAGGAATGGAAACCATGACAATAAATAAATACACTGGGTAGAAACTGAGAGAAAGGTGGGGCAGATAGACTCAGTGGAAAACACTGAGGAAATCAACATTTGGGGAGCGGTTATTGAAGAGACAGTGAAGGGCAGAGAAAGTATTGAGAGCAAAGGAAACTGGCAGGACGACTGAGCTGCGGAAAACCCAAAAAGAGAGAGTCCAAGAAAATGAAGAATTAACATGTTAAAATGTTGTGGGAAGTCAGGTAGTTTAACACCCAAGAAGTAGCCACTGTATTTGGTATTTAAATTCTAAGAACAGCAATGTAGAATGTTCCGGAAAGTGTTTGCCTGAGTGTGTGTGAATATGTCTATTTATGTTACATATCAGAGCTATGGGGAACAATTTCATCTCAACATAATTTTTTCTTCCTGTTCTACTGCAACTAAGCGCTGTCCTCATTTGCTAATTCATTTATTCCACCGAATATTTATTAAGCATCACTCATGAGTCAGATGCTGAGACAAGCTCTGGAAACACATAGTTAAAACATTACAGTCTCTATCCTCAGGGAATTCTCAAATCCATGTGATATTTACAACGGAGCACTGCATAAGGTATTCATGTTTTGCCTCCTGGCACTCCAGGGACCAAAACTTGGTTTTGGCCTGCAGCTCGGTTCCGTACTCCAGCAGACAAGTCAGGTGTTTTTCTTTGTTTGTTTTTTCTCTCTTGCTTTTTTTTTTTTTTTAAACACACACCAAGGAAACATTTTATAGTAGTTTGTTGTGACTCTTCTTGACATTTTAGGAGCTACTTGTTCTCTCTATGTAGCAAAGAAGTAAATAAAAATAGAGCTGTCATAAAATAGCAATCCACAGGCTACCAAATCTCAAAATAGGTTCACATGTTAGGAAAAGTTGCTAGTCAACATTTGTGTTATCTGAAGTGGCTTAATGAGATTATGAACACACTGTCTCCCAGTTAATCCATCTACCACCATTGCTACTGCCTTAAATGTGACTCTAACCATACTGACCACCAACACTATTATTATAAGCAGAAAACCATAAATATAAGACTTAAAATATCTCACATATAACTTGAAAGGAATTGTCTTAAATTTATTTTTATATACTTAATTGAATCAAATTAACTCCAGTAAACTGTTCTGGTATGTTTGTTTGTTTTTTTAATTTTTCTATTTGTTTTAGATTTGTTTATACTTTATTTGAGGGAGAAAGATTTTTAAAATTTACTACAAGTAACATCATAATCTATGTGTACAGTTATGGCTGAGTGTTTCAATTAAAAAATACATTGCATGACAATTTTCTGTTTCACAAAGAGAAACAGCATTTTTGAAAAATTGAATTCTCCTGTGTAACCTGGTAGAGTTTTCTATTCCTGAATATACATCCTTTCATAGATATTACTAGCAGGCTAAACATCTGGCATTTAAATGTCATTACTATAAATAAACCACAAAATTGGCTGCCTGATTTGAAGGGTCAATCTTATGGAGTAACTGAAGAAGAATCATTTTTAAAGGAGATGAGCAGTTTTGGATTTATGATACCAATAATTTCTCTCTTTAAGGAACTCCAACTCACTTAATTTAATGTTAAGAATAAAATCAGACTAATTAGTTCTCAGGACAGGTCAATGGCACACCATTTTCCTTTTCACTTTGGCAGAAACCTAGGAGTCACTTTTGACCCTCTTCATGTCCCATCAATCACCAAGTTTTGTGTCTTCTTCAGAATGACTCAATTCAGTTCTACCAGCCTACTTCAGGCCATACTCATCTCATGCTTCAATTACTGTAATAATTTTAATGTGAATTAGAGACAAATTCATGATAAAATTAGAGACAAATGTCCTGATATATCTTGAAAATTATTGCAAAGACCATGAAACTTTGTAAATTTAATCTATTTTTAAACCAATCTTTTCTTTTTTCCTCTTTCAGTTAATCTTCTGAAGTGTCTATAATGACTTTGTATTGTGCATGAATTAAGATTAAACTCCTTAAATTTAAAACAATGAGTTAGTTGTATTTAGCCTGCCTGAACAGTATCTTTTCTTCTCCATTACCGCCATGGCTACCATGATGAATTTTTTGAGTCAGGATCTCCTCTGTCACTCAGACTGGAGTGCAGTGTCATGATCATAGCTCACTGCAGCTTTGGCCTCCTGGGCTCAAGCAGTCCTCCCACCTCAGTCTCCCGAGTAGCTGGGATCACAGGCATGTGCTACCACACCTAGCTGATTTTTTTATTTTTGTTTAGAGACAACATCTCGCCATGTTGCCCAGGGTGCTTGGGTAATTCCCTCCTTCATTCAGGCTGCTTCCGTATTTCCCTAAACCTTCCTTTCTCTTTCTCTGGATCTCCATTTTGCACACCAAAATGTGTGCTCTTTCTCCCCTTCTACTTTCCACCAAACCATTTCTTATACTCTTAAAACATTAAAAGTATCCTGGGTAAGACAATCTTTGCTAAGCTCTACCTATCACAAGCTTTTTCTTCACTTGAATACAAACTTATACTATACAAATCAGCACTCAAATCTGTATTTCCTTATATGTGTTTGTCTTTGCTACCTTATACATTTATATTATATTGTAAATTTCTGAGCCTTGTGAATACCTCAGGACAGTACATACAAATACTACATTGTCAAGTGCCTCATTTGTTATTTTTCTTATGAGCTACATATTTTGAAAGCTTTATCTGATCAAC
Source organism: Homo sapiens (assembly GCF_000001405.40). Lineage (NCBI taxonomy): Eukaryota > Metazoa > Chordata > Mammalia > Primates > Hominidae > Homo > Homo sapiens. The sequence continues at coordinate 76,581,016 of NC_000003.12, read as the reverse complement.
CACAATCACTAAGCAAATGACTTCTTGGCTTTTGAATTAGATCATCAGAACTACTGTTCTGCTATTGATACTGTTCTAGTCTCACAAAAGGATTCATGATGCTTTATCTATTGAACTTCCAGAAATATAAAACTAGCCCAAGGTCTCCAGTTTTTTTTATCTTTCAGAACTTTTAAGCATTTGTGGTTACTGCTATGGAAAAAAAAGGTTACTTCTTATCATCTTTGTTATAGACAAGCAGTATCTAGAAACATATTATCAAACAAATTGGTGGTAAATTAATTCATGTTTTTCAAACTGGACCTAGGTTTAAAACGTTGAACAACACTTGGTATTTTAAAATAAAGGGCCTCTATTTTTCAGATAATGACATATTTATTCTTGGGGGTTAAAAGGGTGGTTGTTGGCCAATAGGAGGGAAAAATAATTTAATTTTCTCCCAGATTCTTTCTTACTGCTGAGGTCCTGAATATCATGTTTTTACAACAGTGCCTTCACAAAGTAGAGTAAGATATTTAAAGTGAATTAATTACCTTAGCAAATGAAGCTTAGCAGTTTGGTTAAATGGTATGATCACGTAGTAGGCCATAAGATCAAGTGGCAAAAATCCATGGAGAACTGAAGATACTGTCAGACCAAGAGAAAAAAACCAAAAAAAAAAACAAAAAAAAAAACACAAAAAAAAAAACAAAAAAAAAACAGGGGTTGGGTTAGCAGTTGGGGGAGAGAAGCTAAGAAAGAGCAACCAGGCTCTAGCAAATAAAAAATTAATCAAATTAACAATATAATAATGAATAATGACTTTGATAAGAAAACTCAAATAAACCTATACTCAGTACTCAAAAACCAAACTCAAATACTACAGAAATGATATAACAGCCCCCAAGGGAAGTCTCCTACTGATATCCTAAATCAGGAGCAGAGGGCAGGCAGAAATGAGTGGATACTCAAGCCACCACCTGCTCCGTTACCTTCTTCCTTGTGTTGGGGACCTCTTTAGGTGGCCTCTAGCAAAGAGTATAAGGGTGAGAGCTAAATCAAAGTACTTGCTGCCAGAGAATGGACCCTGTCTAAAAAGGGGAATCAGGTTGGTATTTGAGTGTCGAATGACATGTTTATGCCATAAATAATTTCATCTTCATACTGGCTGATTAAGGCAGGTGGTATTTTCTATCTTAGAGAACAGACTCAAAGTTTTGTTTTCTTTCTTTCTTTTTTTTTTTTTTTTTTGTAACTCAACCAAAGTCATAGCTTTTTTGAAAGGAGCAATAAAAACTCATGTCCTATTTTGTCAGCTTCCAAATTTCGTACATATGGCTCCAGCTGACCTCCATCTGGTCTTAATAGGTAAACATATTAGACATGAAACTTCCCCTCAAACATATGAACCAAGACTTTCAGTTAAGATTTTTGAAATAATTAAGATAAAATCTCACTCTTTCTCAGGTAATATTTGCAGTATAGCATACTTGATATGTGTTTTTTTCTGTAGAATTAGTTGTGGAAGTTTCCTTCAATCATTTATTCATTTCTTCAAGAAATATTTATTGAACTAGTAGCATTACAGATTTAGTAAAAACTGTCCTGTGACTTCATGGTACTTACAGTTTAAGAAGAGAAAGAGTAAATAAAAAATAAAAGCATAAATAAACATAGCTGTAAACTGTAAAATAAATCATAAGATGCAACAAAAATAGAATGAATTAAAAAATATACTGGAGATATATGAAATTGACTCAGGACAGAGAATTCTGTGGTAAAGATGCTATCTTTTATTTATTATGGTTCCAGCAAGAAGCCAATGAAAGGATTTTGCACAGGAAGGTAATATGATCCAATTTCTATTTTTAAAAGATGGCTGTTTGTGGAGGAAGGATCAGAGGGAGTTAGTAGCAGAATATAAAAGAAAATATAGGGAGCAAAGTTAGTGGTCCAGGAAGAAATCCAAAATGATCGAAGTAAGGTGGGAAGAATAGTGCTAGAGAGACTTGGTATGATTTTTCAAGAGATGTATTATAGAGAAAATCACCTGGCTAGCATGGTAGATTTTACATGGGCAAGAGTAGCAAAAGGGTGATGTTGATTTCAGCCACTCTGTGTATGAAGTGGCCATTTAGTAAAACGAAGAAGGCTGGAGAGATTGTAGGTTTGGGCGAAAGGATTACTAGTTCAGGCTTAAATATGAAGTATGAAATTCCTTTAGGTGTCCAGTTACAGATGCCGTGGAGGCTGTTGAATATATTGGCCTGAAGCTTGAAAGAAGAGAAAACAGCAATGTCATCCACTATGGTGGACAGCTGAAGTGATGGGACTCATGAGATTGCTGGGCTAAGACAATACTATGAAAAGGGAATAAAGAACCATCAAGGGAGGCGAGGGAGATGGAGAAGTAGCAGGTGGGGGCAATAATGAGGCTCCGTGGAGGCCAAGAGACAGAACACCAACTATGTGAAAAGCAGCTGCGAGGTCAAGAGGGATGATGATCGAAGAGTCCATTGGCATGACAGCAAAATGTTACAAATGAACTAAAAAGAACAGTTTAGTAGAGTAGCCCTGGGAGCAGGGAGAGAGTTGCAGGATATGAAGAAATGAATGGGGGGTGAGAGGTGAAGCCAGCCTGTGTAGACAATTTTATTGGGAAGCTCGACTGAGAAAATGAGTAGAGACCCAAGACAGGAGAGTAATGTGGAACTGCGGTTTAACCTAATGATACTTCAGCACATATTTGAGTGCTGATTGGGAAGGAGTCAATAGTAATAAAAATAACAGCAGCTAATGTTCCAGTGTGCCAGGCATTGTCCCAGGTGTTCACCCATGAAGATTTATTTAACACTCATGACGACCCTACAATATTGTTATTACTGGTTTATTTTTACAAAGAAATTGGGGCATGGACAGGTGAACCTGTCTAAGTTCCCAAGCTGGTAAGTGACACAGTCAGGTTTTAAACAACCTGACTCTTTTCTTTGCTCTTATTAATTGGCAAAACACTAGTTTTGTATTAGAGTAGTAGAGAAGGAAATTTGAAAGTTAAAACAGAATGGAAACAACAGATGAAGTGCATGGGAAGGAAGGCAGGAGAAAAGCGATGTAAAACATATGTAGAGGGACTGGACATTATTAGACAAAAGGCCAGTTCTTTGTTGGCTTTTGAAGTGTCTTAATGAGACTGGACCTATTTCTTATCTCATCACTTGTGAATGATTCTTCAGATATTAATAACGGCAGTAATCCCTTATATAGGGATTATGATAAGGTTTGAGATTACCCAAATAAATGCTAGTGGTTTTTACTTCTAAATCCAAATACTGCAGAAATCGAAATCCTCAATTCAGATGTCTTCCCCAGTTCCCCTAGAAAGTGTTAAATTGCTTCTAATTTGATTAAATACAAGCACTTACTCATGTTGTGGTGTCACTGGCTACATTTCAGGTGTGATTGAAGCATGTATAAACTGCTTTTGGACATGCTAACAACTCAACAGTGTTAATTAAAGACAATATGCTTGACTCTTTGATTTGGACAGTTTCTGCTAGGATGGTGTAAACAATAACATGTACAAAAATAGAGTAGAATTTTGAGAATTTGTCCCATGTCAGCAAAGTTTATTAGTTTCCAAGGGAAAGCTGTGTAAGGTCATTGCTTACAGAACCACAAAATAATTATGTTTCCCAATTTATTATGGAGCTGGGTATGGAGGATAAAGAAAATTAAAAAAAAGAAGCATCTTTTTAATTTGCTGATAGATTTTTGAGGCAATCTTCCTCAAAGTATTATTTCCTAAAAAATGAGATATGTAGTTTTTACATTTAAAAAAGATACCATGTAGCAACATATCAAGGTGTGTTATGTACAAGAGATTTGTTCTCTAACAATTATGCTCTGCTCTGATTGTGTATGAAGCCTCAAACCAAAAATCCAGCCAGGAGAGATCTGCCCCAATGCTTCTGTTATAAAGAATATTAACAGACTGCTTTTAGTCTTCCTGAGATAGATACAAAGAAGTCATGTTTTATTTCCTCCTTTCCTCTTCTTCCCTATTCCTCTCCTTTCCTCCTTTCTTCCAAGGAAAACTACTTACGATTTACAAGGTATAGTGTCCCTGGAAATGTGAAAGTGCCAATTCCAGATTTAGTCAGAATAATTACTGAAGAATAATTATCAAGGAATTGTTAGATTACAGAAAAGAAAAATAATACTCTCATTTTCTTTTTTACTTTTCTTTTTTTTTTTTTTGTGAGACGGAGTTTCACTCCTGTTACCCAGGCTGGATTGCAGTGGTGCAATCTCTGTCAAAAAAAAAAAAAAAAAAAAAGAAAGAAAATGATTTAAACTGTAAAAATAATAAACAAAACACAAAGGGTAAAGTGTTATGAATACTTTTTTAAAAAATGAGATTTTAAAAATAAACATATATTCTCAATCTGCTTTTGGAAGCTCTTAAAACCTCAGCAAAAAGTAGGCCACCTGATTTGTGATTATACCAATAGTACACCAGTGATATGGGGTCTACTGACAAAATGGGATGCTTTGCAGAGCTAGAAAATTAGATTAAAGAGAACAAACTGATTGGATTTAAAGCTTATATAGGGTCACAGTCTCAAGACGGTTGCATTCAAGAATTGCCAGTAGTGAGAGTATCATATCATCCATCAATCAATCCTCCATGTGAAGAGGCACCTTAATAAAGTCAGTCATGCTGACACTTTTGCCGCCCATGGCTCTGAAGAAGGGCTCATATCAGTGTATGATGTGGCTACTGCATGTTATTACATTATTACTGGCATGTTATATTTGTGTTTGCTAAGAAATTCAACAAAAGTTAACATGAACCATGCTGCTTCTCATGACAGCTACTTTTAAAATATAGTAATTCCTTCAGTTAATTAAACATATGCCAAACATGGAATTAGAATAACTGTATAATTAACACACTTATGGAATTTTCTCAGTGGTGAAATTCCAATCAGATTCCCCTAAATATATGTTTATGCAGAATCCACTTTATACTGAAATTCTTCCAATTTTAAAATTTATTTTAATGTATTGTAAATTCTTCTACTCCTTGCACTAAGAACTTGAGAGCACCTTACTCTAAAAAAAATGATAGCATATTCTAAGCAAAATGAGAGGCAGTCACTAAAATCCTCTCTCTCTCTCCACAAATCTAAAAACTCAACTAAATTAAATTTCTTTAGCTCTTTTACTGAGGGGCTTATTGTGGAGATGGTTATATGATTGACATTTTGCAGGTTAAAATATGAATTTTAAAAGAACTGCCCCTACATATTAGCATTTGGTTTGGACAAGTTATAGGTATGAACAGAAAAGAAATATTTCTTTAACCTTTGGAAAGAAAGATAAAGAATGAATTGCTTGTCTTTCTATAGAGAACAAGTCGTATTTTTTGGCCCAAAAGGGGGAAGGTCTCTCTCAAATTTATTGTCTCATACTTCTACCTCCAAAGAGACAAAAATACTTGCCTATGACAAGTAAAATGTCATTTTATAATTCCTTGCTAACCAGTTTGAACATTTTCAAAAACCGTATAATTAGCATGGTGATTATAGGGTACCATGAAATTACATGGTCAGTTGTTTTAATATTATGAAAATTCTGTACATAATTTTGGGCTCTGATAAAACATTATGTACTAACTATAAATATTAGTAATATAAAGAAATATTTTATAGTATTAGGAGAGAAGAAAGTATTAGAGTTTACCTCCAAAATTTTTCCATTTTTAAATCATCTTCCATGTTGCACTGCATATTAAAACTGTACAGAAATGGAAAGAATGGGAATTATCAAGGTATTGTAAAAATGTTGAGTTTTTGAGGCAGAAGGATTTCTTGAGCCCAGGAGTTCAAGTCCAGCCTGTGTAACTTAGCAAGACCCTATCTCTTAAAAAATAGTTAATTTTTTTGGATGTTTTCCAAAATCAGGAAGAGGGCTAATATCTAAAACAAACATTTTTCTGTTTTCTCTCCGTTTCACTGAGCAAGAAATAGAAAAATGTCTTTTCACTTCCTTAACAAGTTTATAGAATGATAAGGGCAAATTTTGAAAGGCTAGATAGAAGGCAATCAACATTCAAAGAGGAAGGACAGTTTTTAAATAGGTTTTTAATTTTGTTCCTCCAATTACTGTCCATGGACCAGCAGCACTGGCGGCACCTGGGAGCCTATGAGATCACACAGCATCTTAGGCTCAGTCTAGAGATATTAAATCAGAATCTGCACAGGAACAAGATTCCCCAGTGAGGTGTTTACACATTAAAGTTTGAGAAGCCCGGTTCTATTTCACAGATGTATTTAGTTCATTCTCCTTGAAGCTCAGGGAGATTTAGCCTAGCTCACATTCATAATGTTTCTCTATGATAGGAAGTGGGTATACTCTCATTTTACAGGCAGAAAAACTCATGTGCATAAGATATGTGATTTACCATATATCACCCTGTCAGTGATGATACATTTGTTCTTGGCAATCAATATTAAAAGGTTTTCTTTATATTGTTCTAAAACTTAAAGCTCTAAAGGGAATACTGTTTTAGGTATAGAAGCTGACTCCTGCTAACATCATTGAAAGTTTTTATGTGATTCAAAGTTGTATGCTACATAAAGAGAATGATCTCCAGAATGGGTTTACTTTTTAGGATATTTTTCCAATTATTTTAACTATAAGTAATAAGAGCTTTATAAATTTATGTGGTTATCTAATGAAACACCTCTATACTTTTCTATTTTCTATATTTTACTGGTGATTATTTACCTGATTTTGTTATACTCATTCACACAAACCTGAATTATTTTGACTTTTTAATCAGTTTAATTGGTTTATTTCATAGTTTTTCATGCTTAATTCTAATAAACAGATATTTATTGTTCTATGTATGCTAGGGAAAAGCACAGGACGGAAAATAATGTGTATTAAATGATGAACAAGATAACATCTCTGCTCTCAAATACACTCTAGTTCATCAGGGGAGTTAAGACACATACACAAATAACCATGATTAATTTCAATGACAAAGAAAATGCTATGGGAACGCAGAGAGCAGTCACTTCTGATTTGCAGAATTAGTAAGACTTCCTGAAGGAGAAAGCATTTAAACTAGGCCAAGGAGGATGGTTGGGATAATAGGACGAAATGTTACTCAAGAACATTTCATGCAGTGAAGAGAGCAAGAGTTTCCCCATGCGGTGGATCATTCCAAAAAGTGCCCAAGGAATGAGGCCACCAAATGCTTCTTCTGCAGGTACTTAGCTGCTCCTATGAAACTGTGCAAAGTTAAAAGTAGATATGATGAGCCCTCATCAAAGATTTTAAAACTATATAAATTATTAAGGGAACTAGCAGGATGATAATGCTGGTTCAAAAAAGTAATAGGCTGCCAAATATAGAGTCAGTGGAGAAAAATAAATCTCTGGAATCATGTTACAAAATTAGATATAAGATTGGTTAACATCCTATAAGCAAAAAAAAAAAAAAAATTGAAAACTATTTTTTCCACGGGACAGAAAACATTTGTTATTTGTCAATCTTCACAAAATTAACATGAAACTTTACAGTATGGTTCTAATCGATAGTAAATAGTAAATCAAACAAAGTTGCAATTCCTTAGAGCACCAGCTGACTCTTAAATGGGTTAGTTTGATAATGCTCTGATTGAACTTCAAAAGGGCACTTTGAGATACTTTTAAAATTGATTTATTAAAACCACTCTGTTATGTAGCTATTATCAACCCCAGTTTTTGTAGAGGAAACTGAGTCTTAGACATATCAGGGAAATTGCCCAAATCACATGGCTGATACAAAAAAAGAATTGAGATCCTAATCCAGATCTATTTGACCTCAAATCCATGCCCTTTTCGCTACACAAAAGCAAGGGAGAGTTGATACTTAACCTGTCCCAGGCAACGTGGAAGTGCTAAACTAACTAATTAAAATTAATTCAATCCTTAAAAAATGAGCCCAACAAAAACCAACATTTTTTGTTTGCTGGATTCCTACTACACAAATGAAGAGGCTGATACCCCAAAAAGCAAAAGAAGGAAGAGAAGTTTATGCTGTCAGTAGCAAAAGACCTGGGACAGAAGCTAGGCACATAGCATTCCAAGACTGCACAGCATGTTTAAGGAATAACCCAGTTCAGTGTGTCCCGGGACTATGATGGACAAAGTCTATGGAAATAGGTAAGTGTGGATGGAGATGCTACTTGCAATATTCCCTCAAGGGGCTAGAATTTGCCTTTTGCAATGCTTAACATTTTTGAGCATACATCAATCTGTGACTCAGAATAAAGTTGTGGAGTCCTCCTGAAGGATGTCAATCTATACTTATGCCCCAAGCTTTGCAGTCATTCTCAGAGACTTACATACTTTTTGACGTATTCATTTTGACATAAGAATATCTATAGGTGGGAAGTAAGGACTCCTTAAGGTTTTTAGAAATCAGATTAATCTGTTTATGCATTGTTTGAGCACACTGTTCAAGTAAATAGCATTTTGACTAAATGTCGATGATGGAGAATACAATTCTTAGCTTCCTCCAGTTAGCACCAGGACTCACTTCCTAGTTCAAACTGATACAGTTCCAACCCCATGATTTCATTAAAAAACAAACAAAGACAAAAACAAAAAAGGAAGAGAAAAACAACCACCCTACCTCAGGCACAAGTAGAGAGAGATGATGATGATGGTGTGGTTAAAGGTATCCGGTCTGAAGCTGGATGCACAGGTTTAAATATCAGCTTCCCTAGTTACTAGCTGCTCAGGATCTTAGATTTTTTAAAACCTGTCTGTGCTTCAGTTTTGTTCTCTCTAAAATGGGGTTAGTGATAGTACTGCCCTGCTAAAAGGATTCAATAAATTTGTACTTACAGTGTTTATGGCAGTCTTTGACACATAGTAAGTGCCACATATTATTTATAGAAAGCATTTCTATCAAATACTTCAGGTATAATATCACTTCTTAAGGTGTTATAACATTTATATGACTACATTTTAGAGGATATAGTTGCATATCTAGACTTTCCAAAATCTTCAGAATACATCAATGATATCCAGGCTGAACTTGAGCTCTTGGGCTCAAGTGATCCTCCCACCTCAAAATTCAACACTTTTAGAATGGTCTGCCTTTAGTAATTTACTTCCATTATTTTCATTTCAGTACATTTTAAATACGCAGTGCAATACGGAAGATGGTTTTAAAAAATCAGCCTTCTAAAATGTGACATTTTTTTTCCTGTACATAAAATGGAGAAATCAGCTAGAAATTACCTTCTATTTCTACAAACTAATAATGTAATTTAACTTAAACAGTCTTAGTACTTCCTGGCTAATTAATTATGTAATGTTAAATATGAATTTGGGACTCATTAGAGAAATATGTAACTACTGTATGTTATTACCTAACTCCTATGAATTATATTGTTCTTTGTCTCTTGATTTATTAAATTAATAAACTCTACCATTATCTTAATTGGAGTTTTACACTTTGATAATTCTATCTCATGAAGTTAACTACTGGTTTGTTTCTCAGTATCTTGGTATAAAAACCTCTAGGTCTCATATTTACTCTGGTAATTTTATTGAAAAGATATTTTATGGCTTCCTATATTTTATTGTTTGTGATTTAATCAGAGTTGGAAAAATTCTGTATATTATTTCAAACAAAGAACAATCTGAAATTTACACATTTTCCCAATAAAATGAAACATTACCACTCACTACATGTATTCTGGTAAAATCTTATCTCCTAACAAGTAACATGACCTACACATACAAATCTGGCTTTGAGAATGTTTTCTTTTGTTAATTGAATGCTGTATTAGTATTTCCTGGTTTCTTTTCAATAATACTGCATAATACTTAATATTTATTTAACTCACACAGGAACTGTGAGTTATACATGCTAGAGATAAAAAGACCTTACATAATTTCATATCACCTGTGCAAATATGATCTCTCATCTTCCGGAGTTATGAAGCACATGATATTTTAAGACTTCTTTAATCTTCATTACATAAGTTTTAGAACATTTTTTCTTGTATTCTGTATGATACAGTTTTGTCATACATGAAATGGTAAGAAAATTAACAGATATTTCCTGATTAAGTCAGGAGAGAGGTAGAATTCTGAAAATAACATTTATGCATCCATAAGATGTACAACAGAGATATTTTCTTTCTTATTTGAGGAGCAGGGCTATAAAACTAGATGGATGACTTTAAGTAAAAAGAGCAGAAAATTCACATTTTTGACGATTCTTGCACAAGTTATTAATGTAAATCTTCAGCAGCCTGTATGTTTCTAAACCAGATTACCTTCCTTAAATTTCAATGAGCATGTTCATATTTGAACAGTAGAGGGAGCTCTAAAAAAAGCTTAGCAAATAGATGAAAAGTTGCAGTTTGCACAAAATTCTAAGTAAAAATTCCTTAAAAAGCTTTTGTTTTAAATCAACACATTGATTTTATTTTAAAAGATTGTGTGCTTTTAAAAGCTCCTTATATGGTTAATATGTTTTGCTCATTTTTACTATTTGATAATTGAGTTATTTTAAAGCGCTCTAGATGTACGAGTTATTTTTTACATCCCATTAAGTTTATGTGTAAATTTACTTAAATGTGTCTAGACTAAGTTATTTCTATGATTTATCCTCTCTGTTTTAAGTATGCCACAGATGCATTAACAGTTTGTGAAGTCACCATAAACCTTATTGTTCTAAACCTGGCTTACTTACCCTGTGGATCTAGTCAAAACTGGACTGGAAAAAAGCAATAGCTCCATTGGAGCCCAGAACTATCCAATGGCTATCAGTAGTTGACCAACAGTTGATATTTACTGAGTGCTTATTAGAATCTTTATTTTTTATTTTTGGGGGCAGGGTCTCGCTTTGTTGCCCGGGCTTGAGTTCAGAGGCATGATCAAGCTCACTGCAGCCTCGATCTCCTGGGCTCAAGCAATCCTCCCACCTCAGCCTCCTAAGTAGCTAGGACTACAGGCATGCCCCACTATGCCCAGCTAATTATTATCATTATTTTTAATTTTATTAGAGACAATGTCTCCCTATGTTGCCCAGGCTGGTCTTGAACTCCTGAGTTCAAGCAATCTTCCGGCCTTGGCCTCTCAAAGTGCTGGGATTACAGGTGTGAGCCACTGCACCTGGCTGCTTATTGGAATCTCAATGCTGTTCTGGGTCCTTTAATAAGCATAAAAGAAATACAACCAAGTGAAAGTGTTCGCAGAATGGGGTGGCTATAATGGTAGTTGGAAAGGACTTGGGAATAGAGCTGGATTCTCAAGGATGGTTCTACTTTTGAGTTGACTATGTTACCTAGATATAATGACTCATACATCACAAGGCCCATTTTGAGGATTATACAACTTAACAAAGGTACATTTTATTAAAATATTACTGAATCACAAGTATTCAACAAATACCTCCCTTTTACCTCCATATATAGTAAAACTAGTATATGTGCATAATTCATTGTTTATAATTTCACAATCCTAAAGTCTCTGAAATCTGATGTTTTTCCCATACAATTCTCTATGTGGCAAAACCTGGCCTGACTCAAACTAAGTCAGCGACAAGCCTTGATCTCAATTGATATGAAGATATGTAATTATATTTTATATTTTTATAAACACTCATTATTTTGCTGAACAGGAACATTTGTTTTTAATTAGCTGGTGCTTATCCAGATGCCCACATGTATATGTTCTATAACATCTAGTATATGCATCCCTTATTGTTCTAGACCCAGAAAACTTCTGAACTGAAACACAATTGGCCCAACTGTTTTAGACTGAGATTGTGGCTTTGTACCTGTCTCCAAACTGTCTTCAGTCTTGATGATCATGTTTAACTTATGATGTTAGAAAATATAGATGGGTGTCTATCATGCAGAGAAGATCCATGCAATAACCCATCTTCAAAAGGCCCATAATACATACAGAGATTTATATCTATATCAAGTCATTGAATAATCGATATCTAAATGATCTAAATATTAAACAGCATTATGTGGAAGCACTTTGAATTCTTGTTACTCATAGGGACTACTTGTTTATGACATTTATTTAGTTGCAGATTTAGTTGCAGGTTTTACATATCAATTCTAAAATATATTTACATCATTTAGTAGAACATAGAATGCTATGGGTCTGCATATTGTAAAATACAGTAAAATCTATTAGATAAGAGGTGACAAATCAAAGAGAAAATGATTCAGATTAAATTTAGAAAAGGGGCTGGTGATAAATAAATAAGGTACAATATATCTCACAGATTCTTAAAATAATCTTGATTATGCTTTAATGATGACTGTAATAGGTGGGATGGCAGAAATACTACCAGAATTTCTCTTAATGAAATAAAAACCTTCTTTAAGAAAAGCAATGTGGCCAGGCGCGGTGGCTCACGCCTGTAATCCCAGCACTTTGGGAGGCCGAGGCGGGTGGATCACGAGGTCAGGAGATCGAGACCATCCTGGCTAACACGGTGAAACCCCGTCTCTACTAAAAATACAAAAAAAAAAAAAAAATTATCTGGGCGTGGTGGCAGCGCCTGTGGTCCCAGCTACTCGGGAGGTTGAGGCAGGAGAATGGTGTGAACCCGGGAGGCGGAGCTTGCAGTGAGCCGAGATCGCACCACTGCACTCCAGCCTGGGTGACAGAGCGAGACTCCGCCTCAAAATAAATAAATAAAATTAAATTAAAAAAGAAAAGCAGTGTGAATTATTTCATATTCCTAAAAATGACACATAAGAATACCAGAGAAAATAAAAATAGATGTCGATGAAAGTGACCAGTTCAGATTTTAGCAAGAAATTGTACTAGTAGTTGAATACTATGCAGGCACCCCTATTGTTCAAATGTTTTTACATTTATGTAAGCAGGGTGCAGTGGCTTATGCCTGCAATCCCAGCACTTTGGTAGGCTAAGGCTGGTGGATCGCTTGAGCCCGGGAGTTTGAGACCATCCTGGGCAACATGGTGAAATCCCGTCTCTACTGAAAATACAAAAATTATCTGAGCGTGGTGGTATGTGCCTGCAGTCCCAGCTACACAGAAGGCTGAGGAGGGAGGATCAGCTGAGCCCGGGAGATTGAGGCTGAAGTGAGCCATGATCCTCCCATTGCACTCCAGCCTGGGCAACAGAGCAAGACTCTGTCCAACCCCCCCCAAAAAAAAAAAAAAAATATATATATACACACACACACACACACACACACACACACACACAGACAGATATATATATATATAAAACAGTATATATATACTGACATATATATATACACATATACACTGATATACATATATATATACATATATATGTATATATATGTGTATGTGTATATATATATATATATATATATATATATATATCAGTAGTTTGGTATAGCATAAATATAGCCTAATGTGAACATTTTCTTTTCTTCCTATGTAGCAGTAAGAAACCATTCCCTTCCTGGATATTTTCAGTGTCAGCTCTAAATGAAATTCTGAAATTTGGAGTTTCAATTACTAAGTAAAGGAAAAAAATATGTTGAGCTATTTTCATGATACCTAAGATATTAAACAACTAACCAAGATATTTACATTTCCAAAATAAGATACATGTAGCACTGGCAGGGTATTAAACGGCATTGAAAAGAATGACTTATGATATGAAATGTATGAATATGATGTCAAAAATCACAAACACAAAATAGAATGCTCGTAAGTAAACCAACATGCTGAATAAATATTTTCTCCTGAATACACAATCATGCCATTTTCAGGAAATATAAGATTGGCTGTTTCTTCAAGGTTATTGCTACTTTTCCTCCTTTTTAAAATGGTGGACTTTTGCCTTTTCCTTATCTCACGTCTTCGTTTTCCACTGTGGGGTTTGCTTATTTGCTGATCACAGCTTTATTTTGGTTTTCCCTGCTGTGTTGGTGTTAAGACTAATTAGTTTAATATATTCTCCTAAAGGTAGCTGATTTAGACTTTTTCTTTCCCATGGATAAATATATAAATGCTTTAATAAATTTATTTTAAGGTAGCTGAGTTTTACTGCCTCTGCGACTTAGTTCCTTCCCATGGAGGAATCTCTGTGTGCCACAGTGAAATATTTTGAGAGATGCCTGCAGAATTGGGCTGTTGTTTCATCTGATGAGGATGCTGAAGTTATGCAGAGATTTTTTCTCTTTTCTTCTTTTCCTTTTACTTATTTCTCTCTCTTTTTCTTCCTCTCTTTTTCCTTTCTTCTTTCTTCCCACTTCTCTTCCTCTCCACCCTTCTTTCCCTCACTCTATGGCAATGATTTTTGGCATGCTGTTAGGCTGTAAGTTGTAAACATTAATGACTAAAAGAACTTGTTACAAGTAAAGCCATTGGTATTATTTTACTGTGGTGCATCTTTTATTTTATAATAGAATTACTCTTAGTGAAGAGCATATGCATTTTAAAAACTAAACTAGATTCTTTATTGGATTTCTACTTCTGATTAGGGTGACTTGAGAGTTTCTCAAGATACAGTGTTTTGAGCAATAGAAAAGAGAAAGTAGGGATTCCAGACAGTATTTCAGGCCTAAGGGACACAGAAGCCCGAGGAAATCCCTGGTGTGAAAGTGAGTGATGTACTAGGGAGACCGTAAGGCCTCTGGGGTGTGCCTCCATCTGCCTCTCTACATGTGCTCTCTTCACAGCCCAGATGATTCTAATTTTAGAAACCCTCTGTTTATTCAGCTTCAACATTGAGCAAATAACAGGTACTCCTTGCAGACATGATTATTCTTGAGCAAACTGTAGCACGTCAGACCTCATTGGCACATTCCTTTAGAAGGTCCCTTGGTACCCAACCCTCCACAGTATCTACTGTTCTGAAAGTACTCTTGAGTCTGCCTTCACACGCAGTCTACACATATAAGATAAGGCTGTGGTGAACAAAGGAAGCTATGTGTTCTGGAGAAGAGACTTTGATTTCTCCCCAAGTACATGCTCACAGTTACAAGGAGTTCAGTGATCAGTGCCAGCTGGTAATGGCAGAGTACCAGGCAATACCCGTTGGCTACGATGATGAGTGTGCTATGGGAGTTGACATGGTCATTCATTTTACTATGACCTGAGATTACAGTGAACTCTCCTGTACCAGCATATTTGACTAACAACTCCTGGAGACTGTAAAGGACACCTAAATATGGGTCACCAGTAGGCATCCATTCCATGGAACATCCTTCATTATTTATGTATCAGAAACAAATAAGTAAAAATGAAAGTAACAACTTCCTCCTTTCATTGAGTGAGTTACATTACACAGAGTGGTCAACCCTTAACTAGCTCAGAAAATAAATCTTACTTCATTAGGTAAAGGCCCAGGAGATGAGATAGTTGTTGTATCTCATTTTCAGTTTACAATACATGAAAATTTTAAATGCAAATCCACAAGTTTCATTTTGTTTGTGACCACCAGAAGGAAGAAAAATGGAAACATTTTGTGCTTCAACTACAGTGCAGATAGGTACGACAGACAGTTTTACTAAACTTGACGCCATAAAACTGGAATCCAAGAACTGTGGAATTTTAGAGTTACTATCCTGTGGATAAATGTTTATGAAACTGTTCAAGATTCTGTGGCTATCGTATGTCAGTGACTACACACAGATTTTTGAGTAATGTTAAATATTTTCACATTATGCTATTTCTATTGAGGTAAAGTTATTCCAAAAAAATAGAAAAGCAATAAATAAATCAAATTAAATGAGTTGAATATATATTAATAGATTAGAAATCACTATGGATTTTTTATCTGTATTCCTCTGAGACAGCTTAAGGCATTGAAATCTCATTAGAATGAAGGGGATAAATAGATGGTAGTAAAGGGTAGAGCTACCTTCCCCCATTTGAGCCATTCCAAGATCACTTTAGCTTCAGATGGCTAATTGTTATCACAAAAGGGTAAGTAGGTGTCTTAGCTTGCCTGGGATGGTCATGATTTACACCATGGTCTGAAAACTTTTTTGTACCAGCCTCCCTCTTTTTCATCTTCAAAATCTCCCAATCAGATAAATTTTATGGTCATTCTACATATATGACAATTTTTACAAAGTAAATCTAAAAGATGTTATAAAGCAAACATTAAACATGTGTGTAAAAGACAAAATCCCACACAATGCAAGTATTACCATTTTAAAAGAGAGAAAAGACAAGAAAATCTCTTAAACCAGTACATTTACATGGTGAAGATAAAACAGCTTATCAATTTCCTGCATTAGAAAAATGTGAACTATGAAATCGAAATCTGGCCTGTCCCCACCTGTGTGTACTGGGAAGATGAATTAGTCGTTTCAGGCCAGGAAGCTTCCATTCTGTTACACTTGAAAATGTCATGGCCTCACAGAGCCTGGAAAGATTAACCTGTGTTCCAAATCCCAGCCATTGACTTCCTGCTCTCTGACTGACATGTGGACCACATAATACAATTTGGATAAAAATGTGAGGGAAAACTGCTTTTGATGAACTTGTGACTGTCTTCCTTATTAAAATTATCCCATGTTACAACAGGGTCATTGCAGACTAAGAGATGGGCAGTGAATTACTCTAATCAAATATGTATAAGTGGGCCCCAACTGTACTTGGCAAGTAAGAAGCTCTTTATTTATTAGTGTATGTGATTTCTCTTAGGCTCATAAAAGCATTTATGATATTTCTTCAATACAAACTAAACACCAGTTTTTCTAAGTTAAAAAAGTTGCTTTGGAAACTGTAAGGAGCATAATATTCAGATGACAGCACACTTCTATTCATTTTATTTTTTGAGACGGAGTCTTGCTGTGTCGCCCCGACTGGAGTGCATAGGCACTATCTCGGCTTACTGCAACTTCCGCCTCCCAGGTTCATGCGATTCTCGTGTCTCAGCCTTCCAAGTAGCTGGGATTACAGGCACCTGCCACCATGCCTGGCTAATTTTTGTATTTTTAGTAGAGATGGGGTTTCACCACTTTGGCCAGGCTGGTCTCGAACTCCTGAACTCAAGTGATCCACCCACCTTGGCCTCTCAAAGTGCTGAGATTTCAGGCAAGAGCATACTTTTAGATCTTACTTGAATTTTAAAAACAAAGAACTGCTTGTTTATGACCTGGACTTCAAAATCTGTAACTACATTAGTACTGTTTATTATTTTTTAAATTTAAGTTTAAAAAATTGCTTAAGGTAAAGTAATCGTGTAGACACTGAACATTTACTTTCTTATTATGATAACATATATTATGTCATGTGGAAAAATTGATAATACTGTCTCTTAGGGACATTAGCTGTGTTCAAATGTTTAAGTTAATCTACAGTCAACATATTTGAGTCCTAAGGTAATTGATGCAGGCACATTACAAACTTCTTTTACCATTAACATCCATAATATCAGATAAACAATTGATGAGTAAGAAGCAAATAACAAAGATCTGGGAATTCAAACTAATTATTTTCCCATATCAAAATTAACCCATCATAATATAATTTAGCATTCAATAAGCACTTTTCATAAAGGGACAAGAATAATAATGATAAAAAAGCTAGTCCTTATGAACAAATTAAGAGAAACATTTACAAGATTCTCAACAAGCAGCAATCAAACATGTTTTGAGTTGCTTAACATGGAAAAGGTGTGGTAGGTTAGTGTTCTCAAAATTATCATAGTTCCTGCCTTCACACAATCCATTAATATATTAATCGGCTCTATTAAAACAGATTACTTAAGAAAATCACACTTAAAGAAGAAATGATGTGCAGAGTGTCTGATGACAGAGCTAAATATCCATTTTTTCTTCTAGTAGAGAAATTAAGACAGTTTGTTAATTGACTGACTCATTGCATCTTCCCCAATTTTTCAAGGTATTCAGAACAGCATCATAAAAAAAAAAATCCTTCAGTTTGAGAAAGGATAGGCAAACTTTCAGAGATCATGCCAACTTTTTCCTTACTCCTTCCCTCAATGTCATCTACCCAAGAAACTGTTGGCTCAAATCTGAACAGAAAAGTAAACAGATAGATGAAGAAGGGAGAAGAAAGAAGGAAGGAAGGAGAAAGAAAGAAAAGAAAGAAAGGGAGGGAGGAAGGAAGGAAGGAAGGGAGAGAGCACAAGAGAAAGCTGCTCACAGAGCAAATTAGGTTTTCCATTAACAATATATATTCATTGAATTGAAAGTTTGTATTGTATGTCATCACAGAAAAAGAATAAAGGTAGAATTAGACGAATATATTTTAGTCACAGACCTCATTCTTAATGAATAGTATAAAGAAAGACATGACAAAATATTATTTTGGTTGTAATATACCAGATAAAAATGAATGGCAGAAACTATAGTCTGCAAGACAAAAGAAATCCATTTAATTAGAATCATTGGAGGATGGCGACTTTTATTCTCCATTGGTTGTTTTGTAAGAGTAGAAGAGCATTTGAATGAAAAGGGACAGAGCTGGAAACGAAGAAGGGCTCTGACCGAAGGGAGTCTATACTATGCTTATCTTGATAACAGACACAATGAAAAGAATGGAAAAGGTTGAGAGAGAGAGAGAGAGAGAGAGAGATCAATCTTATAAGATGCATGTATCAGTAGGAAGCTTGAAAGACAAAAATGGTCCTAATACATATATGACTAACATCGGAGAGTGTATTCATTCATTCTAATCATAGTATTATTGGCTGTTACTATCTGCTATAATCCAGGTATTATAGGAAGTATTTTATGCCTGTTATTTTAGTTTTTCTGGGAATCCTACAATAATGATTAGATTATGCTCATTTTATAGATGGAGAAACTAAGCCTCAGAGAAGTTAAATATCCCATCCAAGCAGAAGCCAAGAAGTGGTGAATCTAGAACTGGAAATGTGGTCTGGCTGCCTTAACCAAAACAGGACTCATCAGGCATGCTCTGGGGCTAGATTTCCCAGATAGTCAGATGCTAGGCTCAAGAGATGAATAAGGCATGCCATTAAATTGAGATGTAAATGACAGGGGCAGATGTTGCCCTCTCCCTGAGATACAAGAGGAAAGTGCCAGCAGACTTCTATATGAAGTTTCCTGAAAAGGATGCATGTTGTCCTGAATTTTGAAGAAGGTCTGGCAGAATGAAGGGAAGTGAGGATTGGCTTATGCAGATATTCAAGTGGATGAATAGCACGGAGAAAAGGCTTATGTCATTATGAGAGGGAGTGTAAGAGCAAGTGCCTTTCTTGGATAAAAAGGACCGCATCAAAGAGTAATAAAAATAACAGTTAAAGAGTAGGCAGGAAATTTTGAATGTAAATCATGTTTTTGCTTACTCACTGAATGTTTGTCTTATCCCAGTCACATCAGAATGCTTTTATCCTCTGAGCTAAGTACTTCCTGTGCCTACCACTTGCTCAGCACACAAATGCTTCCTTGTTCTATCTTTGCCTTTTGATGCCAACTAATCAGATATATTTCTTTAAATATTACTTGTTTTGCATATAATAGGCACTTAACAATAATCAGTTATTTATGGCAAGAAAGTAGCAGCATTTTCAGTTCAGGTTGATCCAATTAAGGCAGAAAAGAAAGGGGTTTGCTTAATGTTTGTTGATATGACATATTTCCTGAAAGTTATATAAACTTGAGATGATAACAATTTAAGGAAAAATATTATCTGCATTGTTAGTATTCTCTAATTTTATGTTTCTAAGGCAAGCTGAGTAAGTTTGACTGCTTCCTCCTCTCGTCCTCTCTTTAAGTAAATTTAATTTCTCATTGAGTAAATTAACTTATTTTAGGATTCAACCAATTATTTTTGTTAGTGATGTGCAGACATGATAAAAATAATATCTTTGAGAATATACGTTATCTAGTTAAGGTTGGAACATGATGCCTATGTGGACATCATATGTATATATTTTTTCAGGCTATTCCATGGAAACAGTGAGCTATAATGGTGAATATATCTGTGTGTGTGTGTCTATATATAGAGAGAGCTTGACTATCACCATTATAGCTTGACTGTTGAGCTTGTATAAATACACACACACACAGATATACTCATATATATATATATATATATATATATATATATATATATCTTACTTCTTATATATAAAGGAGGGATAAAATGAGATAGTCAAGCTCATGATACCCTCATGATACCCCCATAATGTCAAACAACTAATTCCATTTAGGGCCAGTAAATCAGTTGGTTTGGTGCATGGGACAAAAAAATGGTTTGAAAGATTTTTAAATAAAATGTTAATAAGCTGATTGTGATGGAAGGCATTTTTACTTGAAGAAAAGCCTTAGAATAAAGCAGTTAATATGTGGGGGAAAAAGGGTTCCTCCTGACTATAGACTTACCGGGAGTCAGTAAT
Organism: Homo sapiens; assembly: GCF_000001405.40. Taxonomy (NCBI): domain Eukaryota; kingdom Metazoa; phylum Chordata; class Mammalia; order Primates; family Hominidae; genus Homo; species Homo sapiens. Next base: position 76,560,650 of record NC_000003.12, on the reverse strand, counting down.
GTGAGTTTTCTTTTCTTTTCTTTTTTTTTTTTTTGTGAAATCAGATGTAATCAGAGTCCTAGTACTAGTAGTCATATCAGTAGTGCTAATGATAATGATGATAATAATAAATAATAATGACCATGATAACAATTAGCTGCTATCACTGGGGACATTTGTTGTGTCAGACACTGTGCTGAGCTGCTTACATCCCATTTAATGCCTCAAAACATGGTTTTGTGGAATTTAGAAACATAATTAAGATAATATTTGATAGCTCTTTTTCAAATTATAGTTGAAGGCTAATCATGTACATGTGTATCACCTGAGACTTTAAAACTTGGTCTCATGCAACATATTAGTGGAAGATATATTTGGGTTTCATATAAGGAATATTCTTATGACGGCTACTTTATAGAAATAAATTATCTTGTGTCCAGACGTGGTAATTTAGATCATGCATTGCAGCACAGTGGTGCTTTGTGATCAACTGGCATAGGTGTGTTGGGTGGACAATATCAAGCAGATGGGAAATTCAGAGAAAAATGTAGGAAAGACATCTATTTTAACTGGGAGAAAAATAAAAGAGAAGCAAATTAATATATACAGAAAGGGTTATGTAGCTCTTATAGAGAAGTAAAAAGAAAGCAATCAAAACTATGGACTGCATTGCATTGCTCTAAGGATTTTAAAGTGCAGAATTAAAGTTTTGGAAAACTGCACAGAGTCCATTCCCAGGTGCTCTTGCAATGAGAGCACTCCTCATGGTAATAGCATTACAAGTCTGGAGATGACTTGGGGAAGAATTTGTGCCATGAAAATAAAGAGACAATGAAATTTAAAATTATATATAAAAAGTACTGCATTAAAATGTCAGGTCAGTGCAGGTAATAAAGCCGTAGTTGCTTATCCATATGACATCACCTGTTCCACTAATTGATATTTCTTCCTAGAAGCAAATCTCAGGAGCCAAAGGTGCACAGGTGCCCCATGTCACTGGGCCTCGAATAGGAGGAATTACTATAGTATCTACTTATATTGCTCATCCTTCCCTTACCAGCATCCCACCGCTTTTGGCCAAAGACTTGGGAAGAGTATAGTAAGAAGTAAACACTCTGTTACAGCCAAATGGTGACTCGTCTTCAAAAAGTTTGTACATTATTTGTGAAAAACCAACCGTATCAGTTTTTTTAACCAATTGGTTGATTGGTTAAAACGAATTTTCAAACATTGGTTGAAATGTTCCACCCAGTACACCCATGCCAATTGATTGCAATGCACCACTGCGTTGCAATGCATGATCTAAATTATGTCTGAATGCAAGATAATTTATTTTTATAAAGTCTCAGTCATAAGAATATTCCTTATATTGAACCCAAATCTATCTTCCCCTAATATATTGCATCATTGCAAGAGATTCATAGATTTATTGTTATCCCTATCACAACGTGACCATTGTTTATTGACATACAAAAATTCACACACCAGGGAGCAAAACTGAACAAAAATGTGTGGTATCTTTATGTGCCTGTGCCTTATATTAATGGGTGGGAGGAGAGGAAGAGTTTAGAATTGCATATGTCTATAGAATTGCCCCGTATGTAAATACCATCTGTTTCGTGTGCTGTGTGTAGAAATGAGGATTCTGGATGTTACCCTGGATATGTGGTCTTTAAAAATAGAGACCTAGGTTTGTACATTTTATATATTTTGCTAACAGTCTAGAGTCTGGGATACCAAAGATGCTGAATACCAAAATAAATGTTTATTGAAGTGAGCCCATCTCTGTTAAATGTTTAAGCAGACTCTTCACATTATCGGCAGAAAAGTCTCCAGAGGTTGTTTCTTTCAAACAAACTGATTTATTCTGTTAACCAATATGCCTATATCTATGTAATACTAACGATTGTTCAATGTTTCAAGTGTTTTAATATGCCTTACAGTCATCTTACAGTTATTGTTTGTCTAAACTAGTGAGAAACTTGTTTGCATCAGCCCTAATGCAATTGGGAAAAATGCAGCCCATTCTGTACAACATCTAAAAAAACCCTGAGGAAAATCAAAGTATAAATTCAAAATTATAAATATAAATTTGGTTATTTTGTATAAATGTAAATTTTTCAGAAGATGGAAAAAAGGCCCATGTACTTGTGAGAAACTGTTTTAAAAGTATAGAGGCTTCATTATCTTAATAGTTCAGCATGCTTTATGCCATATAAAATATTCAAAACTGGGATTGCCATAGCTTGAATAGCTTATAACTTCATAATGACATTTTTTCTCTCATAGCACAGGCAACATATATTTTTTTCTAACTTAAGACACTTCTAACTTAAGAAAATTATCTGAATAGTACTTGAATATTTTCATGCCTCTTGGAATAAATTATATTCTTTTATTCTGAAACTATGATGAAATCATTGAAAAGTGTCAGAAGAGAAGACCCTAGGAAAGCTATTAACTATTTATCATTTTCAGTTCACACGGGAATATGAATTCCACTTGCCAAAGAGTTTATTATTGATCAACTTTAGGCTGAAAGGCAACTATCACAACAGAGTTGATATTCCTAGCTGGGTTTATCTTGAATATATTATCTTAAACAACAATACAGGACATGCTACTTCGCTTTTTTGGTGTTTTTGTGGTAATTGTTATCAACTCTAACAGAAATTAGTTCAAAATAGTTGAATGCCTCCCCATTATCCGCATGATAACTATTTTGAAACATAGAAGCTCCATTGTTATATTTAACCCAAGTAAACAAGTAGTTTTTTTTTTTTTTAAGTAATTCCAGCAAATGAAGCTGAAAAGCAAGAATGAGGAAGGCACATGATATAATAAATTGTAGAATGAAGCCAGGAACTCGGTAAGAAAAGAATTTTCAAGTGACGGAAGGGGAACTGAGTTCTAAGTCTAGAATACTATCAATTCAAATTAGAACAAGAAGTCAGTGTACGGCAAGAAGAAAATCAAAGGAATTCCATGTATTTCATCTAAATGGAACATATCTGTTTAGAAGCAAAAGTGGAGATAAACTTCTTAAAGTAAAAAAAAAAAAAAAAAAGGCACCCTTTATAAATTTAAAAATAAAATCTCTCCCAAGGACATCAGTTTCCAGATAGCAACTAAACCAACTGAGGCACAATTTAACTAACTAATGGTATATAGGAAAGATAATTCATTTGATCTTTATGTTAGGATCCTTTGAGTGGTATAGAGATGATGGTATTGAGCCCATCGAGAATGAAACAAAACCTTACCGTACTAATTTGCTCTGCAGAGATAATATTTAATTGCTTATAACTCCCTAGAGGATTTTTGGTAGATTTCAATTTTTAGATGCAATCTTTAGGTCAAACACTGAAAGCTTAATTATGTCCACTATAAACCATAAAATATTATCAACCTTGACAATATAAAAATAATATATTACAGAAGTTGGAAAGGGGGAGAAATTGTGAGATATATGGAATGACAGAATGCTAATAGCAACATCTTATAGAGTGAGCAGCTTCAGACACACAGCTAAAATTTAAGAGGAAGCAAATGTAGGGTCACTGGTGTATTATTTAAAGCTATAAAATAATCAGTGAAAAAGCTAAAGGTATTAAGGTAACTATCTAAAACTGGGTGGCAAATAATATGTGTAATTGTAAATAAGCTAAATGTTCATCTTTAGTCCAAAAAGTAGTCTAAATATGATAAATTAAATAATAAAAGCATAGCTTATTATTTAGAATTATGGAGATGACTATGAGAGAACAAACATCGAAAAGGTGAAAAAATGGATTTTACTGGGAGGTATGTTGGGTTGGTTAGGTCAGGCTGTTGTACAACTTATTTTTTACGTGTTATTTGCTTTGATAAAAATCTTAAAAATGCATAATAACTTGAATTGGCACACATTCCATTATAATATGGATCTATAATATACACACATATTCTACAAGTACCAAAGTCACTATGAATTAATTTCTTTTGATAACTAAGGCTTTTGGAAAACATAAACACATATTTTTGTCACATGAGATAATAAGCATAGAAATGAATAAATTCACAAAAATTCCAATTAGAAATGTTTACTTACATAATTAAACTTCACATCAAATACCACCCATTCTTTTTATTAACACTTATAATATGCATATGTATCAACTGTCACAATACTGATATATTCACTGAATCTAGAATACCAAATCACTTACATATATTTTGCCTCTCCTCCCTTAAAAAGTACAACCTCCACTCTTTATGCAGAGCAATATATTAGTATTATTTTTACTTTGATTGAGTATTATTGTCTTTGTAAAATACATCACCCCCTTTCCCTTCTGAGGCTTCAGAGCTACTAGGAAACATATTTTCCTTCCCTCCAATTTCTTCATGCCTAAGGTGGAAAACATATGGAAGACCGGATTTCTTCATTAATACATATATACAGCTTAGAAATGTGGTGTGAATTCTTAATAGGATATACTAATATCTCCTGAGGACTACAACCTATGGAGTTTTTCTTTTTTCTTTCTTTCTTTCTCACTTTCTTCCATTCTTTTTATTTTTTATTTTTTGGAGATGGAATCTGGCTCTGTTGCACAGCCTGGAGTGCGATGGCATGATCTTAGCTCACTGCAACCTCTGCCTCCTGAGTTCAAAGTGATCAAGTGATTCTCCTGCGTCAGCCTGCCAAGTAGCTCAGATTACAGATGCCCACCACCACACCTGGCCAAATTTTTTTGTATTTTTTGTTTTCAGTAGAGAGGAGGTTTCACCATGTTGGCCAGGCTGGTCTCACACTCTTGACCTCAGGTGCTCCTCCTGCCTCAGCCTCCCAAAGTGCTCGGATTATAGGCATGAGACACAATGCCTGGCCAGAGTTTTTCTTTTGGTCATTAAACCACCCTTTGTTTGAGAACCTCTTAACTAATTACTCATTACTTCTGTCAAATTGATATAGTATTTACATTTAGAAAATTATTAGTGTCTTAGGTTTAAAAAAAGGCAATGTAAGCCTTAGAGTACTTCATTTCTCAACTTAAGTCATGGGAAATTCAAAGAGCCATCTTAATACATTTTAATCTTCTCCTGTTACCCCTCTACAAAGTACCTGAGGTTTTATTCCAATTGGCATTAAGCATACTTCATACATTGTGTTCTTGTTTCTGACCATTTTCAACTCAAGATGAGAGGGATCTATTTTTTCTTTTCCCTCTTCCTCTTCCTCTTCCTCTTCCCCTTCCCCTTCTCCTTCTTTCTTCTTCTTCTTCTTCTTCTTCTTCTTCTTCTTCTTCTTCTTCTTCTTCTTCTTCTTCTCTCTTCCTACTCTTCCTCCTCTTCCTCTTCTTCTTTTTTGACATGCTCCTGGGTACCTCTTCATGAATCTTTTCCAAGTTCTAACTTTGGATAATTTATGATCCCTGCACATGTTATTATTAAAAAATGCTCTGGGAAAGCACTAGGCAATTGTTATCCTATCCTATTTTCCTCTCCTTAAAATTGTTTGCATAGAATAGACTAGGGATTTTTATATTACTTCAATTGAATGTCCTCCATTTCATAGAGAATTAATAGTACTGACCTTGATTTATTTATTTTTCATTTGGGGTAAAGACTTTCTATAAAACAAACATTTTACACTTTTAAATATAGTTCTTTTTTTTTTGCTGGTGACAAAAATAGATTTTAACCACATGCTTTTGTTGTGCAAGCATCAACATCAAATTCACAGTTCACCATGCCATAAATACTCATGCCTTGGGAACGTGCCAGACACATGCCTTTTTCAGTAATGTGATTTTTTTCCCTGATTCTCCCACTGTAGGATTGTAACTCATGAAAGCAGCTAAACCATTCGGAGCAGCCTCTGAGAAATGTGCCTTTTTATAAAAAGATGTGCATAACATCAAGGCCCTGCTCATTTTAAAATAAAATTAAATCAATTAAATACTGAAAGCCTCTCATTATATAGAAGCAGTTTCCCTACATGGTTGTCGATCCTATTTCAGGTGAATACTAGATGATGGAGCTCAAGAAAAGTGGGACACACAGTAAAGTAAAGGAAGATGAGAGAACAGAATCTAAGCAGTTTACACAGGGCTGTTTGCCTTTAGACACGCAATTACAATGTAGGCAACGAAGTGGGACATGGAGCAGGGAGTGGTAAGACATCATTAAGTGTTTAAGCAAAAGCATATGTTAGGAAATACATATCTTTTGTTTCTATCTTTATTTCTGTTATTGCAAACATAACATACATTCATGTTAAACAAAAAAGCGTAAACAACCAAAAAAAGCCCAAAAAGAAAAAGTTCCTACTGTACTTCATGTCCTCATATCTACTCCTGGAGATAATTACTGTTAACAGTGTTCTCCCTGACATTTGCTGTGATATGTGTATATAATTTATTTTTCTTAAGAAAAGGCTGTTCTGTTCATGGTCTTTGGCAAGTTCCCTTTTTCTTCAAATATCTCTCCACATTATGTCCATAGATGTAGCTCATTCTTTCAAACAAGTTATACAATATGTTTTCATATGAATCTACCAAAAATTGTTTCACTAGCCTCTCTGTGTGGATATCTAGGGTAATTTCATTTTCATGTGTGTGATTATAAACCATGCTAAAATAAAATGCGAGTGTTCACGTTTTTCTAATTCTTTACGTAAATTTTCTGGGTCTCCTGGTATGCATATTTCAAGCTTTGCTAAATATACCCAAGTTCTTGCATGAAGAATGAAGGCATAATTGCCTCTGCTACTCCACTGCCTGTTTTCCACACCCATGATAATAATGAGCATTAGCAAGCATTTTAATATATGGTGGGCTGATACACAATTTCATTGCTTATGAGCAGAAAATAGAACTTTTAGTGTGTTCAAAAAGTTCAGAGAGATTTACTGTAACCACCCCCATCTAATCTATCATTATGAACATGATAAATACCCTCACATTTACATGAAACAGAAAGCTCTTAAGGAAAGAAATGTACAGACTAATTCTGTACAAATAAATCTGAAGATCACAGATTTATTTTGATAATTTTAAATGTTCCAGGATCCATAGTGATGAATGATTTTAACATTTTCATTTCACATAAGTGTAATAAAATCTAAGGTTTCAAGAATCCTGGCTAATATCAGACCACTAATTAGTAAAAAGTAGAGCCCAATATCTAGTGTTTCTTTAGTCAGAAATATCTCGCTCAGATCATAACACTCCACTGAAACTCTAAGTTCACAATGACCTTCTGGTCATTAAAACTACTGATTTGTTTAAAATTGTTATAAAAACCGGGTAGCATGTGACATATGATTTATCGTCTCCTTGACAGTCATCTTCCCTTAGCTTCCCTGATTCCACGCTATTCGATATCTCTTCTGCCACACTGTCTGCTCCTTCCTTGTCTTCCTCTGCCCATCCTTAAAATGTTGCTCCTTCTCAATGCAGTTTTGACCCCTTTCTCACTCTAATTACAATCCCTGAAAGACTGTTTCCAAACCAGTTCTTCATATATGTTTATATGTTGATGTCCCAAATCTATATTTTAATCTCAGCTTTCTCTCAAGGTCTAGAGTTGACACTATGTCCTGCTCACTTTCACATCCTATCTCTCCTATTGAATTCATCAGCCGTCTACCCCACCACTTGCTTACCCATCCATTCACCAAACTTGCTATTCAGGGCGTCTGGAATGATCTTTCTCAAATCAAGTTTTCTCTTACTAATATCCTTTGATGGCCTCCTATTGCTCTTAAAATAAAGTCCAAAGTTATTTAATGTATTTCACAAGACCTGTCATGATCTGTTTCCAAACTAATCCCTCACACTCCCATTACTAAACTCTTAGTTATGTAACCAACTAAATGGAACCCAATGGAACTACTTTCAGTGGTTGGAAAGGTCCATGCTCTGTCTCATCCTTCAGGTTAAATTGAGATATCATCTTCTCTGGGGTCCACTCAAATATAGATTATATATTCTACATGGGTTCACAATAGAGTGTTTGCCATAGTTTCCACACTACACTATAATTGTTTGTTCAAATGTTTTCCCTTCCTCAGTCTGTGAAAGGTTTATTGTTTTTTGAATATCATGATATGAAGCAGAAAAGAGTTGTTTAATAATTAGTTGTGGATTAATTATATGAAAAGAAAGCTGGCATATTAATTATATGAAAAAGAAAGCTGTGGATTAATTATATGAAAAGGAGAGAAGCTGGTTACTTCTTCTAAGATGAATACTCCTATGTGAATTATTCCATGTGTATTGTATGCTAGTTTAAGGGCCAGAATAAATGTTTTACCTAGTGAATTCTAGCTAATTGTCTTTGAATCTGGATTTCTCTTCATGAATTATGGTTGTCCCTCAGTATCTGTGGGGGATTGGTTCCAGGGCCCCCGACAGATACTAAAATTCTGGGATGCTCAAGTTGCTGATATAAAATGGTATAGTATTTACATATAACCTATGTGTATCCTCCTGTATACTTTAAATCATCTCCAGATTACTTATAATATCTAATACAATGTAAATGCTATGTAAATAGTTGTTATACTGTCTAAGAAATAATGGTAAGAAAAAGACAGATGCAATTGTCACAGGATCCGTGGGGTGTTGCCGTGCCAGCCGGAAACCTCTGTGGCTGGCAGCACCTTCTGCTTGAGTATTGCTCGCACCTGCTGGGCTCATTCCACCCACTCAGCCCTGCAGGCTGCACTTGGCTCACACTGCCAGACCAGATCCAGCACTTGCCAAGGATGAGCCATTCATGGAGCAGTGAGGGATGTGTGGGTGAGCAAGCACGGGGTCCAGACACTGCACACAGCCAGGCATACTGGCTGCTGTGGCACAGTGGGCAGCTCCAGGTGCCAGCACAGGTACTGGCTTCATGCAAGGCTGCAGTTGGATCTGATGTACCACAGGCAGCTTCCACTGTGGGCACCCATATCTGGACAAGGGGAACATGGTGGTGCCTGGAAGTGTAGAGATGCCAGAAACTGCAAAGCCCCAAGAGGGTGTCACAAAACCCCAGGAGGGTGTCACAGCGCTGGTTCAGGGATCCTCTAGGTCTGGGCTCCCTGAAGGGCCATAGCTCCTCATTCTATCCTTCTCGTTGCCCACAATGTGGTGAGTAGGGTGGGGGGCGTGTTTCAGCCCTGTTTGTGTTACAGCTTTTTCAGTCCTGCCATTAGGTGGGTCCTGAGTTCTTGTCCCACGTCCAGGATGAATGAGGTACGTGGACAACTGGAGGGTGAGCAAGACGGAAAGGAGCTTCATTGAGCAACAGAACAGCTCTCAGGAGACCTGAAGTGGGTAGGTCCTTTCTGCAGGCAGGTTGTCCTGATGGGTATTCAGCTCTCAGAGGAGAGTAGACCTTTAGTAGGTAGCTCCCTTCTGTTCCATCAGGCAGGTCGTTCTTACGAATTGAGGAGACTCAAAGTGGGCAGCTCCTTCCTGCAGCTGGTAGTCCCAACTTCTGTGTGAGTCTGGCTGAGTCTGGGGTTTTCATGGGCTCAGAAGGGAGAAAGTTCATGCTGATTGTGCTTCCATGGATGGCCATGGGTGGGACTGGAAAAAGCACCATAAGTTCTCACTCTGGGCCACCAACTCCACCTGGAGCTGGCAGCTCGCCCCCGAGACTCCTAGCTGTCCCTGCCTAGAAGGTGGAGTTTCACTAGGGACCCAACACTTTCCGCCCAGGAACCTGTCCGCCTCCTGCCATCAACATGCCATCCACAGCACCCAGGCTGTTCACACTAAGGGTTGCCTGCAGGCCTGCACTAAGCTGCCCTCAGCTCCCCCAGGGATCCCTCCCATGCTCTTCAGTGACCAAAGTCTGAAGAAGGCTGAGGCAGCAGGGAGCTGGCATGTCAGTGCCATCCCGAGTGTGCACATACTCAGCCAGGTCGTGCCAGCACCTGGGTTTGGCCACAGCTTTGCTCCACACCAGAGTGAGCACTGGGTGCGGGGAGAGGCCAGAGAGTGGGAGCAGGCACTTCTGAGCCTGTGGGGGCAGGAGCTTCCCAGGCCCCTGAGAGTGCAGGGATGCCTGGGTCTGGAGCTGTGGCTGGACAGTTGCAGCTGTGCCTGGGAGTGAGGGGCTTCTACCCCACCAACTTGGAAGGGGGCAGGGCTCCTGCTCCTTCCTGGGCCCTCCTGGCCCTGCAGAGCACACAGTCCCAGCCACGCCTTTCCAGCTACAGCCAGTGTCTTTGCAGTGGCCACTTCAGACAAGCTGCTGCTTCCAACACAATTAAAAAATATATTTTCTATCAAATATTTGTTGAATTCATGGATGTGGAATTTATGGATACAGAGGGCTGACTACTTTTATTGGCTACATGCTAACTGGAAATATTTAGAAGGCATTATCACATATTTTTGCTTTTCTTTTTCCCCATGCAGTGGATGAATTCTTAAATTATGTATATTAAACATGTGACACAGGAATGCGAGTTAGCAAGAAGTGGTCATTTTACGAGTTAGTTAGAAGTGGTCATTTATAAAGGAGACAGATGATAAGCATCTGTCAATTACTATGGTGAAGATACATGGCAAAATATTTAAAAAGTAAAGCAATAAAAAGCAACAACAAAACAATCCACTGAAGCTACATCAAGAATATTGTAATAACAGTCAGATGTTTATTACTTATATTTAACATTTAAAAAATTCAGTTAGATTATTAGCTGCCTGACAGTAGGGAACATTCTAAAACTGTAAAAAGGGAGAAACAAGAAAGGGCAAATCATCTTTACAGTAAGAGGAATGAGTTTACTTTTACACATAGGAAGCTTGAGATGATGGCAGGATTTGGCCAAGTTCTCAGATATGTGAAAGCTTCCAGATAAACAGACAGGCCACAACTTGGACTAACCAGTGAAAGTTTTAAGGTGACAAATCCCAATCAAACCTAAGGAAGAATTTTCTAGTAGATGAATCTTTTTTAAAATGAAGTAGGGTGCTTCTGGAGAAACTGAATCCACTATCCCTAAGATGCGTCACTACGTTATTGATGGTCACTTACCAAGGCTGATGAACAGGAAACAGGATAAACTATCGGAAAGGGTATATTGATGGAATATTCTCAGGTACAGGCATATTTTCTGCTCTACTTGTTACATTGAAATATCAACTTGATTACAATCACTAAGTACTTTAATTTAAAAATTCTATCACCAGACAGAACCTTCTCAGAGGAGAGTTAATGGTTTCCTCCCTGCCGTTGCACTGGGCATTGACTCAGGAAAAATCTCAGTAGAGGCAACACTTTCCTAATAATTTTATCTAAAGAGGAGGTAACGTTTTACACCACAGCCACTGTGGTCTGCTCTTCGGGGCCAAATTACGGGAAATGATGGAGATTCTGATAAAAGACTTTGGGGAAAAGAGTTCATATTCACATTGCCAGAACTCAGTATATTTATATGAAATTTGAATTGGAGAAAATTTGCCTTTCATGACAATTTTTAAAACTTAAAAATAAAAAATGGTGTTTATAGATGATTTGGCATTATGAATGTTCTAATTATCAAATTCCCAGTAAAAAATATTCTTCTCGCACCCCAACCCCAAATATTATGAGATATGTTTGTGATCAGTATCATAAACATCTTAAAACTTTTTCAGGGAATTCTGAAAATTTATTAGTGTGATACTCTATCTCTACAATAATAATTATATATAAACTTAAATTGTTCCTAGTGTCTTCAGGGATTAGGAAATTGAATTGCACAAACTGTGGATTTGACTACTCAGTCTTCACTATAATCCATGGTGGAGCTGGAGTGGGGGCAGTGTTTATGAACTCTTCCCACGGTCATACATTTTTCTGGTAATTGAATGCTTTCTTGTTTAGAGACCGTATTCATCTTTCCATTGTCATTAGCGTCCCTCTTTCACCTGATTTCGATTTCTTGATGTTAGTAGACACAAAAATTTTGGCTATGGTGGAGAAATAACTGTTACTTCTCCCATTTACTCCTCAACTTTATTGCTTTCTCCTTGACTTCTCCCGTCTATTAAAAAAAAAAAAAATCCTCCCTCTGGTTCCCAGGAATAAAAGTGATAAGCGATGGAATTTCTTTCCATATTTATTTCTCAAGATTTCAATATTTACTTCTCAGTCTCTTCTTTCAGAATGCCCACTCTTCACACCACTCTTGTTTGTGAACATGTGGGATTCTCATTTGTCATGTCTGTTCTTCAATGGTATCCCTCTCTTACCCATTCTCAAAGACAGGGTGCCATTGGCTTCTGTATTCCAACCCCTGATCTCTCCCACTCAAGCCTCATGTTTTATACTATTTCCAGGGCTGGAATCTATGTGTGTCCAGATTCAACTGGGAAAAACAAGGCAAAGCAAATATTTACTACAAAATTTCATTTTTTTGTCAGCATATGGAAAATGCCAGACCCATAGTAAGCTTTCAATGACTGTTTGTTGAATGAATTGAATGTGAATAAGCACTCTCCTTTTAACCACTGTGTCTTTCCTCTTGGGAGATAGAAAAATCAATACCAATTAAAAGAAATATTCTGAATATCCAAACATCATGATGAATTTACCTTACCAAAAATAAAGTAGTGAGTTTTATATATGCACCATTCTGTGCAAGTGAAAAGGTGATTGATTTAGGAATATGGCATGCTATTAAAAAGATACTGATCTTTATCATGTGACTTGTTTCACATGACATTAAAACAAATAATTCAATCTTACCAGGACTGTAACAGCAATCATATGATGTCCATCACAGAAGATGTGCAGTTCTTATCCCCATAGCAACATCTGTAGTGCTTATGCTAATCACTTTAAATTAACCTTGATATAAAAAACAGTACCCTAGAGATAATGCTGTTGTTGTGGCAGTCAGATGAGTAACGTGATTTTCTAATAAAACTCCACAGCAAAAATTAGGGTGATAACAAGATCCTGTTCAAGCAAATTTTTAAAATATGCATTGGTTAAACCATAGCGTCAGTGCTAGCATAGAGGTAATTAGAAGTATCACAAATAATGAGCTACTTTATTGATTATTGCCCTCTTGTAACCCAGCATAGTTCAAGTAGAGGAATGTGTTGAATAATATTCAATTTAAAAACACAATATAATAATAATTTTACATCTATAACTTGAAATTTCAGTATGAGTTTAATGCTTTCTTTCTTTTCTTCCATAGATATTTTCTATCATCAGCAGAGCATAAAAATAAACTTTACCCACCTAGACATAAATCCATTAGTTCAAAAAAAGCTGTGTTTTGTAAAACATGTGGTGTTATACAAATGACAATACATAGGCTTTAAGGAAAAGTCACATGTTTTTATCAGGGGGCCAGTGAATTAAGACAGTGCTTTAAATTGAACAAGGTTATCTGACAGCATATACATAAGGAAAAAATAAATATGCTGTCAAACTTTGCAAAATGTGAAAGAGGAAGACCATTTAATTTTAGTACAAGTAAATTATAGAATTTGCTATTAAAAACATCTTTATTTTTAATGCACTTTAAGTGTGCTTTAGTAAAATATGAAATAAGAAATCAAGTTATACTAGTTGGACTGTATCAAGAAAATTAAAAGGGAAAATTTTTGATTTCTGGAAATTAGCCTAACTGCTTTTGTGCATTGAACTTTGAAGACTCTCTAGAGTAATTAAGTAATTAAGTTTTGCTCTTAAACTGGATTGCTTAAATATGGGGTAGCTAATTTTCAAAACTGTGAATCTAAGCATTGCTTGGCCCAAAGGACAAGCTCTTGAGGTTGAAACTTTACCTTTTCAGTAGTTTGAATTTGGCTTAGGTCAATATAGCAAAGACATCAAGACAGCAATGTGAAGTTTTGTGTAGAGTAAAAATCAAGTGTTAGACTTAAAAAAAAAACTCGTGTTAGACTTCCTTGTAGTAGAAACAAAAAATAATTTACTGTCAAACACTGAAGATAGTGGTCATGTAGAGGTGGGTAACATATTAATTTCCTATGGCTACTGTAATAAATTGCCATAAATTGAGGAGGTTAAAACAACACAAATTTGTTATTTTACAATTCTGGAGGTCTATTTTCAAAGCTAGCAACAACAGATGTAATCTTTGTCACATTGCCATTTCTCTGGCTCCCTTCTTCCTCTTCTTCCCTAAGGATCACATCAGAATCACCTGGACAACTCAAGATACTCTCCCTAATGTAAGGTCAGTTGATTAGCAACCTTAGTTCCATTTATAATCTTAATTTCTCTTTGCCGTGCAAACTAATATATACACAGGTTCTAAGGATTAAGACATAGGCATCTTTGGGCAGCACTTTTACCTTCTACACAGCTGAAATTGCTAAAAATAATTAGTTAACAGGAAGAATTTGATTTGCTTTGTGACAGGAAACAGTACCAGTATTTTTCTTTAAATTCCATTTATAGAATTATAGGTAGTTAAATTTGCCTAATGTTAATTAATATCCAATAACTATTTAGATTTCTGATGGAAGAGAGAAATATTTTGGATTTATACTGTTTATAGCTTTGCACACGGACCACTCTTGAAAAATATGTCTACTTGAGAATTTGGAATGATTTTACCAAGGAACTTCTATATACACCCAATTAGGCCATAATATTATTATCTTTATAATAAAACTGTGGATGGGAACTTAGCCATTGTCACTTAATTCTAGTGAAAAGTCAGGAACAAAAAGTAACAACAAAAAATACCCTCCTCTAGTATAATCATTGTAAGTCACCTTAAAACCCTTTCAGAACATGGAAATATACTGTTTTCGTAATAAATAGAATATTGCCTTATTTAAAATATTTAAGCTGGAAAATAACTAAGTATATGTGCAGATATTACTATTAACAATATGTTAGATAGAATTAGGCATTAATTTGAAAGAAAAAATTTAGAATAAAACTACACTTTTTGACAAAGTATAAGATAAATTAAGAAAATACAAAATATACTCAAGAAAAAAGATCAGCATAACCTTGGATAATTGAAATCATTTTCTATTATGAATTTCAGTTTATGATGATAGAAAGATATTTTGTAGGAACATATTTCACGAGAGTCAAAGTTAAGGCTGTAACTGAACATGATTAGAACATAAAAAATTAACAATGTTAGAATCATTAACAGCAGGGCTGTTGAAGACAGAATCCATAATTCTTCAGGCTCAAGGAGAATCATCTCAGTTTCCCCAGTAATTACTTGTAAGCCTTATCTTAAGAAAACTTCCACATTTTCGAAGGGAAATGTATATCACTTTGACAGAAACATGGAAAACTCTTTTGTCCAAAACTTCTAGGTGATGACTTAACCGACAGTAGGTATGCAATGTTAAGAATTTCTATAATTACATCTAATTCAGGACTTGATTGTCCGACATAGATAAAAATAGACCCTTAATTTCACTTTACTTCTCAATGAATCACATGCATTTCGGAATGTAAACTGTACACGTATTGCTTAATGATTTTACAAGGCCTAGTACCCTAGAGAAAAATCGAAGTATCCACTTAACTTGGGTCTCTCTGCCATATACTCCTTTGATGGCAATACTG
This sequence comes from Homo sapiens, assembly GCF_000001405.40. Taxonomy (NCBI): domain Eukaryota; kingdom Metazoa; phylum Chordata; class Mammalia; order Primates; family Hominidae; genus Homo; species Homo sapiens. The sequence continues at coordinate 76,545,119 of NC_000003.12, read as the reverse complement.
AACAGAAATAGAAGATGGATAAGTTCAGTCAATGTTATGATTTGACATAATATGGAGTAAAAAAAAATCCAGTTCGTTTGATTGTATCTTCTGTGTAAGTTTAGCCCTGGACATCAATATCTACTCAATGTGTGGGATATGATGGAGGGGAATCTCTTGTCCATGGACTTGTGCAATTGCGTATAGGAGTCCGAACTAGAAAAGAAAGAAACTGCTTGAGTCAACAAAAGGGTAGCAGTAAAGGCTTTTAAACTAATTAAGTACCCCATGGTTATTGGGTTACTACTGTTTATCAGCCACTTTTCTAAGAGCTTTCTATCCTTTGACTAATTTAACGGGCATCATGTCATTGTGAGGTTACTACTGAGGAAACAGAGGCACAGGAAATTGAATTATTTGCCTGTAGTGACTCCACTGTTAAGTGGTCAACCTGAAATTTGAATCTAGGAAGTTTGACTCCACAGTCTGTGTCCTTCTTCACAGTGTACTAAAGCCAACAACTATGTGGACAGAACTAGTCTACAAATATGGGTATTTTAAAACTACATAAAGTCATAATTTGGTATGTATAAGTGTAGCGATAGATGCAGAAAAATGGAATACACTTGAATTTAAAAAGCCAAAAAAAGAAATGGCTGGAGGAAATTTTTAAACAACACATTAAACTTAGATAATACTATAAAACTCTAGTCAAAATAGATTCATTTTAATATAAATAAATGATCATGTTAATTATTTTTGACTTTCAAAATACATCTATATTTTCATTTTTTAAAAGATTAAACATAGATGGATCAACATGGGGTGAAATCAACCTTTAAAGATCATAGACATTAGGGTCTTATGAACATCTGTTAGTAAGAACTTATTTAAGAGGAATCTTGAAGGATGAATTATAATTTTCCAGGTGAAGAAAAGTAGGAAGGATGTTGGTAAACAGCTACTGACTCTTTAGGACATGAAGAAACTGAGCATATTTCTCAACAAGATGAGCTCAGTCTTGGCAAAGTGGCATTGTATCTATAGATGGGTGAAAGGCTATTGTGGGAATGAGATTTTTTAAAATAGTGTCTAAAATGCTAATAAATGTGGATTTTTCCCTCATAAGCAGTGGGAGGAGTATTAGAAGAAAATGAAGAGCATGTATTCAGATTTTTCACCAAGGATTATTCTAGCATATTTTTCCCCTGAAGATCGACTGAGGAGCATAAAATATTTTATAGAAAGAAGCAGCTAGAAATAAGAGATCTGAGGGGATAGCCAAGGTGAGTTATGAGGAGTGCTTGGGAGTGACAACAGGGATTTCAAAAAAAAGATGGTCTGGATTTAAAGATATTTCAGCTGTCACTGAGAAGATGTGGTAGTATTTAATAATGACGCTGGTGATTATAAAAGTTAACATTAGTAAATGCATACTCTTTGAGAATAGAAGCATTCTATTCTTCCTAACAACCCTATGAAATAGACATTTACATCAAAACCGTGGTCACAGATGAGACATGAAGGTGAAATAATTTGCCGCAGTTATAGAGCTAGCAAATGGCAATCCTAAAATTGAAATACAGGCTGTTTGTCTCTGAGCCCGTACTCTTTACCAAACTGCTACATCTTCCTTTCTGTTAGATGTAGGAACAAGGAAAAGAGATGATTCTAAGGTTTCTGATTTTTGTTTGTTTGGGATGAATGGTGAGGCTCAATAGCTTCCTGCTGTGTCCTTACATGGACTTTCCTCTGTGTATGTTGTTACTGGATGTCTCTTCCTTTTCTTATAAGGACACCAGGCTTATTGGATTAGAGTCCCATCCTATGAACTCACTTAACCTTAATTACTCCTTTATCTTCAAATACAGTCACATTGTGGGTTAACACTTCTACATATAAATTTGGGGACAACACAATTCAGTCCATAACAGTCATTGTGAACAATCAGATGAGTGTATCTAGTCCAGAGTTAAAAATACAATACTACTAAGAAAATTTAGAATGCAGATTTTGATTTGTGAATTATCAGCTGTGGAAAATATGGATAATACCATTCAATTAGAACATGAAGTAAGAAGTTAATCAGAACAAACATGAAGTCCTGAGAAACATCATTGTTTCAGAGGGAAAGACAAAAAGAGAAGACGGCAAAGGAGAATGAGAATGTCGTAGGAAAACTGAGATAAACTGACCCTAGGAAGGAATGGATTTAATGACTTGTTAAAGTGTCAACAGCACTAAATGCTGTAAGGAAGTCAAGTATAGTTAGAATTGAAAATGGCATTTAATTTGGCAATATGAAAGGCTTTAAACATCTTGGCAAGTACATTATCAGTAGAGTGGTTAGGGGAAGAGGCAGATATTATTGGACAGAGGAGTAAAGAGAAGTTGAGTAAGTGGGTGCAGTTAAGTGTGGATTATTCCTTTCAAGATCTTGCGGAATGAAAGGAAAGGAGAGAGAGAGGAAGCATCCTGAAGGGACAGAAAAAAGGTGAGCAGATCTAGTCCATGAAAGCTGGTCCAGGCTCACAATAAGAAAAAATGAAGACTTGAACTCAGCCTTAGGTTACTGTTCCTTAGAATTTCTATTCAGTCAGTAAACAGCAGTGCAAAAACATCCATACCTAAGATCAAAAGATACAATGAGTAGATACAACTTTCCTATGACCAACCTCAACACCTGGTATTAAGTGACCAATCTGCCAGGCAAGGGAAGCCAAGGCCTGGACTTCCCATCTTTACAGGTTAAAGCTTAGGGGAATACTGCAGAATGGGGTGCGGATAGAGAAAGGAAAACCAGCACAGAAAGGTTCACCATATTCCCATATATTAATAGAAATAAGTGCTGATCACTATTATACATTCCTGCATCACTAGACCCTATAAGACATTCCAGAGCTTTGGCCCAGCAATCAATAACAAATTTACTTCACTTTTAAAAAAAATATAGAAGGCACCTAAACATGCCTGTAGACTTGATGTGATTGTAGATCAAAAAGAAAATGAGGGTAGAGGAAAAGAGTCTAAACTACAAGAGAGAAAAAAAATGATCACTGAAGCCTTTGAGAAGACAAATGGGGATGAAGTACTGCACTTAAGTGGGCACTTTAGTGGCAGAGAGGAGGGAAGAAGGAAAGAAGCATTTGGTGAAGGTAAGTGCTGAGATGAAAGAAATCAAGAAACTTCATGTCTTGTAGTCTTTATTTTCTCAAGAAGGAAGTGGGAAAGTAATCCCCTGGGATGGTGTTAATATATAATACACAAAATGGCTCAAGAAGCCTGGAGGCTGTTTTGAACAAAGTTGTGAAAATGAACAAGGTAGGAACAGCATGACAGACAAAATGAAAATCAAAACCTAGGTCACGTAAAAAAGAGGTAGAACCCCTAGTTTCTAGTCCAAACAATGTCAGCCTCTTAATACCTTCCCAACTACTTACACCAGGTCTGAAATCACCTCCTCCAGGGAAGCGCCTCCTCTCTTACGTGTGCCACGCCATCAGTGGGATCCAACAAAACACTCAATTTACTCTTCTCTCTTTGCCATCTGAAGGCTGTGGGCTCTCCTATGCCAATTCTCACTTGTCTTTACATCCCTGGCCCTTATAACAGGACCTGACTGGTATAGACTAGCACATGGCACACACACATGAAATAACAATGAAGAAATAAACACCTCTTCAGCAATTAAAAAAAATACATCTTAGGTATGTGAGAAATTTGATACTGAGAATAAAACTGGCATGGGAATCAAGATTTGAAAATGTTTATCATTTTAAACTGAGCCGGATAAAGCATAGCTGTGTCATAAATTTCCACACATGTTTGACAAAGATACCAAAGAGAAACCAATGTAAAGAGTATTAGATGTTAACCCCTTTGAAGATAGGCTGTCTTATTTATCAAGCCTAATAAGAAGTAGTTATTCCATAATTATATGTTGAAGGAATGAATACCAAGGAATCAATCATTACAAGTGCCAGGAGGAGGACTAACGTTTAATTGATAATTATTTATTTAAACTAAATGAAAAGTCGAATTGGCTTCATTTGATGGCTCATGCCTGTAGTCACAGCATTCTGGGAGGCCGAGGCGGGCAGATCACTTGAGGTCAGGAGTTTGAGACCAGTTGGGCCCACATGGCGAAATCCCATTTCTACTAAAAATACAAAATTTAGCTAGATGCGGTGGTGCATGCCTGTAATCCCAGCTTCTTGGGAGGCTGAGGCAGGAGAATCACTTGAACCTGGGAGACAGAGATTGTGGTGAGCTAAGATCTCACCACTGCACTCCAGCCTGGGTGACAGAGCAAGACTCTTTGTCAAAAAAATAAATAAATAAAAATAAAAATAATTAAATCAAAAGTCAAATTAAAAATAACAAACTTTTCTTTTTTTCTATTTCTTATGTCAAGGCCAATGGTCCTTTGTTTGTGAATTTCAAAATTCATAGAGAATAAGGCAAATGACAAGGGAAGAATAGTGTTCACTGCATGGACTACCTTTGAGCTCCCAACTTAGTGTTTACTTGACCAGAAGTTTTATATATTAAGCATATATTCTAGAAGTTAAAACTTGCTCAGTCTCTGGATAGTAAGTTTATGGGGTTTTTAATTTTGTCAATTTTGCTTATTTGTATGTCCTAGTATTTCTGCAATGGAAGCAGTTAGTAGCAAAGAACAGCTTAATATTTTTCAATGAGCAAAGGGATGTAATAGTGTCAGTCAGTTAGACCATACCACTACTAGGTTCACAAAAATAAAAGGATTCTCTTTTAGCTATTGCATTAAGTTCAAACTTCTCTACTTAATCCAGCATTACCCTCTCCATCTAATTCCATTTCCCACACATTTAAGAAGCACAACTTCACTCCAGTTACCAAACAAAGCTCTCATTATTTATCCCTTGTAGTCACTATGTCTGCAAGCCATTTCCCTTGGCCTTTTCCAATTCATATTCTTCTCCTCCTTTAAGGTCCCTGACATTTCACTGGAGTTTTGTCTCTTCCAACAAACCTTTTTTTTTTGTTTCCTCATGCATACTCAACTCTGTTACAGGAATGCCTTTTTAGGCAAGTAAGTACCATTAAAGGTTATGCTGCATTCTTGGAGTGTCCTTTAAAATGGAAATATCTGTGTTAACTATCTTGGCTAAAATGCAAGGTTAGCTGCTCTCCAGCAGGGTCCAAAAACTGGGTACAGATTTCCTCAGGTATATTTAATTTTTCATAATGCATTTCATTACAGCTGGACATTTGCATGAATGTCTTAGACCAAATGTTCCTCTTTTCTCACCTAGAAAAGCAGTATTCTCTTATCATCTTCTGGATCACTGGTCTGATTACTGACACTCTGTCAGGAAATTTTTGTGGGTTAAGTTTTAATGCTTTCAGCTTTCTGACATTAGAAAGGAGAAAAGCCTCAATAAAGAAGAATGGGAATAGGCAAATCCTCTTTCTGTCTGACCTACTAGTCTGTCTTTATATTTAGACTTCTTTTTTCACAGACTATTTCTAGTAGAATGCCTTTAATTTCACATTTTTGAAGATGGAACAAACCCAGGTAATTTTAGTTTTTTCCAATGGTTTAAATATTTAAACTGTATACTTTGCTACTTAAACAGGATGGATAATACAACTCGAACATTTTTTATCAGGGAAAAAATATGTGAAGATGCCATTTGATTTGTTTATTCTCGAATTTTGTGGCCTACTATCCATGCATGAAACACAATGCAGAATCTTTATTGACAGCGTGCTAGCATTCTTTTTTTTTTTTTTAATTTTACTTAAAGTTTTGGGATACATGTGCTGAACGGGCAGGTGTGTTACATATGTACACATGTGCCATGGTGGTTTGCTGCACCTATCAAGCTGTCCTCCAGGTTTTAAAAGCCACATGCATTACATATTTATCCTAATGCTCTCCCTCCCCTTTCCTCTCATCCCCCGACAGGCCCCAGTGTGTGATGTTCCCCTCCCTGTGTCCATGTGTTCTCATTGTTCAGCTCCCACTTATGAGTGAGAACGTGCAGTGTTTGGTTTTCTGTTCCTGTGTTAGTTTGCTGAGGATGATGGTTTCCAGCTTCATCCATGTCCCTGCAAAGGACGTGAACTCATTGTTTTTTATGGCCACATAGTATTCCATGGTGTATATGTGCCCCATTTTCTTTATCCAGTCTATCATTGTTGAGCATTTGGGTTGGTTCCAAGTCTTTGCTGTTGTAAATAGGACAGCATGCTAGCATTCCACTAGATATATTACAGATATTAAAATGTAAAATGTTTGGTTTTCCAAATACTGCATGATGTCACTTATAAGTGGGAACTAAATACTGGGTACACATGGACATAAAGAAAGGTGGGAACAAAAGACACTCTGGATCACTAGAGAGGGAAGGGAGGGACGGAGGCAAGGCCTGAAAAACTACCTGTTGGGTACTATGCTCAATAACACAGTGACGGGTTTATTTATACATCAAACCTCAGCTTCACACAAGTTCCCTCTGTAGCAATCCTGCACAACATGTACCCCAGTTCTAAAATAAATTTGAAAAAGAAAAAACAATTGGTTTTCACACCAATAGTCCAAGGTGTGAGAGGTTTTATGCATGTACTACTTTAGAAGATAGCAACAGCAGTTAAACAATGGTACGTGATGTAAATACATACCTGCTTTCAAGATGTAAATGATTAATATCCTAACTCAGTGGCACAGGTGGTTAGTTATTAATTCAGAAAAGGAAAAAATAAGTCTGGATCAAAAATTTTAAAGACAACTTCTTTGTAGAAGTTATAATCCTGCTGGACACTGGGAATTGCCTACGTAGAAAAGAGAAGGGAGAGGGACAAATAAATAGAGGAAACTTTTTCTTCTTTGAGTTTGTACACAGTTAAACCAGAATCTTTATTTTTCCATTTTCTGCATACATACACTTGCCCACATGTGTATGAATATGGTGTGTGTGTGTGTGTGTGTGTGTGTGTGTGTGAGTTCTGTCAGGCCTCTGAGCCAAAGCTCAGCCATTATAACCCCTGTGACCTGCACACATATGTCCAGATGGTCTGCAGGAGCCACGAAATCTGGAGCAGCCGAAAAACCACAGAAGAAGTGAAACCCCAGTTCCTGCCTTCACCGATTGACCCTCCATATGACCTTCCACCACTATGACTGGTTCCTGCCCTACCCTAACTGATCAGTTGACCCTGGGACATTCTTCTCCTGGACAGTGAGTCTCATGGTCTCTCCACCATGCACCTTGTGACCCCCTCCCCTGCTGACAACAGATAACCACCTTTGACTGTAACTTTCTACTGCCTACCCGAGCCCTGTAAAGCTGCCCCTCCCCTATCTCCCTTTGCTGACTCTCTTTTCGGACTCAGCCCACTTGCACCCAAGTGAATAAGCAGCCTTGTTGCTCACACAAAGCCTGTGTAGGTGGTCTTCTATACAAACATGAGTGATACTTGGTGCTGAAACCAGGGACAGGGGGACTCCTTCGGGAGACTGGTTCCCTGTCCTCACCCTCTCTCCATGAGGAGATCCACATATGACCTTGGGTCCTCAGACCAGCCCAAGGAACATCTCACCAATTTCAAATCGGGTAAGTGGTCTTTTTCACCCTCTTCTCCAGCCTCTCTCGCTACCCTTCAGTCTCTCTCTCCTTCAATTTCTTCCCCCTTAGCCTGTGTTCTTAAAAAGTTTAAACCTCTTCAACTAACATCTGACCTTAAACCCAAACGTCTTATTTTTCTGCAATACCTTCGGCCCCAATACAAACTTGACAATGGTTGCAAATGGCCAGAAAACGGCACTTTTGATTTCTCCATCCTACAAGACTTAGATAATTTTTGTCGAAAAATTGGCAAATGGTCTGAGGTGCCTTATGTCCAGGTGTTTTTTACACTTTGTTCCCTTCCTAATCTCTGCTCCCAATGCGACTCATCCCAAATCTTTCCTCTTTCTCTCCCATCCATTTCTTCAGTCTCTACCCCAACCTCAGAGTCCTCTGAATCCTCCCTTTTCTGCAGACCCCTCTGACCTCTCTCCCCTTCCACAGACCACTCCTCAGCAGGCTGAATCAAGTCCCAATTCTTCCTCAGCCTCCACTCCCCAACCTTATAATTCTTCTATCACCTCCCTTCCTCACGCTCAGTCTGGCTTACAGTTTCGTTCCACAACTAGCTCTCCCCCACCTGCCCAACAATTTCCTCTTAGAGAGGTGGCTGGAGCTGAGGGCATAGTAAGGATTCATGTACCTTTGTCTCTATCAGACCTTTCCCAAATCAGTCAGCATCTGGGCTCTTTCTCATCAGACCCCACTAAATATATACAGGAATTCCAATGTTTGACTCAGTCCTACAATTTAACCTGGAGTGACTTAATGTCATCCTGACCTCTCCCCTCTCCCCAGATGAGCGGGAAAGAGTTGTTTATACCCTAGCCCAATCTCACACTGACACCTGCCAGCGTCATGAGCCAGACCTTCAAGAAGGCACCAGGGCAGTTCCCCGAGAGGATCCCCGATGGGAATAGCAGACAGGCTCCCAAGGTATAGCTAGGTGAGATTACATGGTCTCTTGCCTAGTTGAAGGGCTGAAAAAGGCAGCATACAAAGCTATCAATTATGACAAGCTTAAAGAAGGTACCCAAGGTAAAGACGAAAACCCAGCCCAGTTCATGGCCCACTTGGTGGCTACCCTTAGACACTTTTCAGCCCTAAACCCTGAAGGGCCAGAAGGCCGTCTTATTCTTAATATGCATTTTATCACCCAGTCAGCTCCTGACATTAGAAAAAAGCTTCACAAATTGGAATCTGGCCCTCAAACCCCACAACAGGAGTAATCAACCTTGCCTTCAAGGTGTTCAACAATAGAGAAGAGTCAGCCAAGTGGCAATGTATTTCTGAGCTGCAACTGCTTGCCTCCGCTGTAAGACAAACCTCAGCCACGCCTTCAGCACAGAAAAACTTCAGAACAACCAAACCACAGCCTCCAGGCATTCCTTCAGGACCTCCTCTCCCAGGACCTTGCCTCAAATGCCACAAAACTGGCCACTGGGCCAAGGAATGCCCGCAGCCCATGATTCCTCCTAAGCCATGTCCCACCTGTGCAGGACCCCACTGGAAATCAGACCACCCAACTAATATTGCAGCCACTTCTAGGGCCCCTGGAGCTCCAGCTCAAAGCTCTCTGGCTGACTCCTTCCCAGATCTCCCCAGTTTAGGGGCTGAAGACACTGCCCAATCACCTCGGAAGCCCCCTGGACCATCATGGATGCTGAGCTTCAGGTAACTCTTATAGTGGAGGGTAAGTCCTTCTCCTTTTCAATTGGTACAGGGGCTACCCACTCCACATTACCTTCTTTCAAGGGCCTGTTTCCATTGCCCCCATAACTGTTGTGGGTATTGTTAGCCAGGCTTCTAAACTTCTTAAAACTCCCCCACTCTGGTGTCAACTTGGACAACATTCTTTTATACACTCTTTTTTAATTATCCCCACCTGCCCAGTTCCCTCATTAGGCCGAGACATTTTAAACAAATTATCTGCTTCCCTGACTATTCCTGGGCTACAGCCACACCTCATTGCTGTCCTTTTGCCCAATTCAAGGCCTCTTTTTCATCCTCCCCTTGTATCTCCTCACCTCAATCTGCAAGTATGGGATACCTCTACTCCTTCCTTGACAACTGATCATGTACCCCTTACCATCCCATTAAAACCTAATCACCCTTACCCCACTCAACGCCAGTATCACATCCCACAGCAGGCTTTGAGAAGACTAAAGCTGTTATCATTCGCCTGTTACAGCATGGCCTTTTAAAGCCTACAAATTCTCCTCACATCTCCCCTATCCTATCCATCCAGAAACCAGACAAGTCCCACAGGCTAGTTCAAGACCTTTGCCTCATAAATCAGATTATCCTTCCCATCCATCCTTTTGTGCCAAACCCCTATAGTCTCCTCTCCTCAATACCCCCTTCCACAACTCATTATTCTGTTAATGACCTTGTCAAAGAAGCCTTCTTTACCAACCCCTTGCATCCCTCCTCCCAGCCTCTTTTCGCCTTTACTTGGACTGACCCTGACATCCACCAGTCCCAGCAACTCACCCAGACTGTCCTACCCCAAGGTTTCAGGGAAAGCCCACACTACTTTGGTCAGGCCCTCTCTCATGACTTACTTTCTTTCTGCCCATCTGCCTCCCACCTTACTCAATATGTTGATGACCTTCTTCTTTACAGCCCATTTCCTTCCCATCATGGAAATCCATCCTTAAAACCATCACCTCTCAATGCTCTGACTGCTTGTCACCAACCCCTAAGGTTCTCTCAGGACTCCTTGCTTTCCTACGCATCAGGCTCTTGGATTTACTCTGACACAAGATTGGCAAATTGACTTTACTCATATACCCCGTGTTCATAAATTTAAGTATCTCCTGGTTTGGGTTGATACACATATACGGGGCCAGTTCCACATGTTTGGCAAGCAGACCAGCATCCAGCACAACATAATGCATTCTGCTGGTTGGTAGAAGGCTTGGGACATTCCTCTCTTTGCCAGCCTCAGCTTAATCCAGGAGACAAAGATTATTTTCCTTACTATCTCTCCTGCATAGGATCTGCAATCAGAACTATGGAACTTCTCCATTCAGACTGCCACTCACACCTATGGTAAATGGGTAATATAATAGATCACTGGCTTAACAACAGGGAATCCTATTCATATGATGGGAAATGGGGACAAAAAGCTTTGGTACGTAAAACATTATTCCTTCCCTGGCCTAAAAACTCATCGCCACCTACATTAAAGCTAACATGCCTGATTACTGTTCTTAGAGAACTTATTTTATTAGGGCAGTTCCAAGCTCAAAAATGTGCTACCTGGCACTTTTTTAGCCACATAAAAATGAGCCCTAGACCTGAAATTTACTAAATTAACTCATTTTAAAATTTTCTTTAAGGTGTCCACACAGTCCCTGGTTACGCTTGAAGCAGTCCTGAGAGACATCGCCCTTACCCCTCCAAAAAAAACTCCCCAGAAGGAATTTATATTCTTTATCTTTTCTTATAACTTTATATTTTATAAATAAAAAGACAGGAATGTTAGGTCTCTGAGCTGAAGCTCAGCCATTATAACCCCTGTGACCTGCACACATATGTCCAGATGGCCTGCAGGAGCCAAGAAATCTGCAGCAGCCGAAAAACCACAAAAGAAGTGAAACCTCAGTTCCTGCCTTCACCGATTGACCCTCCATATGACCTTCCACCACTATGACTCGTTCCTGCCCTACCCTAACTGATCAGTTGACCCTGGGACATTCTTCTCCTGGACAGTGAGTCTCATGGTCTCTCCACCATGCACCTTGTGACCCCCTCCCCTGCTGACAACAGATAACCACCTTTGACTGTAACTTTCCACTGCCTACCCGAGCCCTATAAAGCTGCCCCTCCCCTATCTCCCTTTGCTGACTCTCTTTTCGGACTCAGCCCACTTGCACCCAAGTGAATAAGCAGCCTTGTTGCTCACACAAAGCCTGTGCAGGTGGTCTTCTATACGGACTCGTGTGACAAGCTTGCCTTTCCCTTTTCAATACTTTGTTTCCACTATGCTTATGCCCGGATGATATAGTTCTATTTTTATAATCTTTCAGGTGTAAAATAAAATTCTAATATGATGTGCATCTATCACATGAGCAATTTTTCCTCTGAGATTTAAATAACTGTTGCAGTTTCTCAAAAGAAAAGTACTTTTTAAGAACAACAATTAATTTGAGGCCTATTTTAAAGTACTCCTATTATTCCAAATGGCACAGGTATGCTGAGCAGGGAAGTTGTCTTCACAGAAATAAAAAGGAAGAAAAACAAAACCCCCTTTTGGATTCGCAATGCCTGACAGGCGTTGTGTTTAATCCTCACATCCTAACATGCTGGTATTTCTCTAGACCCATGCCTAAATTTTGTGGCATACACATGGGCTAAAGAGATCTATGGCTCTAAAAAGTTATATTATTTAAAGGCATGCATACATTTTAAAAGCCTGGAAATTCATTATTTAATAGCCTCCCCTCTGATGAAATCCTCTTTTAGGAGATTTTGAATATTTCTTCAAAACATTAGTTAATATAAAACAAGATGAAAGTAACTGGATATCATCCAGATAAATAGGATGGATTATTTTCTTTCTACTAGTATCAAAATTTTCAATAGCTTCTTAGTTTATCAAATATATGTTGTATTTTAAAAAGTGCTACAACTTAATCATTATTTTGAGGAACAAATATAAAACGTGACCCCACTCTTCTCACACTTTATAATGATGTTCATGGGGTAGCATGAGAACAGGTTTCCAGGCTTTCTTCCTCAGGATTATCAATGTAGAACTGTTTCCCTTTTTGCACTGGTTTTATGGGAGCACAGAGCCTTCCTTGCTTAGAACATGCATCTTTTAATGAAAGAGATATATCACTTTTCACATGTCAGTCATGTCACAAAAATTACTGTGAGTTGCTAGAACGGTTGCCTAATTTGAGATGAGGAAAATCACCTGTCACCACTGACACAGAATATAAAGTGGCAAGGTCAAATGGTACATTATACTTATAAGGCAAATTGTCTGTATCATTCTTGAAAAGTTAATATGTTACTGAAAAACTTAAATTCTTATTATTTTGATCATATGAAAGGACAGTTTGAAACATTTACAATCATAATATTTGAAACAAAGGACTTGTTTCCCACTCTCTGATGACAATGGTCAGATTACCAGGGCAACCTCCAAAAGTGTGCATGTCAAGTAAGAGACTGGATGTTTCTAAGGCTGCCGAGGAAATCAGTCATAACTCAACTGGAAAGGTCAGAGTTTTATGCTTTGAGTTTTTCACTAATTCAGAAATCAAATTGTCACTCTTTTCACCAAAAGTGAAGAGTATGAATTCAGCATTCAGCTATTGTATGGAGAAGCTTATTGCAGAGAAGAAAAGGAGAACAGAATGAAAGGTCTAATTGGGAGGAGGAAGGTTGTGGAATAGGACACTCTTGTAGACAAAGATATGTCCTGATTAAGTGAGGCCAGGAGAGGCAGGGCGTAAGAGGAAACAGTACCTTCTACTTACTAAGAGCTCAGGTTCTGGTGTTGAAAAGAAACGGGTTTAACTCCTGCCTAAACTCTTACCAGACATGTCACATTGGGCAGAGTACTTCTTTGATCTTCATTTTCTCATCTAAAAAGTGGGTATTATGATAAACCTGTTTTGGGAGTTGGGGAAGAATTAAATATGATAATGACAGTAAAACGTTCTGCATAGTCCTGGTGCATAAAATACATTCAGTAAATGGTAGGTTTAATGTTTATTCTTAAAACTAAACTTTAGGCATATTGGAAAATTAAGAAAATAGTGTTGTTGTTTTTTCAACAAATAGCATCAGAAGCCTTGATATACTATACAACAACTTCATTGGATTACTGTTGAATTACCAAGAGGACAGAAAAACATTTGCTTAGGGTACCAAAAAAAAAAAAAAAAAGAAACTGTACAAACAAAACAAAACAAAAATCAAAAGAGAAGGAGAAGATCAGAAAGGCTATAGGGCAGTTGTTTTACCTTTTTCATGATGTAAGTTTTATGTCATATTTAAAAATAAAATCATAAGTTAATTAAAAAATATATTCGAGAAGACATAATAATTTAAATATTTATATCTTCTAAAGAATTTGGCTTTGAATGAGATTAGAAGGCAGGGGATATCAAAAGGTATCTATTGAACCTAAAAGAAGAGAAGTTCAAACCAGAGTAAAGACTCATTGCTAGATTCTTAAAGGAAGTGAAGTATGCTGTTATTAGAAGCTCATGCTAAAATATCTATACTATGGTGTAGATGCATTTGGTTCAATGAATTAATGGTGAAAATAGTGGTTTTCATTAAAGTGAACTTTAATTCATTCACAGTAGATTCTTTCATTACTTTTATAATGTCTCAACTTAGGAAGTTCTTGATATATACTTCTTTCTCTCTGAGGTCGGACAAAAAACAAATAAATGTCCTATCTTATTTTCAGTAGAATTTTATGACTTTGCTTCAAAAACCTCAAAATCTATTGAGAGGCAAAACTTTATGCATCAGCACTTTTTATATCTTAGTGTAACTGAAGTTATAAGCTTCTGCAATGAAGAAGGAGTAGCACATACATGTGGGGGATACAAGCGTGGGAAGTAGAGACTTTTCCGATAAAGGAGGCTGGCAGCACTCACGAAGGGAAATGAAGGTAAAGAGAGAAGTTGAGGGTGTTTTACAATAACACCAGAAGCCAGCCTTGTTACGGTCTTTATTGATGTAGCAGGATAATCTTTTTTGAAATAGTATCGGCTGTGTATTTTATTCCCCCAAATTATAATTTTCCCAAACTCTCAACCTTCCAAAGTTTGTGCACACATTTCACTGGAGGCAGAGTTGAAGGAGCATAGAAGAAAAGAAGTCAAAGTGAGCTTAACTGATTAAAATAGGGCTTTGCATATTTCCAATCTAAGATCACTTTCACTTGCGAGAGCTAAGTTACTGAGACGAGACGGGGTTTTTGGATGTTCAATCTCTACGTAGGTCAACCAAAGAATAAATTATGACAGAGAACTAGGAAAGAAGGCATGGTATGATATAGGATGTTGTCATCACACAGGAGGGAGAACATAGTTTTCTGTTCTGAGCTGGAGATGCGGGAGCAATTCGGAGGAACACTACTGGGATTGAGCTACTGCCTGTCTGCCTGGTAATAGAGTCAGTGTCTCCAAATTCCAAGGCCTACATCAAGGCAGGGAAGTCTGAGTGAGAACTTAAAATGAGACAAATCAGGAGAATCCAAAATCATGTGTGGCTTCTGTTCCTTTTCCAGCTGGGAGTCCAGGGGGAAATTACTTTGTAAGAAATCCTACATCTTTAAAGAATCGCCACCAGCACTGACATGTAGCCCTGTGTACACGCTGGGTAAGCGGTAGTCGTGATGACCAAAGTAAGGTAGACATGCAGGTGCAGGCCTGTTGAGGCAGAAAGAGGGCCCTGGAATGGCGTTTCCAGTTCATCTGTGGCCAGAAAGTGGCATGTGGGAAATCTAGATGAGAGAGTGTCTGCCCAAGTGCTAAAAGGACACAGAATAGAAGGTCCTAGGATCAGGAGAGGAGAGAGGAAGTGAGCAGATCTTACATAGGGAGGCCAAAGCAGGGATCACAGACCAGTTACATCAACAGTGGATACTAGCAATAATCTGAAAATTATGGAAATAAGCCACCTCCACATATCTTACCACCATGGTACTAAGTCAATCTTCCCTATGTTAAAATGCTGCAAGGGAGAATAGAAGAGGGAGAAGGGGAATAAGATTTGAACGGACGGATTTAACTGAAAGACAACATGCTTTACTCTAGAAACCCACTGATATCTTAAATTATCAAGATCAAGTTTTTTCTGTCCATTAGTAGTATGAATGGGAAGTTGACTAATTGTATAGAAAAGAAAATAATTTTAATTATAAATAATAATAACAAACATCATCTCATTGAATACCCATTTCCATCATAATTCACACATTTTGGAAACAAAAGGAATCTCATTTTTATTTCACAATATGCCACAGTGCAGATCTTTCTCAGTGCAGCTTAGATCTGTGTATATTGTTATTCTTATTGTCATCATTATTATTGTTATCTTGTTTTTAGAAAGAGAAGTTGAGAAAAGGAAAAGTGTACATGAATACCATCATTGCCTCTCACTTAACCACAGCTGCAGGCAGGGGACCCAAAAAAAATACTCCAATCTGGCCTGGAATACATGCAGAGCAATGTACATGCAGGCACACTCTTGCCTTAGCTCTAGGAGACTTGCCATTCCTTTTGTCTGATGTGATTTTCCACAAGATAGCTCTATGGCTCTTTTGCTGTCTATCTTTGGTAAAAGCTTTTATGAATCCTTTCCTGACCATCTTATCTAAAACTAATAGTCACCTGTTATTCTCTTGTCTGTTTTATTTTCTACATAACATGCTGTCTTTCAGAAGAGCTGTCAACAGTTTTGTCTTTCTCATTCTCTCTTGAACCCATTTCAGTCAGGGTTTTTTCTCACCACCACACTCTATAAAAACTGCTCTTATCAAGGTCACCAGTGAACTTCATGTTGTAAATTCACTGCTAATTCTCCCACCTCTTTCTACTTGGCCTATCAGAATATGAGACTGTGGACCTTTCCTTGAAATGCTTTTTTCGTTTCGCTTCAAGGACACTGCACTTTGCATTTTGCCTCTACCTGCTGCATCTTAGTATCTCCAGTTGTTTCTTCTCATTTCCGTAATCTGTAAAAGTAGAAATGCCCTAGGCTTCAGTCCTAGGAACTCTTATATTTTCTCTCCTCCTTCCCCTGGTGATCACATCTGGTCTCGTAGATTTAAATACCATCTATATGCTAATGAGAAACCTACATATGCAGCCTAACCTGTCTCTTGAACTCCAGAATTTCTAACTATCTGCTTGATTTTTCCAGTTGGATGTCCAGTAGGTGTCTTACCTTTAACAAGTCCAATTCTGAGCTCTTTATCTTTCCTAGCTAATCTCTTCTTGCAGCTTGCTCAACTCAGTTGTCAACTAATTCCTGCCAGTTGTTCAGGCAAACCACTTGGAGACATCCTTGATTCCTGTTTCTCTCAGACATCACATTTAATCGTCAGGAGGGTCTATTATATATATTCAAAATATTCATTATCTAACCACTTCCTACTACTATCAATTCTACCCACCTTCTCCAAGGCACTGTCATCTTCCCTGGGTTCTTGTAATTGTTCCTAAATGTGACCTCCACCAGCTCTTGCCTGTCTGTACATCTCACGCTGAACCTCAGTCACAGGGCTCCCATTAAAGCTAGTGACATTAGGTCATTCCTCTGCTCAAAAGTTTCTCATTAATTGTGCAGTAAAAATGAGGCCTTGGGTTTGCTAACCTATTTCCAGTGACTTGGACAGTCAGTGCCTGCACTTGGTAGAAAGTCACTAAATATTTGTTGTATGAGTTAAGAATGAAGAAATAAAATTTCATATTATTATTCAAAGTAAGAGCTAAGGTCCTTATGGTGAGCTATGAGGCTTTAACATTCTGCACCCCACACCCCCATTTCACCTCTACCCTCTTTCCTGCTTCCTCCTTCTGGCTAGACAGGGTATTCCCCAAATCTGACAGGCACACTCTTGCCTTAGCACTAGAAGACTTGCCATTCCTTTTGTCTGACATGATTTTCCAAAAGATAGCTCTATGGCTCTTTTGCTGTCTGTCTTTGGTAAAAGCTTTTATGAATCCTTTCCTGACCATCTTATCTAAAACTAATACTCACCTGTTACTCTGTTTTCTGCTTTATTTTCTACATAACATTTATCATTATATAATGTGCTATATGTTTTCCTTATTTTTAAATAAAATCTCCTCCCCAAATTCTTGAATATAAATGTCAGTGGGTATTTTTTTAAAAATCTCATTTGTTTATTTATTTTCTCTTAATGCCTAAAAAAGTAGTATCTGGCATATAGTAGGCACTCACAAAGCTTGTGTTTATATAATGAGTTAATCAAGCCAAATAATATGAAGAAGGCCTGGTTTGGGTCACTGAGGAGCAGCAGATTGAAAAGAATAAATTAGAAAGTTTGCAATATGAAATAGAATTAAATATGCTCAGATATTACTCCTAATATTGCCACTAATGGACTGTATCATCTTAAAGTATTTCTTGTACTTGAAAAATGTCAATGGCCTCATCTTCAGATAAAAATTAAGATAATCCATAAGATCCCTTGCACTTCTGACTTTTTAAAAAAATTAGTGATAGATTTTATAGTCTATTCTTTTGTCCCATTTAAGAAAACAGATATTTGTATAATTATTTAAGTCTTATGTATTTTTATCACTCTGGCTTTTGTGAGGATTACGTGCAATATACCATTTTTTCAAGCCTTTTTTTTCTCCAAAATGTAAACAATTACAAAAGAGAAATTTATAAATTTTGCTGTTAAACTTTCCAAAGTAATGATGACATGAAGTAGAAAAATAAAATTCCACACACACACATACAGCTGAAATTTATCAGAAAAAATATATAAAGCAATTTCCTTTTCCAGGCATTTTTCTCCCAGCTGGTTTAACAACATACATCATTGTGGCTTCTAAATTTTAATTTACAAGGAACAAATATGGTAGTTTTATAGGCTTCTGACCATTGCAAAATCACTGATTGCAAGGCCTGTCTCCTCAGAAACTAATCAAAAGGTGACATATTCTGTTAACTTCCCATTATACATTCATAACATCATCTTTCAATTCAGTGTCATAAAGAATTTATGTAGGACATTAATCATGCAAGACCACTAAATTGTTCTCATTTCAGTGATAATTGTTTACTCCTATAAATGGTTTGTGTTGAGTTGCAACAATTCAGCTGAATAAAATATATCTTTACCACCCTGCATTGGGAGAGAAAATTAACCTATAGATAGAAGAACCAAACTGAATATATAATATGATTATTAGAAAAAAACTAAAATTTTAT
Source organism: Homo sapiens (assembly GCF_000001405.40). Lineage (NCBI taxonomy): Eukaryota > Metazoa > Chordata > Mammalia > Primates > Hominidae > Homo > Homo sapiens. The sequence continues at coordinate 76,526,577 of NC_000003.12, read as the reverse complement.
AGCACTCTTCTCTTTTCAGTGACAAGAGCCAATGACATTAGGATAATTCTGTCACCTTCAATAAAATGAATCTTGAAAAACAAAATTAAACAAAACAACAAAATCATATAGAATCAACAAACATGTAAAAACAAACCCTGTCTAATATCTATATGACATTGTTGACCCTGAAATCAGGTAAAATATCTTGTAAATGAAACATACTACACCTTGCTAGTCAATGAAGCTAAACTTAATTAAAGGGGTGTCAATCATTTGCTGAGAACAAAAGAAAACAAAACCTACTCTTAAGGTTATTCAGTATGGCCTTGTGAAATGTGCATGAGAACTGTAAGTCTTATGATCTGACTTTAACCCTGGCCCCGCTATGCTTCTGTAACCTTAAGGTTGATTCCCAAACTTCCCTTGTCTCAGTTTTCTCATCTGTAAAATGAACGAGCTGGACTCCATCATCTTGTAGGTTTGTCCTAACACCAACATTTTATAAGTCTATGTGGGAACTCAGCTAATCAAGACTTGTTTTTTTTTCTTTAAATCAACGATTTGAATGATTTGTCATCTGTTTTTAGATCTCTCCACTGCCTGCTGAATAAGAATAGGATCAATTTGAGACAGCCCTTTCAGCCCAAGGGTGCCATAACTAATGGCACTGTCTGTTTCTGCTTTCTAAATGGAATCCTACTATATATATTTTTTTCTGCGGTAAAGTGTCTACTTTATGAGCATAATAAATAGCAATTGCCCTTTAATGGCAACTTTAGCTGTGACCATTATGGCACAATTTAAGTGCTTAAAAACAATAATGGGAGTGATACAATGTTAATTATACTATGACTATGAAGGCTGTATACAAGAACTCCTGCAAAATTAAGTAAAACCCTGGCTAATTCTAATTACAGTCTGTCTAGAGGAGATAAGAGAAATTAAGCACCTCTTTTTTGAGTGCGTTCCTAATGTAACAGCACAATTTGGCCACATTGGTTGAGAAAACATTTCAAGTGACTCAGAAAGTAGGATTCTGAAATAAAAGAATTTTTTTCAGTTTAAATAAGAAAGGAAAGAAGATGAATTACTTACACAGAAAATGCATCTTTACTTGAAACAATGCTTACGTTCTTGCCTTTAAGCCTAAGGTAACCCACTTTTAAAGAGCTATTCATTAAACTGTCAGAGACAAAATTATATCATGGGATTTTTCCTTATTTTAAAATGTGTTTTATAAGCTATTTAGAAGAAATATATTTAAAACATAAAACCAAGAAGATCATCCTTCATCTTATCATCTATGGAAAAATTGAAAGCCAATTTTTCAATATTTATTTCAATTATTTTTTATTCTTTCCAAAATGTCTATCACTTACTCTCTTTCCTCTTTTTCTTTCTACCATTTATTGAATGCCTTCTATGTACTAGAAGCTCTATGTACTAGAGCTAGATATTTTAAAAAATGGGTAAAATAATTTTGCTGCCCTTAAGGGGTTTAGAGTCTAACAGAGAAAAGCAAACCTATAAAAGCAAAACAACGGTTTTGTTTACACCTCAGTATCTGTTGTGTATGTTTCTTTCTTTGTCTTCCAGTGTAATTTTTTTCTTTGAATTCTCTTGCTTTCCTTATTGTAAATTGCTTTGCATAGATCTCTAACTCATGGGATCTTTATAAATCCAATGTGAGGCGTAGAAATCATTTATTTGATGTATCTGATTTTACTTATTTTTTTTTTTTTTTTTTTTTTTTTTTTTTTTTTTTTTTTAGGAATAAGAGGGTCATAGGTTTTTAAGAAAACCCCCTGCTGGAAAGCCTGGCATATTTCAAAGTGCTACCATTTGAAAAGTGAGGGAAACAACATTTAATAAATAATGAAAACAATTGCCTGGCAGTCTACAATTTCCAATACATACATTGTTTTAATGGATCATAAACTAAACACAGTAGTATAAGGATAAGAGAAATCAACTCATTTTTAATAAATAAAAATGATAACTGATGGAAATCATTGAATTCCATTGAAAAGCGTCCCATAATCTCTAAATCATAGGTATTAGGAGAGTAACCCAAACCATTATAGTTAAGTATCTGGGTGCTTAAAAATTGTCGCCCTCACCTTAAAGCATTTATTATCTATAAGGGACCTTCTAATTTGTCAGTATATCTGGATTTAAGTGACCCATAGGGCATATATCAAATACCTGCCTTGGGAGGTTATTTGTCATTTTAGCAGTGCCACTTTTACAGCATTAGAGTAGTTTCAATGACATTTAATCTGTGCTCCCTTTGAGCAATAATCATATCACTACTCTTTAGTAAATGTTTCCAAATAGAGGATATTTTGTGCACTCTATTTTTATAATATATGTAGATCCTCAGCCTCACCTGCTGCCCAGTCAAATGAAACATAAACAGGATTTGTACACAAATTCACAAGTTCATTAACATCTGTTATGATCATTTTCTAAAATTTGTGTTGCTTATGTATTAAAAGTTAAAATAGTATTATTAAGACTTCAAACTTGGAGATAACTTTATTTTCTTCAGATTTTTCTGAGATTTTTCTCTGATATGTGAAGACACCACACACACACACACACACACATACACACACACACACAGCATATTCACTTACCACTTCCTCCCCATTTTCATTCACTTGAAATCATTGTTTTCCAGATTGTTTCTTCCCATTAATAAACAATTATTTTTGCCATTTGCCTCATCTTTCCCATATTAAAATACATCATTGCAATCATTCATCTTATATTTTCAGCCTCTTCCCTAATAACTATAGCATTTACTATTTAGCATTGCCAGCGTTTCTCACGGAGGTTGTTTATCCTTCTATTAAGTTGTTATTCAGTAGGAGCCTTCTTCCCATCACCAGAAAAGAGATAATAAAAATAAACAACTTAGAGAAAGTATGAAGACTGAAAGAAATGTGAGATAATGAGAGAATGTGGAAGCTGTACATCTGGTGTGTTGGAGAGTGAAAAACCATAGTCATGAGCTCTATACAGAAGAGGAATACTACATCAGAGAAGTTTGAGATGCAGCTGTGGAGATGGCAGGTGGCTGACACTAACTCTCTGTGTGAGCTTGGGCTAGTTACTAAGCTTATCTAGCACATTTCTAAAACAAAGAGTTTAGTACCTTTGCAAGGTATTTCCAGACGAAGGTACAAAGGAAAAAGGCAGAAAATTCAAGACATGTCCAAGTAACAGAAGGAAGGTAAAATGAGATAAAATTAAAGACAGAATGGGAAAAGTCGATTAAAAGCCTGGACTTTATTCTGTAAGTGACTAGTCATCCTCAAAAATCCACACTACAAATAAAATTATTAATCATTTAGTCTTCTCCTTTAGACAGGCATATCACACACACCAAAAATGGGACAATTTTGGTAGAACAAGTACATTATTATCTCCCAAGCTTCTGTAAAGACTAAACAAATTTACGGTATTTGGAGCTGGCCCTCTTTAGAGGAAAAAGGACCAAAATTTTCCACTTGCAGTACTAGCTGTAGGTTAGGTCTAGAATATATATATAATATATACATATATAAAATATATTATATATTTTATATGTATAAAGTTATATATAAAACTTTAAATAATTATATAATCATAATAAAAATTATGTAATATATACAGCTATCTATATCTATCTCTGTATATACAAATCATCACATATAAGATAAACTAATATGGAAATGAGGGGGATATGACCTCTAGCCACCATTTGATGATACTTAGTTTAGTTCATTTCAGGATAAAATTGGAGGCAGAGATTTAGGGCAAGAGAGAAACAATTGATAATCAATTCTTGCAGCTCACTAGTTTTACTTATGCTAATAAGTAGTATAGTGAATGTAGGATAGACAGATGAATGGCCATAGCAAAACGGAGATAAATCATTCAGTGGAATCTTAGTTCGATATTCCAGGAAGGTGAATTGTTTGTCTGAACTCATAGTTTCCTTTGGATTGTTGGATTAAGGGTGATTTTTAACTTATTTCTGTACTTAAAAACACCGTGTAGTTCTCCATGAATTTAGAACTTATTTATAAAGAAGAAAAGAACTTGTCTGTTTGTATTTTCAAACTTGACATTTTACTTTTCAAATTAATTTTTACAAATACTGCCTTGATTCTCATTTTTGGTCAGCTGTATTTTATTGGATTGATGAAGAAAGATGGAGTGACAGACAGACACATGGGCACACAGTTGGAGTTGGGAAATAAGCAGTGGGGCGAATAATCCCAAAACATAGGGTAATTGCAAGGAAAATTTCATTTGGCTCTTGAATACACACAATGAGTTGTAGAGAATAGATTTACTTCTCTAATTACTCTATGTTGCACTTGGGCCAATGCTGAAATGATTTTACATTCCCTGGGCATATACCAACTGTTAGGGTGAGGAGGGGCCCATAAACATACTGGATACAGAGGGAAAAACATTTTTTTGCATACCGCCCACAATGCAAATGCTATTCTTACAGCGTTGTCTGTATTATTACCAAACTAGTCAATTTCTTTAATTTAGATGAAGGATTACACAAAATTCTTGAAAAACAAAAACATAAATCAAGTTGATTTATTTATTCTGATTTGATCACTCAAACAGCTAACTTCAAGCCACATATAGATGCACATATAGTCAGAGTGAAATATATTGCCACGTGGCTTATAAACATTGATCACCTTTCCTAGTTTATATATAAAAAACTTGAAATTGAGTTATATTTAATATACAAATACCATATTTATAATAACTCTATAAGAATAATACAAACTTAGAAAGAACATATACTTCTGAAGGTCAATTCCAAAAAGAAGTGCAGACAAGGCAAGGAACAAAAGAAAATACATATATTAAGCTAGAGTTTTCCAGCCTTTACTTTGCAATGAATATGGTGGTTCTCTATAGAGACTTCACCATTATTTAACCCATATTTAACAGAACAATATAGGCATTGCTGTTTTTCCACTGAGAAAGTTGAGGCTTGCAGAGTTTGATGAGCTTATCTTAAACATGATATTTAGTAAATAAAATATTTCAAATTTGGACCCAGATAAATCTGTTTTCAAAACTTGCTTCCCCTATTCCTGCCCTACCTCCCGCATCTCTGCTGTTCTCCTTGGGCCTTGTCAATGGTTGGCAACAATGACTACCTGGAATGACCTACTGACTAGGACCTCCACTGGAATCACACCATGCAGAGAGCAATTGTTGTTGGGCCAGGCGCGGTGGCTCATGCCTGTAATCCCAGCACTTTGGGAGGCCAAGGCGGGCGGATCACTTGGGTCTAGGAGTTTGAGACCAGCTTGGCCAACATGGCAAATCCCCATCTGTACTAAAAATACAAAAATTAGCCAAGCGTGGTGACGCATGCCTGTAGTCCCAACTACTTGGTAGGCTGAGGTGGGAGAATTGCTTGAACCCGAAAGGCAAAGGTTGCGGTGAGTTGAGAGCACACCGCTGCACTCCAGCCTGAATGACAGAGGGAGACCCTGTCAAAAAAAAAAAAAAAAAAAAAAAGAAGCAATTTTTGTTGCAACTGTTTTTTCATATCAAACTTCTGGACAAATAATATGAGAGGCACCTTTAAGAAAAAAATAGTAATAAATGAAGAAGAGAATTCAATGTTTTCTATAGTATACTGGGAACTCACTCTATCTAAGAGACCGTACAGTCCAGATATGAAAGGTTACATTCTGAAGCCTGACGCTAAAATCAGAAAGGCCCTTTTTAAAATTCAAAAGTGCTTTTTAAATGTTTTAAAATGTTTGTTTTGTTTTGTTTTGTTTTGTCAAGATGTGGACTACTAGCATCCTATAATGTAGAGGTTTCTTGACATTATTTGATTTATGCAAATTTTGCATTTAGAAAGCAGAGATTGATGAGAATTAGAGGCTCCAAGGTCCCACAGTGGTATAGACCAGGACTAAAAGATTGGTCACATTATTGATTTGGACCTGAGTTTCTTACAGAGGAAAATGAGAATTTTGACTAGATAACTTGTAAGATCCCTTCCAGCTGTAAAATCCAGTGACTATAAGCACTCTGATTCTCAGCCCACTACTCTTTATAGGATGCTATACTACTTATCATCACAGTACTAGAAATTTTTTTTGAGATGGAGTCTGGGTCTGTCACCCAGGCTGGAGTGCAGTGGCACAATCTCGGCTCACTGCATCCTCCACCTCCCAAGTTCAAGCAATTCTCCTGCCTCAGCCTCCCAAGTAACTGGGATTACATGTGCCTGCCACCACGCCCGGCTAATTTTTGTATTTTTAGTAGAGACGGGGTTTCACCATGTTGGCCAGGCTGGTATCGAACCCCTGACCTCAGGTGATCCGCCTGCCTCGGCCTCCAAAAGTGCTGGGATTACAGGCATGAGCCACTGCGCCTGGCCTGGAAATCCTTCTGATGCGATGAGGACCAATGATGCAGCTCATTGAGGGTTAATTGGAACGTGTAATAGAGAAAGGGAAGAAGGGAAGCAGCCACTCCCAGGTTCGGTGGAATCACCTGACATGGAGAGGGACTAACGAGGTATTTATATTGTGATTATAAGATAATAAGGGGTCCCTATGTGAATGAGTCCTTGGGTGCTCTGAGTCTGTTCTTAGGCTTTTCGGCTGACCTGCTTATTTGCAAAATATTCATCTCTTGATTTTCCCCCTCCATTCAAGTTGCATGGATCTTGTCAAGTGTATCAATGCATCAGAGCGCTGGGAAAAGGGAGAGACTGATTCAGATCAAAGGTACTTAAACCTGAAGCCAGAAACTTTAAGAAAAAAGGAGTCTTAAATGGAAATATATACTTTGCAATTCACTTCCTTTCCCCTCTCTATTTCTATTTTTGTCTTATATCTCTTCTAGCAAAAGGATGAGCTTCATGTCTATCATTTTGGCAGTTTCCAATGTCCTAGTATGCAAATCCCCGGGTATACAAAAGTGAGAAGCGTAAAATCTGGGAGATTGTAGTATAGGCCACAATGCTAGATATTTTCTTAGAGATGTCAAGCTAGTTTATTAAATTATCCCCTGACTGTCGTGTACCCACCTTTAACCCTCTACCTTGCTTTGCTAGGTAATTGCAGACAGAGAGTTTGGGAAGGTTTAACCATGTACATTTTAATTAATTCCTGAAATCATCAGTACATTTTTTATACCTGTGCAAATGTCTTAATTGATATCAAGAGTCAGCAAACCCCTTTTGTAAATATTTTCAGCTTTGCAATTCATACTGTCCCTGTTACAACTACTCAACTCTGCTCACGTAGTAGGAACATACATAAACAAATGGATGGCTGTGCTCCAGTAAAACTTTGTTCACAGAAATGTTGAACTTCTGACCATACATTTATGCCACAGTATTAAGCTATCATTATATGTTAAACATCACTGGATATGTAATAAGGTTTTGGAAACCTATTCCTCATGTCTGGGTTCCTCATTCCTTGCTTTGCAGTGAAATCTTACTCAACTTTCTGAGTCCAGATCAAACGTCACATCCTCTGGGAAGTTTTTCCAACCTCTTCTTCTTGTGGTCACCCCTGGCTCACAAATGAGTTAGTTTTATTCCCTCTGGTGTACAGCTATTACTTCTTAAATAGATTTTCTATTGGGTATTATGATGAGTTTGTACGTCTTTCTCCTTCAAAAAAATTTTAGGTTTTTGAGAGAAGGATAAACTGTTATTCATCTCTGATCCCTATGGCCAAAGACTGACTTTAGCTTCTAATTAAATATGTAGGAAGTGATGGCTCAACACTATGCACCAGGGAATTTAAGTTTATTGTTTTTCCGCTTTATAAGAGAATTGGATCTTTTTAAATTCAAAGAGAACATGATGACATAAATAAAATTTGCTTATTTATTTTCAAAATAACACAAATAAAGATGTGAACTACTGCCATAGCTATATATTTGTTTTTTGTAATACATAGGAAATTTAAAGAGGTAAAACCACCATATGAGCTCAGATAAAATATTACATTGCCCAACTCACCTTGCTGCTAAGTACTACAGTATGATTCATTCCTGGCCAATAAGAAGTGAGTGAAAAATGTTGTATGGAACTTTCAGAGACGCCTCTTAAAGAGACTTGACCCAGCTGGGAGGAGCACACTCTTACCTTTCCTACCTTCCTCTTTCATCTGGAATGTGGGAATCATGATGTGATTATTTTACATGGCACGCCTGTATCAAAACATCTCAGGTACCCCCAAAACATCATACCTACTATGTACCCACAATAATTAAAAATTAAGAAAAAAAATTCTAAAAAAATGATGAGTCAACTCCCAGTGGACACCTTGGAGCCAAAATACAGAAAGTGCCTGGGTCCTTCAGGTCATACTGGTGCGCTTCCATGCCTCTTGTGGACTGCCTTCTCAAAAAATTCTTTTGTGTGTCATTATTGTTTCTGTTTTCTACTACAGAAGGCTACTGGACAATATCTAACTGACACAGTGCTGTATGTTCCAATTCACATAAGTAATTACAATGTATTCTAAATCTAATGCCAATGTCTCTTTACAGAGTGTAGAAACTAAAGGAACCCCCTGATGCATGATAAAGTTTTTTTTTAATATAAAAAAAGGAATGCCTCTGGAATGATAAACATCAGAACTTTCCAAAGTGACAGTTATTAACCTTTTGTAAAATATAATTTTAAGGATAATTTAAATCTAAAATGACATGCAAAATGTGAATATGTTCTGTTCTCTGTTCTTTCCTCTCCACAAGGAGAGGAAAAGGTAGATACCCACTTTGGACAGGAGTGTATATAAGTGACTTCAAGTATATAGTCCAACCAGGCTACTGGTTTATATCCCAGATGTGTCATTTTAACTGTAGCAAGTTACTTAAACTTTAAATGGTTTTCAATTTCCCATATATAAAACAGGAATAGCAATAGCAACTGTATCAAGTTCTGGAATCATAAAATGGGTTAATTGATATAACATACTTAGGCATGATAAACATCGTTTTACATTTAGCTATTTTTTGTTTTTTGCCACCAGTTGGATTTGGGTAGAAATCCACACTCTACTGCTGCCATCTATGTGACGCTGGAAAAGTCACTTAACTTCTCTAAGGCCTCAAGCTTTTCTGATCTGGAAGATGAAGAGAAAAATATCGACCTATTAGTGCTCCTGTGAAGGTTAATTAAGATGCATGCAAAGCCACCAGGTCAGTGCCTGGCTCCTAGTAAACACTTAACAAATTGTCACTCTAACTTTTTATTTTTCCTTTTAGTTATATTAATCTTTTTTCCTCCCTTTGAACAGGCAATTCTATTGTCAGAATGAAGTGAAATTCATTCAATGGGCAGATGCACTCATTAAACACTCACATATATGTACATACATGGGTAAAAGCACTGAAATATATATTCACATGCACGCATGTCCCCAGGAAACACTGGCTTGCAATCACACTGTATGAAAATTTTATAACCGTTATATTAAAAGAAAGTCATATGATATAGATACATAATTTCATGCACTTAAACCTGTTTTTCTTTCAAAACTACCTAGATAAAAGTTAAACACATAATATTACTTAAAAGGGATCCTGTATTTCTCATCTCCATTCTTTCACTGTGCAAAATAATCGCTGTCTCTTTAGAGCAACATTCTTTTTCAAAATAAGAAGAGAAAACCTGAACATGACTTGGGGATTAAGCAATAAAACAGCTGCCTTATTACCTTCAGGGACTTGCAGATCATTCTAGAATGTCATTCTGCCTGAGAAGGTCTCCTTCTAGTAATCTTTATGCTTCTTATGAATACTGTTTTTAGGTCGGAATGCTTGTCAAATTACAGAAAATTTGATCTTAGTTCCTTCTCAAAAATTAAAAGATCAGAAAACAGAATCTCTCAGGTCTCCTTTAGTTATAATATTCTATGATTTTTTGATTCCTTAAAGAATTCATTTTCCTAGAAATGGTTGGGAGAGAGGATGCAAGAACGGAGAGTACACAAGAGAACACTGGTAAATTTTAAAATGGAGCAAGAGCCAAGTTCACAGTCCAATGACACATTGAGGAAAATCTTATAATACATTGTGTCTCTTTATTGCTACTGCCTCTTTAGTAATAAACGGGAATCTACAACTCAATACGACAATGTGTTCGGGGTCACATTTTGAACTTCAAAGAGACTAATGAAAACTTTGTGGAAGCTCTGAAAGCTGTGGGGAAGTCATAAAAAGGATACTGTCTGCACTTTGTAGATTCATTCTTGGTATGAACAGCAGCAGGTGTGGGTATGGAGGTAGGATGGGAGAAAAGAACAATTTAGGGTCATCTGCTATAGAGGGTCTTCTCACAGATTTCTGTTGCTCATAGAGTCCCAGTTATATTTTCCTACCATGAAACATACATTTATCAGCCAAAATCAAGATTGTAACAAATCTATTTCTCACTTTTTGTAAATTGCACAAATGGAATTTTGACTTTTAGGGATGTCATTCTGTTAAAGTTTTAAACATATTACAGGGAAAGGTCTAAATAAACCAAGGTCCACTAGATGTCTAAATCTAGCTTTTCGCCTCTGACTTTTTCATAGCAGGTTTATATTTTTGACTTTTCACTTTCTCTAATGCCTTGCTGCTCTCGGTACCACATGTCATCAGCCAATATATAAAACTTGTAAGTGAAGCTGGGAGAAAATGAGACATAAGTGAAGAATCGAGAGACCATACATGTTCCTTTGAAAACAGTTTAGGTTTTCTATAAGTGACAGTTGGACAAATTTTGTTCACTGAGAATGAGAAGGGAATGAACGTTTGACAGAGAGTGGGTTATCCATTCAGTGGTTTTCTTTCTAGAGTTCAACAATATTAAAGACAATAACTGTTCCTCTCCCACTGTATTAATAACAAATAACACAGTGCCAGACACAGAATAAATGCTCAATACATATTTTTATCTGTTGTTAATAAAGGAGCAAAGATATGCTTAGGCTTTATATGCAAATGTACACAATAGAGAGCAAAAGCAATGTGTACACATTTGAATGGATGAATTCAACATACCTGAGTCCTTTTATTAGTACAAAAAAAAAAAATACCTTGCAGGCGTGTAAGAAATAATGATAAGTTCCAATATCCAGTTTTGTTTTGAAAGGAGATGTACTATATTCCAGTTTCTTTTTGTGATAGTTGGGGAAAAAAAGGAAATATACATTTGAGAATAAAATAACAAATATAAAGTTAAAATAGACTTCAAAATATAGAAACAAATAACATGACTTCATTTTTTCCCTTTCACCTGAATGCTTTGTTTAATTTTAAAGATTGCTGAGCAGTAGAAAGTCAGGGAGGAAGAAGGCGAGAAGGTATATAAAGAAACTCACTTTAAAATTGGGTTAAAAAAGAACTATAGCTGCAAATTAAGGAAATCACTTATTTAAACATCTCAAACTGGAAATAGCTGGCATTTTAGAACACAGATAGTTAATCCAAGTGTTTATTATTGTAGAACAGAAGGTCAGAGAGAAACAGCACAGGGCAATTCTGAAACAAGTTATAAATGAACAAGCCATGGGAAGTGAGAGAAAAGGATTTAGGTGCTTGTATTCCTATTATTTTCTATAAAAACATTATGCAAACACCACCTCTAACTTGTGTGTGTCTCAAACCAAGGGCTAATGTGTGTGTCATTAGTCAGCAGTTGCTATTGAACAACATTATGGAAAGAAGAAAAAATGGAGGTGAACACTTCATTCAGGCAATCATGTATCTAACCTCTGAGTTTCCATAGTAATAATCAAAAATAGATTTTAAAATGTTCCCTTCATGAAGGAGAATAGGCACTGTAAGTGCATATGGTAGCTAGAGAAAGTGAGTTGAAGGTGGGATTTCAGGGAAAACTGACATTTAGAAGTGGGTTTCCAAAAAAAGAAATAAAAGTTGAAAAAGATTAAATGGAACTCCAAAGGCCTCAACAACAATAATCTAGGATTTTTTCGATAACAGAGATTAAAAGGATAATGGCAACATTTGTTCAACAATATTTTTATCTGATATCTTCATTATTATTATTTTTATAAATATTTCCAATTGAATATTGATTGGGATAATGAAGAATATCCTGAAACATTAATGAACCACAGTTACTGTGATTTTCTGAAGACTCAGCTGAATAAAGGACAATTCTCAGCTGCTTTGTGAATTTTACTAGTTTATTCTCATGTTTGGGATGGTATCTTAAGCAGTTCTTAAAGTTGGGGAGGTAGGTGAGCGCCTGGGTGGGCCCTAGGGGAGAGTGACTGACTACATGTAACATGGGGGGAGAATCTTGAACCAAATCTGATCAAACATCTAGAAATCACTCTCAGTTTATAAAAAACACAGGAAACAGAGCAACATGTGAAATGATATCATGGGGATCCAATTATCAAAATGTAGAATGTAGAGGAATAATGGGACAAATGACACACTTTTTTCAACAAGTAAATTGATGTTTAAAATAAAAGAGTGACAGGTAGATTAAAAGAGACTTAGTGACATACTGACAATACGCAATGAAGACACTAATTAAAGTACATCAATTCTAATCATATATTTATGAGACATTTGGGGAAATTTGAACACCTCATATTTGATAACATTAAAAAATGATTGTTAACATTTTTGGTAGTGTTAATGATATTATGGTTATTTTTTCAAAAAGTTCTTACATTCTAAAAATTTTAAGAGTGAAATGGTAAGACATTTGCTCATCGTTTCACTTTTACCTGAGGTTGGCCGAAGTGGGTAGGATGACAAATGAAATAAGATTGGGATAGTCTGATAGTTGTTTAAACTGGGTAGTGGACATATGGAGTTTATTATACTCATCTCTCTATTGTTTACACATTTGAAAATTTTCAAATTAAGTCAGTGTGAACTATTTAAGACAAAATTAAATAATGAAGCAATTCATAACTTTAAATTATATTCAATATTTGATTTATACTCAATTTTGCTGGTTGGCTCATTTTAAATACTCATAATAGCCAAGAGTGGTGGCTCACACCTGCAATCCCAGCACTTTGGGAGGCCACGCCAGGCGTGGTGGTGTGAGCCTGTAGACCAGCTGCTCAGGGGGCTGAGGCAGGAGAATCGCTTGAACCCAGGAAGGAGGTGGAGGTTACAGTGAGCTGAGATCACACCACTGCACTCCAGCCTGGGTGACAGAGTGAGACTCTTCCTCAGAAAAATAAAAATAAATAAATAGATAAATAAATAAATAAATACCCACAATAACCTGAACATTTGTCCTGGCATTCTGGGTAAGGCAAAGCTGAGGATTAAAAACAAGAGAGTGGTACAGAATTCAAACATAAGTTAAAACAATGTGGCCTGCCTCATCACCATGTGCCTTCCATTTTTATTTGAATAAAATTTATAGCTCTTACAATGGCTTATAAGGAATTATGATTTACCCCTTGCTACTGTTCAAATTGTCAAGAGAACTTCCTTGATCAACTTTCTAAGGTAGTAGTACCATGACTCTCCATTCCTTTATCAGACTTCACTTTTTCTTAGAGTGCTTATTTCTAAATTAAACTGTGTTATGTATTTCTGGGTTTATTTAATTTTTTCTTCCTCTAGAATGTAATATTCATGATGACGGTGTTTTGTTTTGCTCATGGCTGTTATCCCAGCCCGCGAAATGAGGTTAGCACATACGGGTTGAGGATCCCTTATCCAGAATACTTGGGACCAAACGGGTTTGGGATTTCTACATTTTTGCAGATTTTGAGATATTTGTATATACATAATGAAATATTTGAGGATGGAACCCAAGTCTAAACATGAAATTTATTTATATTTCATATCCATTTATACACATAGCCTGAGGTAATTTTATAAAATATTTTAAACAATTTTGTGCCTGAAAGAAAGTGTGTGTACATTGAACAATCAGAAAGGAAAGGCACCACTGCCTCTGCCACCCGGGTGTGCTGTCTGTGGGTGTTTGACATCACCCTTTTTCCTGACTGAATTTACAGGCTACTGAGAAGCAGTAAGCAATCATTTCCTTATACTTATTCACAGCTAAGTGCAGAACAGTAAAAAATACCATAATAGAGTGAAAAAATTATGTGTTCAGAGTAACTAACAGCACAGTAGCATCGCCAGAATACCTGTATCTGCTGTTAAACAACAGCAACAGCTGACAATGGCAGGCTTTCAGTCTCTATGTGTGATGCTGTGTTTTGATTAAAGAGTTAAAGTACACTATATATATATATATACATATATATATATAAATTTCTGCAACCAGTCCATTTATTCCATATATATATATAAGTAAATTAGTAAGTTCCATATATATATATTTAAGGAAACATCAAAAGTTATTGAGAGACCAGGAAGGAGATTCTCTAGAGATAAGGAGAGATTTTTCAGGAAGGCTTTTAAAAATGTTTCTCCCAGAGTCATCTGCCTCATTAACAATGTTTTTTTGTTTGTTTTAGAAGTCTCTCTTTGATTTTATAAACTGACATGATGTTTTGTTCTGTTATGGATACATACTGCTCTTGTCCTTCAGTAAGCCCACCACACATTTTTGTCATGTCATCTATAGGCACTTTTCAGGCACTGTTAACATGGTCATTATGGTCATGCTCAACTTGATTCACAACCATTTTGGCTATTTCACAATCAGGCAATAAATGAACAACTGGATCCTCATTACCAATGTTAAAAACTCCTGTGATACCCACTTCTTCCCACTTACTGATGGGCTCCGAAGGTATCTGTTTTGCATATGAAAGGAAGTCAGATATAATTTTTCTCTCATTTGACATACAAACTCCTTTAAAGTTATACTTTGTTCATTATCTTCTGTGAACATAAAGGCAGGCCAGAGGTTGTATCAGGCATGCACAACTATTTTTAGTAGCTGTGTTCCCAGCATTGGCAATAGCATATATGGCATCCTTCATGCTAAACTCCTTTTGAAAACCTCCCACACTCATGCCTCTGTTCACGGAGGCTAGTACACTGTTCAAAAAAGTGTTTTATGTTTACTTTATTTGATCTAAAGATATCCTGGTCACATGGTTGTATTAATAAAGCCACATTTTGGGAAAAATATATGGCATAAATATTTTGATGAGAATTTCAGCTGAAGGATGAGCAGAACAGTTAGAAAGGAATGACAATATTTTGCAGTCATCATCCAGTCGCTGCGGTGAGCACAAGTCACTGGTACAAAATGTTTGTGAAACCAATAAGAAAAATGTCTCTGGTGACCTATGCTTTTTATTAGCATAACAATGAACTGGAAAGAAATTCACTATTTGAAAATAGTAAGGACGCAAAATTTTGCATATCACAGCAAGTTTATACTTAACTTGTGCCTGACACGGTAGCACAGGCCAGCACAGTTATCTGTCCCTGGCATTCTTAATTCCTGTAGAGGGTGTCTCGTCAGCTGCATTCAGTGTCTTTCGGGGGCAGTAATACCAAAACAGTGATAGTTCATCAGCATTAGAGACTTGTTCTAGTGTCAGATTTTCATTAGTGATGACCTTGGCAAACTTGTCAATACTTTGCCGATTCATGATCAGCAGATGTTTTATCATCACAAATCTTTAAAACTTTAATACTGTGTCTTTTCTTAAATTTCTGCAACCATTCCATTTGTTCCCTTCAGTTTTCAGTTTCTTGTGATAGATCTTTGCTTGCTTCATAATCAGCATATCATTAGGTGGCATGTGTTCATTGAGAAGCTAAAGAATCCATTCTTTCAATATACAGTCAAGATCTTCATTTATAGTTTTATGCAGTGTTTTTCTGTTTTTCATTAATTTCTTCCTGTATTTCATTTATTTTATTTTTTATTTTTTTGAGACAGAGTCTTGCTCTGTTGCCCAGGCTGGAGTGCAGTGGAAGGATCTCACCCACTGCAATCTCCGCCTCCCAGGTTCAAGTAATTCTCCTGCCTCAGCCTCCCAAGTAGCTGGGACTAAAGGTGCCTGCCACCACATCTGGCTAATTTGTGCATTTTTGGTAGAGATGGGATTTTGCCATGTTGGCCAGACTGGTCTCAAGCTCCTGATCTCAGGTGATCCACCCACCTCGGCTTCGCAAAGTGCTGGGATTACAGACGTGAGCCACTGCCCCCAGCCATATTTTTCATTAACTTCTATTCATCACTTTCAGCATAGAACTTCAACAGTTTATCCTTCCATTTCCTCAGGTTGTATATGGTGGTCACTCTAACGCCATGCTTTTCTATAAGACATTTCACACTTACATCACTGTCCAGTTTCTCCAGCAGCCTGATTTTGTGTGTTATAGATGAACATAAATGCTTACCCTTTTTCTTATCACTGTCAGTCATAGGGATATCTTCAGGCCTTTTTTGACATTTTTCAACAATATTCTTTCACCACAAAGTAGAGAATAAGCAAGAAATCACAGTGAGTAATGCATGCACGTCTTGTTCTCATGTAGGGCATCATAGGGAATCTACCCTTGGCATGTCCAGCCTGCACATGTGCCATTTTATTACCCTTTGTGGGTGTGCTTGTTTAGGGAATCTGGGCATGTGCAGAAAAGACGTATTGCACCTGAATGGGCCTGGGAGAGTCTATATTCGCCTTGGGGACATTGAATAAACTGTGTGTGTGTGTGAGCCTGTATTTTGATTGTGACCCATCACATGAGGTCAGGTGTAGAATTTTCTACTCGTCGTATAATTTTGGCACTCAAAAAGTTTCAGATTTTGGAGCATTTCAAATTTTGAATTTTTAGGTTAAAGGTGCTCAACCTGAGTGAGGCATTAATTAAATACTTGCCTAAACAAATTGTGAAATTTAAAGAAAAGTATTCATGGCAGATGTTTACCTGGGCTTTGCTGGAATAATTCTTGTGAGGAGGCACTCACAGCTTCGTGGAGCGTGACTTCCGTTGCTGGACAGCAGCAACTGTTGGAAAGCGTTGCCTCAACACTAGGCCGAATGTCTCTTGTTCCACTTTCCACTCACGGCTCTTGATTCTCTCTACAGGTACCATGTAAACATGCTACCATCTGCCATTGAATAAGGAGAAGCTTCCTTTCTTAGTAAAAATTCGACCAAGGGTGACCTTTTGCTTAGAGTTCCAGGGCTGCATGTTAATGTTTATCTGGGACCATAAGCAGTTATCATCAAGGCTAAGCTGCCACCCAGAAGAGCTGCCAAAACCAAGTCGGGCACTCATGGAATCTCTGCCTCTTTCTCTCTCTCTGGCTCTGCTCCACCAGGGGTGAGTAAAATTTATCACCAAAACGTTCAAACAGAATGGGTGTGATTGAATATCTTCTTTCTCAGAGAGTGGGGCTGCCTGCAACTGAGAGTCAGCTGTTTTAACAGAAGGAGCCCTAAAATGGCACCACCTTGGCCCCACCCCTTCTTTTACTAGAAAAACTACCTTTTTCTACAAAGGTAACTTTCTAAGAATAACAAAGGTAGTTTCCTGATAGTAATCTTATTAGAGACAAGAAAAACAAACACAGAAACAAAACTCCCAAACCCAATTCACTATATGGGCATGTATATAACTTTGATAAGGGCTTCAATAGAAATAGTAGAGCTTCTTCAGATTCACATATCTACATATGCATTGTATAATATAAAAAAGGATCATTTGGTTCAATGGATAAAGAATCCAGACAGAATCAATATGACCTAGGTTAGAAATCCTGCACTAACTTACTATATTAATGAAATCAAAGCAGTGTAATAAAAAGTAATTCACTGAGAGTTCATATAAACAGTACATTTTGAAAAGAATTACTGAGATGCTTTGTCTTATAATGAACTGCCAGAATGTTTTGAATCTTTTTAAATATTTGGAGGGATGATATGATAAGCCTCAAGTTTTTTGAGTGGTAGCAAGCTATATTTGCTTCAGCAACTTATTGCATAAGAAAAATATATGTCGATCCAAGGATATCTCAGGATTACTACATTTGTACTAAAATAAATAGATTAATGATTATTTTTAAACATAGATATGGATGTTTCCTCCACCTACTTAATGTTTCTTAAAATAACATTCTTAATAATTTTTCATTAGTAAAGCAGACAAATATTCACTGTCACAAGAACGAGGAAAGGAGAAAATAGATTGAGTAGGTCCAAATTGTTGCAAGGAATGTATTATATATTTAATCTTATTTTTTTTCACAACAGCCTCCAAACAGGTATACTGTCTTTATTTTACAAATAGGGAAATTCAATTAAGGAATGCAGTTCATGTTGCCAATGGTTAAAAGAATAATTAATGGTGAATTTAAATTTGAACGTAGTTCTAATTAGTTTCACATAATTTGTTGCCACATTTAGGGGAATACTAAAAATGATCATTTTAGGGACAGCATGTTAAAGGTTTTAAGAAAATCAGAAGTAACTAAAATTAACAATGACAAGTTTGTGTACATGTATTTATATATGCTTTATTTTGATGAATGGAAAGTCACACCGTACTTGAAATTGTGTAGGTATCATGGATCTCTATTATGCTACATAAAAACATGTATTTTATTTCATATGATTTTACTTTAGATAAGTGACATACATATACATATATAAAGAGGAAGACATCCTGAGGAGTGTTCATTATACAACCCTTTGTAAATTATTCCTCCTGGAGTGCTGTGTGCTATTGAATGTTTGAAACATATGTCCTCATGACTTTGATTTCCTATGAAAGAGACAGATCAGAGAGTTGTTTTCCTAAAACTAGAGGACTCTAGAGAAGAGTGGTAGAAAGAACGGATTGTAGAACCAGACTAGGATCGTGTTTTTATCATGTGCTTGGTATATGGTACATGACCTTTATGAGTTAATCTACACTAAGTAAAAAATGGTTTCTCCTTTTGTGAAATATGGGTAATGACAGTACTTATCTCGTAGGGTTGTTGTGAGGATTATATCAGTTAATATATGCAAAACACTTAAAATATTGTCTGGTATGTATTGTGCTATTGTTACTGTTAAGCTCTTTTATAGCTGGTTCTAAAGATTCCATTCTAATAGAATGAAGAGGCATTCTCTGTAAAGGGAACTTCAGTATTACAATTTCTGCAAGTATTAGATTTAACATTCTCTGTCTCCAAACACCAGACTCTTCTTTGAAAACCAAGAACTATGTTTACTTTATTAATAAACGTTTTTCTTATAAAGAACTCATAAGTTCATATTTAGTAATTACATAAAGAAGTGAGGGTTATATAGCTAGAATAATCTTTAAAATTATAAAACCTAATCAAATTTCATAAATAAACTCATATTCATTGTGTTATTTGTATTTAGATTTTTTCAAAAATTTAAAACTTATTATCTTCATGCATTTTCAAACAGGAATCTATTTCCATTAAATAATTCTCTTTTGATATAAAATATTTAAGTACCTTTAATTTATGCCCTGTACGAATTTCTAATTTATGTTGATTGTAACTATTTCGTTAATTTATGAATCAGTAAAAGCCATGTAAACATGTAACTCAAGATTTAGTTCACAGCAAACAATCAACATTATTAAATTGTTACAATTGATACTAATATTTCTGAGAGAAGACTCCAATTTTAAATTCATATATTTTTATAGAAAGTTCATAAACTTAACATCATAACTTTTATTAGAAGATTTTGACTAAGATTGTCAAAAATAAAAATAAGCCAGCTGATTCTTTATTTTTAGGTATATTTTAAGGAACAAACACATTCAGTTTTATTTTGATTCCACATTCAGTCTTACCTTCACTCACTCATTCATGAATCAGGGATCACTCCTCCTTGAACAAGCCTCCATGTTCTAAGGAACAGATTGTATTTTATGTTTAGCTGTTTTCAGGTTGCCAGGGTACGCTAACAGTGATTTGTAAAAGAATATCATAAGCACCATCTTGTCTGATAAAATGAGGACAAGACACATACATAAATTATAAATCACAATATCTTATTAAATCTCTAATGAAGGTACAAAGAATAAGGGAAATAAAGACAGAAAAAATAATGCAATGAGGAGCATTGGGGAAGCCTTCATGAGGCAAAGCAGCACTTGAATTAGTCCTTGAATAACTGGAATGGGGTTTTGGTTACTTGAGAACAAAATAAAACAGCACAAATTAATATCCAGGGGCAAGAAAACGAAGGATACATTGAAGGATGACATGTAATCTAGTGTAGCTGGAACATTGGTGCCACTCGGGCACAGCACAATATAGACTAGAAGATTAGGTAGAGGTCAAAATGCAATCTTGGAAACAGAAAGCAGCCCTCACAGGACACTTTTACTGCTGGCAACTCGATCTTGGACTTCCCAGACTCCAGAATCATGAGTAATAAATTTCTATGGTGTATATATTTTTTAAAAGCAAGATATTACATTGTAAAAGATATGTGTGCCCAGCTGAAGAATATGGAGTTTCCCTTTGTAAGTAAAAGGAATTCACCGAGGGCTGTTGAACTAGACAGAGACGCTGGCAGAGCTGTTTCAGGGGGATAATGGTGATGTCAGTGAAGAATGCAGGTGCTCATATTCAGGTGAGTCAGTATCTCTATTTTTTGCAGTTCCTTCATCAGTGCTTTTCAAAATGGAGTTTCTGTTTATGTGACTTACTATCATAGCTCCAAGGTGTTACCTACAAATGTGTAAGTGTATAAAATATAAATATTCATTTACTTTCACTGGACTGAAAAAAACTTTTGTGACTCTTTCTTTTATGGATGACATACTGTATTAGTTTCCTGGGGGACAGTAACAAAAAGCCGTAAAATGGGTAGCCTAAGGCAACAGAAATATATTCTCTCTTGTTCCTGGAGTCTGAAATCAAGGTGTTGACAGGGTCAAGGCTCTAGGGGAAAAAATGTTTCTTGGCTCTTTCTAGCTTCTTGTGGTTGCCTGCAATCCATGATGTCTTTTGCCTTGTAGATGCCTCATTCCAATTTCTGTCTGTCATTCCCTCTGTCAGTGGGTAGAACACCCGTTTCTGTGTCTGTGTTTCTACTTCTCATCTTACAAGGATACAGCTATATTGGAGTTAGGGTCCACCCTACCGCAGTATGACCTCATCTTAACTTGAGTACATATGCAAAAACCCTGTTTCCAAATAAGATCACATTCACAGGTGCCAGCAGTTGGCACTTGAACATACCCTCTTGGAGGTCACAGTGCAGCCCACAACACATACTAATAGCATTTTTTTTTTTTTAAATGCTGAACTATCTTTAGCTGCTAGTGGTTAGTGTGGCCAAGGAAGCCAGAGCTCCTAATTGAGGAAACAACCGATGGTTTTTGCCTGGTTGTTCCAGAAAATCTAACTAATCTGTGCTGCATTTTACCAAAAGATCAAATCATCAGTCGTACTCCTTTTATTAATTGATCTAAATGTGATTTTGTTTAGGTAGTTAGTCATAATCCAGGAAAGGATCCTTAATTACATTTTTCAAAAATAATTCTCAACTTTATATTGATACTGTTTTTTTCAAATCTAAGGTGTCTTCAATTTCTTCTTTCTCTCCTTTTCAATAATTGTTTATCCCATTTGCCCACACTGCTCATTTACCACATACAAAAATAAAGCTTAGTGTCAACAGCAAACATAATAAATGTGTGTGGTTTTCCATCTTCTAAGCCAATGATGAAATTTGAAACAATATGAACTCTTGGCACCCCAAAATGAAGACTATCATCAATAGCCTAACGCTAGCGGCTAGACCTGCAAACTGTTTTCACAGTTTAAAGAATATTTTCGGCTGGGTGCGGTGGCTCAGGCCTGTAATCCCAGCCCTTTGGGAGGCCAAGGTGGGTGGCTCACGAGGTCAGGAGATCAAGACCATCCTGGCTAACACGGTGAAACCCCGTCTCTACTAAAAATACAAAAAAATTAGCTGGGCGTGGTGGCAGTGCCTGTAGTCCCAGCTACTCGGGAGGCTGAGGCAGGAGAATGGCGTGAACCCAGGAGGCAGAGGTTGCAATGAGCTGAGATTGCACCACTGCACTCCAGCCTGGGCACAGAGCGAGACTCCGTCTCAAAAAAAAAAAAAAAAAAAAAAAAAAAAGAGTATTTTCTAAGCTTACTGATGAACATTTAGTGAAGGAATAACCAGAAATTTTGTTAAATTATGCCTACCAAATTTCAATTTACTAGAACTGTCCCTCTCAAGAAAGAATTAGTCTGACGGATCTCATAGTTCTTCACGGTCATTAGGCGCTGGCCGTTGCTTTCTGCATCATTTTCTGTCTCTCACTTTCTAAACAAACGTATGGCTTTTATCAAGTCACAGTGAGTGTTTTTGCGGAAGAGGCAGTGCACTCATGAAAGTGTACAACTGCATAGTGAACATGACCAACGTCGTACAAAACCTCTATTTTACATATATTTTTTAAAGTGTTCTCAGTGGCCAAACATTGTAAAACAAAGTTTTTGTTATGCGTATTTTTCATTACATACTGTGCCACCCATAATTTAAATCATTGTCGTTTGCTAGGTTAGTGGATGAAGAGAGAAAATGATATAAAAAAAGGACTATTCTGTTTACAAATCATGGCAAATCATAATCATTCATTTTACACGAGAAAGAGCAAATCTGAGCTTAACTCTAGTTATCTACATAATGATTTTCATGACACATTTGAATGCAGAAAGAAAAGAGTAATGAAAACCAGACACGTTCAGTGAATTATTTGAAAGCCAAACTTTTAAAAACAGGTCTCTTGGCTGTGTTTCTCCTACCTAACTTAAATTTTGCGTACTTTAACCAACATCTCCCCTATAACCTCACCTCCCACCATCCACTAATCACCGTTTGACTCTCTGTTTTCATGATCTTCAACTTTTTAATATTCTACATGTAAGTGAGATTGAGAGGTAGTTTTCTTTCTGTGCCTGGCTTATTTCACTTAACATAATATGTTCCAGGTTCATCTGTGTTGTCACGAAATTTTCTTTTTGTAATAAGGCTGACTAGTACTCCATTGGGAATATATACCACATTTTCTATATTTATTCATCTGTTGATGGACACTTAGGTTAATTTCATATCTTGGTTATTGTGAATAATGCTGCAATGAACATGGGAGTTCAAACATCTTTTCAGTATACCGATACTTTTTCCTTTGAATATATACCCAGTAGTGAGATCATATGGACTTGTGATGCTAATACTGAGTTTATCAACTTGATTGTATTGAGGGATACAAAGTATTAATTCTGGGTGTTTCAGTGTGGGTGTTGCCAAAAGAGATTAACATTTGAGTCAGTGGGCTGGGGAAGGCAGATCCACCGTTATTCTGGTGGGCGCTAACTAACCAGCTTCCCGCGAATATAAAGCAGGCAGAAAAACATGAAAAGGAGAGACGGGCCTAGCCTCCCAGCCTACATCTTTCTCCCATGCTGGATGCTTCCTGCCCTCAAATATTGAACTCCAGGTTCTTCAGTTTTGGGACTTGGACTGGGTCTCCTTGCTCCTCAGCCTGCAGACAGCCTATTGTGGGACTTTGTGATCATGTAAGTTAATACTTAATAACTCCCCTTTGCACACACACATGCGTGCGCGCGCACACACACACACACACACATATATATATATATCCTGTTAGTTCTGTCCCTCTAAGAGAACCCTGACTACTACATGGTTGTTCCATGAAAGCTAAAATTTTTAATGAGACTTTTAGATAATATATTGCAATAAATCATCTACATTTTTCTTGCCAAGTTTGCTGTTGTTCAGGGGTTGGTTTAATTCCTTTTGTTTTTTTCTCTTGTTTAAAAGACCTATAGACATATCAAATAAAGGATTTGATATTCTTTATAATTAACTATGCCACCGTGTTCAAATCATCACAAGATTTCACATTTTAACTCAAAGGATAAATACTTAAGGGGATGGATATCCCATTCTTCATGATGTGCTTATTTCACATTGCATGCCTATATCAAAACATCTCATGAAGCCCATAAATACGTACACTTGCTATGTATCCACAAACATTAAAAATTAAAATTAAAAAATTTAAAAAGAATGGATGAAGCAAATTTCTAGTTTTATTTCTAAGTAAAATGTCAATCCTAAACTTTAAATTTTATTTATATCAGTGGAGCACTTGCTATATTATTCATGGTAAATAAGTTTACATCAACCAACTTAAACTACTCCTATTTCAGTAGTGCACAGTGCATTTATACTTTAGAGCAAAGAAATGGAGCATTCAGCACATATTGCCACAAATTTGTTCAGGTGGAACAGGATTGGGTGACATAACAGTCAAGTGGCAACCATGGTGTGACAGCTTATAGACAGGCAATGAAATGAAACTTTGAAGGGAGGAGCAGCTGTATTCTACTGTATCCTGCAATTAAAGCTATTAAGGCAGAAGAAAATCATCTTTATTTCCACCTTCATGATTCTGGGCTGTCTCTGCATTGTCCTAACAAAGCCTGATGTATTATATCTTTCACAAAACATAATTGATGTCATGAACACTTTAAAATTAACACTGTATCATATATGCTTCTGAAAACCATATGTATTATTATAAATGTTTGAATATTAAAGATTATGGGAGTCTATTTTAAAAGTATCCTCTGTGGCAAAATGAGTAGTTTTGAAAACTTTCAAATTAATTCCACAATAGTTGAAGTTTTGATCAATCTCTTCCAGAAACTATAAAAATAACAGTGTCCTTTTGACAATAAGTCAAACAGCGTACATGTAAAAAGGCTGGGGGTGAGGCTTGCTGTTAGACGTGAACTACTCCCACCCCACTGAGTATACTTATTTTCTGTACCCTGTTAATATAAAATGTTATAAAAATGATATCCCTATATTTAATTCATAGAGTTGAGCCTTTCTAATTAAATCTGTTTCATTAAGTAAGAGAAAATACAGTGTAGGATAAAGAAGCAAATTAAAATACAGGCTCTGAATTCTGGTCAAAATTGAGTTCAAATTCTGGCTCTGTCACCTATTAGCTAGGAGATTTTATTTAACATGAAAAGATTGTTGCAGTATTAGATTTAGGCCATTTTGTCTGCTACTACTCCACATACCTGGCACAACTGAACACTTAATAATACCTGCTGAGTGGAAGAATGAGTTAATGATTAGCCTTGAAAGAAATTTAGCATGGTATTTGAAAACTTATTTATATTACCATCATTTCTGACTCGGATTCCTCTCATCTCCTCCACTTTCCACAGTAGAGGATTGGGATAATATAATGGGCTGAAATTTATCATTACTGGAGTATTTGGGTCCAATTATTATACATAGCAGAGACTTTGATCCCTCCCTTGAGAAGACAAACCAACAGTGGACATTTCTCTGAAGTATAATGCAAACTAAACAATTTATTTCAAACTTTGAAAGAACTTTAAGAGAAATAATTTATGTCCCTCTCCAAAATAAAGTTAACCTTCAAACTGATAAAATCTGGTTTAAAATAAAATCCAATTCTGATACATAATAATACAGTGAACAGTGTATAAATAGATGCAATAATAGCCTTTTGGCATTCATTTCCAGCTTTTCTGATATTTTGCAGGATAAGTTATGAGATTTATGACAAATATGCTTCCTAGCCCTCCCTACAGTGTCAAGCCAGGCCTTCTAGAATTATGACACAGCCTGGGAGCTGCTGTACACAGGACATGTCAAGTGATGATTCATAACCCCTAAAAAATAGCATTTCTTTTGAGGAATGCTATACTGGATACCTATCATTTTATTAAAAAATGATACTGTTTTTATTCTTCCCTTGTTCAAAATTAAGGGGAAGGATCTCAGAAAATTTTGAACCGCGAAATCACCATGCAAAGATATCCAACTTCCAACTTTATCTTCTAGAACTGACTTTAATAAAATAAAAATTAACTTTTATCTCATAGATTTTTGAGTAATGTGGAGAGCTTTCCAGAGCTGTCACTCTGTCATAAAAAAACTGATGTGACTGCTTTTGTGAAGAATGTGACAAATGTGGTACCCCCTTCTCCTTTGTCTGCAGAGGAATTTATTCTTTAAGGAAAGGAGGAGCTTCTGTGTTGACTTTGTTTTACAGGGTCACTTGCTGTTGGTCCTAGGGTAGTTAGGCACTTCAGGAATCACCTCACAGCTGCCCTTGCAGGGCTATATATTACATTCCATATTTTCCTTTAAAATTAACTATTTTGCCAGGTGCGGTGGCTCACACCTGTAATCCCATCACTTTGGGAGGCCCAGGTGGGTAGACTGCTCCGGAGTTGGAGACCAGCCTGGGCAACATGATGAAACCCTGTCTCTACAAAAAGTACACAAATTAGCCAGGTATGGTGGCCTTCGCCTGTAGTGTCAGCTACTTAGGAGGCTGAGGCAGTAGGATTGCTTGATCCCAGGAAGTCAAGGACGCAGTGAGCTGTGATTGTGTCATTGCACTCCAACCCGGGTGACAGATTGAGATTATCTCTAATAAAAAAATTAATTAAATAAAATAAACTATTTTTACTGTCCCCCCACCACCCCAAGTTTTAAAACCTCCCCTCCACCGGTGTTTGGGTGTTTGACTCTCATTCCTGGATTAAATGAAAAAACAAATTCTGAGTTTTAAACCTTTGGCCAGGTCTTTATGTAAATAAAGTTGGCCAAACCATTGTGTCTCTGTTCTTTGATAAGGTCTAGTAATTTGCCCTACTTATTTGTATATCAGCACACACACGGGCTAGCTTGGAACCATCATTAAAAAAAGGAGAATTCATAGTCTGTAAAGCAATGTAAAATTGTCTCCATTGTAGATCTTTAGGGGGATTTTTGGAGATGACATAGATTTTAGGAAGTTGTTTCTCTCCATTGATATAGTTTTAATGTATACTCTTTGAAATGTCTGTTGCACGTACATGTGTGTCTTCACATTTGCTAACTCTGACTCTACTTTCAGTGTTTGGTCGAATAGTTACCTGTAACAGAATGGCTGCAGGAAGAATGAACAGGTGCCTTTTCATTCTTTGAAAAGATCTCAAAAGAGACTGATTGGGTGATCAAAGCCTACAGTTGATTTCTTTTCCATAATGTTTGTCCAGAAGGAATAATTTAGGACTTGAGAAATGTACTCCTGAAAGTCAAGCCATATGTTATTTGAGAAGGAAGTGGAGTGTATTCTCCAGATGATGAAGAATAGAGGTTGGACATTGGGATAGAGAAGCAAAGCTTAGGGCTGAGGAGTGTCAACAAAGGGACTCCTATACAAGATATCATTTTTTCACTTCACATTTTCTTTGGAATCTAGGGACAGTCATATGTAGCATCCATATTTAAGTTTTTTTATTCCTGTATTATATTTTCCCCTACTTTTCAGTAAAGGGCATTACCTATACAAAGCCTTATGTTGCGGAGAAATTGAGGGAAAGGACAGTGGCAGGTGTAATCTTCCAAATATCATCCCTCCAATAAGGTCATGAGATCAGTGGTAGCATCTTACTAAGAATGGATTTAGTTTTGGAGTTCTGGGTAATGAGCAGGAGTAAGGTAAAGACTAGGTTGACCTATGAGGGGTAGAAAGGAAAACCAGATAAATTTAAGTGGATGGGGTGTATACAGACTCATGCATTAAAAGCAGACAAACTGCTGGGCGCAGTGGCTCAGGCCTGTAATCCCAGCACTTTGGGAGGCTGAGGAGGGTGGATCATGAGGTCAGGAGTTCAAGACCAGACTGGCCAGCCTGGTGAAACCCCCTCTCTACTACAAATACAAAAATCAGCCAGGCATGGTGGTGGGTTCCTGTAATCCCAGCTATTCAGGAGGCTGAGGCAGAGAATTGCTTGAATCCTGAATCCTGGAGGCGGAAGTGGCAGTGAGTCGAGATTGTGCCACTGCCCTCCAGCCTGGGCGACAGAGCAAGACTCTGTCTCAAAAAAAAAAAAAAAAAGCAGACAAACTAAGAAGAAGCAGATGTATGTTTGGTTACAGATGTATTGCTTGTTCAAAAGTTTATATGCCAAGATTCTCTTTAATTAATAAATTTTTAAATTGACAAAAATTATGTATTTCTTGCATAGAACAGAATATTTAGAAATATATATTTATTATATAATTTCTAAATACAGCTAATTAACATATATGTTACCTCACACTTATTTATTTATTTGTGGTGATAATGCTGAAAATCTACTCCGTTAGTGATTTTCTAGAATACAATATACTGTTATTGACTATAGTGACCACATTGTACAATACATCTTTTGAATTTATTCCTATCTAACTAAAGTTTTGTATCCTTTAACAAACACCTCTCCAACCCCACACCCTACTGCGCCCCCAGCAACTACCACTCAAATACATTGTAATGCCTGGTAGAACATCATACAATTATGTTTCAAATAATTATGAGTTATAGTATTTCCAAACTCTTGTGCCTAGTAATTCATTCACTGAGAAATAATGTTTGGAGTACATATACACTTTTTGAAAAAATATATGCCAAGGAATTTTCTAGGTGCTAGAATTACAACACTGAACATACCACTGAAAATTTTTTCTTCTTGAAACCTATCTTCAAATTGGGAAGGCAGACAATGAATGAGTAAACAAAGAGGTTTAAAATATAGTGTAAGGGAGTGATAAGTTGTGAAGACAAATAAAGCAGGTTAAGGAAGAAGCATTGGCTTATGTGATTGCAGAGGCTGGAAAGTGCAAGGTCTGCAAGGCAGGCCAGCAGGCTGGGAATGCTGGAAATGCTGGGAATGCTGGAAATGCTGGGAATGCTGGGAATGCTGGGAATGCTGGCAGAAGTTAATGTCTCAGCCTGAGTCAAGACAGACCGTGGGAAGAATTATTTCCTGTTTGGGAAACCTGAGTCTTTTCTGTGAACACCTTCAACTGATTAGAGGATGCCCACCCATATTATAGAGAGTACTCGGCTTCACTCAAAATCTACTGATTTCAACGTGACTTGCCTGTAACTACCACCTTCATGGCAACATCTAGACTTATATTTGCCCAAATAACTGAGCACTACAGCCTAGCCAGGGTGATGCATAAAATTAACCGTCACACAAGACAAGAGATATTATTTTAGGTACAGTAGTTGGAGAATTCCCCTTTAAAAATGGGACATTGCCCAGTGTGGTGGCTCATGCCTATAATCCCAGCACTTTGGGAGGCCATGGCGGGAAGAAGGCTTGAGCCTAGGAGCTTGAGACCAGCCTGGGCAACACAGTGAGGCCTCATCTTTAAAAAATTAAACAAAATTAGCCTGGTATGCTGGCACATACCTGTACTCCAGGATACTTGGGAGGCTGATGTGGGAGGATTGCTTGAGCATGAGAGGTTGAGGCTGTGGTGAGCCAAGATCACACCACTGCACTTCAGCGAGGGAGAGAGAGACTTTTAAACAGAGGCATGAAAAAAACAAGACAGTGAAAAATAGCCAGAGATCAATCATTCCAATCAAAGAAAAGTATACGTGCAAAGGCCCTGAGGCAGGAGTATCTGGCAGTGTTTGAAAAACAACCACATAATGTTCATTGTGGCTGGAGTGCAGTGGGCCAAGGAGACAGAAGCCACAAAAGGTGATGTGGCCTTTTAAAGACTTGCTTCTTTTTAAAGCAATGGGAAGTTTGTAGAGTTTGGAGCCATAAATTGCATGAACTGATTTGGCTATTAAAAGGTTCATTGTGACTATTATGTAATGAATAGACCATAGAGGGGCAAGAGTGAAAGCTGAAGCACAAGCCACAAGTCTATTGCAATATTAGATGGTGGATTGGGATGCCATATAATAGTATGGTTGATGAGAAGTGGTCAGATTCTGGACATATCTGGAAAATAGGTAAAATGGTTTGCTGATATTTTGGGTAGGGGTTGTAAAAGCAATAGAGAAATTAAAAAACTCTAAGGTTTTGGACTTTAGCGGTTGGATGAGTGGTATTGCCATTTACCAACATGACAGAAACTGGGGAAGGACTCTAGGGAGTCAAGATTTCAGCTCGGAGCATGTTAAGTTTAACTTTGAGATGCCTATTAGAGATCCACACTGGGAAATCAAGTAGGCAGCTGGATATGAGAGTCTTGGGAACAGGAGAAGTACATTTAGAGGTTTTCAAAATATAGAAGCAAATAAGCCTTTAGTAACATATGAAATTTTCCAGGGATGTATAAAGGTAATAGGTCCTAGAACAGAATCTGAGGCATTCACAAATCACTTATTTTTCTAGATGAGATTTAGAAACATTGTGAAGGTACCCCCTAGAGGGGTTTTTATGGAAATTTTGTTAACTTTATAGATTAATTACGGTCATTCTCTTTTCTTAATCCATCTATTCATTTTTCTCTGAAGATGAAAATGAAAGAATTGAATTTAAGAATTACAAATGAAACTTAAAGAATGAAGAGTGATATTTGTCACGTGAAGATGAAATGGGTGAGGAGTTGGGTAGTATGCCAGACATGTTTTATAGATGAATCTATTTAACTGTTACAACAATCTCGAAATGAAAATTATTCCATTTTATAGATAAAGAAAATTGAGGGCTTGTTGAAGTAAAGGAGTTTGCTCAGTCATGCAACATTTTGCCTGTAGGCAGACCCCAAAGACAACTCTGGAAATGCTTCCACTATACGATGTTACTTTTCTGACCTCAAGAAGTACAATATGGCTGTTAATTAAATTCATTACAAAATATTAATAGGCATACATTTCTTGAAACACTCCACTTCCATAGAAACATAAAACCATGCATCATTGTAGTAAGAAATGTCCATCACTTTTCTAAATTATTGATGTAAAAGAAATACCCAGACTGACACTGGATTTATCTCACACATGGATTTCATATTTTGTATTCTGATAACATAGTTGTTCTTCATTACGTATGAGACCTGCTGTAAAACCCCATTATGTGAACATTTTCACCCAGTTTTCAAGGGCTTTCATAGCATACCTTGTTGTCCATGTTTCTTCCATATGCTTAAGGATGCTTTAAAAGAAAGAACAGAGCACATACAATCTAAAAAAAAAACTAGAAAATGGTCTATAGCCTAAATGATCCAGAACAAAAATAATACCTAATACTAGAATGGAGAAAGATTGATGATTGCTAGTGAACAAATGATTAATCATTTAATCTCATCTGACTAAGTTAGTAAGCACTTCAGTGGTAAGACACTGAAGTTTTCATCGCTTTTCACTTACTGAATATGAGGCTGTCTCATGGCATTAAGACATGACAGGGCGTGTTTTAGCACTCCATTAATACACAACTCAGGCACACTCAAATATCTTCAACCACTAAATGAGATATTAATTAACCAATAAAACATAACCTAGGGCAGTTGGAGGGCTATTACATTTTTTGTGTGTGTCTTAAACTCCAGAATCAGATAAAAAAAAAAAAAAAAGGAAATGAAGATAAATACAAAGCACTATTAAATTTGTAAAAATTAATGGTATACTAAAGAGTTAGATTCCATAGGCTATATTTGTCTTCATCTATTTACAAATGTTAACTTCAAACACACGTGAGGGTACTTTCCCTGTTTTTTAAAAATTGAGGTGAAATTTTAATAAAATGGAATTAAGCATTTTAAAGGACACAATTCAGTGGTATTCAGTACATTCACAATGTTGAGAAGTCACCACCTGTATCTAGTTCCAAAATATTTTCATCACCCCAAAAGAAAACCCTGTACCCATTAAGCAGTTGCTCCTAATTGTCTACTTCCTCCAGCCCTTGGAATCTCTAATATCTCTTCTGTCTTTATGGATTCAGCTATTCTGAATATTTCTTATAAAGGAAATCATACGACATTTGTCCTTTTTTGTCTGGCTTATTTCACTTAGCGTAATGCTTTTGAGGTTTCTCCACATTACAGCACAAGAGTAACAGAATACGCCACCCCAACTTCTGCCAGTTTGGCATAAAGATTATTTTGTGCTAAAGTCACTTAAAGAAACAGCAGGTACAAAGGCACTCAAACGCTCCCCTTTTTCTTCCTGAGAACAGGAGATAAAAACCCCATATGGAAGATCTCCTCCCTATACCACAATGAAAAGAACATTATCATCAAGGATGGGAAGTCGAGACCCCCAAAATTCTGTACAAACAGACCTTGTTAAAATAATTCTATCTTCCTTTAGCCTCCCCCCGTAGTTTAGTTACTTGCCTACAATTGCATGTCTTTGATCAATGGAGTATAAAAGTATGTAGGTTTTGCCACTCTTTTCCATCTTCATTTCTTTTGAAGACTCCTGTGTCATGTAAAACGTGTATTAAGTAAATGTGTATGCCTTTCTCCTCTTAATCTGTCGTATGTCAGTTTAATTCGCAGGCTCAGCTAAAGTACCCTAAGAGGGTAGAGGTAAAATTTTGCCTCCCTTACACATGAATCAGTACTTCCTTCATTTTTATGTGTGAATAATATTTCATTGTATGTATATACCACACTTAGTTTGTCTACTTTTCCATTGATGAATACTTGGGCTGTTTCCACCTTTTATCCAATGTGGTTGGCGCTACTGTGAACATTCACGTACATATCAGCCATTGTGGTTGGTGCTGCTGTGAACATTCACATACATATCATCCTTTTAGCTGTTTTCAATTGCTTGGGGTACATGCCTGGGAGTGAAATTGCTGGATCTTATGGACGTACTTTAAAAGCAGATTTCCCCTCAATTTTGTGTTAAGTATCTCTTTAGATGCATTCATTTGTGGAACAAATTCAAGAAATCAAGCTTTTAATTAAAAACAAATAAAAGGAATAAAAAATTACTTTCTGTTATTGAGATCTTTCATGATAACTTTGAGAAGAAAGGGGAGATGCATTCAGTGCCTCGCAGAGGTACAAGACAAAACTTTCCTTAGCAAAGGGGTCAGGGACCAGCAGTAGAAGGCTGTGCTCCAACAGCTTTACTAGCTTGGGAACGGAAATCGATAGTAAATGGAAAGAGATGGCATCAGTGAATGTCATCAAGAAAAACTGAAGGCTTCGCATAATGTAAGATGTCAACATAAAGATATAAAATTTGAAAATGCAAGGAAACATATAGGAAAAAATAATATGTTTTAATATTTTAGTGGAAGAGAATGAACTTTTCCAAAAAAATTGGATATGGACAAACAAGACTAAAATAACAGCCTAAAGCAATCTTTTAATATTTTGATATGAGACTCATCAAGAAAGTCACTGGATGGACTTTTCTTACTGTTGTGTACATGAAATCTTTTTTGTACATGTATATACAATTATATATATATATATATATATATATATAATTTTTTGTCTACATGTTTTGGGTTCAAGTGCTAAGATATGTTAATACCACAGGTTTGTTTCAGAGAAAGAGACAAAATAGTGCCAGGTGTCAGGAAGACTTGTGCTGTTGGCTGAGCTTAGCAACTTGAAAATAGCTAAAGAAACAAAAGAGGCTAAGAAAGTGCGATGGTTGACAGCAACAGTCAAATACATTTCTACCTACTTTTAAATATTGAGACAGCCACAACGCTATGCATATGTGCAAAAACATGCCCCAAACATGTCATTCTATTTCATTGCCTTTTTCTATTTTAAATACGGATGTCTCTTCCAGTGAGTGCAAATACTTCAACTGTGAGGCATTATATTTTAGAATTAAATTATTTTAAAAACATAATGTAATTATAACCAATGTACAATGTAAAAATTAAATTATAAAATCATAATTACATGATTATATCCAATTATAAAACTACTATTTAAAATCGTTATAAAAATTGCTAGAATGTTACTATAAAATATGAAGAAGTCATTCAGTCGTGTTCTTTCTGCTGTGTTTGTCATTTTAGTGGAAAAACATGGATAACTGGTCAGAAAGTCCAAGTTAGTTGAATGAGGATCCTCCATTTACTCTAAAAAAAAAGCTGTATATAGTACGTCGTTAATGGCTAATTCATACAAGACGATGGACAAATCAGGTAAAAACAGTAAGGCATTGAGAAGTTTGACCATATGACAGCAAAACTCAGAAACAAAGGAACTGAGTTGATTATTTTTCCTCCCTGTTTTTTTTTTCTTTATGCACTTTTGAAAACTAAATGTCAAAGTTCTTATTTGTGACAATTTTGCCATCTAAGACAACATGTGCAGTAAGTTTCCTGGAAACCGGAAGTGAAGGATGACCTTCACAATAATTTTTAATGCTGCCCTAGAAAGCAACTGGACCATGGGCAGAGTCTATGAGAGAACATGCATGGTCAAAAGGAGCGAACACATAAACAGGTCATGTCTCGTATCTTTAATATACCAGGCAGATTGTTTTGATCAACAAAGCTAATTCTCATCTATTCTCAATAACAAATATTGAAACCAGATTGATAAAATTAAACAGGTAATTTTAAAAGCCTAATACAGCCCAAAATTGAAACTGCTTTTATCACTGAGCCTATATTTTAAATGTGCTAATAATAGCTAACAACACTAGATTAAGTTTTGGGGGTGTTTTTTTTTGTTCGTTTTTGAGATGGCGTCTTGCTCTGTCGCCCAGGCTGGAGTGCAGTGGCACGATCTCAGCTCATTGAAACCTCTGCCTCCCCAGGTTCAAGCGATCCTCCTGCCTCAGCCTCCCCAGTAGCTGGGACTACAGGCACACACCACCATGCACCACATCCAGCTAATTTTTTTGTTTGTTTGTTTGTATTTTTAGTAGAGACTGGGTTTCACCATGTTGGCTAGGCTGGTCTTGAACTCCTGAACCCAGGTGATCCTTCTGCCTTGGCCTCCCAAAGTGCTGGGATTACAGGCGTGGGCCACCGCACCTGGCTTGTTTGTTTCATTACCAGTCTCCAGTCCCACAACCTACAAAGTACTGAGGAGAGGGAAAAGAGGGGAGAATATAAGAATAAAAATATAATCTGAAAGCTCAAATTCTCCTTCCAGAAGGAAGCAATGTTTGACTGTAATGAATGCATTTTCTTAAGAAAATTTTCAATATAGGTATAATTTTTCAATGTAATAATGCCTAAACAAGGGCAAAACAAAGGTAGAATATCATTCTGTTAATGTCATATACACCAGGAGTTGCTTAAAAGAGTATATGCCAGGCAGCACATTTCTGATTTCTGTTTTATCTAATCCATTCTACAATTCACATACAATGCAGCTAGTTCTCCAGTAACTTCCAAGTTCCTTTGCTAACTCAGTCTCTCTCATTCTACTTAATTGTGAAGTACTTTGGGTTTATAAGTAGAATGAGTGATAGTATGTGCATGCAAGTATTAATTTACAAGATGAGAGGAAGACTGAGCATGGAATGGGATAAGGGAGATCATATGCTCTACGGCTGATGTGATGGTGCCTATTACTTTTTTTTAAAAAAATTAATCTTAGGTCGGGCGCCCTGGCTCATGCCTGCAATCCCAGCACTTTGGGAGGTCGGATCACAAGGTCAGGAGTTCAAAACCAGCCTGGCCAACATGGTGAAACCCCATCTCTACTAAAATTACAAAAATTAGCCAGGCCTGCTGACACACGCCTGTAATCCCAGCTACTTAGGAGGCTGAAGCAGGAGAATCGTTTGAACCTGGGAGGCGGAGGTTGCAGTAAGCCAAGATCGCACCACTGCACTCCAGCCTGAGCAACCCAGGGTGAGACTCCATCTCCCCCTCCAAAAAAAAAACAAAATTAATCTTCATTGAGGATCAAATGAATTAATTCTGTTCTATTTGCCTTTTATTTAGGGGAGTTGTTCTATTGAATCTTCTTTGGTCTGCTATTTTTAATCTATTGATTTTTAAAGCTTTAAATAACCCTAAATAAAAATGTGGACTACAGGATATAAGCCATAAGAAAGCTCAGAGACACATAACTAATGCGATAGACATTCAACACTTTCTTGTCTCAAATCTGACAGTTTCTGTCTGTGGTCCTCATTCTGAGATTTTCTCAAGTTTGGGGTTGCATTTTTTTAAATTAAAAAAATATAAAAATGTGTGTCCTTTTTCCATGAACAATTTTATCATGGCGACATATTAGAGTGGCAAGAGTTACTTTCATCACTTCTCACAGTCCTGAAGCGTAAGCACTCCAGAATAATTCTTAACCTCAGTATAGTGCTTCCTTCTGGCAAAATGTGAACTCTTTTTCTTTGTGTCAAATAATAAGCATTTCGCTTTGCTATTAAAACTTACTAACGATAGACACTACTAACACTAGGAAACCAAACAGATTTGTAAAAATCAGAACTATTGGGGTTCCATTGACCCAAAAGGAGAGAAGACTATTCATTCTGCAGCCAACTCTGCCAAAAATGTTCAACATTGATCTGCAATTGAATCATTACTGTCATACAATCCCACTGAGAAGTGTTTTAGGTTGTGACAGCGAGGACAGGCATCAATCCTGATTTTCTTTAACTTTAGTGATGGGGATCCATCCTTTAGCTCTGAGAAAATAGATAAAAAATTTCTTTCGTCATAAAAAGGAGGAAGTGGAAGGTAGAAAAGACTGTGACATTTTAAGGAACAAAAGCCTTCCATACCAAAAAGGGTGGACATAAGCAAAAGCATTTGGCATTTAGGAGAGCATTCTTATTTTAAAGAAAATCTTTAAACAACAGCCCAGGATAATCACAGATGAGCAGAGCAAATAATACACTTTTGTTTTATTTTTGAAATACTCATTTCAATTTAAGGCATGTCCTAATGTGTTCATTTTGAAAACCTTAAAGAAAAAAATGTTTATTGAAAGGCTTTTTGTTTTCAGGTATATTTTCTTTATAATTCAATAAGTGCAAAAATACCTCATTAAAATATTAAAATGTTTATAAAAGAATATTTATAATATCTTTTTTATTTTAAACCATATATCTTTATGTACTTTTGGCAGCTTTTATAATTGGTTTAATTCACCTAGATTTACATATGTAAAAGTTAAAAATTATCATTTAATACAATTATTTTGCTCAAAGTAACAATAACTCAAATAAAATTTTGAACTCAAATGGCCATGTGAGAAGTTATAAATAAAATAATTTTTTAATTATTCATGAGACTATGCATTTGCTGATGATGTTTGGTGAAAACTTCTTACTACTTACTTACTTCACTTTGGAACCACAAAATTATAACATTTTAAAGCTGGTTGAGAATTCACTGTGTGGTTTAACTTTGTAATTTTGTACATGAGAAAACTGAAACCCATACACTTTAAGATTCTGCCAAAAATGTGTGGCTTGCTCAGGC
This sequence comes from Homo sapiens, assembly GCF_000001405.40. NCBI lineage: Eukaryota > Metazoa > Chordata > Mammalia > Primates > Hominidae > Homo > Homo sapiens. The sequence goes on along the minus strand of NC_000003.12, from coordinate 76,489,394 downwards.
TATTGGGATCAGAACTCTAGGCTCTCCTCTTCTAGTTGAGTGCCCTTCCTACTATATCACTGTGGCTTCCATTTATCCTGATATTTTTAAGGTAAGAGCAGGTAATTTCCCATTTCAGCAATGAACAGAGTATAAGTTCTCATCTCTTATAAAACACATCCATTACAAACATTTTTTCATCAGAGCCACTGAGAAATGTTTTAGGTTGTGACAAAACCTAAAAGAGGCCAAAAAAAAAAACAAAAAAAAGAAGTCAGTACCAGTGTTCTAATCATCAGATTTTTTTTTTTTTTTTTTTTTTTTTTTTTTTGAGACAGAGTCTCACTCTGTCACCCAAGCTGGAGTGCAGTGGTGCGATCTTGGCTAACTGCAACCTCCACCTCCTGGGGTTCAAGCAATGCTCCTGCCTCAGCCTCCCATAATAATCAGATTTTGCCCTCTCACCAAAAAGAGGAAGAAGAAAAGTAAGAACTGCACAAAAATAAATACCACAAAATCGTCCTTCTAGGTAGTAGGACAAAGGCTATAATTTCCATAGTAAACTTGATTTTCTAACTTTGAATGTAGGTGATTTCAATAAAATCAGTTCTAGGGTTTTAAAGGCAAATTCCTGACACACCCTTTTTTGTGTGTGTGTCCTTTATCCTAGACCCCCTGAATTCTCAAATGGCCTCCAAGATATCTGCTCCCTATGGATACGGTGGGATATCACTCCAGGGATTATGTTCTTTCACATGGAAAAAAGGATTTTGGGAGATATAATTAAAGGGAGAGTATTTAGATAGGATGGACCTTATCACATGAGCCCTTTAAATCTGGGTCTAGAAGTCAGTGGCAGAAGAGCAGAGATTCAAAGTAGCAGCGATGTACCCCTCCTGGCTTTGAAGGAGCAGCTGATATGCTGTGGAGAGGACCACACGGCAGGCAACGGCAGGTCTTCTCTAACAGCAGAGAGAGGACCACATGGCAGGCAATGGCAGGTCTTCTCTAACAGCAGAGAACAGTCCAGCTCAACAGCCAGAGAGAAAACAAGAACATCAGTCCTACAGCCACAGGGAACTAAATTCTGTCAATGTTCTTAATGGGCGTGGAAGAAAGCCATGAGGTCATAAGATAGCCCCCAAAGAACCCCTTGAGGTCTTCCAAGTAAACTGGGCAAAGAATTCAGTGATGCTGTGCCAAAATTCTGACCCACGGAATCTGTGAGGTCATACATTTGCATTTTCAGCTGCTAATTCGGGTCATTTGTTACGCAGCAATAGAAAACTAATGCAAACCCTTTCACTTTGAGGCAGAAAGGACCTAAGTTGACCCTGATTATTCGTGACTCCCCGTGTTTATATGGTTGTGTAATCCTCTCTCCTTAAGTGTGAGTGTGGTCTGAGACTTGCTTCTAATGGTAGAATATGGCAAAGGTAATGATGTCACTTCTGTGATTGCCATACATTGTATAACTACCTTTGCAGGCTAAACTCAGAGAGAGTCTCTCTTGCTGGTGTTGAGGATGTGAGCTACCAGGTTGTGAAAGGGTCCACGGAGATAGTCATGTGGAATTGTGGGCAGCTTCTAGGAGCAGCCAGCCAGCAAGAAAATGGGGAATTCAGTCCTACAACTGCAAAGAGATTAATTCTTTCAGCTACCTGAGGGAACTAGGAAGATCTTTCACCAGTGGAGATCTGATGAGTCTCTGATGAGTCTATCGCTGCAGCTGGATTTCACCTAGAGTGCAGGCTTCTAGGACTCTAAACAGAGAACCTAAGTAAACTAGGCTCGAACTTCTGCCCTGATAATATGAGTCAGAGAGAAAGTATTATGACTACTGGTGTTTGGCGTGTTATTTCCTGGACCACTAGGCTTACTTTAAAATCTTAAACAGAAGCTCCATTTGAGAAGTTTTACTAAAGTATTAGAAGATTCATTTATTGTTGAAATAGAAAATCTATATATTTTTATCAGAATAACATTTTTAAAGATAGTAAGCTATTATATTGGTTCCATTTTTTTACATTTTTACATACGTTTTTATCCCCCTTTTAAGCCCATAGGTTATGTCACTGAGGTCCACTATCATAAAAAGGATGTGACGGGACAGAAAGCAGAACAATATGTGATTCTCGCTGGGTGCAGTGGCTCACTCCTGTAATCCCTGCACTTTGGGAGGCTGAGGCAGGAGAATCGCTTGAGGTCAGGAGTTAGAGATCAGCCTGGGAACAAAGAGAGACACTGTCTCTACAAAAAAAAAAAATTAAATTAAAAAATTAGCCAGGTATAGTGGCACACACCTGCAGTCCTAGCCACCCGAGAGGCTGTGGCAGGTGGATTGCTTGAGCCCAGGAGTTCGATGCTGTCATGAGCTATGACTGTGCCACTGCACTCCAACTTGGGGGACAAAGCGAGACCCTGTCTCTGAAGACAAACAAAACAAAAATGTGAGTCTCTGGCTTGGGTATTCCAAAAGTTCTACTCCCTTATAACATTTAGAGGGTTTAGGGGATAACAATTATTTAGAAAAGATATCAAGGACACATAGGAAAAATGTTGAAAAAGGAAACCTCATAGGCCTTAATTGCACCCTGTCTGCTCTTCCATTCATTACATGACAATGGAGAGAAAGAATAATAATATCATACATTTTGTTTCTGAGAAAAAGTATTAGCTATCATTTTGAGATTCAGAAAACTGCTAAATAACAGGAACATAAAACATCCTTTAGAATTTGCCCTCATACATTTATTTTGGTTTTTCTAATATTTGAGAAGACTCTCACTGATCCTTGCCAAATGTCATCATAAGACATTTCAAAGATATATGAGTTTTCATTATCAGATAACCAGAGATTTTCTGAGTAAACATTTTTTTGGAAAAAAATATTTGTTAGAAATCCTGCAAAGACCTCAAAAACCCAACTCCCCTTACGTAAAGGATAGGTGTTGCATCTAAACCACCAACGCTGTTCAACATTGTCATGACTCAATGTGCGTCAGTTGTACATACGACAGATGAAAATCCCTCTGCGTAACCACCGAGCATTAGCCTAGAAAGTGACATAACTTCAACCCAAGGTAGTTAATCGTATAGAATCACTCTAAGGGCTCTCTGCATAAGAGCTCAAGTCTGAGTTCTTCCTTCTCCAGAAAGAAGACCTAAGCAGTTCCAACATCATCTTGACAATGCCCCTGTGGCTGCTAAGTCCTTCCCAGAAAAAACTACAAGTATTTATGTCACACTTTGGAGTTCACCAAGCAGGTTCACAGGTATTATGCCACCTGATTCTTTTTGCAGCCCCTGATGATAACAAAGGCAGGGCTTACTTTACAATCTTATAATTACTGGACCGGAGATGGAGGTGAAGATGGCTTGCTCAAGATGTTGTAGCTGGAGAGTGATTGAACTGAGGTGCAAACCAAACCTTATGAGTGACATCTCATATAATTCTTTCATTTTCTTTCTTCCATGTTTCCATATTTTGGTCTAGTGAGAGTTTCTGGAGTTTAGAATGGTGAGCAAGGAAAAATGTGAAATTTTGTTTGTTTGTTTCTTTGTTCTAACAAATTGTTGTTATTTTAAGATCCACGACTATAGTCTTAATTTACAGAGGGCACACCAAAGCAATAGTAGCCTACTTTATTTTTTTAAATTATAAAAAGCAAAATTTTGTATGTAATCTGGTTCTAGACAGTTTTACTTCAGTACAAACAGCAACCCTTACCTGTGAGAAACATTTTAGAAAAAGGCAGAGATGTATAGCCTTTGCTCTGAAAAAAACAGGTGACACCTATTTCTCAAAGTAGGCTCACACAAGGCAAAGGTCTTTCCACATTTTATGGAGGGAGCTATGAGTATATAGCTTTTCATATAGCAGAGTTCCCCAACCCCTGGATCATGGACTGATACCAGTTTGCGGTCTGTTAGGAACCGGGCCACACAGCAGGTGAGTGGCAGACGAGTGAACAAAGCTTCATCTGAATTTACAGCCTCTCCCCATTGGTCACATTACCACCTGAGCTCTGCCTCCTGTCAGATTAGCGGCAGCATTAGATTCTCACAGGGGCATGAACCCTATTGTGGACTGCGCATTCCAGGGACCTAGATTGCGTGCTCCTTGTGAGAATCTAGTGCCTGATGATCTGTCACTGTCTCCCATCACCCCAAGACAGAGCCATCTAGTTGCAGGAAAACAAGCTCAGGGCTCCGACTGATTGTACATTATGAGAATTGTATACTTTTTCATGATGTATTACAATATAATTACAGAAATAAAGTGCACAATGAATATAATGCGCTTGATTCATCCTGAAACCATCCCCGCCACCACCGTTTGAGGAAAAATTGCCTTCCTTAAAACTGGTCTTTGGTACCAAAAAGGTTGGGGACTGCAATTGTACAGTATTAACTTAGCTTAAATAAATAATAAGGGAATAGGACATAAAGAATGAAAAGCACAGATAGTTGACCAAATAGGGCCCTGCGTAGTGACAGGATTGAGAAAAAATGTCCCTAGTTAATAGGATTTTTAGGGTTTTATAATCAATATTAGTAACTTTTTTATGTAGAAAATTCTCCTTTTATTCTTTTTTAAAAATTTTCACTAAATTAGATAAAATGTTTTCTTGCTGGCCTGTAGATATAGGCCAAACAGAGAACTAGCTACCACTTGAAATAATAAGCAAGAAACACTAAAATTTTGGGTATAATAAAGCAGCAGAAATCTCGATTGAATAACCTAACACAAATTATCCAGTTCCTTGGCACTGCAGCTATTACAAAGGAGGTAATTACGTTCAAGCTTTTAGAAAATTTAACCTATAATGATCAGAAAATAAAAATTCACTAATTTCAACTTCTCCTGGGGAGAGAGGAGTATTTGGCTTTAAGTTGTTAATTCCTGCATTCTGTTGAGCTTTCCGTGCTGCATAGCCGACTCCCCACTTGACTGTGGACTCACTGAGTTTAAGGGATGAGCATTCCTGCCCCTGAGCACAGTTGCTGACACACAACAGATACTTAAGTGTTTTTTTCTTATTTTTTAAATCAAAATTTAAGCTTATTTTAAAAGCACATATATTTTACATTAAGAAGAAGATGTAGCCCTACCAACCATTTTTCCCTCTCCAATATTCAGAGCACATATTTAGAACATGGCACCAAGACTTAAAGGCCAGTGGATCATTATTTTAAAAGTAGTACCTGTTTTTGCAAACTTTTATTTTAATGTCAGACGTACAAGTGCAGGTTTATCACATAGGTAAGCAGAATGGTGATTCCTCAAAGACCTTAAGACAGAAATATCATTCGACACAGCAATCCTATTACTGGGTATATACCCAAAAGAATGTAAATCATTCTGTTATAAAGACACATGCATGTGTACGTTCTTTGCCACACTTTTCACAATAGCAAAGACGTGTAATCAACCTAAATGACCATCAGTGATAGACCGGATAAAGAAAATGTTGTACATATACACCATTGAATACTATGTAGCTATAAAAAAGAATGACATCATGTCCTTTGCAGGGACATGGATGAGTCTGGAGGCCATTATTCTTAGTAAACTAACACAGGAACAGAAAACCACATACCGCATGTTCTCAGTTATAACTGGGAGCTAAAGGATGAGAACTCATGGACACATAGGGAAATAGCACACACTGGGGCCTATCAGAGGGTGGAGGATGGGAGGAGGGGGAGGATCAGGAAAAATAACTCATGAGCACTAAGCTTACTACCTGGGTGGTGAAATATTCTGTATAACAAACCTCTGTGACACAAGCGTTCTTTTCCTGAATGAATTAGAGTAACTTCAAATGTGTGATGTAGACTTTAACATTCTGGTAGAGATAATATGGATTCTGCATATGGTAGTTTCATATTCAGTATTTATATATTGGTTACATATGCGACTTGTAAGGAGATGGTATAATGGATCCTTATTAATAATCATAGTTAATTGGGTACTATGCTCAGTACCTGGGTGATGGAATCAATCACACCCCAAACCTCAGCATCACACAATATACCAAGGTAACAAACCTGCACAGGAACCCATGAACTTAAAATAAAAGTTGAAATTGAAAAAAAAAATAATGACAGTTAACATGTTACATACAGAAAACAACATGTAATAGAATTATTACAAATGTAATAAGAGTTATTCTATACAACAATAAAATAGTGGTATCATATCTCTTAGAAAAAATATCTCCAAAAACAATTTTAAATATCCTTAACTATACAGGGTTATAAGCACTATAGTTCCTATTAGTTTAGTTTTGTAAATTAAAAAAATAAACAGCCAATACAATAGTATCAGATATAGCATGAAAGTAACTTTAGAACAAAATCCCACATTTCCATTTATCTCCCTAAATGAATTTTACCACTTTAAATACTGACAATTTGTTTAAATAAAATATTAATTTGAGGATGTTGGAAACACAGAAATTATTGCTGAAAACATCACATTAAGTAACTGAGTTTGTAATAAGTCCCATATAAAAGCCAGCTAACCCAATTTTGCAAATTGCTTGAAATTGCAGATGAAGATATTAACAATTCTTTTATTAAAGGATAAAGTGACCATAATACCCAAGGCACTACGCTGATTAAAGCAGGTGCAATGGAAGATAACCCATAAGCTTCATAATTCCTTGGATAATAGATCAGTGATTCACTGTAATGTGCTTATTAAGCAAAATGGAAAATTGGGTCAAATTAGACAGTGAGATGGAGTTGTCCATACATGACATGGCTTGCCACGGAGACAATCAGAGTGACATTTCTTAACCTACGTCTCTAGAGATAAGATACTTGGCATTAAATTAGTCAGTTACCTAACCTTTTGGAAAATCTACGACTGTGATCAGTAAAAGAAAATTGCATTAAAAATGGGCAATTATAGTATCCTTGTAGGGGACAAATTTTCCTTCTATAGTAAATTGAAACTCTGCCTTGTTGCAAAAGTAAGGGCTTAGAAAAAGACACTAATGGTTTTTGCATAAATTAATGTACCTAACACACATCGTCATGGTGGCTGTTCTGGGTAGCTGTAATAAACTTGAATATTCATGGAAGAATAAGTCCTCAGAGGACCATTGTAAGATTCTAATAATTGTTGATATCAATCATATTGTGTCAGTTTTTCTGAAATGGAAATATTTAATTGTTCCATGAGGCAAAACACTTATTTGTGTTTGAAAAGATGACATGAAATAAAGGCATACCTGCAGAGCGTGATTCTATGTTGGCTATTAGTTAGGGTCACATGCTGGGAAATGAAGTGGGTGGTTTGGCAGGGGTTTTCTGGCAGCTCCTATTCAAGATTTGGCACATCAGGTGTTTTCTTTTCATGTATGAGGCCAACTCTGGTTGGGGATTCTGACTTATTGAATGCAAGGACCTGATGCTGTCTTTCTTGGACATCCTGAGGCATCCTGACAGTCACACAGACAGGGCAAGTGAAAATATATTTGGTGAGAACAAGTAACTGTTTGTATTCTGCCTGGATGAAGAAAAATCCACTTTTGGGGAGATCTTCAGGGTCTTTGAACAAGGCCACCTAATCACCTCATTCCCCTGAACCCTCCAGTCAGTCACACTTCTGTGTGGAGTGACGCTCTTAACTTTTACTCTTCCTCAGTGGTTCTCAAACCTAAACCCACATCAGAATCATCTATAGGGTGTATTAAAGCACAGATTTCTGGGATTCACTCACAGAGTTCCTGGTTTAAAAGGACTGGGGTAGGGTCCAAGAATTTGCATTTCTAACCAGCTCCCAGATGATGCTGATGCAAACTTTAAGAGATATTGCTTCCGCATAGCTACAGTGGTATAAGCTTTGATTCATTCATATTGTCCTCATTCATTTATTGAGATATGCATTGACCATGCAGTAAATTATATCAAGACACAGATGTCTATACAATGAATGTGCTATAACTATGCACATTATCTTCTCATGTTCCAGTTGCTCAGTGTCTTCTTGCTACCCTAACCTTCCAACACAGTGATGCCTCCTCTGGCTTCTATATCCCTGGAGGAAATTCAATTTCAAAATGGTTTCTTTCCCTAGTTTTTCATTACTTTCTTTTTCCCTCCCGCAATTACAATTTCCATTTACTCAATACAGATGATATCATTTATGTCCAATGAAGAAAGCAGTCTACTTAAACTAATACATACTAATGTTTGAGACCCAGCTTGAGTGTTCACATTTAAAAAAGATGCCTCTGAGCCAACATCAATTTCAAAAACCGCGACATCACAAAGTGAAAACTTTCAGGTCATTGAGACGCATTTCCTTGCTCATATCTCCTATCACTGGGTATGGCTAGTCAAAAGTGAAGATGATTCATCTAGGCACACAGCACTGAACAAAATGAATTGGCTGGGGCTATTTGAGATATTTAATAACTCCATACAATCTCTATAAAATTTATATTTTCAATAATGTGTTGCCATATCCCCTGAATCAAAAATTGAAAAGTTGTAAGACTCTTGTGATAACCAATAAATCTGCTTTAACATCTGTTCTTATTGAGAATGTTTCAGTAGGATATTGATATTTCTATCAGGTGAAAATATTATCTTTGCTATAATCTGAATGTTTGGGTCCACCCAAAATATGTATGCCCAAATTCTAACCTTCATGGTCTTGGTATTGGGAGGTGGTACCTTTAGAAAGATATTGGGATGCATGCCTTTATAAAAGAGACACCCAAGAGCCGAATCACCTCTTCTACTGTGGGAAGACCCAGCTGGAAGGCACTGTTTATGAACAAGTACACAGGCCCTCACCAGACACTGAATCTATCACTGCCTTGATCTTGGACTTCTCAGCCTCTAGATCTGTAAGAAAAAAGTTTCTGTTGTTTATAAACCTCTCAGTTTGTGGTATTCTTGTTAGAGCAACCCCAATAGACTAAGATAACCTCTTCCATGACAAAGGAAGCCTGCATTTTAGGTAAATATATGACAGTGTTCTCCTTAGACGTCTATATGAGAAAATTACAGAAAAGCAGTGAACCCAAGGACACCCAGAGCTCATTCAACCAGAGGCCATCAGCAGGGCCAGTTTTCAAAATTCATTACAGGCACAAAGCACATTTTCTTAAAGAGGAGTATTCTCAGAATTTATATGAGGAGGATATCACTATTCTAGGAGAGTGAAGAAGAAAAGTGAATGTGTAATCATTTAATTAGATATTCAGGAATAGAAACAAAAAGAATTGGCAAGTATATCGAATGATGATGGACACAATCTGTAGGAATAAATAACTTATGGTGCTGATACCTCATTGCCTCCTCCTTCACTTTCCCCTCTTTTCCTCTTTTTCAGCTCCTCCTCATCCTCCTTCTTCCTCCTTTTTCTATTTAAAAAAGCTACTTTGTATTTTGTTGTTCTTTATTTTGGCTCTGTCCAGTAAATATCATCAAATCACTAATTACCAACTTCATTCACTCATTTGCTGGTTTCAGCCAATGTCTAAACAATTGAAAACAGCAGAGCCCGTATGGTTGCTTAATGCAAACTCTTCTAAAACCCGAATTCCACCAAAGACATTTTATCCAAAGTTGGACACTGTCTGTTCCTAAAGGTGAGACCCTGGGCAAGTCACTGAATTCCTCTGGGTCTCAGTTTCATCACTCAGCAAGTAGTTGGATGAGATAATTTTCAAATCTGAAGCTTATATTCCATCCTGTATTTTCTGTCAGGATCAATTATTTTGCAAAATTTTTCCTCAGTTGTAATAAAAGCCTTTATCTTCTGCTGACTGCACACTACTCTATAAATGTTTGCTTTCAGCACTAGTACTTGGGGCAATTTCTTTTACAAGTGGTTACTTCAGTATAAGCTGGAAATATTATAAACAGAGCCAGCCATGCAGGCAGCATGTGAAAGATTTTTATGGTAAAATTTTGCAGAATGTATTTAGTCCATTTACATTCTGTCACTGAAGCTTATAAAACAAGATAGGAAAGGCAGATTTTCATATTTCCTCAGGCAGAGGTCAGAAGCAACTTTCAGAGGGAACTTGAAGTTTAGGCAAAAATCCAAACACATAAAAGCACAGCCATTTTAAAACTAGTAAAAATGAACTGTTACTTGGTATAGCAGATGGCAATATTTTATGAACCATTTTGTAACGTTATAGAATTCCCAGCATCTACTAAAATCAAGCTTCATGAATACCATTAACAAACCTACTTTGCTTTTGCATGTGGTATTTCTAAGGGAAATGCTATATTGTGATCCTTAAAAAGAGTTTGTTAAGATATGTGAAAGGATTGCCTGATGTCTACAAAGGCAGGTGAGAACCAGGCCATCTTAATGCAGCAGAGGCCATTTTCCCATGCTACAAACACACCATGATATTGAAGTTACTATATCTCTGTTTTAAAGGAACTTTCTAGTTAACAGTGTGTGAAGTTAGGCTGGATGTGATGGTTCACACCTGTAAACCCAGGATTTTGGGAGGCCAAAGCAGAAGGATCCCTTGAGGCCAGGAAGCCAACTTGGGCAACATAGGGAGACCCCAACTCTACAGAAAATAAATTAGCCAGATGAGGTGACAGGCCTGTAGTCCCAGCTACTTGGGAGGTTAAGGTGGGAGGATTGCTTGAGCCCAGAAATTCAAAGCTGCAGTAATTATGCCACTGCACTCTAGCCGAGCTGAGAGAGTGAGCATGTCTCTCAAAAAAAAAAAAAAAAAAACAGAGAAAAAAGTGTGTGATGTTGGATAAATGTTGGTTAGTATGCAACTGTTTAATGCACATTTAATCAACTAATATCTGGATCTATACAATTGTTAAGGGATCATTTACTATAAATTGCTAGTCCATTTAGAAGTAGCAGCTGCTTGAATTAATTTTTGTGTAAGGTGTAAGGAAGCGATCCAGTTTCAGCTTTCTACGTATGGCTAGCCAGTTTTCCCAAAAGACTTGGAACCAACCCAAATGTCCAACAATGATAGACTGGATTAAGAAAATGTGGCACATATACACCATGGAATACTATGCAGCCATAAAAAATGATGAGTTCATGTCCTTTGTAGGGACATGGATGAAATTGGAAATCATCATTCTCAGTAAACTATCGCAAGAACAAAAAAGCAAACACCGCATATTCTCACTCATAGGTGGGAATTGAACAATAAGAACACATGGACACAGGAAGGGGAACATCACACTCTGGGGACTGTTGTGGGGTGGGGGGGAGGGGGGAGGGATAGCATTAGGAGATATACCTAATGTTAAATGATGAGTTAATGGGTGCAGCACACCAGCATGGCACATGTATACATATGTAACTAACCTGCACATTGTGCACATGTACCCTAAAACTTAAAGTATAATAATAATAATAATAATAATAAAGAAGTAGCGGCTACTTATCTGATTGGAGGAATTAACTTGGGGAAAGGCTGAGAAGTTTTTTGAATGGAGAAATGACATTCATTGTGAGAGGAAAATTGCTAAATGTATTGCACTATGTATTTATAAATTCCCTCATTGGTTTCTGCAACAAATGTAGAAAGAAATGGAAGAATTTAGAGAAAAAAGGTTTTTAAAGCCTGTGGAGATTTTTTTTTAGTAGTAGGACATAAGGAACAGCAGGAAGAGGGGTATTTGATTAAACTGAATGTAAGCAATGACGAGGAAGGAAGAGAATGAGAGTCTGGAAGTTTGAAGACTGTGGATAAATTTGAGCAGCAGCAAAAGGTGTCAATTTTAAAATAAAAATTAAGAGCAGTTAGATCTTACCTTTTAAAATTTTTTTAAAAATGGACATGTTATTAAGATAGTTTTGAGTTAACTTGTCAGAGAAACTAGAGGTATAATGGCTTTCATATTTTTGAATGACAGAAATATTAATTTGATCATTCCCTATGGTTTCATATACAACATTTAAATACTGTATTTTGTTGTAAAACTTGTTTGCTATTTCTATAGCATTGCAACTGTCATATTCTTATGCTTTGAGTATAAGCTACACATGGAGTAGGGTGCTGTTTAATCATAAAAATATTTATAATCATCTGATTTATAATTTGGAATGGACAATGCTTATTATCATTCCTAAGTGACAGATTGGCGAGAAAAATATGTTTTTTAATCTTTCAACTCCTGGTCTAACCGAATATGAAAGAATCCTACCCATCATCTTTTTACAAACATAGAGGTGTTGGTTCATAGTTATGATATAGGATCAGCAGCAGAAGAATTCACCTTTACTGAGAACTAATTTTACAAGTCTGGAAAAGAAGCTGTGTATGATTCCTGTGGTTTATTTTCATAGACACCTCCACGGAGTAGACAGGATCATTTGCATTTTACAGCTGAGGCTACACAGTTTGACTAAGGTTATAGGTCATATGTCCAATAAGCCAGAATATGAACCTGGTACTGCCTGACAGTAAAGTCCACGTTCTTTTGATGGTATCATCTGGGCTACCAAACAATGCCACTCGGCCCCATTCATCTGCATTACCTCTGATAGATGTCACTTGGAGTTTGCTGCCTCCAGACATGTTCTATAAAATCATTTTTTTTCCATTTTTTCCCAAGAATATAAATTAGGTGTGATCAAATCTCGTTTGGTAAAGATACCATGGGAACGTGGCTGTTTGATACATCTGGTCATTTCCGAAGTTTATTTTAAAGTAGCTCAGCCTGACTGTTAGCCCTCTGTCCAGCTATAAATAGACCCTTAAATCCTGGGCTTGTAGATTCATGCCAATAGTGGCAGAAAAGGCCGCCACCTCTCCCAATCACCCTGGATTGAACAGTGGTACAGCGCAGGAACAGAGGAGTGACTAAATTTTATCCATAAGATATTTCTTCAAATAAGCAGCAGCTCAAAGCAATAATCTGTCCAGCAAGTAGGTGGAGATGTCATTATTTTTTTCAATAAAAAGAGAACTGTTTCAACAGACAGGTGTTGTTTCCGACATCATCAGAGAGGAAGGTGGATGGATCTATACGGTAAGCATTCTACCCCTCAGCTGCCAGGGACAGATCCATAAAAATCCAAAAAGGGAAGAGAGAAACAGCTTGAGTACAGCTGAATCATTCACAACAATATTACAAGCAATTACTTCAATGGTAAAGTCTCCAGTCTAGACTTAAGAAAAAAGGGCAAGAGCAACATTGAGGAATAGCTGTTAAAGACGAAGACTAATAAAAAAAGGAAGGGTCTGGGATAAAGCAAAGTTTTGTTTCTTTGGGTTTTTTTGTTTGTTTGAGATGCAGTCTTGCTCTGTCGCCCAGGCTGGAGTGCAGTGGCATCATCTCAGTTCACTGAAACCTCCACCTCCGGGGTTTAAGTGATTCTCCTGCCTCGGCCTCCCAAGTAGCTTGGATTACAGGCGACCACCAGCACACCTGGCTAATTTTTGTATTTTTAGTAGGGATGGGGTTACACCATGTTGGCCAGGCTGGTCTTGAACTCCTGACCTCAAGTGATCTACCCACCTCAGCCTCTCAAAGTGTTGGGATTACAGGCATGAGCCACGGTGCCTGGCCAAGGCAAAGTTGACAAAAGCATCATGTGGGAATACTCTTTCTTTACCCCGTGAGGGGACTAATAGAATTCTAGCACTCGACTTAATGGTGATGCTCTGAGGGAATCTCACGTCTAACATTATAATGAAACATCTCTTGAATTTTCTCATTTAGGTTACTTCACGTCTTCTTAGAATAAAATCAGCAAAAATGTTTGAACTAGTTGCATGTTATTAAAGAGGTATTTTACGAATACTAGTGGGTCCAGGTATAAGTAACATACAGTTCATTTCCCCCTCCCCCACCCATACACATTTACTATCTAGTTGAAATTTTTTTTAATGAGGAAATATATTTAATACAAAAGGTTCCAAACCTCATTGGCAGAGTGATCCTTTTAAAGTGAAAGTCAGATAATGTAAGTTTTTCTGTCAAAATATTTTCTGGCTTCCCATCTCGCTCAGAATAAAATCCAACATCCTCACCATGGCTGCACATCACCTGGTCAGTGTCTCTCCTTGGCCTCATTGTCTCTCCTTCCACTTCATCCTCATTCAAATCTGGTTCTACTTTTTTTTCCAGCAGTCCCTGAACAGTCCAAGCATGTTCTAGAGCCTTTGACATTACTTTTCTCTCTGCTTTAAACCTGTTTACCACAGACATTTCCATGCCTTACTCTCTATTTTATTTTTTCCCGTGGTCAAATACCATCTTATGAGTGAACCTGGTCCTGCCTACCCTATTTGAACTATCATCTCATATTACCCCCTTTTTTTCCCCCGTGCTATATTACATGGTCAACTAGCTAGTGTTTAAAAATATTTCCTCCCCATCTTCCTATCTTGGTGGGCAAACTGTCCTCCCCATTCCTCAGCCTTTTCCTTGTTTAGGCTGACGATGGAAGTAGGGCGTTCAAAGCACCGTTTGGTTGGGCTTGTTATCTTGCGTTTCTGACGTTGCCATGAGAAGCACATGCCCATAGCCTGTGGATTCTAAGAGGAAGACGAGAGCAGCATGGAGCAGAGGAAGTCCAGCCTAACCATCTGGGTGGAGTCCAGCTCAGTTTAGTCAGTTTCGAATCTGCAGATGCAAGAGTGAGCCCAGCTGATACCTGTGGAGCCACCTAATTCAAACTTCAGCTGATCTCCAGCGGATTCCAGACACTCGAGTGAAATAGAGGTTTATTGCTGCAGGGCACAGCTGAAATTTTGGTGATTGATACATAGTATTTTTGTGACAATGTCCAGTTGACACATACTGAGTTTTTATGGCACAGTCACTGTCTCACATACTATATATTTGTGTGTTTACTTATTGTCGTGTTCCTCTTCCTGAATATATGCTCCTTGAGAAGAGGCACTTTTGTTGCTGTTGTTTATTACTGCTTTTCTACCACTTAGAACGGGGCCTGGCACTTAGTAATCTCTTAATAAATATGTGTGAAATAAATGATCTATGCTGTCTTATTCTATTATTTAAAATGTGTAGAAAGTTAGCTAGCAGCTAAGTGGATAAAACAGACATAGTCTATGTCCTCATGGAAATTATAACCTAAATACTGGTATATAATAATGTATCATTTAACTAAGATAAATCTAGAACTCTATAGTTACAATATTTATAATTTCCTCTCTAGTGGCATTAATAAAACTAAACAGCTGTTACAAGAAAAATATTTTCACTTAAAGCACTTCCTGTAAAATGACATGAAATTAATCACCCTATTAAGATAACATACACTTACATGTAATCGACCTGGTATAGTATTTATAATTCAATTATGTCTTTGTTTATCCTTTTCAGAGCTCTGAAGAGGAACTTACTCTATAACCTTCTTCCTTTCTTTTTTTCCATTCTTTGTCAATTATCAATTAAACATCTAATACTTGCAAAACACTACACATGAGATGCTTCAAGTTAGATACAGAAAAACAAGGTTAAAATCCATAGGGTCTGGAAAAATAATAATCTTCTTAGGAAGACATCTACTCCAAAAACAGGCTAGACATTTTAGGAAGTAAATATGACCATCTGCACTTTGTTCTAACTTGCATCTGCAACCTACATTCATAGCTCTCTCTTGCCACCTGAAAAAATTTAACATTTCTTCAATGTCTCATTCTTTTTTACATTTCTTCCTTTTACCTGTGTTGCTTGTTGTATCTCCCTAGATATCATTCAACATTCTTTAATTGAAAAAGAGGTTATTATTTTTACAAAACTATTACAAATGTTACCTGAAAGGCATCACCTCTATCCCCTTATATGATCGCCTCACCAGATTTTCTATAGTAAGTTTTACGTGAATATATTTTTTCTGGTGAAAGTGGCTGTTGTTCTAGTCAGACTCTCAAAGGAAGTGTTGACCTCCAAAACTTATAAATCATTCACTAGAATGTAAATCTTTTACAGACAGAAATTCTATTCTATTTATTTATTACAAGAGTCTGAGAGGAAGGTATTCAGAACATACTTGTCAAAAGCAAAAATAATTTGTTAAATAATCATGTAGGTGTGAATCCATTACACATCAAAATGAATCGTACTAAATAGACATTGTTCTATTGGCTCAAGGAAGAGGGGCTTGTTGAGTTGGAGCACTCAGGTACTCAAAAGAGGCAGAACTTGAACAAGGCCTGAAGATACAGGGCAGAAATAGAATATGAGGAGCTGACAACAAGTTGAATTACATATAGAAGAAAACAACAACTCAAAAAGACTGGAAGCCTGGAATGAACTGTAAATGCCCGTGGGAGTCAGTCTGGATAGATGTGGAGTGTTGATGTGTACTCCTTTAGAACAAATTGCATTCATTTTGACAGTTCCTCGGCTTTGTTCATTATGAAGCCTTATGGAGCCGTCTTTTAAGTTAAATCATAAAAAAATTGCATTTTTGGATGCGTAAACACCACTGATAGTCTTCTCGATTCTTTGACCTTTTTAAAATTTTTATTTTCAAGACACCGACAGCATGGATTACCTGTGTCTGTTCAGCACTTTTTTCATGAGACTGACATGCTGTCCCAGCGATCACATCTATCAACATCTCCCTGATTTATCGGCTTAATAACAGGAAATCATTGGGTAGCCCAGCTCTATTTTGCTTGAACACTGACTTGTGACCTTAATCTGATGCCTTTCAAGCATCTTTGTTTTTCCATATAAGACCAATTAAATTGAAACATTTTTAAGAGATTATATAACAAAATATGTGACATTTAAACATTTAAAGTTAATTTTTCTCTCAAGTGGGTAAAAAATTAAAGATTAATTTTATTCTAAAGAAATCAGCACAGATCACTTCAACAATAGTTATTAAAGCAATTGACATATGCTACCTAAGAGCACTTTTTAAAATCAATGTCGTGGCTGGAGAAATGCACTAAGTCCAATTGTTATTTATTAATGTATCAGGTATAGATAGTAGGATGAGGATTGCAGTCGGCATTCCTTTGCGTAACAAATTTCTTTTACAGATCTGCACTTCTGTTTCTCAGAATAATATTATTTATTTTCAAATTCACTATTCAATTCTACTTCTTTTAGTATAAGTGAAATTACACTAAAAACTCATAAGCTATTGAATTTTAAAAACAACAAAAATATTTGAGACTTTATATATAAACACATATTATTTTAAATATTGCTATATTACAATAAAAATCAAATAGGAAATGATCATTTTCATTTTTGCTGAATACATATTGCATATTTTTTTCTGTCACTTTTATGGTAGGAAATGTGGCTATAGGTTTATGGAAGAAGTGATACACATGCGCACGCACACGCGCACACACACACACACACACACACACACACACACACACATTTTATCAGACCACAGAGAAATGTTGAAATGGTTTGGCTGTGTCCCCACCCAAATCTCATCTTGAATTGTAGTTCCCATAATCTCCACATGTCGTGGGAGGGACCTGATGGGAGGTCACTGAATCGTGAGGGCGGTTACCTCCATGCTTTTCTCATGGTAGTGAATGAGTTCTCATGAGATCTGATGGGCTTTTCCCCCTTTGCTTGGCACTTCTCCTTCCTGCCATCACGTGATGAAGGATGTGTTTGCTTCCCCTTCTGCCATGATTGTAAGTTTCCTGAGGCCTTCCCAGCCTGCAGAACTGTGAGTCAATTAAACCTTTTCCTTTATAAATTACTCAGTCTCAGGCAGTTCTTAATAACAGCATGAGAACAGACTAATACAAATGTTATACTTTTAGACATTCAATATTAATTTGATGAAAACTATTATATCACATGAACTGAAAATAGATTTCCTTTAAGAATTTTTGAAAATTATGCAAAACTTCCATTTTGCATGTAATGACATGCAGTTTCACAAAACTGTGTGAAGAATCACAGTCTTCAGTTTTAAATATCTTTATTGAAATTATACAGAACAGCCTTCATGTCAGGCAATCAAGGCAGTGTGTTATAGATAGTTATCAGGCTTCCCTTGTAGTTTATGAGTAATTCACAGCTTATTGTTGAACCATTCAGAAAGGACATAGGCTCATAAAATGAAGGGATACATATACAGCAAAAGACTGGAAATTAAACCTACTAGAAGCAGCTCTAAAAATGTGTCTAGTCTAAGAGCAAAATAAGTGCTTCTTCTTATCCAGTTATTCAGCAAGGATTTATTTCTTGCCCTGTTACCTGCCATGACTTCTTCATATAAAATTGGCTAATAGTTTGTCGCTGCCCTCAAGTAATTTAAAATGATTACAGTGTCCAATGATACAAGTATTCACAGGTTGCAACAGGAATAGAAAACAGCTGGAAGACTGTTAGAGAGACTTCCCATAAAGAATGACAGCTTCTACATTTATATTGTAAAGAATGAATAAAGTTAGAAAAACCTAGCAAATAAAAAACAAATACAAAACATCTTGTAGAAGAGCATATAAGAAAGTTTTATGGTGGCCTAAAACTACATTATTACTATACTCAGGAAACTAAATGCATGCAGCCAAGTGTATGTATAAATAAATGGGGTTGGAATAGGGGTCAAAGGTAAGACTACAGGTATAGGCAAAGGCAGGATTAGGAAATACCATTGATGTATGTTACGTGAAGTAACACAGATGGTAGCAATTAGTCTCCAAAGATGGCCCCCAAAAGAACCATACTCTCAGTATTAATATTCTTCTAGAGTTTCTTTCTATTAAATATGAGCTAATCCAGTGGTTCACTTTTAACCAAAGAAAATATAGTGAAAGTTATAATATGTTCCTTTTAAGGCTGCATTGTCAATACATTTTGTGGCTTCTATCTCAGTCTCTTGAGGTAGTTGTTGGTATGCTTCTTCTTAGAACCTAGAAGCTCTGGTATGAGAAGCCCGAGTCACGTAGAGAGGCCACAATAGGGGATTCAGTCAACATCTTAAGCTAAGCTCCCAGCCACAGCAGTGAGTCATGTGTGAGCCATTTTGGGTTGTACAGCTTCCTGAAGCCTTCAGATGACTATGATCCTGGTCAACATCTAACTGCAACCCTGTAAAGGACCCCAAGCAAGAACTGATCAGAAGAGCTTTGTCAACCCTTGGGACAATGAGAAATAATAAAGCTTTGTCCTAAGTCACTAAGCTTTAGAGAGATCTGCTTCACAGCAATAGGTAACTGAAATAGAATCCACTTATCAATTTTAAATCTGGACTGCATTTAGGAAAATCACTCCAGCTGTGATAGCAATGATAAAACAAAGAAAGACCTCCAAGGCAGCCATACTAGTTATTGCAGACACTTGGATAAATTTGATGGGATTTGAATGTAAGACAATGGAATGGAGCAGATCTAAGAGATAATAAGACATACAATCTACAGGACCTGATGCCTTGATATCTCACAGGACCTGTGTGTAGAGGGAATGGTAAGCAAAAGTAAGGGTCCAAGCTGGCTTGCAGAATAGTATATTTTACTTCTTCCTTTTTCTTTCTTTATTCATTTATCAGATGTGTATTGAATCCTGATATCTGTGAGAAAGGTAAGCAAAAAGAAGAAAATTTACTGGATCTCTTGGTTCTTACAGTGTAGTGAGAGAAGACAAAATTTAATGACATCATCTCCTCAAATCAGTGAGGTTACTAGTGTAGAGAAAAAGAAACCAGTAGAAGCAGATCAAGCCATAGGGGTGCGGGAGTAGAACGTAGACAGAGGACTCTGTGACTAACTAGAGGGATTTCAAAGGTGATGAGTAGTTAACTGAACCAGTGGGAATAGTCATTCTACCTTCTAGAAAGAAAAATACAATAAACACAGGGCAAATGACACATTCAGGAAATTAAAAGAAGAAAAGGGATAATAAGTATTGCAAAGAGAGAGGTGTGGGGGGACAGTATGCGTTAAGGCTCAAGTGAGTAGGCAGGGGTGAAATCTTACAAGCCTTGCCAGCCTTTTAATAGACTTTGTATTTATTCTAATAGGATGTGGAACTCATCAAACGGGTTTGGGAAGAAGTTTGATACCAATTTTTCTCACCACTGTATCATTCTGGCTTTAGTGTAGAGGACAAATTGAGGAATGACAAGAGTTTATATTAGGATTACGGCAAGTGGTCTATTAGAATAAGAGCATTACAGCACCTGACATATGCTAAGTAGTCAATAAGTCAATAAATGTTAGCAATTATCATCATCCTCATCATTGTCATCATCATCATTATTATCGTCATTGTCATCTTCAACTAGATTAATGGAGAGCAGACAGATTCAAAATACATTTTGAGGTAATATGAAAAATGATGGTCATTTGACTGTGGGGTCGGGGAATAAGAAGTAGAATTCACTATTAATTGACTTAATTCATTAATAAAGAAGTAAAAAAAATGACTGCTGGGCTTCAGGTACATTCAACAGGATCAAAGGTGATAGCCATTTGTAAGGGCAGATGATGATGAGTTCTATTTGGAATATGATGAGTCAGAGATCCCCTTTAGAAATAAAAGAGAGACGTGAAGTAGGAACTTAAGAGTAGAATGTGGCTAAAGAGAGAAATGTGTGGTGGCAGCTGAAGCTGTAGATATAAGTTTGTCTAGGTAGAGGGCGAATGGTGAGAAAAAAGGTTTAAGCTTGAGTTATTTGCAGGAAATCCAGCACGGAATGACAAATAGAACAGGTTTAACCTATATATCCTGAAGAGAGAGGACATGGGAGAGAAAAACTAGGTACATGGGCTATCAATAAAGGGAAGAGGTTTTCAGGGAGGAGGGTGTTATCTACACAACAAGTGTTGCTGAGAAATAAGGAGAGATATGATTATTGTTGAACATAGCAGGAAAATATTAGTTAAATAATAAGGACAAAGGCCACATTATATAAAGGCAAGAATTGAGTCAGACATTAAAAAGTGGAGAGAGAAAGACTGAGGCTCTTTCCAGATGTGTGGCTATAAAGGGGAGGGGCAAGAAGTTGAGTGAGAAAAATCTTGTTGTTATTGTATCCTTTCATTGCTTTTGCACGTTTCCAATATTGGAGAGTGTGCTTTAAGGTTGATAGAAAGGTTCCAGGTGAAAAGAGGCAACGAATAAACAGGAGACAGGATAATTAATTGCCAGTGTCCATATAAAGTATAGCTTTATTGATTCCAATGTCAAATGTAGTTATTTGTTTAAAGTGCTGACAATGGATTCAATTCCCATATTTGAATCCTCACTTTGCCAGTTGCTATCCAATGTAGCCTTGGACAATTTACTTAACCCTTTTCAGGCTATAATTCCTCACATCCAAAACAGGGGCAATAATAGTTTCTGTATGATAGGAATAAGTGAGAATTAAATGAGTAATCCACAATTTAAATGATGATTTTTAACACAGAACTTGGCACATTAGGGGCTTTTGTAAATGACAATTTCTATCATTATTTCTTCTTGCTAAAAACTGTCAGAGATAAAACTTGCTATTTATTCCTCTTTGAGCTAAGCTCATATTTAGAAGAAAATTAATTTTTAAAAAAATACTACTTATGACATCTCAAATATATTGCCACTGAATGCTCAAAATATTGTAAACATAGAGTCTAAAAAACTCTTAAATGCAACATGCTATTGCTTAAGACAAATCCCTATCAAACATTATTAATATTAATTTATACCACAAATTATCTATCCACTACGAGTTGGAATACTATAATTTTGGTATTTTAATACACCTAAAAAGGTTGTTCTGCTTTTCTTACCAGTTCACATAAAGCCCAGTATACTTCAGGCTTCCTTCCTCCATCTTGTAATGACACCAGCTAGATAGAACTTACAGCTATCAGGGTCATTGTTGGAGTGGAACAGAGGAATGGACAGCTGGCTGTTAAATTGTCTGGCTCAGAAATGGCACATGTGACTTCTAATGGTCTTTCCACCAAAACTAGTCACATGGTTCCGACTTGACATCAAGGGAGAATTGGGAATATAGGAAACACATAAAATATTTGGTGACCACCACCTCTTTCTGCCATATTTCTAAACATGTGTATTTTATTACTTCACATGTTATTTAAATGATAGAAACATGGAAATACTGGCATAATTTTTGGATAGCTAAATCTTGTTTTCTTAGCTTTTCTATAAGAAACACGCTTTATACAGTAACCATGAGTTTTTTAAAATAATAATCACCTTTGGTTGTCTTATAATTAGAAATAAAAAATGGCTGCATTATTATTTTCAAAAATAAAGGACAAGTCTAGTGTCTCTTCATTTTTATCTGCCATCCAATGGCTTGGTTAAAAAGAGTTGGTAGGATTTAGACATCTAACACAAGTTTTTTCTTGATATTTATATATCACTAAACATGAACATATAAAATATATTTCCTCATTTTGGTCCTTTTTATTGAACACAATTACATGGTGTAGTATATTGTTTTTCAGCTGTCTTGAAACTATTAATAGTTTATAACTGTCCTACCATTTTATCTATTAAAATGTCATCATGACATGTCAGCATGATGCTTGTTTTCTAAACAGAAACAAATTTGTATCTGTACATACATAAAGCTTAGTGTTAAAGCAAATTTTATTTCATGATCGTGAATCATGATAGGAGTGCAATACTATGAATTTAGTGGCTGATGGAGCAATGAGAAAGGTCCTATATATCTAAAGATTAGATGTCACAGAGGGTCCCTGATGTTCTGAATGTACAAAATTCAGTGTTGGCAATATAACCTATGTATCTAAGACACACATTCTCAAAATGAAACATGCTGAAAGCTAGCCAGAGCTTTCTGATAGGAAATGATGGGTCAACAAAAAATAGTCTCTAGAAGCTTATATGAAAAAATCGTAAGGAATATAAATAAAAATATTGATTATCAGATATTTATGAGCAACAAGTGTTTCATTGTACACCATCATACATTCATATTATTTCTCCTCTTTAAAACATTTCCATGGAACAAAAAAATAGAGCATTGCATATCAATTTTCTACTGAATAAAAAAAGAATAGTATGCTTGATCTTGCTAAAAGCTTGTACTTTCTGAATGTTAAAATACTTTATTTTGAAAGTGGCATGAAACACAGTAAGATCGACGTAGGTGATCCCAAGGCTTAAATTAATGATTAATTTAATGTATAAAAGAAAACAATAGAAATTATGAAGCCCAGGTATTAATAATTCTTCCTGACAACAAATGAATTAATATTATAAATGCTTATTCAGAATATATTTTTCTACCATGCTAAGATAAAGATGAGTGATATCATATGTAGGTATACAGTTTGGTGTTCTAAGAGCTATTCATGGTTCAGAATCATTATTGGGCATGCAATATAGGTACTTTGTTGCAAGAATTTAAAAAATTATGTACATTTTATACATGAAGTATATATTGTATATATGTTTTAGACAATTTTACATACACACACACACACACACACACACACACACACCCATATTTTATCCAGGATATTTTAACTGGAGTGAGGAGCACAGAGATCAAAAGGAGAAAATGTATGGTAGGAAAAAAGGGCCAGTGTTTTTTTGTCTTTGCTTATCAAACTAAAAGCTCCTCACTTAGCTTATGTACCAAGTAAGAGTAATTAAAATGCCTTGATTTCAATCTCCCTTAGGCAGTGGTCTTCATAATATTTGAAGGTTAACATCAAGCCATTCAAACAATATATCTTTAGAACAATGGACACTTCTCCTGTGAAATAGACTGGAAAAATATGATAGCATACAGAAATTATATTAAAATGGTGGTTCTTCAACCTGACGAATATCAGGAGTGTTATTTTCTGAAAGACACCATCAAAATTAGAAACATCTATCTTCAGCCAACTCTCAATTATCTACATGTAGATTATCCACTGTGAATGATCTGCTGCAATTTTATAATTTCAAATAATTTCTTCTTATCATCCATCATTTTTCTGAATTAATCATCCAGTGCTTCAGTAATAAATCAAAAATCTCATAAAAGCAAAATACAATGGCTTATGGGATGGGTGGGTATAAAATGCCTTATCCCAGATCCCAATTGATTTCAAACTTTAGTATAAACTATTTTTATTACCCACTATTTTTTCATATTTACAATATTTCTTCTATAATTGGTCAAATAATAAAATGTGAAATGTACGTTTTAACATAACTCATGATACATGTATATGCATTCACATATACTTTTGACTAACATGAATCCTCCCAGTAGAAACATATCTTAAGATATCTGGATAGAACCTAATAAAAAGGGAAACCAGTTCCTGTAGATGTCTTCTATCTTCAATACACTTTGTTCTTACGCCTCAACAAAAATATAAAAATTATGATTCATGTAGTAAATATTTCTTGAGTTATTCTGTGTGCCAAACATTAATCTAGGCATTAGGAATTCATGTACTTGTTTACCAAACCAATAGAATACCTTCCCTTGATGAGTTTCTTTTCTTTTTGAAAAAGATTAGAAACAAATACATGAATAAATGAATGAATAAAATTACAGACACTCATAAAGATTGTAAGGAAGATAATACTTGGTATTGTATAGAGATGAATGGAAGAAATGGTTTATCTAGGAGAGTCATAAGATACTGAGGAATAATATTTCAAAAGGCCTAAAGGATTTGATGAACATAAGGATTTGTGTATATGGGAATGTGTACATCATTCCTTAATTAAACTACAATATCCATTTAATCTTGAAAACTTGAAACTAAAATTCTTGAAAACTAAATTTTCCCTCATTTCCAGGGAGAAATTAGTTTTTTATATTTTGGTTATTTAGTTTCCAGTAGAGAAAGGGTAAAGGAGTTTATATTATTGTTATTTTAAATTCTTAAGTCCAAGTCTCTTTTATTTTTTTTTTGAGATTAGTCTAATACACCATTGAGCCCTACTGAGGTGGAAAGAAACTGACTCTGGGGTTTTATTGAGTATATATTGAGAGGAGTTCCTAGAGAGAGAGTGGTTTGGTGTGATCCTTAGGGGTAGGATTAGGAGAAAGAAAAGACGAAGGAAGCTAGGTCCATGGATTTGGCAGTGTGGGACTAAACCTTGAAGGGGTTTTGTTCTGTACCTTAGAATGTGCTTAAGATAAAAAACCTGGGAAACGTTTTCACATCAATTGTATGTCTTGGGAGTAGAGGTGTTGCCTTTCCAGTGCTTCTCAGTCTCTACATACTATTCGTCCAATCATCATTTAATGACATCAGTAACCTGTAGATATGAAAGAAAATTTGTATGCCAAAATCTTTCAGCCTTTCCTTAGGAAGTCTTTCTACTACAACTTAGGACAATCACAAATCTGAATCTATACTTCATAACTAGATTAGGACAGTGAGAGGCACCAGACTGTGAAATGCGTTTGAAAGGAGAACAAGGCCCCTTCCCACTTCTGTCAATGCCTATTTCTCTTTCCAACTCCTATTATTCTCCTTCTCTCCTCCTCTGTCTCTCTTCTCACCTCTTCCAATCACACCTTCTGATCCATTTAATTACTGTTAAAGGATTAACAAACAGCTATGATTTTAGGTGACTTAACTAGCAGAGTTAAGTTGAACAGGCCCTTACTTGAGGGGTTGTTTGCTCTGTGGGACATGGCAAAGACTTTCTGTTGAGCTCGAAATTGCAACTACCAGTGAGCTACTTTGTGTTTTTCATGCCAGTGGATCTGCAGGCAAAGAAAAGAGTTACTATGTTGCAGGTGGCAATAGATAACCCTGAGGATCTATGGCTGTCCTGATGGATGCGCGGAGGAGTGTGTCTAGGACCTAGATTAGGCACTGGGGCAACTCTTAGTGCTCTTGTACCAGGTGGTAACTATAAATGAGCCAGTCAGAAACCACAGCCCATAAATAAAAAGACAACTAAGGGCTCAAATTTCCTGAGAAAAAAGGTTTGGAGTATTAATGCCCTAATTTCCCCAAAAGTGAGACCCGGGGGACCAGAACTGCCAGTAGAGTACTCAAAAAATCTGGAATGGAAGATGGAGGTGACAGATGAGGAATGTCAATTGTGAACCTAGGATTAGCTGCAGCATGAAAATTATAGTTTTTTTTATTTTGTTTTTTTTTCCCAAACACTTTCTAAGATTTGTTAGGAGAATGCAAGTGACTGCTATCTTTAAGGGTTGAAATCGACCTCTCTTTCTAGGGAAGAAGTTAGGGTACCTTGACCTCATACAAGATTCAAATACCATGAAAGGATGAAAGCATGTGTGAGTGGCCCGGGGTGCACAGTGTCCTCCCTAAATCGTAGGTCACCCCATACTACTCGATCCTGCCTGTGCCATTGAGCCTCAGGTGCTTTCACTGTTTTCCCAGCGGGAGCAGCCTTGGATATAGGCCATGCTATTCCCACGGTAGGAGATTCCTGGCCACAGCCTCCACTTCCCTGCTGTCATAAGTGGAGTACAACCATGTAATGCGGTGATGGGCAAAGTGAGTGGACCTACACACTGTTCAGACTGGGCCTGTGGATGCTAGGGCTGTAAACAACCATGAATCAGCCAATTTACTTAAGCTAGGCAGTGTAAAATTTGCCCAAAGAGGGACAAAGGGTAGCACTATAAAGAATTGCCAAAAACTGATTCAAAGAAGAAAAAGGGCTTTCTTCAGAAGAAAATTTAACCAGTGACTTACAAACTCTTCTGACAATGACCGACAGTAATTCACATAGTTTACATCACACTGTAGTGTGAATACATAGCACTTTTATACATTCTTACATACATTCATGCATAAAGTCCAGCTGAAATAAACAAGCTATATTTCCTCTTACTCCCTGTGATGCATTCTGGTATTTTCCTTTATAGTGTATCTTATTCTTTTTTTTTTTTTTTAATACTTTAAGTTTTAGGGTACATGTGCACATTGTGCAGGTTAGTTACAAATTGCTGATCTTTGTAATCTATAATTGCACCATAAAATACATTTAGTAAGTAATAACTAACATTAAAGAAATGCATCACTGATGGTAATGGCACAACATTATTTTGTGAATAATCTGTTTTAGTCATATACACGTCCATATACCTGCATGTATGTGTGTGTGTGTATATGTACTGAGTTTTCATATAATGTAACATATCAAAAAATCGCTCGAATGTTTCTGCTCTAAACTGTGAAAATTCAAATTAGAAATTGAGGGGAAAGAGCTCGGTGAGTAAGCCTGAAGACTTACACCTGAATGTACAATTTTATCATGTTAGAATGAAAAATCGACATTTGGCAAATATTTATTATTATGCTTTTGCATTGTACTTATCTACTTATTTCTCCTAATAGTCTTTGATAAATCACTTTTGAAAATTCCAAGTGGATTCAGCCAGGCTGAGAAAAGCAAAAAAGAGCTATTTGAGTCACATATAGACATAAAAAATGGCAGAGATGATGTGTGTACTCAGGAGTTTAGATGTGATTGAGGTTGTTGTTGGTGGGGATGGAGGAGGAAAGAGGATTAGATAAAGAACTGAAAAAGCTGAAGGGACTTAATCTGGTCCTTTTATGCTTACGTTATGCTTACGTTAAAGTTTTTGCTCTTATTCTCTCTATTTCTCTATTGTTACTTTTAAATAAAAAGGCTTCTAAGCAACTAAGGATGGCACAAATGTACCACAGGGCACAAAAAGAAAAATATTTAAAAAGGATGGGCTTAGGATTTGGGGCAACAATATTAATTTATTTACTTTAAAAATTTTCATTTACTTAGGTCTAAGTTGTTTTTCAAAGTATAGGTGATACATTTCATTGCTTACCAAGAGCTTTGAAGAATTTGTAAAGAAATTGTTCTGAAATATTTTCAGATGAAGCTCAATTAAATAACACTTTTAGAAATATCATCTTGCTTAAGAATTCCTTCTTTATCCCAAAGTCATAAAGATATTTTCTTGCTTTATTCTAAAGGTTTAAAGCTTCATTTTTTACCTTTAAATCTTTAAGCCACATAGATATTACTTTTAAGCATTGTGTGATACAGTAATTTTCTCTATATTTTCATCATAATTTTCCTAATACTCTTATTATTGTTCTACAATAGTGGTTGATATAGACTAGATATTTGTCCCTGCCCAAATCTCGTGTTGAATTGTAACCCCAGTGCTGGAGGCAGAGCCTGGTGGGAGATGTTTGGATCACAGGGGAGGACCCCTCATGTTTTGGTGCTGTCTTCATGATAGTGAGATCTTGTGAGATCTGACTGTTTAAAAGTATGTGACACCTCCCCTACAACCCCAGCCTTGCTCCACTCAGGCCATGTGACATGCCTGCTCCCCTTTTACCTTCTGCCATGATTATAAGTTTCCTGAGGCCTCCCTGGAAGCCCAGAAGATGCCAGCACCATGCTTCTTTTAAAGCTGGCATAACTGTGAGCCAGTTAAACCTCTTTTCTTTATAAATTACCCAGTCTCAGGTATTTCTTTATAGCAATGCAAGAATGGCCTAATACAGTGGTATTCTGACTTATATTAAGATTTTATCGATGCATGGCTTTGTTTCTGTATTGTCTATTCTTTTCCATAGTTCTATTTATTTAGTAATCGACAGCTATCACAGTCTTAATCACTAGGGATTAACATGTCTTGGTATTTTTCTTAGATATCTACAGCTGCATCACAGATTATTCCAGAATTTAATGATTTAAAACAACAGTAAACATGTATTCTCTCTCACATATTGCGCAGGTCAGAAACTCTATAGTGGATTAGCTATGCAGTTTTAGCTCAGAGTCTCTTATGAAGTCAAGAAACTGGCTGGAGCTGTTGTCATCTGCAGGCTTAATTGGACTAGAGGATTTGCTTTCAACGTGGCTCACTCACGTGGCTGGCAAGTTGGTGTTCCTTGTTGGTGGAGAGCCTCAATTCCTATCCACAAAGGTAATTTTCTCCTGGTTGCTTGAATGTCCTTACAACATGTCAGCTGGTTTGTCCCATTGTATGCAACCAAGAGAGCAAGAGAGCCAGAGGTAAAGCTATTCATTTTACGACTTACCCTTAGCAGCCACAAAGCACCACTTGTCTATATTCTATCCATTCAAAGTGAGTCACCATGCCCAGCCTCCATTTACAAAGAATATTTACTGCACACTTATAGGTTTCCTGTTATTTTGAAATGATCATGCTTCTTTTTCTTTTGAGTATGTTAATATAATGGCTTACCTTGATATGTTTTCTAATATTTCACTATTTATGGGATTTTTCAGGTTTCCTATTTTTTTTTCTGCTAAGTTTTGGTAAGTTAAATCTTGGGGTAAATTATCCATTATATTTTTGGCACAAAGTGCATCTTTGTGCTCAGTTTTTTTTTATAAATGTAAATACTCTTTATAAAACACTGTCACAAGAACAAATAAGCATAAACATAAGGCCCCAGAAATGGAGGATAATTAGAGAACATTTTCCTTTGTGTTAAGAAAAAAATAAAGATATCTTTTCTAAGCTTTCTTCTTTTTAATAGTAATATTCTTACATTCATATACTTCTCTTTGGATGACAAAATGGCTTGACACGCTCTCTTGGTTTTTGTTGGTTCATTTGTTAAACCACACATTTGGAGAAGTTATTATTTTTGTCATATTATAGATGAGGAAACTGAACTTAAGTGATCCTTTTATAGAAATGAATGATAAAAAGGCCTTCAAAATAAAACTATGTGATGGGAACATGATGATGTTTTTATTACCTTTTATTAGTTATCTTTTATTTATTAACCACAAGATGAATTCCAATAATGTTGGCAATTTATAGCTGCTCTTAAAGATCAGTGGAGTATATGTCTTATTACATTAATGAACTTTTATAGAAAATTTAGGACCAATTCACGACTTCATACCAATGGCATTTAGTAACAAAGCCATTTACTACTAGTAGCTATTTGCTATACCACGCAATGCAATATGAACATTGAGGCTGAATAAAGTCTATAGTAGTTACTATAATGCCTAAAGAAAAAAGATGTAAGAAACTATACTACTGCCTCCAAAGGGTTTCATATAAAAAAGGTACTTTTAAATAACTCTTTGATACATGAATAGAAAGAAACATAGATTTGCAGGTAGATGTATTTTAATAAATTCTTTTTGCCACTCATCTTTCTAATGAATGTTACACCGTTGAAATTTTATAAGTCTGCATCTGCATCTAGATCTTTCTCTCTCTCTCTCGCTATATATGTATATATATCACTAGGATATGGAAAATAATTCAAATTTTACCCACATTGCATTGAGAGGTATATTTCTTTATAACTCTAGTCTCCATATTATATCACAACCAAATATGTCTGAAAAGAAGAGTCCCAAATCAAACTCACAAACAAACGAAGCGGAGTGAGCCAAAAGGAAAGTGTTTTAATGCATGTAAACAAATAACAAAGCCAGATATAAATTCAGGAATATTTATACATTTTGAGCTCTAACACAGGGTACATTGTATTTATCTCACAGATGATGTATACAGCACCAGCCCTATTTGAAGAAGCCTGATATGGTTTGGCTGTGTCTCCCCCAAACCTAAACTTGAATTGTATCTCCCAGAATTCCCACATGCTGTGAGAGGGATCCAGGGGGAGGTAATTCAATCATGGGGGCTGGTCTTTCCCATGCTATTTTCATGATAGTGAATAAGTCTCATGAGATCTGATGGGTCTACTAGGGGTTTCCGCTTTTGCTTCTTCCTCATTTTCTCTTGCCTCAGCCATGTAAGAAGTGCCTTTTCCCTCCTATCATGATTCTGAGGCCACCCAGCCATGTGGAACTGTAAGTCGAATTAAACCTCCTTTTTCTTCTCAGTCTTGGATATGTCTTTATCAGCAGCGTGAAAACAGAATAATACGGTAAATTGGTATCAGTAGAGTGGGGTCTTGCTGAAAAGATACCCAAAAATATGGAAGCAACTTTGGAACTGGGTAACAGGCAGAGGTTGGAACAGTTTGCAGGGCTAAGAAGAAGACAGGAAAATGTGGGAAAGTTTCGAATTTCCTAGAGACATGTTGAATGGCTTTGCCCAAAATGCTGATAGGGATATGGACAATAAGGTCCAGGCTGAGGCTGTCTCATATGGAGATGAGGAACTTGGGAGCTGGAGTAAAGGTGACTCTTGTTATGTTTTAGCAAAGAGACTGGCAGCATTTTGCCCGTGCCCTACAGATTGTGGGACTTGGAACTTGAGAGAGATGATTTAGAGTATCTGGAGGAAGAAATTTCTAAGCAGCAAAGCATTCAAGAGGTGACTTGGGTGCTGTCAA
Organism: Homo sapiens; assembly: GCF_000001405.40. Classification (NCBI taxonomy): domain Eukaryota; kingdom Metazoa; phylum Chordata; class Mammalia; order Primates; family Hominidae; genus Homo; species Homo sapiens. The sequence continues at coordinate 76,458,207 of NC_000003.12, read as the reverse complement.
AGGCATTCAGTTTTATAAGGAAAGTAAGCATAAAAGTTTGGAAAATGTGTAGCCTGACTATGTGATAGAAAAGAAAAACTCATTTTCTTCTGAGAAATTCAAGCTGGCTGCAGAACTTTGCATAAGTAGCAAGGAGCCTAATGTTAATCCTCAAGACCATGGTGAAAATATCTCCAGGCCATGTCAGAGACATGGAGAGAAGCCCCTCCCATCACAGGCCCGGAGGCCCAGGAAGAAAAAGTGATTTCGTGGGCCAGGTCCAGGGTTCCCGTGCTGTGTGCAGCTGAGAGACTTGGTACCCTGTGTCCCAGTCGCCCCAACCAACCATGGCTGAAAGGGGCCAAGGTACAGCTTGGGCTGTGGCTTCAGAGAGTGGAAGCCCCAAGCCTTGGCAACTTCCATGTGGTGTTGAGCCTCAGGGTGCACAGAAGTCAACAATTGAGGCTTGGGAACCTCCGCCTAGATTTCAGAACACGTATGGAAATGCCTGGATGCCCAGGCAAAAGGTTTCTGCACGGGCAGGGCCCTCATGGAGAACCTCAGCTAGCACAGTGTGGAAGGGAAATGTGGGGTCGAGCCCCCACACGGTCTCTACAGGGGCACTGCCTAGTGGAGCTGTGAGAAGAGGTACATCATCCTCAGAATGGCAGATCCACCGACAGCTTGCACCGTGCACCTGGAAAAGCTGCAGACACTCGATGTCAGTCCATGAAAGCAGCAGGGAGGGAGGCTGCACCCTGCAAAGCCACAGGGGCGGAGCTGCCTAAGACCTTTGGAACCCACCTCTTGCATTAGCATAACCTCGATGTGAGACCTGGAGTCAAAAGAGATCCTTTTGGAGCTTTAAAGTTTGACTGCACCGCTGGATTTCGGACTTGCGTGGGCCTTGCAGCCCCTTTGTTTTGGCCAATTTCTCTCATTTGGAATGGCTGTATTTACCCAATATCTGTACCTCCATTGTTTAAGTAACTTGCTTGCTTCTGATTTTACAGGCTCATAGGCAGAAGGGACTTGACTTGTCTCAGATGAGACTTTGGACTGTGGACTTTTGAGTTAATGGTGAAATTAGTTAAGACTTTGGGGGACTACTAGGAAGGCATGGTTGGTTTTGAAATATGAGGACATGAGATTTGGATGGGCCAGGGACAGAATGATATGGTTTGGCTGTGTCTCCACCAAATCTCATCTTGAATTGTATGTCCCAGAATTCTCACATGTTATGGGAGGAACCCACAAGGAGGTAATTGAATCATGGGGGCCAGTCTTCCCCCTGCTATTTTTGTGATAGTGAGTAAGTCTCACGAGCTCTGATGGGTTTATCACGGGTTTCTGCCTTTGCTTCTTTCTCATTTTCTCTTGCTGCCACCATGTAAGAAGTGCTTTTCGCCTCCCACCATGATTTTGAGGCCTTCCCAGCCATGTGGAACTGTAAGTCCAATTAAACCTCTTTTTCTTCCCAGTCTTGGGTACGTCTTTACCAGCAACATGAAAATGGACTAAAACAAAGGCTATTCAAATTGGTCAAGATTATGTAAAAACTCAGCCAAATTACAAACTTTAAAAAGCTGTATGTAAATGCACTTTACTTGATGTGTACTTAATAGTACTCCATCATGTGATTCATATGCCAACTGGCAACTATGGAATCTGACCACCGTCTTAAAGATACAGTCTCCGGAAACCTGGTCCAAGGTCTGAGTCACTGACGTAAAGTACCTGCTGGTACTTTGATCTCATCTTTGCTGCCTTGTTCCCTCAATTTGTTAATTGCATTAGTCAGTTTGAGAAACCTGAGCTTTAGAACAGTGGTTATAATTCAATAACATATGCAACTGGAATGAACTATGATTGATGATATAATTAGAACAATAAAAATTGAACAAACCAATGGAATGTCATTAAATTTCTACCTGAATTTATCAAAATCAATGTAACTACATAACTCCTCCTGGTTTAATGGGAGTTTTATCTTTGCAGTTGCAACATTCATCCAGCAACAGATTAATAGTGAATAAATTATGGTATTGCAATTGGCAAGATTGGAACACCTGCTGTTAGGTACTAGTCCATTTACTGAATATCACATTTTCTCATAACCAAACCTCAAAGAAGGCATTGATAACTATCAATATGCTACAAATACTTATAACTTGTATGTAGTCTAAACATGCTAATGAGACATGTATTGTCTTATTATCAACACAAAGAAACACCAGCCTTTTTGTGTATTCATAGAGTCAAGCTGAAAAAATTATGTCTCTGGGACTTCATTCCTCACATGCATAATGAATGATTTCTCTGTCAGCAATCAATCCAAAATAGAATTGGTATAGTGTACACCACAGCCAGACATGACATGCAGACAAATAAAAACTAATATTCATTTGCTTAATGAATTGATGAGTCAACGTGGACACTGGCATATTAGAATTAGATCATTCCTGTCTATATGCTTGCTATGTGTTTTCTTTCCTTATTTTTCCCTTCCCCTGAAAGGAATGTGCATGAAAAGTAGAACTGGTCAATAAAAGTACAGGAATTTTAAATCTCCTTATAGGATTACGGTAATGCATAACATTTACTAGGATTACTGTAGAGGAAAGATAAACTTTGTCTAATTTCTAAATTTTAGAATGACTAAATCTATAGGCAAATATATGGAGGATAATTAATTTTTAAATTGCTAACTATATATTGTTTCAGAAATTGGAATGAGAACCAATAAAAATACATTTTATTATTTTACTCTTTTTATTTTTTCTAAATTAGGATTCAAAATGAAGAGCATGAAAATTATAAATTTAATTGAATGGATAACACTGACACCATATGAAAAAGAATTATAAAACAAATAATGAGAATGAAGTATTTCTCTTTTCTATGGTGGTTTAACTTTTGTGCTGTCAAATGCTGTACATTCATTGGATAAAACGAAACATTTATGAAGCCTAGCTCAGTGCCAAACTAATTCTAGTTCAATTTTTTGAAAGCAAGGAAGCTGGATAGCACTAAATGTCTAAGACATAATTTTCCAAAGTATTAGGCAACAAAAATGACATGAAATATCCTACAATGAAAACATTCCATGGTGAAATAAATTTGTGAAACACTGTATACTTTATGTTTTTCTTAAACACTGCAATAAGTCATTTAGTAAAGAAAACATTTTAACTTTATTTTACCTAGTTGGACCACAATTTTTTTCCTTTTTATACCAATCAGCAATATCCTACCAAATGAATATTCTCAATTTATTTTTTAAGTAGGTGTTTGAGGATAAGGTTACATCAAGGTTGTTTTCTAGAATGTTGAATAATTTTTGCCTGTTTAATAAATTCCTTAAAGAAATAAATATGTGCTGTTTCTGTATTAATTTATATACATATAACATATAGCAATGGTATTTACACATTCTATGGATATTCCTAAATTGTTGATCATCTCTTGTCATAGTGATAAAAGGCTTTTTCAATGTTTAAAAAAATTATTTAATATGTGCTTCCTGTGTGCCAGGCACCGGGCTAAATGCTGTATAATTACATTTAATTAATTCCTCACACAGAATAACAGTTGATGGAAAAGTAATCTCATTTTACAATGAAGAAATTGGAACTCAGGGAAGTTAAATAGTTGTTCATATTCAGCAGTCAGTAAAGGATGAAATTAGTGTTCAATCTGATCTTACCCCAACGTTCTAACCACCATACTCTCCTGATCTCCAACCACCTTTTAATCTCACAGAGTTACAATCAGTTGAGGTTGAGCAGATGCCTGGATTTCCTACATGTTTTCATCACATACACCTCCATCTATGCTAATGATGCTTTCTTTAGCATATGTCAACTTCAACTTCTTTCTAATTTGACAAAGTAAAATTACTCTTCTCTTGCTTAAAGTAAGTTTTGACCCAATAACTTTTGCAAAACTAACAAATTATTCATATTTCTTTCCACTTTTCAGTTAGCACTTCAAATTTTTTAAACAAATCTGTTATGGTGTGTGCTTTTGATAGCAGTAATAAAATTGAAACTTCTGGATTCCCAGGATTTGATCCAATAAGTACTCACAAAAGGTTTCTTAAGTGAATGAATGAATGGGTGAGATAATTAATAGATGAATAATATTAACCAAATTTGCTGAAAGACATCTCTTCTGCATCAATTTTAGTGTCTTTGGAGAAACACACAACCATGTATAAGTTGCACAGAAATGAGCATGGCCCAGGTGACAATAGACAGGTACTCATGCACTTTCTGGGCTCTGCAACTCCACATGAATGTCCTTATTTCTTTAGGCCTTATTTTATCTGTAATAGAGTCAATTCATACATTCATTCTGTTCAGGAATCAAGCTTTAATTGGGGAGCTATTTCCTACCAAGTACCAAATAGTAACTACTAAATCATATATCACAAAATACAGATTCATTTTTTTAGAGGATACTTAGGGTAACCTTTTGTTTTTTAAAATACAAAGGTGCCTAATTGCATGCCCATGACATGTTTGGCAGGTCACATTACCAACTCGAAAGGTTTATTTGAATTTATGGTATTTTAAAAATAAGTTGGCTTAGCCAAAAGAACAAAGCTGGAGGCATCACGCTACCTGACTTCAAACTATACTACAAGGCTACAGTAACCAAAACAGCATGGTACTGGTACCAAAACAGAGATATAGACCAATGGAACAGAACAGAGCCCTCAGAAATAATGCCGCATATCTACAACTATCTGATCTTTGACAAACCTGAGACAAACAAGCAATGGGGAAAGGATTCCCTATTTCATAAATGGTGCTGGGAAAACTGGCTAGCCATATGTAGGAAGTTGAAACTGGATCGCTTCCTTACACCTTATACAAAAATTAATTCAAGATGGATTAAAGACTTAAACGTTAGAGCTAAAAACTATAAAAACCCTAGAAGAAAACCTAGGCATTACCATTCAGGACATAGGCATGGACAAGGACTTCATGTCTAAAACACCAAAAGCAATGGCAACAAAAGCCAAAATTGACAAATGGGATCTAATTAAACTAGAGAGCTTCTGCACAGCAAAAGAAACTACCATCAGAGTGAACAGGCAGCCTACAGAATGGGAGAAAATTTTTGCAACCTACTCATCTGACAAAGGGCTAATATCCAGAATCTACAATGAACTCAAATAAATTTACAAGAAAAAAACAAACAACCCCATCAAAAAGTGGGCAAAGGACATGAACAGACACTTCTCAAAAGAAGACATTTATGCAGCCAAAAGACACATGAAAAAATGCTCACCATCACTGGCCATCAGAGAAATGCAAATCAAAACCACAATGAGATACCATCTCACACCCGTTAGAATGGCGATCATTAAAAAGTCAGGAAACAACAGGTGCTGGAGAGGATGTGGAGAAATAGGAACACTTTTACACTGTTGGTGGGACTGTAAACTAGTTCAACCATTGTGGAAGTCAGTGTGGCGATTCGTCAGGGATCTAGAACTAGAAATACCATTTGACCCAGCCATCCCATTACTGAGTATATACCCAAAGGATTATAAATCATGCTGCTATAAAGACACAGGCACACGTATGTATATTGCGGCACTATTCACAATAGCAAAGACTTGGAACCAGCCCAAATATCCACCAATGATAGACTGGATTAAGAAAATGTGGCACATATACACCATGGAATACTATGCAGCCGTATAAAATGATGAGTTCATGTCCTTTGTAGGGACATGGATGAAATTGGAAATCATCATTCTCAGTAAACTATTGCAAGGACAAAAAAACAAACACCGCATGTTCTCACTTATAGCTGGGAATTGAACAATGAGAACACATGGACACAGGAAGGGGAACATCACACTCTGGGGACTGTTGTGTGGGGGGAAGGGGGAGGGATAGCATTAGGAGATACACCTAATGCTAAATGATGAGTTAATTGGTGCAGCACACCAGCATGGCACATGTATACATATGTAAGTAACCTACACATTGTGCACATGTACCCTAAAACTTAAAGTATAATAATAATAAAATAAAAAAATAAGTTGGAAGAGAAAAGCAAAGTAACATAAATATTTCTTAGGTTTAATAGTATAACAAAATATTCTCTCAACAAAGAATTAGGGGTTGAAGGAATATTTAGAAAGACAAACGTTTGCAAGTTTTGATTTATATTCTCAGATACGTTAAAATTCAGTCACACACACAAACAGAAATAACTTTGGTCTATAACTAACCATACCAACATAAATCTAACATAAAGAAAGAGAAATAATTGGTAGATATGAGTTTTCAAGACAAAATTGTAAACAGGTTCTCCTGTTTCTTGATCATATTACAATCTTCTTGCAGCCAAGAGGAGCTTTTTCCAGTTTGTTAAGCATTCATCTACTCATTTTCATACCCTGTGATCCATAGGAAAGAATTTTCTTAGTCATAAATGATGTTCTGTCTCCGACATTAGTATTTTGAGTTCAGAGGAATACGGATTGAATCTAACAATTTAGAAACCCAAATGCTTATGGCACTATAATAATTTAATGGTTTCTAAAGTGTCTTTCCCTGGCCTCAAAGTGCTTAATGGAAATATAAATTCTTTGCAGAGTAGGAGGTCACATCATTGTCCCCCATTCACCTGGAGCAGCTGACAGAAGAGAGACAGCCATTGCTTTTGCCCAGCAAAATTTTAAATAATTCTAAGGTCATAGTTTGAAGAAATCTTCTATAGTAATAAATTTCACAGATGGCAAATATGGAATATTTTTAGACATTAATGATTGAACAGCTATGATAAGATTTTCTAGGAAAGGAGCGATCAAAATACATTATCCAACTTGTCTAGATAAGTGGCATTAAGAATCAAAAGAAGGGTTATGCTACTGTTTAACCCACTACAAAAACAGGAACAAATAATGCTGTTTGTGTTCATGTAAGTAGGCATTGCTAGCATTTACCAATATTCAGTTATCACTTATGGGGACAAGGAGACCTCATTCTCATCTTGTCTTGCAACTGGAAGAGTCCACGTGACTAGCCCACATGACAGACCTGATCAGTTGTATGGCAAGTAACGTGTCGCCTTCAGATGAAAGCACTGAAGAGCTTTGTGTTACTTCCCTAGCATTTCATCCTGTTACACAACCTACCAAAGAGGCCTGGAACCCCGAATGGCAATGTGGAGAACAGCCTCCCTGGAAAGGCGTCTGCGGCCACTGTGGACGTTAAATGAGAGGTAAATTAACCTTTGTGATCCTAAGCCACTCAAATCTTGTGGTTGGATGCTACCACAGGACAACCTGGCTTATTATGAATCATATCACAGGTATATTACAAATTTTTAAAACATTATCTCTAATAAAAATGCATTCACATGGTTTTCGAAAATGTCTTAAAATATTTTTAAAGCACTGAAAATAAAAAATATATTTCAAATGCAAGCATTTGAAATTTGCAAATTTTTTTAGTGTTTCATCTTCTTTGTAGATCTTCATTAACAGAATAACTCAACATTGAATGCAAGAAATACTTTCAACAAAGGTCAGTAATATTTAAAGTCACATAACTTCATCACAAAGCCAATTGTTTAGAATTTTCATGAGCAGGGTGCAGTGGCATGTGCCTGTAATCCCAGCTACTCAAGAGGATGAGGCTGGAGCATCACTTGAGTGCAGGAGTTGGTGACTAGCCTGGGAAACATAGCAGGACTCCACATTTTTACAAATAATAGAATAAGTTAAAATTTTCATCATTTTTTTCTGCCAGATTTAAAAATATTTTACTTTAAAAATTTCAGAAACCATGTTAAGAAAAAAATAAGTTTTGATTAAAAGAGGAGATAAATTTTATGACTGAAAATTAGTTATACAAGTTAAAGTCTCAATTACCTATAAAACTTTATTAAAGGTGAGAATTATCTTAAACATCACAATTTCCTGAAATTTGTCACTCTTTTAATGCTCACTTAGACCTTATTGTAAACACCTACATTCTTAGGCAATTATTTATTCCAGAACCCATTTTTGCTTGGTTATCCAGTCTTCTACTTCTATCAGCATTGAAAAACATAAAACCACAGGGCTAAGAATACTTGTAAGGAGAACTACCTACTCTTCTTCCAAACGTCTGATGTGCTGGGTGTTTATATTAGCTGGTGTTACAATAGAAACAATGTTCTTGATGATGAAGATTATTTCGATAAATGACTTTTCCAATTATCAGACTCCTTAAATTCACTTTTGTACTTAATGTTGTGTAAAGCTGTTTATTGCTTCTTTATTCCAGGGTCAAAAACATTTTCCCAACTCTATATTTGCAGCAAGTATGAGCAGGTGGAATATTTACTATGTTGTAAATATCCAATATATGCAATAAACTCAACCTCTCTAAAATGTTTATTCGTGATTCCTTTATGAGCAACCTAATGATGCTGAACCAGTATTTAACGACTCTCTTCAATGTAAATGCCCTATTTGGTGATCCCTAATTTAGTTTCACTGATGCAGAAGTAAAGTCTAAAGATTATATCATAGATAATGCAAAACACTTAAACACTGCTTTCGGGGGAACAAACAACTGATTTTTGATATGTATACAATTCTAACTGCAGGAACTGTAGCTAGAGAGTTGCCAATCAACCATGCACGTTCAGCAGCTCTAGGAAATCCTTCAAACTCCAGTTAAATCGAGTCCGGTTAAGAAAGTTCTTATGAAATATGTAAATTTAGAGACCTACCCCTACCCCAGCATGTAGGGTAGCAAATTTCAGGCATGAAATATTTCTTTACATTCACCCATGATTAGCATCTCTTTCCCATTAGAAAGCTTATTGTGAATGCTAAAAATCTATTCTAGTGTTCTACACAGTGGAGTATGTAAAATGGTCTAGTCTCCCTGTAAAATGAAGGGGAGAGAGAAAAAAATTTCAATTTAGCTCATACACTTCATCCTTTTTAATTTTCATTTTTGGATATAATTTATAAAAAATACATAACAGTACAGCATGTACTGTATAACATTTATACATAGTTTTAAACACATATATTTGGTAAGATCAAAACATTTTTTCTATTAAGGGGACATTTCCATACGTTTTGGAGAACCCTGTTCCATTACATGAATGGAAAAGTCAAGATATTCCTCTTTATTATTTGTGAATGAAAAATCATTCAAAAATGGACTTTAACTAAAATTTATATTTCCGTTTTTCCTTACAATTTAAAAATTGCTTTGTAAGAATGTATCCCTTGTATGGAACGTAGTGTCTCAAAGCTGCTGTTTCTTCTAGGGTCCAGCTTGTTCATAATGAATAGGGATGCAGTGATTTAGACTTGTATTTCACTAGTGATCCCACCACTTCCTACTAGCACAACCGTGGGTACTTTACCCTGAAGTTGAGTTCTCATCTGCAAAATGGGGGATAATTAGGTTAACCTTTTAGCATTATTGTGAGAAATAGATGAATTAACAAATGTAAAGTCTGGTTCAGAGTAAGGGCCTAATAAACTTAGCTAAGAGGAAGTTTTAGTTGGTTCCAAGAATTTTATGTACTTCTTAAAAATGTTTGGAAGGATTTGAAGAATACATTTTATAATGGCTATGAAATGAATATCCATGGAACTGTTTAGTAACAGTTATAGAGCTCATAAATAGATTAAGCAAATTATAAAGTCTTGGGTCGATAACAACCTGCTGTTGATCAGCAGTCTCTCCTCATTGGAGTATCACAGAAGCCCTTCAACAGGAAGGACACAAGTAGGGATTTTGCCCTTGGTGAACTGGCCTTGGTGCTCATTATCTCAGACATACCTTTTCCTCCCAGGAAACCATGAGAACACTGCTGATATTTTGGTCATTTCCTCGTATTAAAACACATTATCAGTTGCAAGATATATCAGATTTCTACATTTGAAGTACAGAGAGCTGTTCTCTCAAGACAAACTCATTATGTATGTTTATATTAAATATTCTTATTAGTTTAAATTTGCTACCTTACATATTCATGCACAAGAGAATTTTCTGCAAAGTGGCTCACCTTGAAAGACTCTTTCAAAACCTTTTCAGCTTGGAAAATTATTTTTATAAAATAAAGGAGAATATTTTTGTTTGTTTGTTTTTTCTTTTTTTGTTTTATTTCATTTATTTATTTATTCTGCTTAATTTCTTTTTTTATATATATACTTTAAGTTCTAGGGTACATGTACACAACGTGCAGGTTTGTTACATATGTATACATGTGCCACGTTGGTGTGCTGCACCCATTAACTCGTCATTTAACATTAGGTATATCTCCTAATGCTATCCCTCCCCCCTCCCCCCACCCCACAACAGGCCCCGCTGTGTGATGTCCCCCTTCCTGTGCCCAAGTGTTCTCATTGTTCAATTCCCACCTATGAGTGAGAAAATGCAGTGCTTGGTTTTTTGTCCTTGTGATAGTTTGCTGAGAATGATGGTTTCCAGCTTCATCCATGTCCCTACAAAGGACATGAACTCATCATTTTATACGGCTGCATAGTATTCCATGGTGTATATGTGCCACATTTTCTTAATCCAGTCTATCGTTGGTGGATATTTGGGCTGGTTCCAAGTCTTTGCTATTGTGAATAGTGCCGCAATATACATACGTGTGCCTGTGTCTTTATAGCAGCATGATTTATAATCCTTTGGGTATATACTCAGTAATGGGATGGCTGGGTCAAATGGTATTTCTAGTTCTAGATCCCTGAGGAATCGCCACACTGACTTCCACAATGGTTGAACTAGTTTACAGTCCCACCAACAGTGTAAAAGTGTTCCTATTTCTCCACATCCTCTCCAGCACCTGTTGTTTCCTGACTTTTTAATGATCGCCATTCTAACGGGTGTGAGATGGTATCTCATTGTGGTTTTGATTTGCATTTCTCTGATGGCCAGAGATGATGAGCATTTTTTCATGTGTTTTTTGGCTGCATAAATGTCTTCTTTTGAGAAGTGTCTGTTCATATCCTTCACCCGCTTTTTGATGGGGTTGTTTGTCTTTTTCTTGTAAATTTGTTTGAGTTCATTGTAGATTCTGGATATGAGCCCTTTGTCAGATGAGTAGATTGCAAACATTTTCTCCCATTCTGTAGGCTGCCTGTTCACTCTGATGATAGTTTCTTTTGCTGTGCAGAAGCTCTTTAGTTTAATTAGATCCCATCTGTCAATTTTGGCTTTTGTTGCCATTGCTTTTGGTGTTTTAGACATGAAGTCCTTGTCCATGCCTATGTCCTGAATGGTATTGCCTAGGTTTTCTTCTAGGGTTTTTATGGTTTTAGATCTAATATTTAAGTCTTTAATCCACCTTGAATTAATTTTTGTATAAGGTGTAAGGAAGGGATCCAGTTTCAACTTTCTACATATGGCTAGCCAGTTTTCCCAGCACCATTTATTAAATAGGGAATCCTTTCCCCATTGCTTGTTTTTCTCAGGTATGTCAAAGATCAGATGGTTGTGGCTGTGTGGTATTATTTCTGAGGGCTCTGTTCTGTTCCATTGGTCTATATCTCTGTTTTGGTACCAGTACCATGCTGCTTTGGTTACTGCAGCCTTGTAGTATAGTTTGAAGTCAGGTAGTGTGATGCCTCCAGCTTTGTTCTTTTGGCTTAGGATTGACTTGGCAGTGCGGGCTCTTTTTTGGTTCCACGTGAACTTTAAAGTAGTTTTTTCCAATTCTGTGAAGAAAGTCATTGGTAGCTTGATGGGGATGGCATTGAATCTATTAATTACCTTGGGCAGTATGGCCATTTCCACAATATTGATTCTTCCTATCCATGAGCACAGAATGTTCTTCCACTTGTTTGTGTCCTCTTCTATTTCGTTGAGCAGTGATTTGTAGTTCTCCTTGAAGAGGTCCTTCATATCCCTTGTAAGTGGGATTCCTAGGTATTTTATTCTCTTTGAAGCAATTGTGAATGAGAGTTCACCCATGATTTGGCTCTCTGTTTGTCTCTTATTGTTGTAAAAGAATGCTTGTGATTTTTGCACATTGATTTTGTATCCTGAGACTTTGCTGAAGTTGCTTATCAGATTAAGGAGATTTTGGGCTGAGACGATGGGGTTTTCTAAATGTACAATCATGTCATCTGCAAACAGGGACAATTTGACTTCCTCTTTTCCTAATTGAATACCATTTATTTCTTTCTCCTGCCTGATTGCCCTGGCCAGAACTTCCAACACTATGTTGAATAGGAGTGGTGAGAGAGGGCATTCCTGTCTTGTGCCAGTTTTCAAAGGGAATGCTTCCAGTTTTTGCCCATTCAGTATGATATTGGCTGTGGGTTTGTCATAAATAGCTCTTATTATTTTGAGATACGTCCCATCAGTACCTAATTTATTGAGAGTTTTTAGCATGAGGGGCTGTTGAATTTTGTCAGAGGCCTTTTCTTCATCTGTTGAGATAATTATGTGGTTTTTGTCTTTGGTTCTGTTTATATGCTGGATTACGTTCATTGATTTTCGTATGTTGAACCAGCCTTGCATCCCAGGGATGAAGCCCACTTGATCATGGTGGATAAGCTTTTTGATGAGTTGCTGGACTCGGTTTGCCAGTATTTTATTGAGGATTTTTGCATTGATGTTCATCAGGGATATTGGTCTAAAATTCTCTTTTTTCGTTGTGTCTCTGCCAGGCTTTGGTATCAGGATGAAGCTGGCCTCATAAAATGAGTTAGGGAGGATTCCCTCTTTTTCTATTGATTGGAATAGTTTCAGAAGGAATGGTACCAGCTCCACGGAGAATATTTTGAAGCTGTCTTGGCTTTAAATGAAAAAGAATATTTACTAAAATATTACTAAGTGTCTCAGCATTTTTTCCTTCCTTAGTTTTGCTATAGCTTCATTTCTGTGTTTACTTTCCCTCTCAATTTCAAGTGACTATACCATTTGAAGTTAGAAAATACACACTTTCCATTAAATGTTGACAATTTGGAGTTTTTTTCTATTTGATGGTTCATGTGCACTTCCCTGTACAATTATACTTTCAGAAAGTTAATTTTGAAATATGATTTATATAATCTACTTGGACTATGTAATAAATAAGTTTATTCTATGGATTAACTACTTAGAAAATATCTTTCCCTTCTTTTGCTAGTAAACTGTAGTCGGTGATAGTAACATGGAATTGTAAAGAGTTTATAATGATATTTTCATGCTTTTCAAAACTAAAAGGATGTAATAAAGAATGTTGATTCTGCATGTTTCATATTTCCAAAAAACCTCAGGGAAAAAACAAAAAAGCCTATCTAACAATGGAGTTTATTGAATGCCTGCATATAATTTTGATGAAATGGCATAAAACCTTTAGAAATGTTGTATGTGTAGGAAAATTTTTAATAACATTGTAAATGTTCCCCATATATTTTGAGTAAAAAAGCGGTAAAAACAACTATAGGATTATTATAACACCAGTTTGGTGAAAAAATGCAGATAAACCTTGATATGGTTAGGCTTTGTGTCCCCATTCAAATATCATCTTGAATAAAAACTCCATCACCCCGCAATCCCCATGTGTCAAGGGAGAGACCTAGTGGAAGGTCATTGAATCATGGAGGTGGTTCCCCCATGCTGTTCTCATGATAGTGACTGAGTTCTCACGAAATCTGATGGTTTTATAAGGGGCTCTTTCCCCTTGACTAGTGAAGAAGGTGCAAGAAGATGCCTTGCTTTCCCTTCACCTTCTGCCATGATTGTAGGTTTCCTGAGGCCTCCCTAGCCATGCTGAAATGTAAGCCAATTAAACCTCTTTCCTTTAAAATTACTCAGTCTTGGGCAGCTTTTTATAGCAGTATGAAAATGGACTAATACAAACCTTTTGGAAAATATTTAGAATTATGAGTTACTTTACATCTTGTGATTACTAGATTTTTTAAGTTATTTAACAGTTTTCAAATATACATATAATTATCTTAAAATAATTTTTAGGACAGGCGCAGTGCCTCACGCCTGTAATCCCAGCACTTTTGGAGGCCAAGGCGGGTGGATCACTAGGTCATGAGCTTGAGACCAGCCTGACCAACATGATGAGACCCCGTCTCTACTAAAAATACAAAAATTAAAATACAAAAATTAGCCGGGCGTGGTGGCGCATGCCTATAATCCCAGCTACTCAGGAGGCTGAGGCAGGAGAATCGCTTGAACCTGGGAGGCAGAGGTTGCAGTGAGCCAAGATTGTGCCACTGCACTCCAGCTTGGGGGACAGAGCAAGACTCCATCAATAATAATAATAATAATGATATTTTTTAAAATCTAAAAACATTTGGAGAAATGTTTGACCGTTTCTTGCATATGAACATTCTGCCACAAATTCCATCAAAGTAGGTCAAAACCTTATGTGTAACTTTTCCAGAAAAGACCAGCAGAAGTTTTCAAATTTCTACTCAACAAGAAATATCTGGAGAATTCGTTTAAATTAAAGATTCATAAGCTACATTCTAGATTCTGATTAAGTCAGTCTAGTGTAGTTCCCAGTAAGTTGCCTTTTTAAGAAGTAACTCAGATGATTCTGTTGCAGGTGGCCTCTAAAAAAAATTGGACTGAAGCTGACACTTAAATTGTGCCTTAACTTTTCTAGTGATTACCTTGTACATGGTAGACCCTGCAGTATTTGGAGAAAAGGGCATTTTTAGCAGGGATATAAATTATGCTGACCTAAGTAACCCTTATCTGAATTTCTATGACACACTCAGATAAGTTGTAATAGCAGTCGTGGTAGTAGCCATCATGGTAGTATTACTAGTAGCAGCAGCACTAGTAAAATAGTCCCTACGTATACTCAGGGGATACATCGCAAGACTCTCAGTGGATGCGGGAGACCATGGATGGTACCAAATCCTGTATTCACTGTGTTTTTTCCTATACATACTGATACATTTTGGATTTTCGCCCCCTCCAAATTTCATGTTGAAATGTGATCTCCAATGTTGGAGGTGGGGCCTGATGGGAGGTATTTGGGTCATGGGGGTTGCTCTGTCATGAATGGCTTGTTGCTGTCTTGCAGGTAATGAGTGAGTTCTTACTTGATTAGTTCCTGTGAGAACTGAATGTTAAAATGATCCTGGCACCTCCCCCACCCCTTCTTCCTTCCTCTCTCGCCATGTGATGCTTGCTCCCCTTCTCCTTCCATCATGAGTGGAAGCTTCCTGAGGCCCTCACCAGAAGTAGATGTTGGTGCCGTGCTTCCTGTAAAGCCTGCAAAACTGTGAACCAAATAAACCTTTTTTCTTTATAAATTACCCAGCTTCGATTAATCTTTTATAGCAACACAAACAGACTAACACATTTACCTATGAAAAAGCTGAATTTATAAATTAGGCATAGTGGAGAGTAACAATAACTAATAATTCAGTTATTATTAGTAAAGTATTATTAATTAAAAAAGGGTTACTTGAACGCAAACACTGAGATTCTGCAATAGTCACTCTGGTAAAAAGAATGAGTGGGTAGTACATACAGTGTGGCTATACTGGACAAAGGGGTGATTCACTAACCGGGCAGAATGGAGTGGGAAGATGAGAGATCTCATCATGCTACTCAGAAGAGCATGCAATTTGAAACCGAGGAATTGTTTATTTCTGAAATTTTCCGCTGAATATTTTCTGACAGTAGTAGACTTCAGGTAACTGAAACACCAGAAAGTGAAACCGTGAATAAAGGGGAACCACTGTAACATCAGCTGCTTGTACTTCTATAGCATTTGCTCTGGGAAAGGTACTGCCCTGAGCCACCAGTAAAGAGCCATCTCCATTAAAATAACAGAAAAGAATAACGCACGGTAGTTTTATGCTCTGCTCTCTTTCCACTTGAGAAACAAAAAAACTAGAAACGTCTGAAGAAGTCTCTGGAGAGATTTACTGGACACACCCTTGAGAGCATCCTGATTAAATTAGGATTAAATTAGGATATGGAGGGATAAGTTGCTGGGGCAGTTTTTGACGCAGATGAACACAATATATCCTCGGGTTTTTTTGTCCTATCATTCTTAAAAATACAACACTTAGCAATAAGAAATGAATTGAGTTCTGAGGTATTCTCTAGGCCTCCTGAAAGTACTAGCATTAGCTCAATTCCTCAGTTTGTGGATTATCCAGAGCCCTTACTCGTTTTTCTTCTGCCCTGTGAGAAAATGGTCTTTGGCCGTTATATTCACTGTATTTCTCCTCAAAGGCAAGTAAGGGGTGGACACCACCAAGGCAACTGCCATCTGCCCTATGTCCTGATCTCAGATTCTTTCTCTCTCTCTCTTCTTTCTTGCTTCCTCTGTCCCCTTAAATGTAGCACATTTACTAAATTAAAGGCAGATACCAATACAATTAAAGTTTTCTGCTAAGGAGTGAAAGTTAAGTTGGTGGGACAAAGCCAGCCTAGCAGCTGCGACTGGATATTAGACAATTCAGCCTAGAGCAAGAAGTTTCAAGTTATTCCTCTTATTATTAACATGAAAATTGGCTTGACATTTAATTTGCATTTCTTCATCTAGCTAAAAGAGGTAAGGGGAGAGTTGTCTCCCAATACAAATGGACTCCCTTGCTCTCTTCTGGGAGGATACACACTCACACAGTTTTTATTCAACTGCTGATGGAATGAACATGGACACACTGAATGTAACAACAAAGGAACTTAATAGCTCTGTACTGAACTAAGCCTCATTCTGCAGGTGTTTAACTCATGGGTTGTCAATCTGCTTCTTCTCCTGAAAACTACGGTTCTTCCCTCTGGTTTTGAATATACAACTTTTCAAGAATGAGGGGCTTTTCCCTTCTTCCAAATATCTGATACTCTTTCGACCAACAGTTTCTTTATACAAGCTTTGAATTAAAGACCAGGAAATGTTTGTCTTAAATTTCTGCCATTTCCACTTCAAGTAGTTCAAGTACTGACATATATTATTCATAGGTTTACCAGAATGTTGGCAAAGGAAGAATAGTACCACAGACATTCTAGGCTTCTTAGAAACTCTTCGATAACTTTTCTCTATCCAAGTAATTAAAACCATGTCTTAATATTATATAAAACAGCCAAGCACCAGCTTTGTGAAAATGAACACATAATTTGTAGTTCTGGCAGGACAAGGGGATCTTGGTTGACTTTTTTTTTGGAATAGAATCAACATTTTGAATTTTATCCCAATGAGGTCTAGTATCTAATATTTATCAAGCCCATTGAATATAACACATACCCTTTAAACAAAAGTCAAATTTAAATGTTAATATTCATATTTTCAGCATGTTTTCAGCTGTATGTGCTGGGAGTTAGGCTAGAGATGGGATAATAGGCCAAAGAAACATTGCCACATGCCACATGCCACATGCCACATGAAGTTTGTGTTTTACAGTGGAGGCAGCCTGCTCAGCACTCTGTAATATTTAGTCAGCACTCACCTACTAATCCTTGAAAGACTGTTTTCCTTAAATACCTGTGACTGCCTGCTCATGTAGTTCTGGTATGGAGGCACACTTGGCCCTTGTTAGGGCAAGCAGAAAGTGTCAGAGGGTTAGTGATTCCAGGAGCAGGCCTTCACCAATGATGTGTGACGATGTGGTGGATACAGAACACATTTCTGCTCTTGGAAGGGGTAACAGTGAGGTATTGTTTTACACTGTTCCCCTGACTTATGAGAGGAATTGTATTTTACTTGCCTTCAATTAAATCTGTTCACTAAAGCACCCTTTACAGATTTCTTCTCTTCCTTTTTCTACTTCTCTATTCCCCTGACCATGCTTCCTAGACTCCCCTTTCAAGTAAAGTACTTTTACAGGGAGGGGAACATCACACACCGGGGTCTGTTGTGGGGTTGGGGGAGAGGGGAGGG
The DNA here is from genome assembly GCF_000001405.40 of Homo sapiens. Taxonomy (NCBI): domain Eukaryota; kingdom Metazoa; phylum Chordata; class Mammalia; order Primates; family Hominidae; genus Homo; species Homo sapiens. The sequence goes on along the minus strand of NC_000003.12, from coordinate 76,440,390 downwards.
ATAGCATTAGGAGATATACCTAATGTAAATGACGAGTTAATGGGTGCAGCACACCAACATGGCACATGTATACATATGTAACAAACCTGCACGTTGTGCACATGTATCCTAAAACTTAATGTATAATAATAAAAAAAAAATAAAATAAAAAAAGTACTTTTACTAAAATTCTTGCTTGGGACTTGATTGGGGTTGTACATCTGGACCCCAGGTCTTGCTATTTAGTGGAATTTCTCGCTTTCCCCCCACATCATTTCACATCCTCTCCATCTTCAGGTAGTCTCTCTAGCAGGAGAGACAGGATTCATCCATGGTAGTTCAGAGTTCCCCAGAATGCAAATGTAGAAGCTCCCACTTCTTCTTAAGGAGAAGGACTGGAACTGGAAGAGTGTCACTGCTACCACATTCTGTTAGTTAAAACAATCCATAGAACCTGCTCAGGCTTAAGGAGAGAGGATGATACAAGGGCATGGATACCGGAAGGCAAGATTCTCTGGGGCTACCAATGTGATGAACTACCCATCGTGGGAGTGTGAAGACTACATCCCCTCAAGTCAACGGCAAAAGAAAGAGGGTAGGAGGAAATTCTAATACTTAGCAAATGATTTAACTCACTCTTTCATCATGCATTGACAGGCAGATATTAAAAATAGACCTAAGATAATTAACTACATTTTTCTAGTTCTTTCTTCAATTTCTTTACAAGAAATTGTAGAATATCTCACATCTGCATCATACTAGGCACTTGCCCTCATTGAGTACAAGCAATGCAGTTGTTTTGTTTTATTTTGTTTTTGCTTGGCATAATCCCTATAGCAAGAACACCTTTGAACATGCTTCTCTGCCTGGAGATCGTTTAGCTTTTTGATTCATCGTCATCTTCTACTTCTCATAGTCCATATCAGTGTCAATTTCTTTAGGAGCACCTTCTCTTATCTTCCCGATTCAGCTCTTCATGCTTCTTCTTTGTAACCTTCAGCAGGATCCCATTTTACATTTGTTTCTGTTTTCCCACTAGTTCTAAACTCCTAAATTTCTTAAGGGCACCTTCTCTGATCTTCCTGATTCAGCTCTTCGTACCTCTTCTTTGTAACCTTCAGCAGAATCCCATTTTACATTTGTTTCTGTTTTCCCACTAGTTCTAAACTCCATGACAGTAGTGACCTTTGTTTCTTTTGATTCACAATTGCCTAGACCCTCGCATAGTACTTGTCATGCAGTTGGCATTGAATACATATTTACTAGATGAGTAAGTGGATAAGTGAAATAAACAGTAATGGTGGTTCCCACTAGTTACTTGTTCTATTTCTTTGTGGTTATTCTCTAGAAAAACACATTTAAAAAGTTATCCTTTCTCCATTGTCTATGCAGCAACACACAATCACAACTAAATAGCCAGGAAGTGTAAAAAAAAACCCAAATCCTGTTGTTCTCAAACCACAACTTTCAAAGCCTCTCTGCGAGTCCCTTTGTTTCCTTTTCTCTTGTGAACTTTATGCCTTGAATTCAGGGCTTAACGACACTTATCTCAAAATCTCGTATGTTTTAGTTAGATTCTAAATTTTCTTTATTCATTGAATGTATATATTTAAATAAAGCATAGTTGATAACTAAAAATTACAATAGAAATGACTCAAGATGTTTCTGCATTAACCATGAAAATTAATAAATTTACATCCAATTATTCCTATAGAATATATACTTGAAAATGTAATTACAAGTATAATTACACTTATACTTGTATAAATTAGCCTGTGACACAGTCTGGAATTTAATCTTTCAAACTAATTTTTACTCGTGAGTTGTTCTTCGCCAATAATCATATTTTGATTTGTTTACCTTGCTCAGTCTATGGCTTTACAATATTAGGTAGAGCAGTGAAAAATATCAGTATATTTTTTATAGGATTACTTTATGTAAAATACGTGCTACCATCATATATGTGCATTGTGTGTGTGTGTGTGTGTGTGTGTGTGTGTGAACTGATTACATTAAAAATTAAAAAGTCAAAGTGGCCCCAAGTTAGGTTACATATAAACTGATATGTATCATACATACAATTCCACATAAAATTTTCTAAATACAGCACAAATTAAAGTGCCTTCTAGCACTTTATTGCAAAAATACCAATTGAGGATGGCATATTTTAGATAAAATATATGTGGCCAATATTTACACAACTTTCAATTGATAGGCTCCCCCAACAAATCTCTGCTCAGTACTTGCCAGAGAATATAAATTTTTTCTCAAGAATGAATATTGCCTGTCTTATAAATGCTGTGGCTTGCACAAAATCTTGCAAATCCAACAAAGTTATAGTTCTTAGGAGACATAAAATTTGTCATTCCAATCCTGGAACTGTATATGCTTAACCTTTTGCAATGGGTCTTACATCGTTGAGAGAAGTCAGCTCACTCAAGAGCACGCTTACATTTTAGAGGGCAGCAGTACCCTTCCCATGTTGTCGCAATGAATTTCATGTCTGAAGGCTTAGAAGAAGTTAACTGGCATAATTATCTATCCAAGAGGCAGATATGTTGTTGGCATAATTAAACAACTGCTAATGACATGGAAAAAGGGTAGACAGCCAGCAGTAGCAGGCAATATTTTAGAAGCAATATCACCTTTTTTCTTTGTCTTCTTTTTTCATTATTCACTTGAGTACAGCACAAGACTCACAGCATAAACAAAAGTGAAAAACATTGTACAGTCTTCCTCTTTGTTTACAAAGGGGAATTTCTGAATTTTTAAGATAACAAGTATGTATAATAATTTTCAAACATCCCTTTTTTGTTTTATTAAACCATCTGTCTGTTCAGAATTCAGAAGAACACTAATATTTTTCAATACGGTTTAAAATTCACATGTGACATTTCAATTGAAGGAACCAGAAATACTTCCCAAATCATTGGCAGGATTGGGGACAGTGTTTAAAATTATTTAAAACATTTTCTTCCAGGCCATCTGTTGATTTTCTTTCCTTCAAATATCCATTTCTCTGCTTAGTACTACTTGAAAAGTAGTATTGGTTTTTTCAAGTATAGGAAACCCAGCTGGAGGTGACCAACTCTAACTAGAGAGCAGTATACTGCCTAATATCTTTTCATTTATCGCCCTTGTCATTATTCATATGTGATTCCTTTATATAAAATGTTTTTCCTTAAAATACCAAATTCTAGCTCCATTCTATACCGAATTATGTATATTTGAAAATTTTGGTGTTAATTAAAGTTTCAAAAGCTTCAGTATACTACTGTCTCTTACATAAAGATTTTGGAATCCAAACTTCAAATCACAATGACTCATATAGTCTTGGGCAAAGATTGAATCATTCTGTTACACAAATTCAGTTTTGAGCTAGAATTAAGTAAAACAGCTGTTAAATATTTAAATGTTACTGTGATAGCATTTCACATATTTATTTGCAGCTTGAGGATATATTGCTAGGTCGATGAGCATAGCTAACAAATTGGCCTTGCAGTTTAAAATCAGTGATTCTGCATATTGCTTGTCTGAGCCAGAGCACCCCACTTACGACCTTAACAGGAAAGTAAGGTCAAGCTAAAGTTACCTTCCAGATTGGTTAAATGAACACTATATAAAAAGCAATGTACGGGACACTTTCATGAATGATAAGCTATATTGTATTATTATTTTCTTGAGCTCAACTTCCTGGGATTTCTCTTAATTTTCTTTTTTTCTTTTTTCTTTTCAAGTTTGGTATTAACTTTATTCTATTTTCTGTATAACTTTAAGCACATCAAGGTTTATTTCCACAGGTCTCAGGAAATGGGTAGAAATCACAGGACAATCTCTCTTCCCACCAAAAAAAAAAGTTGCCTATTTTGGTAAGTGTTTGTCCTAGAGGCGAAAAACTGAAATTTACATTAGCAGCACTGTGCAAGATTGTTACATAAGTCAAGACCTAAAACCAGCCTGCAGTGGAGATTTTAGTCCTCTGTTCAGGTGCTTGGACAGAAGCCATAAGCTGATGAGCATGACAGGGAAAAGGAGGCAGTGAAGACAGGTGACAGGTACCTGGCAGGGAAGGAGGATTCAGGAATGCCAGACTCCTTGAAATGGTGTGTGTATGGTGCAGCGCACCAGCATGGCACATGTATACATATGTAACTAACCTGCACAATGTGCACATGTACCCTAAAACTTAAAGTATAATAATAAAAAAATAAAAAAAAAGAAAAAGAAATGGTGTGTGTGTGTGTGTGTGTGTTTTCCTTTTAAAGTCATCTCTGTAGGAAGGTGCTGGGCAGGGATCCCAGAGAAAGAAAGAAAGGGTCCAAGACTCCATTAACTTCCCTGGATGAAGGACACTGCTACAGCAGCTAGCACCAGAGACTCTCCTATCTCATGGTTGAGGCAGAACCAGGATAGAATAGAGAATAAAAGGAATGCTTATAGGACACAATTTTGCATGGAATGCTAGATGGCCAAGCCTCAGCCTTTGGTCCAGTGCAACCCCTGCCTCGCTTGTCAACAGTGAAAAATGAGTTTGGTTATAGCAGAACCATCTGGAAACACACCAGCTTCTGCTACCTTCATGCTCATTGTTAAAAAAAGATTAACCAGTGTGAACATTCTGATCTGTTAATTCCTGGGACTGTTTTCTTTCCAATGGACTGTTTGTTTGTTGGTAGAATAACCCCCAAAAGCTCAAAGCTAAAATGCATCATAGTCCTAGTCGGCAGTTCCATAAGAATGGACTGGCGGCATGGTTGAGCTGATATGGAAAAGCTGCACCTTCCTGCAGAAGATCAACTGACCTGCTATCCCACCCCAAATTTCAGCCTGAGGTATATTTCAGTGAAGGCAGGTAGCTGTGCTTCTCAGAGCAGAGAAGCAGTTTTAAGAGCACCAAGGTAGAGGAAATCGCGAAAAGAACCATCTTGATACAGATTTATCCCACGGTGTGAAGGGAGGGCAAAGAACCCAGAGACACTTTGCCTATCCAGCAATTTCTGTCACTGTGGTGACCAACTTCTGCCCATGCTGTAGGGTCTTGAACTGTTCAAGAACTGGGAATTCATTAAAGTCACCGCCTTCTGTAGGAATGAGGGTGTTCATCTAGGAAGATTTGGCACTGACTATCTCACAATCCAGGGAATTCTTGCTCAGGTAAGCATGGCAGCCATCTGTTTTGTTGATGGATATGGTTGGCACTTTACCCATTACCTGAACTTTGACATCCCTACTGTTGATTATCTCCACAATGCCCACCATGTCATCAAATACCAGACCAAGCTTCTTACAGTTATCTACTGTAATGGAGTTCATTTTGCCCTTGATTTGCAATGTCATGTTGACACACTTGTATATGTAAGCCATTTGTTTCAGCTCTGCATCCTCAATCACCAGGTTGGAAACATTTTCCTGATTTTCCACTCTCCACTTCTTACCCTCCAGTTCAAGTACAGCTGGCTCCTTCTTTGTGGCTGGTTTGGGGGATGGGCTGGTTTGGGGTTTAGGTGCAGAGAATGGCTTGGGGCCACTGCATACTGGACCACTCTGAGCCTTCAGGGCAGGGTTCTTGTGAGTCTTCATGTCATCAGATACATGATTCAGGGCATGTGTGATGCTCTCCCCCTGATTAATCTGCGCAAACAGGGCTGAGCAGGAAGCGGACTCATCTGAGCCTCAACTGGTAGAGACTGGGGGAGGAGGGGGGCCTGCCTGGTGAACGGGGAGGAGGACCTGATCCAGCAGAGGGTCCAGATGGCAGAGTCCACTCAGTTCTTTTGCCACAGCCCCGTTTTGCTCCAGGCAGTCCAGTGGTATGGAACTCCTTAATGTAAGCCTGCAGCTCTGTCCGTATACTTAAATAAGCTTTGACCCAGTCTACATGCTTCTTATCCACATCTTTGTACTCTTTGAGGACTCGGTTTGTATAAAACATGGCAGCATCATTCATTTCTTTCACATAAGTGCCAGGCTTGGGGGCCATAGCCACCCAGCCCAGGGCCTGGATACTTTCGTTGACAGCTGACAGGTGATTAAACAACTTGCTGCCTCGGTTCTTCTCCCGAAAGCTTATCACTTCTTGATCTGCTCTGAGATGGGTGCCAACAAATTGGAAAGCTTATTATCTGCTGGCTGTTGACACTGAGAATCTGTAACCAACAGCGCTCGCTCCAACGTCAAACCTGTGTGGACCATCTCTGCATATTTCTGCACGTCTCCCCCAGTCTCTTTACTGATCTTCAAATACTCTGCCACAGGACCAGCAAGCAGTGAGTCAAATGCTTGCACATATGGAGCTGTCTCCATACCCACGGTGCATGTCAGAGGTATGGGATACTGCCTCCAGGAGGCCCACTGCCCTCTCCAGTCTTTCTACCAGATTTTGCATGTCAGCCATAATGAACCACCTCAGAGTTCTGACTCACCTCTGGACTGCCCTTAATTTTCTTCTAGATTGTATTGGAGTAGAATCCCAAGATGGATAAATAAATTCAAATCACAAATGGTCATGAGAAAAACAGCTTGCAAACTTCAAAGAAAATAGATAGAGATGTGAATTCTAAAGTAGCAATTATGTCTTTAAGGTTTAAGGATTTCTAAAACCTTAAAATGGTTCAACTCAATCGATGGAACTGACTTTAGAATTGGAACTATTCTAGAAATGGAAGCTTGGCTATTATGCGTGTTCTCGGACATGGACATCAACAGTCTCACAAGTCAACACAGCAACATATACATCTTTGTTCAATTGTTCTGTCATCTTCTTACTCAAGTTTTGGAATACACACATCCACGTACAAATACAATTTAATGAGTAATAACTATAAATGTGACCTACTTTACTTGACGCACTTATTGTTTTAAGTATAGGTTTACGCAGAAAAAATAACACATAGAAAGAATGTATACTATTTAAAATTTTATTATGTTTGACCAAAATGTAGGTTGACAGCTATTTAAGGTAAGGTTGCCAGATAAAATACTGGACACTCAGTTAAATGTAAATTTAAGATAAATAAAAGTTTATTACATGTTTATTGCAATTGTTTAGTTTATTTATACTAAATATTGTTTATGGTTGATCTGAAATTCATATTCAACTGGACATACTGCATTTTTATTTGCTCAACCTGGCTATTCTAAGGTTTTATTTAGTGATAACATTTTAAACTTATAAATAGCGTGTAAGTACCATACAACTTTACATTCCCTTTTGAAAGAAAATCTTATCCTACAAAGTATAGGATTTTTAATGTAGTCCCACTAATAAGAAAATGTTCTGACCAATTAACTGCAGATATATGAGAAAACTAGCAGATTGCAGCTATTTTACTAATTATGGAAAAAAGATTGGCACTTTGGCAAACCTTAAATAATAAAGTTGCATTTTGAGATGGTGGTCACAGTTTCTAAATGCTAGTTTGTCCAATGTGAACAAATGATCGCTAAGATTCTGGAGTGAGTGAGTCTCCTCCCTCCTTCCCTCCCTCCCTCCTCCCATCTTTTTCTCCCTCCCTTTTTTTCCTTCATTCCTCCCTCTCTCCTCCTTTCTTTCCTTCCTTCCTTCCTCTTTTTTCTCTCACTGTAATAGCCTCAAAGATAGCCCCCAATGCCCTGTTTTTTCGGTTATGCGTGTTTGTATAGGTTTCTCTCAAATTGTATTAGGATTGTTTGATTTGACCAGTAGAATACAGCAATAGTAAGGGTACATTTCTTCCAAGGCAAGGTCTTTAAAGGCATTGTGGCCTCTGCCTCATTCTCTTTGATCACTAGTTCTGAGGGAATCCAGCTGCTATGTCGTGAGAGGTTCACATAGTTGGGAACTGAGGTCTCCTCCCATTAGCCAGTGAGAAACTGAAGTCTTCTACTCATAGCCATATGAATAAGCTATCATCGAAACAGTGAAGTCTAGAGATAACTGCAGTCCTGTCTGACATCTTGACCACAACCTCATCAAAGACCTTGAGCCAGAGTCACCCACCTAAGGCAATCTGAGGTGGCCAACTCTCACAAATTGTGTGAGATAAATATTTGCTGTTTTAAGTCACTGAGTTTTGCAGTAATTTTCTATGTGGCAAAATATAACTAATATACTTAAAATATGCTGTAAAAATAGACTTTGGGGAGAAAATAATAAAATATTCTATGCTAATGTCTTCATTTTCTCTAAATACTTTTGAGACCATAAAACACTAGAGCAGAATATATACTGTCTATACAAAATCTAGACCTCTTCTGTAGTCTTATCTAAGCAAAAGTCCAACTTTGCACTTTTTATTAATTGTGTTATAAAGTTGTAAACATACAACTTTGTAGGAGACCAAATGCCATATGGCACAAATGACACACTCAACTTTGATGATTACCATTTTGCCACACAACTCATTCCCTTTTCCTACAGGTGGGATTCTAATGCTTCTAAGCAACAGCCTCTAACACCTGTGCCTAGGAGTCATTCTCTTATTTCTTATACAGATCAATGTATCTAATTTTTGACCTTTCAGTGTCCCAAAATGTCAAAAACTAATGTAGTTCATATAAAATGAAATACATTTAAATCCCCCCAGCATTAAGATAGCAATAAATTTATGAACACATTTACATGGCCTTGATATTTAAGACAAAAGCAGAAAACAAATAAAACTTCTTTTATTTGGTACCAGATTAGCATAACATAACACCCTCCTTCTTTATTTTTTTATTTGTCATTTTGGTGTCACGAAATACTCATTTGGCATCAACAGCATTTCTTTCCATTTAGTGATATTTTCTCATGCAAAGGATCATTTTCTCAGATTAATGTTTCTGCTTGTTTATACGAAAGATTATCTTGGGAACACTTAACCACATTATTTTGCCCTACTAAGCTTAATCCACTGGCATTAATGCTTACAAAGTATAGTCATAAATATGAAGGCCTCAGATTTACTATATCATTCATGTTTTATTCAACCATACTACATGTTATAGTGTCTTTCTTATAAATTTAAAGCATTGCCACATTTGTGATTCATCTGATTTTAAACACATAAATGTATTTTCTTAATATTATAAGGCTACTTTTTAGTCACTATAGAATTCTTAGAAACTAGTACATATGTTAATTTTTTAAAAGATTGCAAAAATATCTAATTACTAAGGGTTGGATATATTTTTAAATTAACTTTGATTTTTTTTGCTGACAAATAAAAGGCCATTGTGTTATGCTTTCATAAAACCAAAGATGCGGTTATATTTACACAGTATACTTCTTGAAGCAATGGTTTATCTTTTTATGAACTTTTATGCTGTTTAAAGGATTCTGACATTTTCAGTTTCTCAGAAATATAGTAAACTGTTTCTTCTACTGCTGAGTTATTTAATGAACAAAACCCCCTTATAACATAGTTGTACTGTTGACTTCATGAAATATCTATAAATGACTATTATTTTATTAGTTTGAGAAAACTTAATTCAAAAACAGTAAGAGAGTTTCATAATTTCACTAATTAAAAGTTAAAATTCTATAAAATAAATAATTGAAATATTTTAAATATGTATAAGCCTTTAAGACTTTTTAAGCATTATTTTTCAAATAACATATACGCAAAATGTTCCAGCTGCTGTAATTTATTTATTGGCTGAACAACTACTAAGCATGCAGTATCTATATCTTAAGTACTGAGTTAAACGCTGGGGTTGAAAAGAAAAATAATTATGATTACTGTTTTTACAGAGATTTTCATAAATAAACTGATATAAATTATCAAAACAGAACACAGGCTCCATCCAGGGAAAAATGTGCCATTTAAAAGTTGCTTTATTATTTTAATATCAGAATAAGGACATTCCCCAATGTCCTTAATAATTCTAGTGATTTAGCACCTATTGATATGGAACAGAATACAATATTATCTAACAGTGCTTTAAAAAAATAGAAGAAAATAAAAATAGGCTTCTGATTAAAAAAACACAAGGATTGTGGAAAAGGGATAAGTCAGTGTAAAACAGCTGGCATTTGTGAGATACTTTGAAAAAGGAATACTCAGTTTTTACGTAGTTGTGATCACTAAATGACTATGTGTTTTCATACTAACTGTGACTGAAAGGACCAAATTATTTTTTATTTCATATTGATATTGTAAAGTAAGGGCAAAGTTAAGAGACTATTATAGTTTCAGGGAAGCGGCATTATAAGATCTACCCTGTCCAAGGTAGTGGGTGGAAACCTTGATAGATTCTACAAAAGAAACATAGAAGGTATTTGGGGTTTTGAATTACTGTTTATCTCCAAGCCTACCTGGCAACTCTGGAAAAACTAGAGACCCTAATGTCTTCTGTAATTAACTAGGAAGAGACATATCCCCTTTGCCTCACCTCTGTCCCTAATCAGGTGCTATTGGTGCAGTGAACAAAGGCTCACTTTGTTCCCAGTGTCCCCGTGTCCTGGGCAGGTTGTCCAGGAGTCCAAACTGTCTATGCTGTTTGTTCCTTTGATTGCTGTTCTCGCCCTCACCATCTCCCAAAGCAATTGGGTCAGTCCTGAGTCAGGAGCAGATTAGGAAGGCAACACCTCTATCCTACATAACCTGACAGTGTTCCAAATGGGCAAGATGCCATGTTAGCAGATGGCAAAAGACCAGAGCCCTGGAAGAAAATAAATGTGCCCCCTGATTTATAGTCATATTTACTGTTGAAGAATGTTGAAGTTGCAGTTTCTGTAAACCTTGTGCCTCTAAGTTTATGAGGATGATACACTCAGTTCTACTAAGAGCTCATTAAATTTAAATTGGACCAAGAGAAGCTATGAAATGTTCTACTTAGTTTGCTTTTAATATTTACTGCTTTTATGGAAGACCCAAATTCTCCTCTGGAAGAATAACATACATTTTTCTGATGTATGCCAAACTGTTCCATATTATGCTGTCATACCAAACCAGAAAATCAAGAAGTAAAATTTAGAACGTATTCACAAAGCCATAAAAGCTTTATCTATTGAACCAATAATTATATAGCACTAGGAATTGTTCTAAGTGCTTTAAAATACTGTCTCCAACCACATAACAACCCTAACAATGGGTTTTCCACAAATGTTAGAACACAGCTATTCCTTTTGTCGCTTTTTACCCACATAAGAATAAGTACTCCCTTCTTTCTACCCCTATAAGCATGAGGTCTAGACCTTGGACATAGCATATACAATACATTGTATTGTTCCTAGACCCTGAGTGTGAGTGAGTGGGTGTGTGTGTGTGTGTGTGTGTGTGTGCGCCCACTGGTCTGTGAGTTCTGTGAGGGAAATGCTTGTTATCTTATTAATGTTTGGATCCAGAAGAACTAATTAATACATGATAGGTATATATTAGGAAGTCAACAAATGTTTTCCTAAGGAGAGACTTATTATTTTCATCCTACGAAGTGTTGGAATTTGGAATTGAATCCTCCAGTCTTATCACTCCAGGTGAGAAGTTAGAGAAGAAATTTATGGCCTAGAGACGCTACTGTAGGGCAGCTGGGGCTGAAGTGCTAAAGCAGCTGGTGCCAGATGGTCAGTCCCACGACCGTGAAGATGACTGTCGGCAGCTCAGAAGGGTTAAGTAAGGTCGAGGAACCAGCTTCAGTAGGTGACGCTTCTCGTGTTATCACTTTCGCGTGGCTCAACTCAAAAGAATATTAATCTCAAAGTTCTATCCCAAGTATTTTCTGTCCACTAATAATAGTAGTCAAATGTAAAACCAAATCTAATATATAAACTTTTAGTTTATCTGAAGTTTTATGAAATGTATTTGTTTTACAGAAAAAAAACTCACTTTTTTTTGTTTCTGTTAGACTATAGTGTTAGAATGTGCTAGAAAAGCAAAAACCAACTCCTTAAGTAGTGAAGTATTTTCATAGTATCATGACTCTAAAAAGCATTTTTTCTCTCCTTTTATCAGTGAAAATCTACACAATCTTTAACATTCGAAATAGACATATAGTGCTGATGATCTTTAAAAATTCTCAAAGATGATTTCAAATCTTTCATATAGAATTCTTAAAAATGTCCCTTAAAATCATCTTTTCCTAAATATTTGTCCACAATATAAAAAATATACAATATAATGATCCATTTCTGTGCTTTTTCTTTTCGAGGTATCCACAGGGTTAAACAATTATGCTCCTTAAGGGTTGTTCTTAGGTGATGGATTCATTACAAAGATGTTCAGTGTGAATGTCTGGAGCCTATTGGAAGACTCGAAATCAGGTATGTGGGCAGATGGAACTTATGAGGTCTTCTATATTTTAATATTTCCTGCTGAACAGACAGACTACTGAAGCAGAAATACCACCTGGTTCTTTATTTTACACCATAAACATAAACTGAGAAAAAAAAGTCATCCATTTCACAGCATTAAAACTAGTTATATATTTGAAATTTAATATATATATTGCTCACGCATTCCCCTGATAGTATCTATATTTTTTAAACCTGTAAATTCTAAAAACACAAGTAACATATTTACATTCAAGGGTGGGTTTGCAGTGTCTAAAACTGGAGAAGAGAGGCACATACTAATCAATGTGACTGATTAAGATATTTGTGCTAAGATACTCACTGAAAAAACAGATTCTTGGAAGAAATCTGAAAAAGAAGCCTTCTCATTTAAAGAGATAGCTATAAAATCAGATTACTTTGCCAAAAAATATAACCGTAATCATTAAACAACAAGAATACAATTACAATAAGCATTTATCCTAATTCATAGTAAGCAACAAAATGTATTATTTAATAATAACTATCAGTTGTGTGGATGGTATTTGATAAAACACTTTCTTCTTTTAGTGAATTGGTAATGTATAGAATTGCTCTTTTGACATCACAACTGGGAATTGTTCTTCCATTTTCTTCAAACCCCCATGAAATAATTCATGAATTAAGTTACATTTTTTTGCAGCCACAGGTCTGCTTCTGACAACCCCCTTTGCTGTCCTTACATTTGTAGTAGTCTTCAAAATTTTAAAGTGCATCCAGGAACCCTCCATTGTATGCTCAACATTATCATATTTTCACCATTTCATTGATAGCTCTCCAGATCATATCTATCATTTTACATCCAACATGATATTTTCCTCCTTCCCCCACTTCCTATGGTCTCCAGAACTATCAGTTGCAAGCGAGTGGTTTTTTTTTTTAGGCATTAAAGGTCAAAACTGTTCACCAGAATGCATAATAAATGTCAGAAAGCCAGAACACAGTAGTGGAAATAGCCCCGATGCAAAACACACCTAATAAGAGAATCATGTAAATCCTGCATTGTGAAGGGCATTTGTATTATAGAATGCTAATGCTTACTGATCAATTTCGACTAGCACAATCAGGCTGAGAGTATAGACTAATAGTTAGGTCATAGGAAAATATATGTTAGCACGGCACAACATATTCACGTGCATCTATGTGTTGCTAAATAAGCAATTAGGTACACTATGTCTTCTTTATGGAGTCTAATTCCTCTTCTGTGATGCTCTCACCATCACGAAGAGTAACTTCATTCATATATAACTGGGTATGGACCCTTTAATCATTCAGTGATATCTCAAATATATTTCTCTCTACCTGTATAAAATCAGTATTCTGCAATTCATCACTCTCACATTTCCTTCAGAGATTCTGTAAACCTTAGGTTCCTAAAATCTTCAGTTTCCCTTTCTTTGAAATCTACTAATCTATCCTTCTACCTACAAGCACATTTAATTATGTATTGTAAAAGAAAGAAAAGCACAAAAAATCAATAAAAATCACCCCTTTCATCTAAGCCCACTTCCCACTCTCTCCTGTTTGTTTCCTTTTAAATTTCAAAATTCTTTGAATTGCATGTATCTTTCCCTTACGGTCTGATTTTGTGACCAAGCACTTGAATGAAATTCTGTATAAGAAAAAGGATCATTTTATTTTTTTTAGACCCAGTGGTCATGCCTTCCTTACCATCTATGAACTCTGTAGGACGCAGATGTCTGTTGATCATTTTTGTATTCTTTCCATATTTCCACAGAGTTCCAATCTCTGTAACCTTCCCAGGCTCCTCAATATTCCCTGGCTATTTCCTTTGCTTGCTACTCTTGTGACTCCTTAATTGTGAATATACTTTATATCTGAGGCACATTGAATTTTAAAGCTAGAGGGTAATTTAGAGGTGCTGTACTCCAGGATATATGCTGTCAAAGTGGTACTAGTCAAATACTCAAATAACATTTGCCAGAGCTACAAATCCCTAACCTCTTTCATTTAACACAGAGTTTTCCAAACTTTTTCAAAAACCGGATTTCTCCTCTCCTCTTCATCCACATTGAAACTTTCTGCCTGTGTTATAACGGTCTCAACACTCATCTGTGCACATAAACACAAACACTTGACAATCTTCATGCCTTTCACCTTCATCCTTTCTTATATAAAAGAATTAAAGGAAACAGAGGTATTAATAAACCAATAAGTGTTTTAATTTTTCCCAAATAATTGATGCTAACTGGGAAACTGTGACTAAAAACTCATACATGCCTAACGTCTTTGTCCTTAGTACAGCTCTTTTATTCTCAAATGAGGTAAGTTGAACACCTCACAAACATGATGTAAACACACTGGGTCCTCTTCTAGCAGCTTTCAAAGAACACGTGAGGGAAACTTTGTTCTGATCAACTCATTTCTCGGGGGTTATAGGCACCGAGCTTTGGCTTTGGGTACAAAAGGTATCTTTGTTCTTGAGGAACTCATAGTCTATGAGGAAAGTCAGAAACGTAAACAGATACTTTAAGCATAGAATAGAGTTCACTAATTTGGTCATGGAAAATTTTTGAGTGACTACTACATGCTTAGCAGTTTTATCCTAGGCATTGGGTATACCATGGTGAAGAACACACAGACACACACACACACAGACACACACACACACACACACACACACACACACACACACTTGCTGCATCATGGATCTTCAAAGTTCCAGAAAGGACAGACATTGAAGAAGTAATTACAGGTGTTAAAATGTTATGAGAGGAAAGTATAGGTCCATGGGTAGAGTTGCTAGATTTAGCAAATAAAAATACAAAGGTGCCCAGTTAAATTTCAATTTCAGATACACGATGAATAACTTTAGTATATCCAGGTCCTATACACTCCTATATTTTAAGTAGAACATCTAATTTGGGAAAGTCAGAAGGCAAAATACACATTAACTATGTAAACGGGTGGTGATCAAGAAAAAAAAAAGGCAGAATCCTATTTTAGGCAAATTGAATGGCAGGTGGAAAGGCCCCGGATTAGAAAAGCATGGCTCATGCAAGTACTAAAAAGGAGTTCCATGTGGCTGGGTTATGGAGTGTCAGAAGGATGAGAGTGAATTTATAAGGGTAGAGGAGGCCAGATTATGCAGGATCTAGGCTGTGTTATTATTGATTTAGACCTACAAAAACACCAGAGACATGCCTGGGTGTGGTGGAAGATGAGATTTCCAAAAAGGGTTATGGGGTGGGAATGTTGAGTTCAGCATGCTCCAGTGGAGCTGTTTGTGCCATGCACGCCTTTGGACCACTTCACAGAATGGTTAGTAAATATGTTGATCACTTTATTGTAGCACGATTGGCAATAAAAAAGCTGTGGATGTTTAATGATACAACTTGATGTGTTTGGAGATAAATATACATCATGAAACTATCATAGTATCATCACTTTCGACGCATAACTGTATCCATCAACTCCAAAGATGTCCTCCCATTACTCTCCTACTTTTTTAACTTTTCTGGTAAAAGCACTTAATATACGATCTAACCTCTTAGCAAATTTTTAACTATATAACACAGTGTTGCTAATAGGCCCTATAAAGTATCTCTTCAGATCTTATTTATTTTGCATAACTGAAACTGTGTACCCTTTGACCAACACTTCCCATTTCTCCCTGCCCCCAGCTCCTGGCAGCAACCCTTCTACTCTCTGCTTCTATGTGTTTATCCATTTTTTAGATTCCACATATAAGTGAGATCAGGCAGCATTTGTCTTTCTGTATCTGGCTTATTTCACAGAATATTTGTAATATACTAAATACAATTGTAGGAATACTAATAAATAATGAAATGATGTATAAACATTGTTAATAACACT
Organism: Homo sapiens; assembly: GCF_000001405.40. Classification (NCBI taxonomy): domain Eukaryota; kingdom Metazoa; phylum Chordata; class Mammalia; order Primates; family Hominidae; genus Homo; species Homo sapiens. Next base: position 76,424,306 of record NC_000003.12, on the reverse strand, counting down.
TTCAATATTAGCAAGCCTAATAACATACACTTTAAAAATATTGATAAGTGTGAATGTCAGTTGTTCAATTCATTGCATAATTTAAACGTATAAGTATTGAATAATATTTTTACATATTGTTAAGGTAATATGAAAATTTTCACGACTTCTATTGGTGACAAAGACACATATTGCTAAGCACTGTGGCTTATCACTTATATTCATAAGTAAAAGAAGTGCTAAATATTAAAGATAGTGAAAATAGAAATGTAATCTTTTTTCATCCAAGATCACAACCATGTGAACTTGATTCATCGACGTTTTGGAGGCCCATGGACCTCAAGCCAAAGTCCCCTTTTCCAGTTGTCTTCATCACACCAAAGTGGATTGAGTAGGCTCTACTGCTGGACAGGGTCAGATGGAGCTCCTTATCTACCCATATCCATTTACCCTTTATTAGCTGGACACATTAATACCTGGCTCACAATGATCGTTTTTATCTCAAGTCTTGCCATCATTTTAGACATTTCAAAATCCCCATGGATGACTATCCATGAACTCCAGTTCTCAATTCTTTGACCTGTCATCCGGTGGACTTTTACCTTTATCTTCACTTGCTTTAACCTCCTCCCTCCAACTCCCTAAGATTATACCTTGCAAGCACCCAGAAATTCTCAGGTTATAAAATTCTGAATACAAACATTTAATCATCTGGTGATCAAATCCCATTTTCCAATTTCTCTTGGTTGCTCCCTGCTTTCCTATTTTCTAACCTGATGGGTTACATCAGGTTCATTTACATCTGTTCTCAATATTGTCACACTTTTGCCTCTACCTCTTTTCTATCCATCTACTCAGCTATTCTCATGTAGACAGCCTCAGTTTTCTCTTTCCGTGTTGTCTTGCTATTCCATTACTCAGGTAATGTCAACTGTCTGCCTTTGACAAAGAACATCCTGGCTCCTGAGTGCCCCTGGAGGAAAACGTAAATGTTCTGTTTATGTTTGGTTTTGTTGTGTCACTACAGCTTAAGGGTCTTCCACCTGAGCTAGTTATGGAGCGCTTCTCAGCAGTTCTGTGTCTTCCTTATCTGCTCTCTCTTCTGTTCTCCAGGGAGATCCTCTATTTCATCCTCTTCCTGTTCATCTTAACTTGCCTGACCTTAAGCTTTTACTGAGAAAATAGAAGAACCTAACCCTTTACTCTGTAGTCAAACCTATAAACTCACCTGCACTTGCCATCATGCCTTTCACTGTCCCTCCTGTTTCAGTGGGACTGATGGGCCCCTTTCAAAGGACAAACTCCTCTCCTATATGGGCAAGACTCTTACCTCCGCCTACATCTTTAGGTATCCTACCGAGTTTATCCTCCCCTTTTCATCATGCATCTTTAGTAAAACAGATAATTTTCCTAGTGTCTTTGGATTACAAAGAAATCTCGCCTTTTTCTTTACCATGACCCCTTAATTTATCACCCATTTCTCCTTCGAAATAAGATTTTATGGATGAGTGGACTAACTTTGTGAACTTTGTGTTTTCTACTTATTTACATCTTATTTACTTCTATTTTATTTTTAAAAGAATTTTGCAGTATCAAAGTGCTTGAAGAGAAAAATAGTCATTTTTACATAAAGTACATCAACACCTTGCTATTAAGAATTTCAGCCATGTTTCTGATGCCCAGATTAATGCATGAAAGTAAATTTATTTTCTAAGTTAGACGAAACAACTCTTTTATAGCCATGATCCCATTTCCAAAAAGACGATGCAATTTACTAAATGGCGCCCCAGTGACCTGAGAGGTTAATACAGATCAAACACGCAAGTAGTTTTTAATCTTTGTTGAGAAGTTGATTCACTGCCTAATATAGAACTCTAGCAACCTCCATTAGGCCCAGGCCCACCTGTTCAAGTAGAAATAGTTAAATTTATCCACATTTTCCTTCAGTTATCTTATCAAGTTAAATCTAAGTCCAGATTCAGATCTGAACCTTACTAAACAAGGGTCTGGAGCCCAGACATACAACCTCTTGATAAGAAAGTATCATAAAATTATACATTTGGGAGAGACTAGAGTGGGCAGTGGGGACCACTGAAGAAAATGAAAAGTAAGCTTATAAAAAGGTCCTGTTTTGAATATATATTTCTTTCATTTCTATCCCATTATTATACATATTAGGTTATAATGTCACCAGGCATTTACATAAATGCCTTCATCACACCGAAGTGGAATGATTAGCCTCTGTTGCTCTACAGGGTCAGGTGGGCCTGCTTATTTGCCCAGTTTGGCAAAGGAAGTTACTAAGAACCTACGATTTACAGTTCAATATTACTGGGTACTCAATATGTGCATGTCAGGAAGCAAGAATTGGGTATAGGAATGTAAACAACTGGCAGAAAGAGAAGACAAAAAGAAAGCATAAAAGGATCACAGTAGTTTTATACACAGCCAAATGTAAAAATTGGGGACTAAATGTGACTTTCGTGGCAAAACCATGCCAAAAATTTCTTTCAGGGCTATTAGTGCCTGTCCCAATCCCACATTATTATTTTATTTTGAGAATAATGTTGTATGGACAAATTGCCATCTTCTTTTTTTTTTTAGATGGAGTTTCGCTCTTGTTGCCCAGACTGAAGTGTAATGGCACGATCTCTGCTTACCGCAACCTGTGCCTCCTAGGTTCAGGTGATTCTCCTGCCTCAGCCTCCTCAGTAGCTGGGATTACAGGCATGCACCACCATGTCCGGCTAATTTTGTATTTTTAGTGGAGACGGGGTTTCTCCACGTTGGTCAGGCTGGTGTCACACTCCTGACCTCAGGCAATCCTCCCACCTCAGCCTCCCAAGGTGCTGGGATTACAGGCATGAGCCACTGCGCCCAGCCTACACACACTCTTAATAGAAGAAATGAATAATCAAAAAATATTATTGTTGGAAAAAATGTTTGAATCTTATTTTAAAAATAATTAACGATTTCAATAGGCATGTTGAACCTTTTTTCGGCTATTGTTTTCAGCAATTGCAGTTGAATGAGTACAAAATGCACCACAGAATAGAGACTGCTATCTACCCAAATATTGCTGGTTGTTGAATCCATGGTAGGAAATTTTCATGTATTGTTACAACCAGCTATAAATACATCCCAAAATATGTGTAGAGCTAAAATAGATGTTTGATTTGTTACAGCATTTTATTAAATTTAATATTTATTCCCCCAGTTGAAAGAGGTTCAACAATTTAACAGATGTTTTGACCTAGCATTATTGTGAAACTAGCTATACCCCTAAAATCTCATTGATTTCCTGCTGATAAGTCCTATTAAATATCAGCATGAATTTCTTGACCATCTCCAGGGCTGAATACAAACTATTTCTTGTCAGTTCACTTCTTCTTATACATGTGGAAAACCCTTTGCTCATCAGTGACAGCTTTTATATATTTAAGCACATGGATTGGAATGACAATTTTCTGTGGAGACACAAAATACTTCCAATTCAAATTTTTGAAAAATAAAATAGCTTCTATCAGTTAGAATTGTTAATACTGTTAGAGAAAATGTAAAATTCCACTGGAGAGAAATGTTTAATTTAAAAATAGTTGGAATCTCTTAGGGAAAAATACAATTGCTTGAACTATACAGTGTTTATGGCTTATTACTATAAAATATTGATGTTTTCATATTTATATAAAATGGCAGATAGCAACAAAAAGGGATCTATATAAAATTATATGTGCATGTATGTATATATCTGTATTAGTTTACTTATTAATGAACATAGAGCTCTTTGGTACTAATTCTTGTCTTAAATGTGTGTTTAATCAAAAACGTTGCTTATATCTTAGGTTCTACTCTCAACTTTTTAGACTAACATCTTACACAGAAGTAGATCAATGCCGGCAATTTTAACACGTCATCATTTAAACACATCAGGTTAGACCTTAACTTCTGTAGTTAGGCCTTTTATGACCAACACAAGCAAAACTGATAAAGACTGTATTCTTAACAGTGTAATGGGTCAGGTTCAGTGGCTCATGACTGTAATCCCAGCACTTTGGGAGGTTGAGATGAGAAGATTGCTTGAGCCTAGGAGTTCAAGATCAGCCTAGGAAAGATAGGGAGACCACATCTCTACAAAAATAGAAAATAGTGTAATGATAATATTCAAGGATTTGTCAAAAGGCCAAATAATAAGTGGGTGATACAGTATAGAATCATTTATAGTTATTGCCTCCAAATAAAATAATGAGAGCTTCAGAAAAGCAGTATCTTAAGCAATTATCATATTACCTGTGATATGATGAATAATACGCTAAAAGAAGAACTGCATATAGTCCAGAGAATTACAGGTAAAACCCTAGAGAAAAGTTAACTTAAACACTGATTACGGTGTATTTTTTATTCCAAATGGAATGGCCTTTCCACCTACTGATATATCACTATTACTAAAACAAAAACCCATTAGAGTTAGTTGCTTCACATTGAATATCAAATGAACACTTATTATGAATATAATCATATAACATTGGAAATAGCTATTCAGTCCAATTTGCCAGGATTCAGCTACATGATTCCCATTACTATTAATAAAATATGAGGCTAAATCGCCCTGATGCATTTGACCTTAAGAACATCATGTTTCCTACCTTCATGAAAAAAACACGACAATGTACATCTCTTTCCTCAATAGACAGAGAAAATAAGTTCTTATCACTGCAACACAGGGTAATCTAGTTTTTACAGCTTCCTCTGTGGAGGAAAAAAGAAAGATATACAGGTAGTTCATTTAGAAGATCTTGATTGCCCTGAATAAAAAAGTAGTTCAGGTGATAAAACAAATCACCTTCACCTGCTTTCACTGGAGCCCAGGTTAAATTTAAAAAAAAAAAAGATGTTTGTAACCCATTTCCATTGGTATTTGTATCACTTTGAATAAAAATGTTATCTAATTTACATGTGTACAATTACACAGCTTACGCCTATGCTGAAAAGTGAGTCCAGACACAGCATTCTGTGGTTACTATTCACCTTTTATGTTTTCTGGACTCTCATTTTCTTCCCCAAAACACATGTTTAATGGCAATGTTGTTCACAGTTTTGAATTAAACCCAGAAGTAACACAAATAACTCGCACCGTGGCATTTGATGACATAATTTTTGACACGTATTTTTCCATTTTATGGTGATTTATCTGTGTTTACTCCTTAACCCACTGTTTACCTGCTGTCAGTGAAATTTAAAAAACAAAATACATGGGGTTGGAGAATTTAAAAAAAGAAATGGATGGTACACTAATCTTTATATACAAGAGTTTGTAAAACCATGATTAAAATGTGGTTGCAATGGTATTTTAGTAAGACATTCTTAATTCCCATAAACAAAAAGAAGATTGTACTGCATGAACAGTTACACTGCACACAAGAAATAATTGAATTTATTCTAGTTTACTAATTTTTTTTCACCAGTAAACTAGGTAACTAACATGACCTGCAAACTAACTCAGTTAACAATTGACAGAACTGATTATAAGGTCTTTGAGTATATTTTCAACCAAATGTGACTGTAAAGAGTACACGTGATTATTTTTTATTTGAAAATTTTCATCATTTTTAGAAAACTGAGTTTGGTTTTGTTAAAAAAAAAAAAAAGGCAGGTTGAAACATAAAATTTTTAAGCGTTTATTTGAGCAAATAGCTCTGAACCAGAAGTAGGTCGGGAGTTCCAACAAGGGATCACCACAAGGAGACTTTTATTGGGCCAACACAGAACAAAAGCAAAGAAAATATTTGTTTGGGCCGGGTGCAGTGGCTCCTGCCTGTAATCCCAACACTTGGGAGGCCGAGGCGGGTGGATCATGAGGTCAAGAGGTCGAGACCATCCTGGCCAACATGGTGAAACCCTGTCTCTACTAAAAATACAACAATTAGCTGGATATGGTGGCATTCACCTGTAGTCCCAGCTACTCTGGAGGCTGAGGCAGGAGAATTGCTTGAACCCAGGATGAGGTTGTAGTGAGCCGAGATCGCATCACTGCACTTCAGCCTGGCGGCAGAACAAGACTCCATCTCTCTCTCTCTCTCCCTCTCTCTCTCTCTCTCTATTTGTTTGGCGACAGTTATATAGTGACCTTATTTGGTATATCCCATTGGCAAGTCCCTAGTTATATAATTATAAATTTGTAGGCTGCTTCTGCTTGAGCTTAAGTTTGTTTTTTTCTTTAATATAGGCATTTATAAGAAATAGGTCAAGTTAAGTTTTGCCTGTTTACAATTTAAGCAAAGTTAAGGTTATTTTCATAGCTTAACTGGCTTTATCTCCTCAGGAGACTGTTCAGGACTTGTTCTCATTTTATTAAAGGTTGGTGCAAAAGTTATTGTGGTTTTTGCCATTGAAAGTAATGGCAAAAAACACAGTTACTTTTGCATCAACCTAATACTTCAACAGTTTGAAGATCATTTTGGTATGTGGTAGAGAACACATCCTTGCAGAAAATTATTTTCTGTTTCAAAGTGATTAGACAAGAATCAACTATAAAATTTAAAATAACTTGATTTTTTTTTCACCTAATTATCTTTCTTAATGTAATAGTTTGGTTTTGCAGAGATGGTTCAATATGAATTTTGATTTTTGTCTTTTATTTGGAAATTCTATTGCCTATTCCCTGTCCTTTCAACTTGTATTACAAGCTTACCATTTAGGAAGTTCAGACTATAACTATTCTTTCCCCAATTATTTGAATAAACCCCTCCTTTTTTTCATGCCATTTAGGCTAACTTTATTTTTTCCTCAATATTTTAACTAGCTAAACTCCTTATGAAGGAGAAAGCATAATGGACCAGAATAAAAGATGTTCATTCTCCTTTTAACTCTGTAACTAGCAGAGTAAACCCTGGTCATATTTGATTTGTTGTTTGTTCATTTATCTTGTTCTAAGTACCTGCATATAACTAGGCAGTAAAAGAATGATAACATGATGTCCTAGAATGGACACTGTGAAAGCAGTCACTGAATCTTGTTCTGTGCCTGGCTTTTCAGCTAACAAGATGGCCTGTGGCAAGACATCTAAACTCTTTTAAGTCAGAGTTGTCTTATATGCAAAATGAGTACACTGAGTTAGGTTATTTCTATGGCAATATCTTATAGCATGCTGTGTGGTCAGCCTACACCCATTCCAGATAACATGAGCTTTTTTCCTCCAGTCATTTGATTTTACCATCTACAATAACCACGTAAAGGAACACAACATCTTTAAAAGGTGTTCAGTATTTATGCTAAGGATGCCATGATAACTGAATAGCCAGCACAGCAGGATAGATTCTACTTTAACAACTAGCCTTTTAATAACATGCTTATAACATTAATGCTATCTTCAGTGGCTTTGAGAAACTTTTCTTTCAATAATGTGGTGATCTTTTAAACACTGCATAATATAAAGTTTAATACTATAGCTCATAAAACTCTGTAGAAACTGATAACTCGAACTCTACATTATCACGAAGAAGAGATTCCCATCAAAGCAAACTGAAGAGAGGCAAGAAAGAAAGTTGACGGCGCAGATGATGAGAGAGATATTAGCAGCATCTTCAGGTGACTTAGTCTAGAGAGCCTGTCAAATCACTTCGTCTAAAGCTCTGTGACCTTGTGTCTTGTGGTCATCATCTCTCCTATAAATCGGTACATTAAAATACTTGATTAAAGAGATAAACATCTTAGTGCTACTCTGATTCTCAAAACATGGGCAAAAGTGAGCATAGCAAAATTGTCAAGAAAAAAATCCACTAATTTATCACATTAACTACTTAAGCTCTTTAAAGTAATTTTTAATTACAAAGAATATAATGGTCAAAATGTAAATTATGTACGGTTTTATTTTTAGTGTCTTCTGATGTAAATTATTTCCCCCCCACACACACACAGTTTTAATGTTCAATAAAGGCATAGAAGCAAATAATCCTTTCAAAGCTACTTCATATTTAACTTGGCTTTCCACTTAAAATGGAAGATGGAATTGAAAAGACTGTGAAAATATGACTCAAAAGACACAAAACTAACATGCCAAAGGAATTTGTTAGTTAATTTACATGTTCTTCTATTATAGACATTCAGGGCCAAGATTTTTTAAAAGTACTTTAAATAATTTTTATTTTATTTTATTTTATTATTATTTTTTAAAACCACAGAACATGTCCTGATTTGTTTTCCTGGAGAGCAAGTGTTTTCAGAATGGAAAAAAATAACATATTGCTTTAGTATGATAGAAAAATAGGCCATTTATCATCTTGTTTTAAGGGAAAGTTCACGGATCAGCTCCTGCATGCTGTTTGTGTGTGGGTTTCCTACACTTTGCATTGCTAAATAATTGAGAACATTAGCTCCCAAACCATGAAAAATTCATTTTAACATGATGTATTATTAATCAATTTAATTTAAAGTGATCTGGAAAGTTCCAATTTCAGTTGTGATGCTTGAAGATAAATTCAGGCAGTGTTTTGTTCTTATTAAAATTGTGTAACTCCTTATTGTCTGATTTTCATTTTTTTATAAGTGGGTCAAACATTAATGAAAGTGGCATAAAAGATGACAGGTTGATCATCTTAGTCTACAAATTCATATACCTACGCATATTTATAAGGAGCAGCTATAAGAAATGTAGTCCATTTTTCATCGATTAGCAATATTGTCCTGCCATTTTCAAAGTTTACACTGATGCACACTCATACACCACAGTATAAATACTATGTGCTAGTCTTTTTCTTTAGTGATGACAAACTACTGAGTAGGCTCACATTTTGCCTCCCCAACTTGATAGAGATTATGAAGTCATTATTAAAATATTTAGTACTTATGATATAAAGTGAGAAGAATGATGATTGCTAATGAGCTATGTCACCATGCAATATCAATCTGAGGTTAAAAGTAGGGTCCCATTAACACATACATATGCAAAGTCACTGTGATATCTAGCCTTCTTCAGAGCCTTTCAGACATTTCTGAGAGGCATACATTTCTCTCACATAATTTCTGTTACCCTTCATTTAGTCTCAAGGCTTTGGATGCTTGCAAAGGTCCCATTTTTGTTGAAGTCCCATTGCCTCAGAACTGTCAATATGGGGACCCCGTGAAGTGAAAAAGTTGCACTGGAGCCTTCGATGTACTTCTGGCCCCTTGATATATTCCATACATGAGAAACACAGGAGATTCTGGTTACTTTTTACTTACAGAGATCAAAGACATGCTGCCTTGTTCCCTAATGATTTACAGAGCTTAGGGAGAGAAAAATAAGAGGTCTTTTCGTCTTATTTTTATGTAATCCTTCAGCACCCATCATTCTCTAGGCTCATAACAACCATGATGTCATGAAGACCTGGTGAGGACAGAAATTCAATTGATAAGAAGCATTCTCTACCCACTATCACCCATCTCCTTTCACAAAGAGACAGTGAAATTGTGCCAAGCTTGTGTGTCAATCACTTCCCTTAGAATAATTTTTTTTGTTGCTGTTTTTTGTGTTGTTTTCCCATGACCTTCTAGATTTTTTTTTTGTCTTTTTCTTTTTTTTTTTAAATTATACTTTAAGTTTTAGGGTACATGTGCACATTGTGCAGGTTAGTTACATATGTATACATGTGCCATGCTGGTGCGCTGCACCCACTAACTCATCATCTAGCATTAGGTATATCTCCCAATGCTATCCCTCCCCCCTCCCCCCTCCCCACCACAGTCCCCAGAGTGTGATATTCCCCTTCCTGTGTCCATGTGATCTCATTGTTCAATTCCCACCTATGAGTGAGAATATGCGGTGTTTGGTTTTTTCTTCTTGCGATAGTTTACTGAGAATGATGGTTTCCAATTTCATCCATGTCCCTACAAAGGACATGAACTCATCATTTTTTATGGCTGCATAGTATGACTGGAAAGTCCTGGAAGATTCAGTCCAGATGATATACCACCAACTAACTGAACTCTAGCAGTAAACAAAACTGTGCTACATACAATTTGAAAATAGAGAGTTGAGTGTTAATTTTATAATACTTTGAAAGCTAGGAATAAAATATCTATTTATAAGCATACAGACAAAAAGCACCAAAATAGGCATGATATGCTTTGGCCATGTCCCCATTGAAATCTCAACTTGAATTGTATCTCCCAGAATTCCCCATGTTGTGAGAGGGACCAGGGGGAGGTAATTGAATCATGGGGGCTGTTCTTTCCTGTGCTATTCTTAAGATAGTGAATAAGTCTCACAAGATCTGATGGGCTTATCAGGGGTTTCTGCTTTTGCTTCTTCCTCATTTTCTCTTGCTGCCACCAGGTAAGAAGTGCCTTTTGCCTCCTGCCATGATTCTGAGGCCTCCCCAGCCATGTGGAACTGTAAGTCTAATTAAATTTATTTTTTCCTCCCAGTCTTGGGTATGTCTTTATCAGCAGCATGAAAATGGAGTAATACAGTAAATTGGTACCAGTAGAGTGGGGCATTGCTGAAAAGATACCCAAAAATGTGGAAGCGACTTTGGAACTGGGTAACAGGCAGAGGTTGGAATGAACAGTTTGGAGGGCTCAGAAGAAGACAGGAAAATGTGTGAAAGTTTTAAACTTCCTAGAGACGTGTTGAATGGCTTTACCCAAAATGCTGATAATGATATGGACAATAAGGTCCAGGATGAGGGGGTCTCAGATGGAGATGAGAAACTTGCTGAGAACTGGAGTGAAGGTGACTCTTGTTACGTTTTAGCAAAGAGACAGGAGGCATTTTGCCCCTGCCTTAGAGATTTGTGGAACTTTGAACTTGAGAGAGATGATTTAGGGTATCTGGCAGAAGAACTTTCTAAGCAGCAAAGCATTCAAGAGGTGACTTGGGTGCTGTTAAAGGCATTCAGTTTTATAAGGAAAGTGGAGCATAAAAGTTTGGAAAATGTGCAGCCTGACTATGCGATAGAAAAGAAAAACCCATTTTCTGGGGAGAAATTCAAGCTGGCTGCAGAAATTTGCATAAGTAGCAGGAGTCCATAGCATTTGGTGACATGATATGTTAATCCCCAAGACCATGGTGAAAATATCTCCAAGCCATGTCAGAGACCTTCACAGAAGACCCTCACATCACAGGCCCGGAGGCCCAGGAGGGAAAAGTGGTTTCGTGGGCAGGGCCCAGGGCTCCTGTGCTGTGTGCAGCCTACGGACTCAGTGCCCTGTGTTCCAGCTGCTCCAGCCATGCTGAAAGGGGCCAATGTACAGCTTGGGCTGTGGCTCCAGAGGGTGGAAGCCCCAAGCCTTGGCACCTTCCACATGGTGTTGAGACTGCATGTGCACAGAAGGCAAGAACTGAGGTTTGGGAACTTCTGCCTAGATTTCAGATGTATGGCAACACCTGGTGGGGCCCTCATGGAGAACCTCTGCTAGGGCAGTGCGGAAGGGAAATGTGGGGTCAGAGCCCCCACACATAGTCTCTACTGGGGCACTGTCTAGTGCAGCTGTGAGAAGAGGGCCATTGTCCTGCAGACCCCAGAATGGTAGATTCACTGACAGCTTGCACTCTGAGCCTGGAAAAGCCACAGACACTCAACGCCAGCCAGTGAAAGCAGCTGGGAGGGAGGCAGTATCCTGCAAAACCACAGGGGTGTAGCTGTGCAAGACCATGGGAATCCACCGCTTCCATCAGCATGACCTAGAGTCACAGGAGATCGTTTTGGAGCTTTAACATTTGATTGCCCTGCTAGATTTTGGACTTGCATGGTCCTTGTAGCCCCTTTGTTTGGGCTAATTTCTTCCATTTGGAGTGGCTGTATTTACCCGATACCTGTGCTCCCATTGCACCTAGCAAGTAACTAGCTGGCTTTTGATTTTACAAGCTCATAGCAGGAAGGGAATGGCCTTGTCCCAGATGAACATTTGGACTGTGGACTTTTGGGTTAATGCTAAAATGAGTTAAGACTTTGGGGGACTGTTGGGAAGGCATGATTGGTTTTGAAATGTGAGGACATGAGATTTGGAGGGGCCAGGGGCAGAATGATATGGTTTGGCTGTGTTTCCATTGAAACCTCAACTTGAATTGTATTTCCCAGAATTCCCACGTGTTGTGGGAGTAACCCAGGGGGAGGGACCCAGGGGGAGGTAAATGAATGACGGGGTTGGTGTTTCTCGTGCTATTCTGGTGATAGTCAATAAATCTCACAAGATCTGATGGGTTTATCAGTGGTTTCTGCTTTTGCTTCTTCCTCATTTTTCTCTTGCCACCGCCATGTCAGAAGTGCCTTTCACTTCCTGCCATGATTCTGAGGCCTCCCCAGCCATGTGGAACTGTAAGTCCAATTAAACCATTTTTTTCCCTAGTCTCAGGTATGTCTTCATCAGCAGCGTGAAAATGGACTAATACAAGGCATTTTCAGGCACATACTTCCACAGGATAAAAGTACCTTTGGCGAAGGGAAAAGACAGAGGATGGCCCATTTCCACTGAAAGGCACAAGTTGCATGGCCTTGATAACCCTATAATCTTCTGTCCCATTCACAGGACATATACACATTCTACACAATAGCATTCATCAGTATTATCACTGCAGAGAAATAAGAGTTAAACACTTTAGGCTTATGCTACTTTCACAAAAATTACTTGCATGCCAGCATTTATGCTACCTGAATATGGATCAGAAATATCCATTGTAACTGTAATAATGTATGAGATACTTAAATGTTGGAGGGAGAGTTGGATATGTGTGAACTGGTGTGGTGGAAAAAAAATGTCTTCCCTATAGCAAGGCATTTTGTCTGAAGAACTATGGCAGAAAAAAATAAAAATAATTTACTTTAATGAGGTTCAGTTGAAATAAATTTAGAAGCGATCACAAATTTACTCAAGGCAAGATAATACCACAAGATCTCCTTTGCTCTAAACCACCTAATAGAAAAGTATTTTCTTACTAGGATTTTATTATCTGTTATTTCAATTTATTTTGTATGTTTCTATTACTGCATGTATTATATTTACTTTCTGCTTATCTAGGTATCTCTCTAGCTAGATTGTATGCTCCTAGAGAACAAGAACCATGTCTTACTCGTCTTGGTACACTGCCTGGCCATGATAGAAACCTTGATATATGTTTGTTGAATTAAACTGAACGTCAAGGTTCTGTCTGGTCATTCGGAATTCTATAATTCAGCCTATAAGCTATTTATAATTTTGGCTCTTCTTGGGTTTCAACTCTGCCAAGTTTTGTTCATGGCCATTGGACTTTGTCATCCAAAAAAATGACTCAACACAATGGAATAGCATGCCCCCAAGTACTGTTCATTCATGATAACCTATCATTAAAAAAAAATCCAGGTCCCTGGATGGAAGGATAATTTGCAACTTGTCTTCTTTTAAAGTAGGATTTATTACACTCACTCTGAGTTGTTGAGCCATGACAACAGTTTTTTCTTCATAAGACCAAAATCCTACTTCTTACTAATTCAATTTTAAATATGATTTCCCTGAAACATCACATTCCACACATCTCATCCAATAACAATAATTACAAGTGGTTACAGAGTGAAGATTGCTATAGCCTTTCAACAATATGTTTATACCATTAAAGACATGTATATTCTCATATATCTTAGAGCTGACATTCTTTTAGGGCATAAATCTGAAGTGTCATTCACCAATAAGCAGAAACATTTCTCTTCTTCTACATAATCGGGTGTTCAAACTTATATTAGGCAAATAATAAACTAAAAAGTATTTTGATGCAAAAATAAGGCAAAGAAAGATTAAAAATAGGAATCTAATATCAGTGGTCTCAGGTTAGAAGACAACTGAGAACCTGAACTTAAAATGCAGATTAGATCTGTGAAATTGTCAAGTACACATAAACACATTCACACACATTTTCCTACCACTAAGAAATCCATTTCAATATTCTAAATATTTAAGTTTATCCATTTCATCTATGAGGTGATAAAAGCATGCCTTTAGTACTCATAATCTTCATTGTTTAGTCTTGATCCTTTAGAATAGATACAATATATACACCGTCCGTCCTGCTGTGTGCTGTGTTCCATGTATAACATAGATTAGTGCAAAGATCTGATTAATCACAGAATACAGTATCTAAAAAAATCACAAAGAACACTGGTGTGCTGAGATGCTAAACCCTTAGGGCCTCATTGGCTTTTAGGCAGGAGCAGAAAGTAGAGACTTGCTGGAAAATTTTTGTTTTGCCTACAAATTTCTAGTAGAAACAAAGCAGCCCAAGAAAAAAATACACTGAGATTATGATTTTGTCTAAACAATGACAAAACATGCATGCGAAAACAAAAATTTTGCCTTTTGTCCGGTCTTCTTCACTTTGAATAAACAAAGCAACAGACTCCTCTCAGAAATTGATATAAAATGAGCAATTATAAAATGGATTGCTGTGAACACATGTTTGGGGGAGCAGCACTTTTGCTAGAAATAGATCTGTACTCTATCATATGTCTTCACTGAAATCCAAGAATTTAAAAAGTAATAACCATTTGTTTCGCTTATTTAAGGCATATTCTTATCTGAACACTGTGCCAATTTTTTTGTTGTTATTATGCTTAGGTTTTGATACAGTCCTACTTCTATCCCCCTTTTACAATGTGAAGGCTGAAGTTCAAAGAGTTTTGTGACATGCTCAAGGTCATAACTTATTAAGGAACAGAGCTTAGTTTGAAAGTCAGGGTTATGTCCCAGATAACATGCTTCAAGTTACTGCACCTGTTCCTCCTCAATAAACTATACTGCTCTTATGTAGGCTTTATATCTGGTGAGAACTTAAAATGTGAGTTTTGTTTTGACAGCTAGAGAATGGTCTGAGAAATCTCTATTCAAAGTACCATGGAACATAATGGATCATATGTTAACTGATAAGGAAAAGGCTGATTATGAGGGAGCCATTTTGGAATAAAAAATTATGAAAAGGCTAGTAATGAGTAGGCTACTTTTAGGAAAAATATTATCTTTATGGGGCTTTCATTCAAGATTCCTTTTTAAAATTAAAGATATTCTGCTAAGAAATGTGGAAACTAAGGAAAAAAATTGTTTCTGAAATGACCAACTGCCAGCCCGACATAATCTTGTAGTTGGATCTGATCATTACTTATCTTGATACCTACAATTTTACCCTCCAAGTGGATATAAAGTTCCATGAGTCTTTAGAGATTTCCACATTTCTCAGTGTATGCTTAGTTTTGTGTATAGCAATGAGTTCTGAACGTTCTACCATAAAAACTAAAACAAAATTTGAAACTTTCATATGTCAAACTTAGTCTTCTAAACATTTTTGACTACAGAACTCTATTGTCATTCACATATTAATACCCCAGTGTCCAGTCTAAAATTTTCTACACCCTAGTGTATTATAATTCATTTTGAAACCCTGCAATCTCCCAAATGTTACTCTAAACTGACAAAGTGCATGAATAGCTAGTGACTTCAGTGGGCAAGGGGAAGAGGGCCAGACTTAGCAAATTAGCAAAATTTTACTCCAAATTATCAACATTTTGATATATTCAGATACCTACAAAATTTAAAATATTCTGTAACCACCAAATTTACATAAAGATAGAGGATGAGTATTAACAGCAATTTTATCTATCTTTTATTTTCCCTGAATATCTTAACTATCCCTCTCTGCCATACTGTTTTATCACAGCCCTTTCTCTAATTAATCAGTGATAAACTTACATCTTCTATAATATTTGTCAAATATATTTGCACATTGATGTATGCAAGAACACGTTTTTCCAGACACATTCTAATTTCTTTCTCTTACTGAAATGAATAGATTTGCTTAAGTATATTTTTTGAAGCTTTCTTAAATGAGATACTTTTTGTAAGGTTAATACTAAGCTAAATTAAAGTGATTTTGAATTTATTCACTATTCTTGAACAAAATCTACAAGGTGTTTCATAGGCTTCAAAAGAGTTGAATCCTTTGGAAGTTATCTGTATTTGGAGCAAAATCAGGCAATTGGCAAGGACAGACAAAATATAATTTTGTCCATGAATTTAATAGCAAAAAACCATAACTGCCTCTGCACTGTTACCCATGCCAACTGAGCCCACCTTTCTCAATCCCTTCCAACTATTATCCACAGGAAGCTTATCAAGGGAGATTGGCATCAATGTCTGAATTAAGCAAAATGTTGAATCTATTCTCAAGCAAACATTGACTAAGCGTTTTGATGGTAGGCATATTATACTATTTTTGTTATACTTTTAGCTGTAGGGATAGTGCCTGTCTTATTATTTTATTCATTTTATAACATCAGAGGTGTTCAATCTTTGGCTTCCCTGGGCCCCACTGGAAGAAGAAAAATTGTCTTGGGCCACACATAAGATATACTAACACTAGCAATGGCTGATAAGCTTAAAAACAAACTCACAAAAAAAAATCACAAAAGAATCTCACAATATTTTAAGAAAGGTTACAACATGTTGTTGGGCTTAATTCAAAGCCATCTGGGCTGCATGAGGCTCATGGGCCATGGGTTGGACTCGCTTGTTCTGCATCATGGTTTCTTTCCTAAAAGGGTTCTGCTGATTATAACACATGCTTCCCTTAAAATACTTTGAAAATTTAGTGCACCTATGTTTGTATGTATGTATAATGAAGAAAAAAATAATTAAACATAATTCCAGATAACAAAGATTATTACCCATTATTCATATTTGGTACCTTCATATTCCATCTGATTTCCCTCAATCAGACACTTTGACATTTTTTCCTATTGCTCTCCATGGCTCTCATCAGAAACGTGTGCAGTAATGGTAAGATGCATCCTTTGGCTATATTCACATGGGTATTTTTTCCCATTTTTATGCCATTTCCAGTATTAACTCTGCTTCAAACATACTATGTTGACTTTTATTATGTGTCTATCAGACAACTGTCTGGGCACTGGTGACTTAATTAAAAACATAACAGTGACAGTTCCCATTCCTATCTTAATGAGCAAATAAAAGGTATATTTTAAAAACAAACACCTAAACAATATGTAAATTAACAGGAATAGTTTAGACAGCAGGAATTGCTATGCAGAAAGACAAGACAGGCTGTTGTAAGTGAGCAAATGGAAGACTACTTTAGATCAGGTGAGAAAGGGAGGTCTCTCTACGTAAAATGTAAAATGAGACCTGAATATCAAGAATCAGGTGACCATGTTAATAAACATCAGAGAAGGAAAAATGTCCAGGAAGAAGGAATTGCTAGAGCAAAATCCTACTGCAAACAATGTAACTGGTGTGTCTAAAAAAAGAAACATTGCATGTTTGGGACACAGTAAGCAAGGCGTAAAGTAGTTCAAAATAAATGAAAAAAAAAAAAAAAACAACTCAGGGTGGTCTGGCCAGTTTATGTGGGGTTTTGTAGGCGAGAGTAGGATGTGAAATTTATTATAAGTGTAATGAAAATCCATTGGATGATTTTAAGCAAGTTGGATACATGATAAATGGTTTCAAAGAAAATCATTCTTGACTATATGTATGAAACAAGCACAGATCAAAATCTTTGCAAAAATGTCTAAATAGACTGGACCTACAAAAAAGAGAAGATGATTCAGCTTTCTATTTTCACACAAATCACTTTTGGACCATAAATTTAATTTGTGCAAACAATGATTATCATTACAAGTAGTAGAATAAAGAAAATATCTTTGGGCTAGGAATCAGAATACCATTAGTGGGATTCTTTGCTTACTTGTGTGACTATGAGTGAATCATGTTTCTTGAGGACTTAGTGCCCTAATTGTAAAAAATGAGATAACTGGATCACCTTGAAGAAGTGTAACCACTCCTTCCCTCTTGTCCTATTCCTTATCAAATCACTTACCTGTGGGCCATTTTCTTAAGGGAAAAAAAATGGAATATGAAATAATCACTGCTATCCATACAAGGACTAGAAATATCACAGCAAGTTCCCGTTCTCATCTGTTTACAACTATTGCTACAAATTGAGTTGGCAAAAGTATTTAATCAAAAAATTAGTTATCATCATAGAGAGCATTCCTGTGACATTTACATTTTCCAAACATACCTCACTGTGGATGTTTCACAAAACTTACTTGCTTAATAACAAAAAGGCAAATTCCATTGATTTATTACATTTTTACTGAGAGTAAAATTCATATGGTGCTAACTTGACAATAAAGGGAAAATTAATGCTGTATTCTGAAATATTCTAAGTGTTTTGATGTAAAATATTCATACAAATATGAATACAATCAATACTGAAATGAAAAAATTGTGTAATAAATATAATTCTTGGTTTATGTAATTTTTATGTTAAAAATTCATATTGCCATATATAGACATCTATTTAGTTATACTCATTATTAAAAAGCTTATAATATTAGGAAAACACAAGTAACTACATGGAAAAGACAAGACATAATTATTAAACAAAGGGTGCCAAAAACCTTCAGTGTATTACAGAACCATATGAGCAAATCATTTTCAAAAGGCATGATTATTTTCCAGATATAATTTGTCCATATGCACCACCTGGCAAAGCAAGGAAAAGTGATTCCCTCAACTCCCCAACCCCCATTCCCATCAGCTACTTATATGAGTGCTTTCCTTTTCAAGGTTGCTTTTGACATTAAGAGTGTGGATAGAGGAAAAACAAGTAGAAGATGAACATGTGGACTCTTGCCAAGAAACCTATGCTCTCCAAACCTTCACAACCTTAGTTCTTAATGATAATTTTGGATACCTATAAGTAACCGGGACTACCTGCTGTTTTTAAGCAAAGAAGTAAAACATGTTGAAGGACTTTGCTAACTAATAGAAAGAATGATGGACTGATGACCAGATTTACTTGACTGCGTAAATTTGTGCATTTCCTTTAGATATCTGACCTTTCTACTCTTCTTCTGCAATGTCAAGGGAATTAACTAAACTACATTTCAGCCTCTGTACATTCCAAAATCATATGTATCTAGAATGAATCATGCACTAAATCATCAAGTAAACATTCATTGGCCCCAATCTTTCTCTCTGACTTCATCTCCAATCTTTCACTCTACCCTTCACTCTTTCACTCTTCCTGGAACAAGCAACCTTGTTCTCATATAAGAGCCTTTTAACCTTATATGAGAACCTTAAGAAGCTTCTGGCTGGATTTTTCCCAAGGCTCATACCTTATTATTTAAATCTGTGTTCATTTGACACCCCATCAAAGAGGCCTTCCTCAAACAATTCAACATCAACCTCAACTCTACCTAAAGCACCTTTATTCTTTCATCCTTTTTACCACTCATATTTCCCTCCACACATGCCATTGTCCAAAGTTGATTCCCTTCCCCATTTCATCCTGTCAAAATGAAAGCTCTGGGAAGAGTTTTAAGCATTTCCATTTTTAATTCTATGTCAACTAATATTATGCCTTATTATATGTAAGTACTCCATTATTCAAACAAGACAGAATATTTGCATTTTATAACCCATTCTCATTTTCACATACGCCATATTCACAACCAAGCCACAAAAATTCGGAATTATCGTTTAACTTTTTCAATTTTCTCCGTTTTCTATATTAGAAAGCTTAGCACTGTCTTGGATTCTTTCCCTCACTCTTCAATGTATTCTACCATTATGTTTTTTGATAGCTACTCCCAACCCACACGCCTGCATTTCTTTATCTACCTCTAAGCAACTTCGAGTCTCTCATTTTTTACATTCCCTCAATGATAAAGTAAAATGTGCCTAAGATTGTAGCTTTATGTTCATGCTTGCAACTATTAAAAAAAAAAGTTCACCCTTATTAAACTACCTGATCGACTATGCCTCTTAGTTAGCAAAGTCCTGAAATGTCTGGTTCACTTAAGCTTCCAAACCTCCTAACTCTAATCTCAGTTTAGGCCAATGGCATTACTATTCCAAGAGCACATAATAATCATTTTATTTTCTCTACTTGTATTTCTTCCAAATTAACTGCTTTACTCTCAATTATCCAAACTGAACAGCTTCCAAAGCCTAGCTCAAGACTTACTGACTTACTTTCATACATATAACATAATGTACTAAATTCTCAGTGATATATTCCTTCTGCAAAATCCAATCACACTTATAAACTAAATAATATATACACTTAATAAATTTGATTCTATGTTGTCATTATTTTTGCAGCCAATCCTTCTATGTGAATGTGATTCTCCCAACCCAGTTGATGTGGTCTTGATGGAAGGTGCTACATTCTATGCCTCTTAGGTAGCACAAATTAAGCATTGCATATGTGGAAGTATCAATAAGAGATACAAACTTTGTTGTTTAAAATTCATTTGCCTAAAACCTAGAGAGGGAAAATACACTGTCTATGGTTATAATATAGCTAGCAGCAGAGTCAGAACTGAAACTCAGATTTCTTAACTCATAGTCCAGATATCTTATCATCTTAGACTATCTCTCATAAATCATGTATTTCAAGTACTAAGCTGTTTCTTAAGGGTAGTCCTAAATACCAAAGGAAATAATAATATGGCACGGCGTATACATTTTCTCAGAGCAAAATGTTGACATTACTTAATACCTAAAATAAGCATTTTGGATGAAAGGAAAAGTCACTGCCTCAAACATTAGAATGAGTCACAATCACTCCCCCTCAATACAACTAACAAGCAATAATGGCTGTGCTGTGTTCAGTATTGTCTTACAGACTCTGCCAGTGCTTATGATGATCATTGTCTTCAAACCATACCTTGTACAGAAGTGGTGGCCTGCAGTTAAAGCACCTATGTAGTGGAGTAAACATTGTGGTTAAGAAGAATGCAGAACCCTCTGGGGATGTCATTTCAATATAGCATTTTGGAGAACTTGGTCTGGGTCAGTCTCATCATACTGAAAGCTCCCCAGGACCAGAAATTGTTCTAACAACCTGTCTTTATTGTTCAGAATCTGAGAGAAAAGAATGAATGCCTCTCTTGGTAAATGGTTTTTAAAAATAGATTATTTAATAATAACATAGACAAATATTTTTAAGTTTCAAGTATGACAGATATCTGTAAAATACTGATTTTGCTGAATTATAAATTAAAAAGAGACTCATTGTTGGCATCTAATTTTCCTGTACAGAAAAAAACCTTGCTGAATGATCTGCTCTTGAGATACTCCTTCTATCTGATGTAGTCAAGTCTGAACACGTTTAAGAAACAAAATCTCATTGCCTGTGATAGGCATAATAATGGCCCCCCACAGAGGTTTATGCCAAGGGAATTAACTTAACTATATTCCAGTTCTTTGTACATTCCAAAGTTGTATGTATCTAGAATGAATCACGCACCAAAGCATCAAGTAGACATTTATTGGCCCCAGTCTTTCTGTCAGAGTCTCCAAAATTGTCAGAATCTCCAAAACTGTCAGATTCTGTCAGAATTTCCAAAACTTCTAAGTATGTTGTCATACATAGTAAGAGGGACTTTGCAGACGTAATTAAATTTGAGGACCTTGAGATGAAAAGATTATCCTGAATTATCTGGGTGAGCCCAATCTAATCAGATGAGTTCTTAAAAGTGGAAATGAAATGGAAAACAACTGCATCAGAGAAATTCAAATTGAGAGGAATTTGACCCCCAGTTGCTGGCTTTCTAGTTGAAAAAGAGGTACCAAGAGAATAGAAGTGTTGCAGCTTCTAGAAACAGTGAACAGCTCTCACTTTGCAGCCAGTTAGAAAGTGGGCACCTTAGTCTTACAACCTCAAGCAACTGAATTTATCAGTAGGAAACGGGTTCTTCCTTAGACCCTCCAGAAAATAATGCAACCTACTGACAATTTAATTTTAGTTGGGTGAGACCAATAGCAGAGTTGTTACCTGCAGAACTATGAGATAATACATTTGTGTCATTTAAGCCCATAAGTTCTTGCTAATCTACTACACTAGTTATAAAAAACTAATACACTGACCTAATAAGCATATGAGTAAAAGAGAATATTTAATTTTCACAAGGAAGAGAGCTGCCCCACCTGAATGCACAATTACAGAAATGTCGTCAAGCATCATTTCCTACACAATTGCCAAGTTATGTGTGTGGATCAACATATGGCAACCCAGTGTTTACCACTGGGGACATAAGATTGATAACGTTGGTTTAACACCTTTAAATGGAAAAGTAATTGAATTCAGGACCAAGCTAAAATTTAAATAAATATCCACTTGAAAATTTTAGGCAAACAGAAATAAATAAAAAAATCACAAGTAAAAGAAGTAAAATTGTTCTCAGCACATATGAAGACTTGTTCTAAGTCAGAGGTCAGGTATATTCAGCTCAGCATTTTCTGTCTTTCAGAGACACCAAGGCTTATATTTGTTCAAGCATTCACGTCTTCTTAGTGTTAAACTAAAAAATTCAGAAGTTATCCTCTCGTACTGATCAAATGATAGAACTGCCTTCTGAGAATTTATATAAACATTTCTAAAAATTTTTCTTTGTATTCTAGGCTATGATGAATTCACTTATTTTACTACCATTGTGCAAACTAGAACATGTAAAATATTTCATCAGCTTGTTCTGATACCTTAGGACATGACAAATTATTCTATTCAATTTATTTATAATCTTAATGATTTTGCAGTTTTATGATAGTTTTTTTTTTGTTCTTGTCAGAGTAAAGGTTTGATTTTATTCCCTTACCTGTAAAACAAGAATAATATTAATATCTGTACCATAAATTTATTGTGAAGCTTAAATATGGTAATGTATGGGAGCCATGTAGAACAGCACCTAATACTTGCAACACCATCATAAATTTCAACTCTTACTGGTTCCGTTATTGTTGTTAATTGCTCATCCTTACTTAATCTTTTATCACCTTCATTGCCTTTGTTAAAAGCCTGTTTCAAGAGGCTTCCCATCTATGTTACATGTTACAATTGATTATTCATTTAATTATTTTCATTACCCAATAACCTTTTAAACTTCAGTCATGTGCTAGATATTGAAGTAAGGAAAATGATTTAAACACAAGCTTTCTTTACCTTCCAAGTGCTCAGGGTCTAGCATCTTCAAATTAGAATGGGCACTACAGTCACGTAGTGTGTCATTCAATCTGATGTAGTTAAACTACAATAGCCAACATTCTCCAAATCTTGGTGTTTCAAAAAATTTACAAGATAAAGTTACATTTTTTTCTTGCAATGTTGACTGAGTCCTGAAGACTACACAACTCATCTGTGATGACTGAGCTGTGCACCTTATAGGAGCATATGTTCCACCCTTGCAGCAGAGGAGAAGAAAACAGGCAAATCAATGTTTCCTATCTCATTATTTTGACCAATGCAAAATCTCATGGGTATATTCAAACTCAAAAAATGTGAAGCATAATTTCTTATGGTTCAGCAGCAAGAGAGCCAGAGATATTTTTGTGTATACCTAATATGCCACATGTGTACTTATTCCTCCACAATAAAAAATAATCCTGAACATAATAGCAATCTGCAAAACAAGAGTTGAAACTTTCTTGTGGATCTATTTTGTATAACTCATATTTGGAGGTTGTAGAGAGAACACTGAATGGTCTACATTATTTTAAATATTAATAACACTTCAATTCTAATGATGATAAGTACAAATACACCTAGTGAACTTGGTGTCACAAAAAGCAGATATTGAATGAGCAAGTTTTATAAATAAGTTATATTTTTATTAAAAAACATAATTTATATTGTGTTAAACATATGTATCAGATGTGTGATGATGTAGCCTTCTGATATCTTGCTATACTACTCACAGTTTATTTTTTCAATCTTACAAATTACCATATATTTTAAAGCAAAAATATAAACATTTGTTAAAGCAATTTGTCCTGTATGTTTCTTTGTAGTAATTGTATTTCAGTGTCCAAACCAATAATAGAATTTTTGCAAAACCCATAAATTTGAATATTCTTCAACTAGCTAAGGTGATAATGATGCTTAGAACTTTTATATTCTATGCCACTCAAAGATAACTTTGGTATCTAGATGTTGCTATCCCCTTTTGGGTGAGTCACTTTCATGTGACTCATGACTGAGGAAGGAGAGAATCTACAAATATTAATTTCACTATCTCACTGGCAGAAATGAAAACGGTTATTGAGGCTTAGTCTGATTTCTCCAATTCAATAAGTGTCTAGATATCTTAAGATATTGCTTCAATGCAATTTTTTATTCAATTTTAAGTATTCCAGAATGTTTTCCAAGTGCAAACTTCTTGTTAACTATTAAGGTACCATGGGTACCAGCTAAACAGATACACAAAATGAAAGTTTGTTTTCAAGTTCTTGGGATTTTAGGATTGGTATCATGTTTCAGAAAATGAATATATTCTTTATATAGAGAAGTTGCTACACTTGTCGTAATATCCATTCATCTATTTCTCACACCCTGAATTTATGGAGTAAAGCCAATTTTAAAATGAATTTATTCTTGCTAAAAGTTTGCCGGATATTTTTCTATCAAAGTCAAACTGTATCTACTATATGGTATTATAATACTATGAGCCTAGTTTTTCTAAAATGCTTCTGTTGTTATTTCGCCAATGTGCGCTCTTGAAGTGATTATTCTACAAGAAAACATTCATGAATAAAGAGTTTTACAGAGTTAGGAGTTATGGGTAGACTCCCCTGACGGCCTCTGTATTCTATCCCTTATTCTTTGGCAAAGCCTCATACTTCCTGATGCTTAATGTTATTACCATAAGATGGAATTTTATCACTTCATACATGGCTTTTGCATCTCTTTTCCACTCTGAACTATTTTACTGATCTCATTTTAAAAGTTGTTTTATTATGCCATTAATTTGTTCAGAAACCTCAGGGGTGTTTCAGTTACAAATCTCATCCATGTTGAAAGCTCTTAGGGGTACTAAAGCAGGCATGTATTCTCACATCATAGTATAGTTTCAGATTCCTGGAGAGCTTAGTTTTAACCCCAGATTTAACATTTAGGCAGGGCATTTAAACTCTGCAGTCCTATGTGTACAATAGCAATAATGTTTCCCTCAAAGAGTTCCTTCCTCTAGGTGCTGTCATAAAGAACAGATGATCCATTTTTAGAGAGACTAACAAAAAACATCTGGCACACAGCAGACAGTTGTCACGTTAGTTCTGTTTCTCTACTTATCTTATTTACTACCCAAGACAAGTTACAGCTCTGTATCTTTAAAAAATACAAATTCAACAATATAAAAAATTTTGTTTCTTTAATTCTTCTATTTCTTTTTCATCTCTCTGTATATGATTTCAATGTTATAAAATTATATTATGCTTGCGTGCCTAATATGGACTGAATATTATTGTATATACTACATGCTTATATAAACAAAACACTCTACAGAGTTGTATGTTCAAAACCATGTCAAGTATTATTTGTGTGTAATTTAGTTAACTTCAAAGTCAATTATGATGATAATAGATTATTGTCCTACATGGTAAGTTTTGCACCCAGTCTTACCATCAAATATGTACCTTCTTCCATCTTCATACTCAGTTGCACCTCTAGGCAATATATTAAACTAACAGAATATACTAAAGTAATAGAATATGCTAAACTAATAGAATATACTAAACTAATAGCATATGCTAAACTAATAGAATATACTAAACCAATAGAATATACTAAACTTAATAGTATATTTAGTTTAGAATATACTAAACTATTAGTATATTTAGTTTAGAATATACTACTAGTATATTTAGTTTAAAATATACTAAAAACTATAATTTATATTAGTTTAGTGTATACTGCCTAGAGGTGCAACAGTGTGTGAAAATGGAAGAGGGTACGTATTGAATTGGTAAGGTTAGGTGGTAAAATTGCCAGGGGAAGATCGTAACTAATACATACAGCTTGAATTTTTTCTTTTTCTTTTCTTTTATTATTATTATACTTTAAGTTTTAGGGTATATGTGCACAATGTGCAGGTTAGTTACATATGTATACATGTGCCATGCTGGTGTGCTGCACCCATTAACTTGTCATTTAGCATTAGGTATATCTCCTAATGCTATCCCTCCCTCCTCCCCCCACCCCACAACAGTCCCCAGAGTGTGATGTTCCCCTTCCTGTGTCCATGTGTTCTCATTGTTCAATTCCCACCTATGAGTGAGAACATGCAGTGTTTGGTTTTTTCTCCTTGCGATAGTTTACTGAAAATGATGATTTCCAATTTCATCCATGTCCCTACAAAGGACATGAACTCATCATTTTTTATGGCTGCATAGTATTCCATGCTGTATATGTGCCACATTTTCTTAATCCAGTCTATCATTGTTGGACATTTGGGTTGGTTCCAAGTCTTTGCTATTGTGAATAGTGCCACAATAAACATACGTGTACATGTGTCTTTATGGCAGCATGATTTATAATCCTTTGGGTATATACCCAGTAATGGGATGGCTGGGTCAAATGGTACTTCTAGTTCTAGATCCCTGAGGAATCGCCACACTGACTTCCACAATGGTTGAACTAGTTTACAGTCCCACCAACAGTGTAAAAGTGTTCCTATTTCTCCACATCCTCTCCAGCACCTGTTGTTTCCTGACTTTTTAATGATTGCCATTCTCACTGGTGTGAGATGGTATCCCATTGTGGTTTTGTTTTGCATTTCTCTGATGGCCAGTGATGGTGAGCATTTTTTCATGTGTTTTTTGGCTACATAAATGTCTTCTTTTGAGAAGTGTCTGTTCATGTCCTTCGCCCACTTTTTGATGGGGTTGTTTGTTTTCTTCTTGTAAATTTGTTTGAGTTCATTGTAGATTCTGGATATTAGCCCTTTGTCAGATGAGTAGGTTGCGAAAATTTTCTCCCATTTTGTAGGTTGCCTGTTCACTCTGATGGTAGTTTCTTTTGCTGTGCAGAAGCTCTTTAGTTTAATTAGATCCCATTTGTCAATTTTGACTTTTGTTGCCATTGCTTTTGGTGTTTTAGACATGAAGTCCTTGCCCATGCCTATGTCCTGAATGGTAATGCCTAGGTTTTCTTCTAGGCTTTTTATGGTTTTAGGTGTAACGTTTAAGTCTTTATTCCACCTTGAATTAATTTTTGTATAAGGTGTAAGGAAGGGATCCAGTTTCAGCTTTCTACATATGGCTAGCCAGTTTTCCCAGCACCATTTATTAAATAGGGAATCCTTTCCCCATTGCTTGTTCTCCTCAGATTTGTCAAAGATCAGATAGTTGTAGATATGGGGCGTTACTTCTGAGGGCTCTGTTCTGTTCCATTGATCTATATCTCTGTTTTGGTACCAGTATCATGCCGTTTTGGTTACTGTAGCCGTGTAGTATAGTTTGAAGTCAGGTAGCGTGATGCCTCCAGCTTTGTTCTTTTGGCTTAGGATTGACTTGGCGATGAAGGCTCTTTTTTGGTTCCATATGAACTTTAAAGTAGTTTTTTCCAATTCTGTGAAGAAAGTCATTGGTAGCTTGATGGGGATGGCATTGAACCTATAAATTACCTTGGGCAGTATGGCCATTTCCACAATATTGATTCTTCCTACCCATGAGCATGGAATGTTCTTCCATTTGTTTGTATCCTCTTTTATTTCATTGAGCAGTGGTTTGTAGTTCTCCTTGAGGAGGTCCTTCACGTCCCTCGTAAGTTGGATTCCTAGGTATTTTATTCTCTTTGAAGCAATTGTGAATGGGAGTTCACTCTTGATTTGGCTCTCTGTTTGTCTGTTATTGGTGCATAAGAATGCTTGTGATTTTTGTACATTGATTTTTTATCCTGAGACTTTGCTGAAGTTGCTTATCAGCTTAAGGAGATTTTGGGCTGAGACAATGGGGTTTTCTAGATATATAATCATGTCGTCTGCAAACAGGGACAATTTGACTTCCTCTTTTCCCAATTGAATACCCTTTATTTCCTTCTCCTGCCTAATTGCCCTGACCAGAACTTCCAACACTATGTTGAATAGGAGTGGTGAGAGAGGGCATCCCTGTCTTGTGCCAGTTTTCAAAGGGAATGCTTCCAGTTTTTGCCCATTCAGTATGATATTGGCTCTGGGTTTGTCATAGATAGCTCTTATTATTTTGAGACACGTCCCATCAATACCTAATTTATTGAGAGTTTTTAGCATGAGGGGCTGTTGAATTTTGTGAGAGGCCTTTTCTTCATCTGTTGAGATAATCATGTGGTTTTTGTCTTTGGTTCTGTTTATATGCTGGATTACATTTATTGATTTGCATATATTGAACCAGCCTTGCATCCCAGGGATGAAGCCCACTTGATCATGGTGGATGAGCTTTTTGATGTGCTGCTGAATTCGGTTTGCCAGAATTTTACTGAGGATTTTTGCATCAATGTTCATCAAGGTTATTGGTCTAAAATTCTCTTTTTTAGTTGTGTCTCTGCCCGGCTTTGGTATCAGGATGATGCTGGCCTCATAAAATGAGGTAGGGAGGATTCCCTCTTTTTCTATTGATTGGAATGGTTTCAGAAGGAATAGTACCAGTTCCTCCTTGTACCTCTGGTAGAATTCGGCTGTGAATCCATCTGGTCCTGGACTCTTTTTGGTTGGTAAGCTATTGATTATTGCCATAATTTCAGAGCCTGTTATTGGTCTATTCAGAGATTCAACTTCTTCCTGGTTTAGTCTTGGGAGAATGTATGTGTCCAGGAATTCATCTGTTTCTTCTAGATTTTCTAGTTTGTTTGTGTAGAGGTGTTTATAGTATTCTCTGATGGTAGTTTGTATTTCTGTGGGATCGGTTGTGATATCCCCTTTGTCATTTTTTATTGCGTCTATTTGATTCTTCTCTCTTTTTTTCTTTATTAGTCTTGCTAGCGGTCTATCAATTTTGTTGATCCTTTCAAAAAACCAGCTCCTGGATTCATTAATTTTTTGAAGGTTTTTTTTTGTCTCTATTTCCTTCAGTTCTGCTCTTAGTTATTTCTTGCCTTCTGCTAGCTTTTGAATATGTTTGCTCTTGCTTTTCTAGTTCTTTTAATTGTGATGTTAGGGTGTCAATTTTGCATCTTTCCTGCTTTCTCTTGTGGGCATTTAGTGCTATAAATTTCCCTCTACACACTGCTTTGAATGTGTCCCAGAGATTCTGGTATGTTGTGTCTTTGTTCTCATTGGTTTCAAAGAACATCTTTATTTCTGCCTTCATTTCGTTATGTACCCAGTAGTCATTCAGGAGCAGGTTGTTCAGTTTCCATGTAGTTGAGCGGTTTTGAGTGAGTTTCTTAATCCTGAGTTCTAGTTTGATTGCACTGTGGTCTGAGAGACAGTTTGTTATAATTTCTATTCTTTTACATTTGCTGAGGAGTGCTTTACTTCCAACTGTGTGGTCAATGTTGGAATAGGTGTGGTGCGGTGCTGAAAAAAATGTATATTCTGTTGATTTGGGGTGGAGAGTTCTGTAGATGTCTATTAGGTCTGCTTGGTGCAGAGCTGAGTTCAGTTCCTGGATATCCTTGTTGACTTTCTGTCTCGTTGATCTGTCTAATGTTGACAGTGGGGTGTTAAATTCTCCCATTATTATTGTGTGGGAATCTAAGTCTCTTTGTAGGTCTCTAAGCACTTGCTTTATGAATCTGGGTCCTCCTGTATTGGGTGCATATATATTTAGGATAGTTAGCTCTTCTTGTTGAATTGATCCCTTTACCGTTATGTAATGGCCTTTGTCTCTTTTGATCGTTGGTGGTTTCAAGTCTGTTTTATCAGAGACTAGGATTGCAACCCCTGCCAACATTCAGATTCAGGAAATACAGAGAACGCCACAAAGATACTCCTCGAGAAGAGCAACTCCAAGACACATAATTGTCAGATTCATTAAAGTTGAAACGAAGGAAAAAATGTTAAGGGCAGTCAGAGAGAAAGGTCGCTTACCCACAAAGGGATGCCCATCAGACTAACAGCTGATCTCTCGGCAGAAACTCTACAAGCCAGAAGAGAGTGGGGGCCGATATTCAACATTCTTAAAGAATTTTCAACCCAGAATTTCATATCCAGCCCAACTAAGCTTCATAAGTGAAGGAGAAATAAAATACTTTACAGACAAGCAAATGCTGAGAGATTTTGTCACCACCAGGCCTGCCCTAAAAGAGCTCCTGAAGGAAGCACTAAACATGGAAAGGAACAACTGGTACCAGCCACTGCAAAATCATGACAAAATGTAAAGACCATTGAGACTAGGAAGAAACTGCATCAACTAACGAGCAAAATAACCAGCTAATATCATAATGACAGGATCAAATTCACACATAACAATATTAACTTTAAATGTAAATGGACGAAATGCTACAATTAAAAGACACAGACTGGCAAATTGGCTAAAGAGTCAAGACCCATCAGTGTGCTGTATTCAGGAAACCCATCTCACGTGCAGAGACACACATAGGCTCAAAATAAAAGGATGGAGGAAGATCTACCAAGCAAATGGAAAACGAATTTTTTATTTTTCTTTCCCTCTACACCCCTCATCCACCTATATCCCTATTAACAAATCTAGGCATATACTTACAATTTCACACTTATGTGCTGCATAATACATATACAAATAAAACCTGGACCATGTTACTACATGAAAAAGAATAATGCTGTATGATTCATGCTGAGGAACTGACATGAGTCCTAAAGACTCAGATACACTCCTCTGTCCAGAGATGGCTCAAAAAGCTTCACTCCACTTCACTCCCAGCTTCACTTTCTCAGGCCATGTGGTTTCTGGGTAATTTTTCCTTCACATTTCTCTTATCAAGTTCAACTATTGTGTCCCTTCCTTCCTCATTATCTACAGTGTTTCTCAAAACAGGGACAAACATCTTTTACTTTACAGAGTTTTACTTCTAATAAACGCAAGAACTCATATAGAAGTAGGTCAAAGTTTATAAAAACAAACAAGCTACAAAAACTTTAGAAGTCTTATCAATTTCCTTACAATGCTATTTAATTCCCCACAAACTACTTTTTTCTAATAATTTAGTATCATATGCTCCATAATTTTAAAATTTTCTACAATGAAATTTTATTTATTAAGATATGAATTAAAAAGTGTTCAAATTCTTCTCAAATATGACTTGTATGACTTCTAAGGTAGAGATACTTCCATAGTTCAATGAGGGACTTACTGTTTCAGTAGCTCTGACACAATTTCAAAACCACCTGGGTTACTTAAAACACCTTGGTTTCCATATCTAGAGATTCTTATTCAATAGGTCTTGGATGCAGCCTGGACATCTGTATTTTTAACAAGCTCCCATGATGATTGCAATACACAAAACGATGTTATATCTAGGAAACACTGGATTTTACTGTTAGTATAGAACAATAGCTGTCACCTGTTTGATACTTGACAGGTCCTTATTTAAGTTATCAGCAAGGGGGAGTTTCATAATACATCTTCACATCCAAATTTAAGTTCTTTAAAATGTGCATGGAAGCCAATCCTTGTTTCTCTAGCAAACTGAATTCAACCCAAAAGTGTAATTATTCTAGACAGTTTAGCAAAAGTTTGAGTAGCAGTGGTGGGATTACACTAAACTTCATTTTTCAAACAAGACAAATTGTTGTGAAGATGATCAAAATTCAGTTCCTTTGAAGTGATTTTTATCCCAGCCTATATAAAATGTAGAACTTGGTAGATTTAAATGGTACCAGGTTATAAAAAAATGTTCTGATATTTCTAACATATCTATCTTCTATAAAACAAAAAATGACTATTATTCTTTATTGTTTCATGATGAGAAAAAATTGGCAACCGTTGCTTTATTTCACAGTTTTCTAAGTTACTTAATCCCTAAAGTGGAAAGCCATCATTTTGCGGGAAAATGCACAATGAAAGCGAACATTTTACCAGATTTCTTAAAATCAGTCAAATAGCTACTCAGTCATGATTCCCATTTTTTAAAATAAAGAATTAAGAAAGCATCATGCATATCAATTTAGTATAACAGGAATTTATATGTGACGTTATTAATGTCTATGATAGCTTTTATAAACCAAAACAATTTGTACAGGTATCTGAACTGTACAATTCATGAGGTTTTCAAGTTGGCTATTCACTATGCATGAACACAAAGTTCTAAACCATGCAGGGCTGTAAAAAACACTGAAAACAATTAAAGCAAAACTCAGATACCCCAGAGATTGTTATCCAAATAATCCTACTTTATAGAAAGTCATTGCAATAATTTAGCCAAAAGGGTACATCAATTTTCTAATTTATAATTAAGATTTGCATTATTAATGCCAAGGATATTCTTCATAATTAGGCATAAATATATACAGAAAAAGAAAATCTTATTAAGTAAATTCACTGCCATGTAGAAAATAATTAATAATGTTATGAAGAAAACATGTTATAAAATTATCCCTGAATAAGAATGCTCATATATATGTTTAATTTTTCTATTCACAATGCTTAAAGACTACTTTATTATGGTGAAGTAAACTTAAGAGTCTACTGTCTTCCTAACAGATCTTGTTTTAAACAACAAACTTGCATCATTATAATTTTCAAGGAGGCATTGATTTTCACTATTTTTGATTATTATGCTTCTTACCACAAACACTTCTCTTAAAATAGAAAGTAACAACATCGGCCGGATGCGGTGTCTCACACCTTTAATTCCAGCACTTTGGGAGGTCGAGACGGGCAGATCACAAGGTCAGGAGTTCGAGACAAGCCTGGCCAACATGGTGAAACCCCGTCTCTACTAAAAATACAAAATTAGCTGGTTTGGCAGCACACACCTGTAGTCCGGGAGCCTGAGGCAGGAGAATTGCTTGTACCTGGGAGGCGGAGGCTGCAGTGAACCAAAATTGTGCCACTGCACTCACACTCCAGCCTGGGCAATGGAGCGAGATTCCATCTCAAAAAAAAAAAAGTATCACCATCATGAGGAAGATGTTATGACATTTTGGAAGAAAAATGGAGATAACATACAATTTGTTTCAGACTAGAAACACATTGTATGAGCTTTATTACTATTTTAAATAAGCACATTTCTACACATATTCCATATATGTGGAATGCAGACTGGCTCCGTCCGTTGCAGATGTTATTAAACTACTGCATAACACACTCATAATCGGTCTTAGTCTCAAAACCATTTTTAGCAAAATACGATAAGCAGCTGTTAATCATCAACTAAGTTTGAGAATTTTTGTGAATTGAAGTCTATGGCCAGATGTATACGGCCCTGTTTGATCGTTGAGAAACACTTGCTGTATCAATAGATATAATGAGAATCTACAATTAAGTCAAGATGCAAAATACTGTTAATGATAATAATATCTAATATTTATAATATTTATTATAACATATTAATTGAATGCTTGCTATTTACTAGGCACTGTGCTGAAGACTTTACATGGATTATCTAACTGAATTTAATTAATCTATTTTATTATTTCTATGTTTTTGTCCATATGGTCCACATTACCAAGATAACAACAAAATTACCTTGTTTTATTTATTGGGTACACTTCACTGTCTCTGTTATATGGCAGACTCTAGGGTCTACACATTCAATGTCATACTGAACATACTGTCCTTAGAAGTTTTAATTCTGATGGGATATGACTAATCCACAATACAGAAGTTGCACATGGAATAGGTTGAAACACAAGGAGGGGCAAGACCAACATTTTCTCAAAAGAATATGATAATCATTTAGAAAGGAGGGAAGACAGAACTGGCTCCACACTTCCGTGACAGACCTACAGAGGAGTAGAAAGCCAAAGAGAAAGAACATGAGGAAAAATAAATAAAGTAGGCTGGGATTATGAATTTAAGTGTACAGGTCCAACTACTTAACTAATGTGGGCTAACACAGCTCAGAGTAATGAAACTTTAATGAATTTCATCTTAGATGCATTGTCTAGCATACTGGTAAAAATTACAGTTATAATTATCTTGTATTAAGTAATATCATCTAAAAAGAATCTCTTTAATGTATGTCTTATCATTTTCCATCAAGTTAAAATCATAAGACACATTTGTAATAAGACAGTTTCAAAATATAAATGCAAATACATACAGAATAGTTTATATATATAGTTATTATATTAACTAAACTTTTGAATATAATCTAAGATTATTTTGAAGTTTTAATGTAATAAAGGGACTCAGTATTGTAAAAACAATGTGAGATTTTATGATGATAGTGTTTCTGTATTTGATTCAAATGTTCCTAAACCAACTATTTCTTTTTGTGGGGGAGGGTGTGGGGCATATTTTAATGTTTTGAACAGAGGTTAGCTGTTATAATTATTAAGTTATTAAGGTATGGTCTAAACAAATATAATGAGTATCATCTTTAAAATTCAATAGTCCTTATGTGAAGACAATTTTTATTCTAAGCTCCAGACCAATGGCAATTGGCAGAAATTTGCTAACCTCACACGGGACATTTGAGCTCTAGTGAAGAATGACTGCAATTTGCTTTCTGAGTAGACTACTGAAAACAATAAGCTACAGATAAATGTAACTCTCATGTCCCAAGGTAAGATGCAAACGGTAACACAGAAATAATTTTCCTAGCTCTGGAATCTATGTTCAACTGAAATAAACTGAGAGGCTAAAATTCATTGCCTAAATGTAATCGATGAAACTTAATTTTAATATAGATGTATGTAACAAAGGAAAGTGGAAAGATGAATTGCCAAGTTACTTCATAAGAAGCTTCATCACAGCTTGTAACCATCAAATTTGAAAACAGCCTTGTCTTATGGGGATAATGTATGCCTTTTATTAAAAAGATACAGAGGCAAAGTATTTTATGGATACTTTTTTTTATCAGTAACACTATGAATTTAAGATTTATCAGTACAGAGCACATAGGCTGAAGAGTGCACATGCAGTCATATATTTGGAGAAAATGCATCTCAACAAGAAATCATAGTTCAAGATGGTATCTTCCTATTGTTTTCAAATCTCCTGTTCATAGCTAACAAATTATTTCCCTTCAAAACTTGTAGTGGCGAGCCTAATTCAGAGTTCCACCTTGACACTAACCTAGAGTTCCATATTTTCTTAACATAGTCTGTATTCTTGCTGTGTGGAAATTCTTTGCTTTAAACTATGTGTTATTGTGTGATAGTGGATAACTTTTCTGCTACATTCTTTGAAGATCCCCTGAAGGGAGCTCTTGAGGAGATTCTGCATTTGAAATATCAGCTAATACCACAGTCAATAAGTTTTTACTGCTTATATTTCATTACCAGTTTACAATGCATATTATGCACTGACCTGCATACCCAAAATCAATGTATAAGGTACAAAAGCTGAATGAAATTTGAGCAGGATGTAGGCAAAAGTCCTTCCATTTTTCAAATGTGTTTTCTAACTTCAGGGCAATAACCTTTTCTATGTATAGTTTTTTTAAGTGTAGTTTTTGAAGACAGTTTCAATATGTCATTTTGTTTTCTTTCTTAAACTGTACTGTTATTCAAAAATTAAAGTGGGCACAGAAAGTTAAAGTTTTAGATTGAAAAGATTTTTTAAGGCAAATGCACTGTTTAAGAAAAAAATGTTTAATATATAATACTATTTATCACTGATAATATCTATAAGCATAAAACAATAAATATTTATGGAATAGATAAATGGATAGATGGAAAGATGAATGGATGATGGAAAGACGCATAAAAACAGTGGCCAGAAAGGTAAAAAATAGAGTTATCAATTAACATTAATTTTCTTGAAAAAAAGATCTAGAGCTGAAGACAAAATGTAAGGCACATTCTGAAAATTACAAGTAGCTCAGTTTACCTACAAAATTGGTTGTACAGCAATGAATGAAATTTGGCTGTAGGGACAGAAGAGTAAATACAAATAAGATTTGGTAAATTTATGCCTGTAATCCCAGCACTTTGAGAGGCTGAGGTGGGCGGATCGCGAGGTCAGGAGATGGAGACCATCCTGGCTAACACGGTGGAACCCCGTCTCTACTAAAAATACAAAAAATTAGCCGGGCGTGGCGGCGGGTGCCTGTAGTCCCAGCTACTCGGGAGGCTGAGGCAGGAGAATGGCGTGAACCCGGGAAGCGGAGCTTGCAGTGAGCTGAGATCACACCACTGCACTCCAGCCTGGGCGACAGAGCAAGACTCCGTCTAAAAAAAAAAAAAGAAAAAAATGGTAAATTTACAATCACTAAAATTACACTGTATTATATGGACAATGTTCCTTTACAACAAGTATTTTCCTTTACACATTCAAACCATTTTATTACTAAAAGTTAAAATTATAACACAAGAGAAATGAGATCTACAAAGGGACAAGTTGCAGGTTGGTGACCCAGTAATTACAAAAGGGAAGCATGGAACAAAAAAGAGTTCTCCTAATCCACAGTATGTTTACCGGAAGAAACTCTTAACTGACTTTACTGCCTGAAGTTTTTGTCTACTCTGGAATATTGATATAGTATTTTGATTTAATTTTCTAAGGTAAAATTCTGATCATTTCATCCCATTGCTTCTAATTTTTCATATAACTGCCCTCTGTCTTACTAGTAAAACCCATAATTCATTGGAAGAAATGCAACAACCTTAAAGATTTGGCTATATTTTTAAGCCTTTGTCCCCTGTATGCAACAAACATGATGTTCATTTGTCATCTCCAAAACCTTTGCTCATCCACAGCACAGACTCTGGAGTCCCTCTGTCTAATCACTCTCCTGGCTTTACCTAGTCAAAACTCCATAACCTTAAACAAGTTGCTTAATTTTTAAATCCCCATTGTTCTCATCTGTGAAATGGGAAAAATAATTATAATAACTTCTTTATAGGGCTGTTTTGCAGACTTGAAAAATTCATAATAATTAATTAGTGCCATATCTGGCACATTCATTCAGCAAATATTTATTAATTGCCTATTATGTGCAACACATAATTTTAGGTAATTGAGATTCAGAAGCAGATTAAACAGTAAAAATCTCTGCTTTCATTTATTCTAACAAATAAAAAATAAATACTAGTTTCTATTAATAATGATTTTTAATATAAATAGTAATAATAATAAATGATTCTTCAAGATTCAGCTTAAACATCCTTTTCTCTGGGAAACCTGCCCTCATTCCTTTCTGATCTGCTACTGTGACCTTCTGTTATGATTTGAATGTTTGTGCTCCCTCCAAAATTCATGCTGAAACCTAATACCCAACCCAACAGGATTGGGAGGTGGGGCCTTTAAGAGCCTCCGCCCCCATGGATGGGATTACTGCCTTACAAAAGGGCTGAAGGGAACTAGAAAACCTTTCTCCCCCTCGACCCTGCCATGTGAGGGCACAGCATCAAGACACTATCTTGGAAGCAGAGAGCAATTGTCACCAGACATCAAATGCCAGCACCTTCATCTTGGACTTCCCAGCCTCTAGAACTGTGAGAAACAGATCTCTATCATATAAAATTATTCAGCCTGTGGAATTTTGTTATAGCAGCAGGAGTAGACTGAGTCTCCCTCCCACCTGCTTTTTAAGGTATCTTTTGTCTTAACACCTTTTATTCTAGTACTCATAACCTCCACAGCTACCCTATCATGCTTGAGTGCAGGGGCCAAGGCTTATTCACCTTTCTCTTGCCAGCTCCTAGCATATGTATGTCCCACAGTTGGAACTTGCAAAGCATTTGAGAAGTGATAGTATACGCCACTTCAACACTGAATTAACAGAATCATCATAAACCTATCCCAGACTACTTGTATTTTAAACTCCCTTTTTTGATACCGTAGCCCAGCATTTTGTCCTAAGTGATTATTTAGACTTAATTATACTTGGAAAATTACCTTAACATCTGCCACACTAGGATCAACATAGACAATTGGCCTCATTTTGAAGAAGGGAACACAATGGCTTGCAACCTTTAAGGGCTTTTAAAAACCCCTAAAAAACCCTTAAAAAAGTGTATTTTTGAAATAGATTGAATAAAGAATGCAACCCTCATGAGTGCTGAATCTTCCGCTTGTCTTGTTCACTGCTATATCCCTAGAACAATACCTGACATATAGTAGGTGTTCAATAAATACTTCTGAAAGGAGGGGAGGAAGGAAGGGAGGGAGGGAGGGAGGGAGGGAGGGAGGGAAGGAGGGAAGGAAAGAAGGAAGGAAGGGAAGGAGTAATATGAAGAAAGGTCTAGTTTGCATTGGTAAGATAACCTGTGTTCTTCTGAGCATAGGTGAAACTAATCTAAAAATATGTGTTTATTAAATGTGCATGAATACATCCTCAGAAATATGTATGTTAAAATCAATATAACATACATATTACTATATATCAAATGAATTTATATTTAAATATGACTTCAGTTGTTATAGCTTTTACTCTTTAAAAATTGGTATTTCAATTTAAATATAAGGATGTACTCATTTAGGATTGATACTCAAGGGTAAAACAAAATTTGTTTCATTAAATCATCAAATTAATTAGTATCAGATCATTCAGTTTCTAGTCACCTTTCACACATGTAGCTGATAATAGCTTATTTTCTGTTGGCCTTAGAAACTGACATATCTTTATGACAAGAAGTTTCTAATCTAGAAACACAGAAAAATGAATAGTCACATTGCAGAAGGGATATAAATATGTTAATGAACTAAATTTCTCCACTTAAATCAGTCTTTTTTTTGCCACTCTTTCTACACAGAGAAATTGATTCAAATATCCAGATCAAACTCTGAGCAAGGGAAAATAAACTTAATGAAAATAACATTTTGAGAGTATGAAAAAAATGAATATTAGAATGAGTGGACTGTGTGATTTTCAGAGCCTTTGAAAAATGCCTGAGTTTAATAATTATGTGATTATGCAAATTCTATTTTTGCATGTAACCAAATATCTAATTTGCGGGTACGCTTTCCATACAAGTCACACAATTCTTGGATGTTGAAAACCTGATCTATATCTCTTTGCTTCAATTCTTTTCCTAGAGTCAGGTAGATAAGGTGACAGACTGTGCAGTTTCTGTAAACTAGATAGCAATGGTGCCCATTGGCACCATCTCAGATATGGGTTCGTTTTTCAGGTGTCAGATGTATAAGAGAACTGAAGAAACTATTTTTATATAAAATATGATTTTTAAATATTTGAAACTAGTTAAACTTTTTAAAAGACACTTGGCAGGCTGGGCGTGATGGTTCATGCCTGTAATCCTAGCATGGAAGACGAAGGTGGGTGTATGCCTTGAGTCCAGGAGTTTGAGACCAGCCTGGGCAACATGGAGAAGCCCTGTCTCTATAAAAATTACAAAAGTTAGCCAGACATGGTGGTGCATGCCTGTATTCCCAGCTACTTGGGGGACTGAGGTGGAAGGATAGTTTGAGCCTGGAAGGTTGAGGCTGCAGTGAGCCATAATTGCACCACTGCACTAAAAGCAAGGCCCTATCTGGGAGACAAAGCAAGATCCTGTCTCAAAAACAACAAAACAAAAGACACTTTGCGGACAAAATAATATAGAACTGAAATATGGTCTCTGGCCTTGCTGCAAAGAGATTGGATGTTCATGCACTGGTAGGGTTTGGCTGTGTCCCCACCCAAATCTCATTTTGAATTGTAGTTCCCCTAATCCTCACGTGTCGTGGGAGGAATCAGGTTGGAGGTCATTGAATCATGGAGGCAGGTACCCCCATGCTGTTCTCTTGATAGCAAGTGAGTTCTCACAAGATCTGATGGTTTTATAAGGGGCTTTTCCCCTCTCCTCAGTACTTACCCTTCCTGCCACCATGTGAGGAAGGATGGGTTTGCTCTCCCTTCTGCCATGGTTGTAAGTTTCTTGAGGCCTCCCCAGTCCTGTGGAACTGTGAGTCAGTTAAACCTCTTTCCTTTATAAATTACCCAGTCTTGGGCAGTTCTATATAGCAGCATGAGAACAGACTAATACATGCACACACACTAATACCAAAATTTCGGTTTTGATTTTTAAAGCTTAACAGACTCCCTTCTCTCAATCACAGGTCTTACCCTTTAACCTTGTTTATTTCTCTGCTTTTTTGTTTTGAAATATTCTCATGACCAAAACAGGGTCCTTAGGGTTGGCTAAAATGGTCTAGATGGCTGAATGTTAACATATACCCAGTAAATCAAGTATGTGCTTCTTGTCTATAAAGCCAGAACTAAGCTACTTATTGAGAATAAATAGCATACTAAAAAGCTAAATCAAGAAATAGATTAACATTTCTCTTGTATTATGTGCAGCCAAGGACAGTTTTAGTAATAATTACAAGAAAACCACTTAGAAAAAATGTATCAGTGCAACTCATTCACTCCAATTGAAATGACTGTGCGGTTGGCAAAGAAAGCGTTGATATGCCCTTGATTAACATGGCAGATTTATTTATAATCTGCAACTGTACACAAATAATCCATTCTCTTCCAGTGCCTTATCAGGGACGCTCTTCTGCATTTCTGCCCAGCCTGTCTTGTCACATGCTCTGACATCTGCCAGTTCCGCTGCAGACACTGCCACTGTGAAGTCTAAGTTTAAACCACTCCATCCTCTGGGAATACCCTGAACGGAAATTTCCCTGACGCATAGAAAATTCAGAGTCTCTCATGTAACCTTACATAGAGTTCACAAAGTAAAGTATCCTGCTTTTCAGGTCACCTGTTCTCATTTACTTCCTGTTGTCAGGGGTTATTTGATTTACTCTAACAGAATTGGGTATGCTTTGTTTTTTGTTTTTTGTTTTTTTTTCATTATGACTGACCTGTGACCACCATAAAGTTATCTGAACTGTTGGCAGTTGCGGCACATCAGATATGCCAGATGCACGTCAGTTATGCATCTTTTCCACTCTTAACACACATCAAATGAAAAACAAAATCCAATTT
Source organism: Homo sapiens (assembly GCF_000001405.40). NCBI lineage: Eukaryota > Metazoa > Chordata > Mammalia > Primates > Hominidae > Homo > Homo sapiens. Next base: position 76,383,583 of record NC_000003.12, on the reverse strand, counting down.
GTATGCATTCTTTGGAACAGAATATTGACAAGTAATTTAAGCACTATTTATCAGGAAAAACATATAAAAAGTTTTTGAATTCTAAATTAAATTGTTAAAAATGAAAATAACATGACTGCAAACTCAGGGTTCTTAACAGTACCATAAGCATCAATATATACAAGTATCAAAAGCAGCAATATATTCTTCAGAGGGAATATTAATCTGTTTTGATTTATGTATCTCATCTGGAAGCTGGAGTTGTTTGCTAAACAGTCACTACTGAATATATTCTCTATTCATCCATTGCATAGTTTTATAAAGGGGAACAGAGTTGAACAGACAAAATTTGTGTTCCAACATCTATTACAAACGTTGAATACTAGAAGGAATGAGGACAAAACATATCTGAGCCTTGAAATTATGTTAAAATTCTCTTTTTTTTCTATTTTTAGAACACTATTTTCTGTTCAATACTAGCCTTTCCCCTGCCTACTCCATCGCATGCTTCCCACATCTTTCAAAAAATTGTTCAATGTTTTCAATGGCTTACAAATTCAAACTCTTCTTTATTTGTCTCTGAGATTAAAATTATGCTAAAGTCTACCTATCCTTAAAACTAACTTTATTACCATCTTTTTTCTCGTCTGTTTCTTAGCCTGAATCTCACTGACAGAATCCTCTTTATTTCCTTAATTCCTTATAACCTCTAAGTCTCAAAGAGAAGCTGAACCACCCTTGAAGGTCACTAGGATGCTGCATATTAGATGCTTTGGCCTTTTTCAGTCATGTAACATCTACAGTTAGGAGTGTTTCCCTTGAAAACCCATTTTCTCCATGTTCTCTTCCTATTTCTGTAATTGTCCCTTCCCTGGCTGTTCTTTCTTTCCTATTCAATGTAGACATTCCCTAAAGTATTCACTTCATTGCCTTTCTTTAACAGATTGAACAATCATAGAAGATTATTAGGTTGTATTAGGTTAGGCCTCCTGAAGAAGCTTTTTGTTTGTTTGTTTTTGAGACGGAGTCTCGCTCTGTCGCCCAGGCTGGAGTGCAGGGGCGCGATCTCGGCTCACTGCAAGCTCCGCCTCCCGGGTTCACGCCATTCTCCTGCCTCAGCCTCCCGAGTAGCTGGGACTACAGGCGCCGCCACCGCGCCCGGATAATATTTTGTATTTTTAGTAGAGACGGGGTTCCACCGTGTTAGCCAGGATGGTCTCGATCTCCTGACCTTGTGATCCGCCTGCCTCGGCCTCCCAAAGTGCTGGGATTACAGGCGTGAGTCACCGCGCCCAGCCAAGAAGCTTTAACCAATAAAAATGCTGTAACTGTCTCGAGGCCGAGCGCTGTGGCTCATGCCTGTGATCCCAGAATTTTGAGAGGCCGAGGTAGGCAGATCATTTAAACCTAAGAGTTCAAGATCAGTCTGAGCAACGTGGCAAAACCTCGTTTCTACCAAAAATACGAAAATATTAGCCAGGCATATTGGTGCACACCTGTAGTCCCAGCTACTAGGTAGGTGGGAGGATCACTTGAGCCTGGGACATTGAGGTTGTAGTGAGCCATGAGTACACTGCAGCCTGGGCAACTGAGTGAGACCCTTATCAAAACAAAACAAAACAAAACAATAGAAAACAAAAAACAACAACGACAAAGTCTAAATATTCTATATATACATGAATTAGAGACATAGACTAGCATTGTGCTTGACAGTGGGCTCCCCAGCTTGACATTAAACCGGGCTGAGAATCCAACCTGGCCACTTATTAGCAGTGACACATAAGGCGCAATACTTAACCTCTCTCTGTCTCAATTCTCCTACCTGCAAAATAAAGATAATAAAAGCACATGCCTTATTGTTGTGAAATGAAATGACTTAATATTTGTAGGATGATTAGAATGGTATTGCATTGTAAGCATGCAATGATAGTCTACATATTCAACATAATAATAATAGGCGGGGCACAGTGGCTCACACCTGTAATCCCAGCACTTTGGGAGGCCGAGGTGGGTGGATCATGAAGTCAGGAGATTGAGATCACCCTGGCTAACATGGTGAAACCCCATCTCTATTAAAAATACAAAAAATAAGCCGGGCGCGGTGGCACGTGTCTGTAGTCCCAGCTACTCAGGAGGCTGAGGCAGGAGAATCGCTTAAACTGGGAGGTGGAGGTTGCAGTGAGCAGAGATCATGCCACTGCACTCCAGCCTGGGAGACAAAGCGAGACTCCATCTCAAAAAAATAATAACAAAATAAAATAATAATAATAGTGAACATTCTTGTTATGCATATTCTTCTTTCCAAATTGGCCTTTTCCCTAACTTGATTTATTTTGGTCTAAATGAGTCCCTAGGCTGAGCTCAGTAACCAACTTTTTCATGAACAATAATTTCACTCTCTTGCTTAAAAGTTTCCAATGTGCTAATTTTAATTGACACCCCCGAAGAGAGCACTTTTGGTTCAAGCCCTTCCAACAATCACCCAGTTGCTATCTATCTGTGTCTGTTTTTTTAAATCCTTTCAAACACTTTGAAATTGTGCTATTTATCTGCTTTTTTTTTTTTTTTTTAGTCCGCTCACGTAAGCTGTAAATGCTTTCAGAGCTGGGACTCTACTTTTGTGTTACAGTAGTTCTTATGCTAAGAATTCTGTCTGACCTGCAGGAGAATATCAAAAATACTGCCTGGATCAATGAAAAAATCATTTATTTCTATCATGATGGAAATGGTCATTACTTATTCCAAACAATGATACTTTATCTCATACCTTTCTTCATATATCTTACTTTCTAGCTTATATTGAGATAGTTTGTGAATACAGTTGACCCTTGAACAACATGGGGGTTAGGAAAACATCCCTCCTGTGTAGTAGAAAATCCACATATAACGTTTGACTTTCCCAAAACTCAAGTACTAATAGCCCTCTGTTGACTAGGAGCCATACTGATAACATAAACAGTCAGTTAACACGTATTTTATATGTTATATCTATTATACACTGTATTTGTACAATAAAGAAACCTAGAGAAAACAAAATGTTATTAGGAAAACCATAAGGAGGAGGCGAAAAAGGAGGAGGTGAAAAAGGAGGAATTGGTCCTCCTGTCTTGGGCTGGGAGACACTGAAGAAAATCAGTGTGTGAGTGCACCCTCATAGTTCAAACTCGGGTTGTTTGAGGGTCAAGTGTATATCTTACTTTGCCTTTCAGATTCTGAAGCTCATTGAGATCAAGACCAAATTTTATTCATCTCTATTCATCTTTTATAGTACTTTGCAAGTACTTTTTCATATATTACATTATCAATAAATATTTGTAGACTAGATGAATTAGGAAATGTGTGCCAAATCTTTCTATAGCCAAGTAAATAGCCAAGTGAATGTATTAAAATACATTAAATGTATTTTAATGGCTCTAGATTTATAGTTAAATATCTTCAAGGAGTTAGACTTCAAAGCACACAGGTGTTAGATTTGAAACAAACCATTGTATTCCAAAAACCCACCAAAAATGTATTGCCCACCTAGATATGGCATATGCATTAAATCTGTCAATGATTTTTTTTAGTGATACTGGTTATAACATAAGAAACAAGGTACAACTATCTACACAGCCCAGAAATAAGAATCAAGCAAGTCACATAAATGAAAAATAAATAACAAGAGGAATAAAATAAACACATGAGACAAAAGCTAGTAATAATCATTGTCTTTAAATCAGGAATAGTTAAACTTAGGAATGCTTGAAGTAATGCTGACCGGGTTATTACTAGCTCCTAAGGCTATTCATCTGGGTTGTTGAAAGCACTATTTCATATTGTTGCTTATTCACATTTAATGGAAAATAAATGACAAAGTCACCTATGGAAAAGGATTTTCAAGCATTTTTTTAAAGTTTTGTCATAAAGTTCACGTTTAAAAAAACTACTTGCAATTATATATATTTTGCATATTTTATCTTGAAATAAGAGTACAGAATTTTCAAGTTATCTGAACCAGAAATTTTATCTTAAATATTGTTTTAATGAGAGGTTATTGCAAATTGGCTGGTTTAATTTACGTTTCATGGTATCATTTTGGTGAATGTGTCAGAGACACTACAAGCATAGCCCAAGAACTCTTCAACAAGGAGACTGAAATGTATACAAGGACATTCAAGATTCATTTAAAAACTCAGGATCAATTTGTTCTACATAGAAAGACACTTTTATATAACACAAAGCTATTTTTTATGTTAAAAATATTTTTAAATATTTTTTATTGAAAAAATAAAAGTGTAGATTTCAAGTATTTATAAACTTCTTGTTTAAATACATATTTTTCAGTTGAACAATTTTACAGGACTACATTGAGACATTTCTCGTTGCATATTCAAAGCTGTCTAGTATGTGGCTTATAATATCGATTACTTCTTTTCTTTTAATATTCCAAATTATCCTGCCTTTATTCTAGCTACAGCATCTCTTTGATGTATTACTAAAACAATGTCTTCATTTGTTAATGTCTGCTCCATGGTCAGTGCTTCCTATTTCTGTCCCCACCACCCTCCATCATTAAGCACAGTCTAAGCAATGCTGATATTATGATCTTTCATTACTCTGGTGGAAACCATAAATAACTCCTCACAATTGCCTAGATAATATAGTGAGAAATCTTTCAGCTGTGCATAGCAAAGAGGCCATGATTTAGTTCTCTTCAGCAGCGTTTGCTGCAAGTTCTTTCGAATTTTTTTGCTCCAGCAACCAACTGCGTAGAGGGTTCCTAAACGTGTCAAGCAATTTCATGACTCTTGCATTTCCATATTCTGTCTCTAGTTTTTTGAAATACCTCCTACCATTTACTGGTTTGGCAAAGTACTACTTATTCCTTGGAACCAGCTGAAGATTGAACTCATCTCTGAGGAATTACTGGACATATGTAAGCAGAATTGAAGGCTTTGCTCCCTGTGATTCTAAAATATTCTGTATGAACTAACTTGTTTTACTAAACTTGCTACTCTGCACTGTAATTGTTTGTGTTCTTGTGCATCCTACCAAAGCCTGAGCACGTGAAGTGTGCTGCTATATCCTATTCTTCGAATGTTTCTTAAATAAAAGGATTGATGGAGGGATGATACTTGATCTCCTACTCGTCGAACGTTTCTTAAATAGAAGGATTGATGGCTGGATGATACTTGAACTTTTACTAAAATGGTGACACTATACATTTTGTGTAAGTTGACACATTTTAAAGAAATAAATACATCAATAAATCTCTAATATTATTACTATACCTTGTACATCAACAAGTCCTACAACATTTGAAATAACTGACATCTCAGCAACTGATTTACTTCCTAAGTTGTCTCCATTGTTGAGGTCAATTTAAAGATCTCCTTTGAAACATGGATTTAGAAAGATGCAGGAAAGTAATGAGTATAGAGGTTTATTTTTCATTTTGTAAGGTTTATTCATCTAATCACAACATGGAAGTTAAAAATTATTTAAATGTGCTTCTAGTATTTTTATTTTACACCTAGAAGGCATCTCATATTATACTGCAAGCTGCCAGAATGTGTGACTTTTCTCTAGGTATATTTCTAATAAGGAGGCACTGACAGAAATGGAGTGGCAGAGGGTGATGTTAAAGTCAACTACTCAGTCACACACGTGCTCCTAGCAATGCATTAGTGTTCAGGAACCAAATTACATGCCACTGAGTTCAATCCTAGAAAACCGATACTGATGACAGTGTAATCAATTGAAAACATGTCACCAAGTTTGGTTATCAATGATTCTTGGAGTCATAGTAGCAGCATATTTTCATTAAGAAAAAATACATACACAAGCTAGTACCCTTTCTACTCATAAGAGAAAAAAAACCCACAAGCAGTTTGCTAGGTATTTTTAGTATAAGACTCTGTCATGCATGTGTTAGCCAAGAGGACAGTAAACATCTATGAACTTTGGTCTTCAGTTTTTCTCACATAGGGAGAGCATTCGCTGAAGTGTAAAGAGGAGAAAATAAAAATAACTTCAAAGAAAGCTGGAAGCAAGGAGATTAGCAGGGATAAAATGAACAACTGGGAGAATGCCTACAGTATCACAACTCTGCACATCACTTCAGTTTTCCTCAGGTAATATTCAGTAGCAATTTCACAGTTTCAGAAGCCCAATACTTTTTTTCTGTGTGCAGGACTCTTGCACAGAAAGCAATAACTTCTCAAAAACAACCATCGTGCAATCTCTTTTGTCAATAAAAGGCAACAATGCCTGAAGCATGATATCTAAATATGCCTTAAATCACTCATGGGGCTATCCTATTAACAGTGCAATGCAGGCATAGGACCTTGTTTTATGTCAATATTATGGATTTCATTTTCAATTTAAACAGGTATTCAGAAGATCTCTCATGAGTTATTTTATGACTATTTCTTTCACCATATGTTTGCATGTAATTCCATAGATATAAATCTTCTGAATATGGCCATAAGAAATTGAATTTTCTGAATATTTTCACAGATTTGATGTATCCTTACTATAACAACAGGACCAGCCCAACCCGGGCCTACTTTGTTGATGACAGAATGCCAAGTTACCTTGTAGGAATAACAGAGTCAAAATTGCCAATCATGTAGCCCAAGCATGCACAACAGAAAAAGTTTTGACCTTTAGCAACACCCAGAACCCATGATTCCTCCCTGTGGAACCAAGAAGACCAGGATACAACCAGAACCTAAACCCTGGAACCGTTTCAAAAGCCAGGGGTCCACTGGCCCAAAAGATCAGGAGCTAAAATCCTCCTCAACATGGCTTACCATAAATGGTCAAATTTGAAGACCTTCAATTAGACTCTGCCAAATCAACATTTCTTAATCCTTTCCCTTGTCCTCTGGCCCCTTAAAACTTTCCCCAGACCCCAAATTAGTAAGACAGATTTGAGTTGCATCACCTGTGCCCTTGCTGGCCAGCCTGGCAAAATAAAGACTTTCTTTTCACAAAAGCCATTGCTAGAGTATTGGTTTCTATCTGTTGTGGGCAGTGAGCTCATATTTGCTCAGTAATATTGCTAGATAATGGATCACCACTGATTCTTGGATTTTCACACGTCTTTAAAAGCTGGAAGCAAAGACTGTGTACTACTCTACATCTAGCTGATTAAAAGCATACATGGGGATAATAAAAGAACAGGAGACACAAACAAATTTGTTCAAATAGATGACTTGGGTAAAATCCATGGTTTCTTTGACTGTGTGGTTCTCTATATTTGGACAAACCCTGGTACAAATGACATTGTGTGAAGATGCTTGGCCACTGGTGTACATTTCTAAGCCTCAGTGTTTTTGCTGAATCCACTGGGACTGGGAAACCAATTTAGACCTAAGTGAATTATTTGTTTCAGTTCAAAGTTATCAGTTGGTGTTACTAGCTTGGAACAATAAAGTAGGCTCATTAAGAAAGTAGATAACTATTTTAAGACCAAGAATAGGAAGAATTAAGATTTTAGGAAGATAGAAAAGCATTCAACAAATATGATAAGTACTTTGCATTCTTCCACATGAAGGAGATAGAAATATAAGACACAGTCTTCTTCTCAGGATTAAAGTAAAAATACAGATATTACGAAACAGTGCAATGCAATATGAAAAGTAACAGAATCCAAGTACCTATGAAGGGCATAGAAGATAAATGATTCAAATATGACTTAGAAGGATCAGAGCATGTGCTACACTAGATAAAAATGTTTGCACATGAATCAATAATTTGAACACTAGCAATTCTGACTTTATGATATTTTACCTAACTCTACTCTTATCTTCCCCCAAAACAATATGACTTATGCTTTAGAAAAATTTCTCAAAGAGACTAAATTACTTTCTAGTTTTTTGCTTTGGTTTGTGCCATTCACACTGCTTGAATTCTACTTTACTTGCAACTAGTTTTTTTTAATCTATCTTCTATGTTATGTAAGTGCCTCATTAATTCACCAGTAGCTCTCCTGATAATATTTAGTTGCTTTCCTTGTATGCTACCTGAGCACTTTATATTCATTTCTACTTCATATTTCATCAACAACTTAGCTGTAGGCTTTCTTTTCCAGGCAGTATAATTATTGAGGATAAGGATGCACCTCATTCTTCTTTATAATTGCCTCAGGGCTTCATATATAGAAGGTGCTCAATAAATGTTTATTAGATGAATACATGACTGCATGCGTGGAAGTACTCAAGATTATTTGAGTAGTTAGTGACCTCCACAGTGTGATACGAAGTTTGCCACCCTTATCTATTTGCCTTTGCTTAAAGCCATTTTTCCTGGTTTTGAAATAGTCCTATCCTTGAACATTGACTACAAAAACTACCCAAACATTATCAGTGAGGATTTAGTGAATACAGAAAACTTTCTAACACAAATTAGGATGCCAAATTTAAGGTAACTCATAGGTTGCCAAGACAACATTTCTTCAGTCTCACAGTTTTACTGAAATCTAATTCTGAAAACTCCTTTATAGAGAATTTCATGTTCTACCTCACAATGCTTAATGTTTATTTTAATGACATCCTCAATATCTCTTTATAGATATCATCTAACTCAGTGATTCCATCTAATGATGCCCGTGAACTCTGGAGGGGTTCTTATAATACTTTATGCTACAGTGCTATAGACCATCTGAAAAAAAAAAAAAAGAAGAAGAAAGCGTACGATAGTCACACTGATAAAAGAATGCTAAAAGTATGGTGAATGCTTTCTTTTGTTGAGCCCATTTCAGAAATGAACTATTATTATCCAAGCTATGGTCTTCTTAAGGCTGAGTGGAATCAAGACATAAAATAAAACTAAAATAAACCACTTGCAGCAGGCCACTGAAATTGCCAGTCATTCTCAAAACAGCTTTCTATAACCAGAGTAGAATTTTTGCTTAAATTTTCAATTCTGTCTAGTTTCCCCAGGTAGACAGAGGCTAAGGGGTTGGACAATTCACAGAAAGAAAAACATTTACAAGGCGTAAAGCTAATAACTAGCATGTAAGGGGAGTTTTTTTCTCTGATAATCCAACTACTTTTAAAATTAAACCTTATATAAAGAGATGTGTAAAAATATGAACCACTACTGCTATTCTTACTATTTTTTGTTTAGAGAACACGGCTATTTTTCATTAAACTGTTATTGTGTTTATCTACTTGTGTTTATTATGGCTGTCTAAAATAAAATTGTAAGTGATTTCATTTAAGTTAGTTGCCTTCATTTTAATTATTTGACCTAAATAAATGTGGGTTTTTGAAAGGGATTCAGATCCCAGGCAGAAAAAGGATTAAGATATTAACGATGTTGCTAATGTCACAGAGAGGAGATTTCAGATTTCACTGTAGCTTAGTCTCTTGTGACATTCTGGATGCTTTATCATTTGTAGTGAATTTCAAACATGACCACCATAATTCATAGCTCCTTCCATGAAAACATGGGAGGGGGGACTCGTTTTTTCCATATATTGAATACAAGTTTGTCTTCAGACTGGCTTTGATAAAAGAAATGAGTCAAAAATGTAATTGCCCCTCTGAATCTAGGCTTCAAGAGGACTTGCAATTTTTATTAAGTTCTTGGAACTCCTACCATCTGCTGCCATGTGAACAAACTCTCCCTAGACTGTTGGATGATGAGAGACATGGTATAGCCACCTTCATTAGCCAGGCTAGTAGAGAGAGAAACATCAGCTGTGACAATAAGACCATTTCAGATATCATGGCCCATGACCAAGTCCATTACTGACCACAGAAGCACGAGTGAGCCCAGCAACGATCAGCTTAGTCTGACAAGATCAGCAGAAATGCTCACATGACCAACAGACTCATGAACAATGATAACGATTAGTTTTAAGCACCAACTTTGTGGGTGGTTTGTTACATGTCATAAACCAGCTGATGCAATCTTCATTTTTACATTCAATGACTATACTGTTGAGCACCAATTTATTTATGGTATGTAAGCCATTGTATTAAGAACTGGAAATACAGAAGTGAACAAGTCATAGTCGCTGGCTTCAAAGTCATCACCACCTTTTGGGAGACACATTTAAGCAAATAAGCATCTTAACACAATACAATACGTACTATGATAGGGACAAACAGAGTGTTCTATGGGCCATCCAAGTGCTCCATCCAAGAGTGTCCATGAAACTGTCCATCCAAATTATGCACATATAAATGACTTCTTATTTACAGACTTCTATAAAGTCAAAATAGCCAAACTGATATTCTGTTTAAATGCAGTGTGCTGAACTAACCCTCTTCCTTTCTCAATTACTAAATAAAAGAATTAAACAAAAATTACATCACATTCTACTCTTCCTGGTTAGAAAAAGCAGAGCTCTTTACAATCAGGCAGGGAGAGGAAAAAGCCAACTTTTATTCAAAACCATAATGCAGGTTTCTAGTATTACAAAAAGTACAAAATCAAGGCCATGCCAATGGAATTATTTATTCCAATTTGACTTAGATTCTCTAGTTCCATGGAATGAAACTGTTTCCCTTGACTAGATGCTCTTATTTCTTAATTATTTAGAAAGAAAATTAGAAACAGTTTTCTTTGGTGGGGAAAGTGAACTCATGCTGATGCTCACATATGGAACTGGATTTAATTCGCTTATTCTTCCTTGCCTTCACTTTCAACCAATAATGTCCAAGGAAAATCTCATTATTCTTCAGGGAAGATCTCCATATTCCCCATTTGTGGTCAAGTGTTTGATCTGGTTCTGGAAGAGCCTCAGGATGCATGTTTGGTGAGGCTGGGGAAGGGTTAGCATTTCCTAGTCCTAATCATTGTGAGAGGTTCTAATGGAGTTAGTACTAGAGAAGCAAAGGCTTCCTTGTCTGTCTCACTGGATTTGGGCAGTAATGATAAAAGCATGTGCAAGCATTGGTCTCATCCCACTCCCATGACGACCAACTCAGAGACTGACAATCTGTAAATACAGGATTCTGACTCACTTGCTTACACAAAGATTCAATTTCTATGCTCAATGTTTGAAGTTATTCTCATCAGCTAACCCGAAGTAGAAGATATCTGTTATAGATGTAGATGCAACTTAGGAAAAGATTGTGTTCCCATGGTTAAGGTACAGTTTGGGAGTTGGAGACGTCAAATATTTTACCATATAAAAACTATTTTCAAACAAAAGGTTAAGCCCTCTCAATTATTTCAATTAGGTTGAACATTGTTTATAGAATTTCACATCAATTTCTACCTAAGGTAGAAATCAGCTAGATTGTACTAGGTACATGTTGTTCAACCTTGATAGCAATAGTCTGTTGGGAGAGGCAAGTCTGAAAGTCAGGAAGTTTTAAAATTTTTAGCTTCTGTACAGAATGAGACACTAATATTCTTAGACTCTGCACATAAAGATTCTTTAATGCAAATAGGAAATATAAACACTTATGTATAGTCCTGGTTGTGGAAACATTATTCTTAATGTATAAAGTAACAAAAGGGAAATATACAATTTTATTGTATTTGTACAAAAAAACCCATCATGTATTTTTTTCATGTTATAATTAAACACACGTAAACCTAATAGTAACAGAAAGAAATTGATGCCAGTTACTTAACTATGTTATCAGTTGACAATCAAGTGGCTCTTCTTGTAGATCAAGTAGGGGAACACTCTTTTAACCATAATTTCTTCTAAGTAATCTCTTATAAAAGACATTCCATTAGATATAGTTTATATTTTTATTGCTTTATTCTTTAGTGCTGGCTTATGTACTGATATTATGGAAAACCTAAGGGAATCTTCGTGGTGTGATACATGCAATGTGAATTCCTTAGTAAATTTAATATTATAGTAACCATTCTGGTTTCTAGAAGTGAAACAAGTTGATATGGTCAAATAATTGCCAGGAGCCAGAAGTAATGATGTAAACCTATACATTTTTTAAGTGATGTTGATGTTATACAAAATCTATAGCAGTCACAGTTTGAAAATATCAACTTGAAAATATGTCTCATTCAAATACTAGAGTAAACATTTGATATGCAGCTAATCTTTAAGTTTCTTGTTTTGCTTTTTCTCACATCAGCAAATGTGCAGTCAATACAGTATGTGCAAAGACTCATATACAATTACGTATATAACAGATTGTAAATACCCTTTCACTTTATTCAATGTGCAAATACTATAGTAAACATTTGATATGCAGCTAATCTTTAAGTTTCTTGTTTTGCTTTTTCTCACATCAGCAAATGTGCAGTCAATACAGTATGTGCAAAGACTCATATACAATTATGTACATAACAGATTGTAAATACCCTTTCACTTTCCTCTGATTAAGATATTTTTATGTGCACAGAATATTCATGAATAAACACATGATACCCAAAGAAGGTTACAGATAGGAATAAATCATCTTTATTTTAATGAAGCAAACTTCTTCTTGCACTTCTAACCCTTGTGCTCAGATTAAAGAGTAAACGAAAGCACTTCCTAGACTAGTTTCATAAATGTATACACATACACGAACACACACACTCACATACTTGGATTCACTTGTGTGTCAGCCCTCTGCCAGAAAATGTCCAGGATGCAGGGACTATGAGTCTAATTATGTAACTACTCATGGGGGAGGCATCCTTTTCTAGGGTGAGTGCAATGAGAGAAGGGTACATAGGTTATCATGGGGATGCTGGGGGAGGAATGAAACTCAACCTAGCAGAAAGAAGACTTGGGAAGGAAATGACATATGAGTCCGCACCTGGCCTAGTGCCTGGCTAGAATAAACACTAGAGAAATTTTTGTCTAGTAGATTCTTGAAGATGCATTGAAGCAGTTACATGTAATTAGTATGGACCTTCATACAAAATCAATTGAATTACCTCATTTTATTTTTGTTGCTGCCCTAGAAAAGTATGCCTTTGGTGCAATTATTTTGATCATTTTGATTTAGTATTGTAATAATTTTTAATTGTTAATTGTGACAAATGAAGAGCTCCTGGCAGGACAAGAAATGTCAGCTCCAATATTCCCTTATTTTCTTATAGAAAAGTCTTGACTCTGTGGTTTCTTTGTATGTACTTTCTAGGCCATGGGGTTATTTGTGATGGTTAGTTGATGGAAAATTCTAATAATATAATCCACTAATTTAGTTAAGCAGGTAAAGATAAACTACCATACACTGAAAGAGATTTAATAAATGAGGACATTATGTTCAAATTTCCCTCTGTGAAGCATTTATTCTTTCTTCTTGATAATGCAAATTCTTTCGAGTCATGTGAATTGAACTGACATATTGAGCAAGAAATCACACCAATTCCCATCTGCATATTGAATACAAGAAAAGCTCAAATTATTCCTTACCATTTTAGAGAAAATAAATAGAATTTCTAAATCATCTTTTTGGCCCACAATGCATTATCTTGCATGCCCCAGGGAATGCAAAGTTTCCACTGGTCTGGAACCAAAAAAAAAGAAAAATTTATTGCTACCCAGTAGGTATACACACACACCTGAACCAGTTGGATCATATCTGACTTTTACTAAATGCAAAGCTCTCTGTAATATTCTACATAGCATGTTCTATTTCATTAAAAACACTCATCGAGATCTACTAAACTAATTGTATAATTTATTAATGAGTGTCTATCTGCAGTTTTAAAAATATTGTTCTTGGCAATGGAGAGACATTGAAAGTTGTGAAGCATAGTGGTGTTACTGTCACGTGTTCAGAGTTCTTTCTGGTATGTGAGTGGACACAAGTCTAGGTAGAGAAACAAGTAAGAGGCAGTTGTAATACTTCTTTCAAAAGATAATATTAAACAAATCAGAGCAGTGTTAGTAGGAAATGAGAGGAGAGTTTTAAAACCCAGGAAATATTTAGTATGTATATCAACAGGACTTTGTTATTTAAGGGGTATAAGTAGCTGGAGAGTTGCAAAAGGACAAGGAGAGAGACAAACCAAAGATAGAGCCCAGTTTTAGAACATGACTGACCTAATGAACGCTGATGTTGCCGAAAAGATACAATAAATGTGAGAGAACGATCCAGGTTAGGTCAAATTTGAAGCATCTATCTACTCAGAGATATATAGCTGGCATTTGGCATTTGGACGTTAGATCTGAGGTTCTGCTAGGAATTCTGAGAAAGAGATCTAACTATGCAAGTCATCAGCATAAAGGGGTTATTTATAAGTGTGAACAAAGATGACATCACCCAAGGAGATATTGCAGAATGAAAATAGCAGACCCTAGTGGCAGAACTCTGAAGAAAGCTAATTATCTACAGACAAAGCAAGAGGAGTCTCCAGAGAAGAGAGCGTGGAAACCGGGGAACCAGGAGATTGTGACAACTCGGAAGGCCAATGAATGATTTCCAGATATAAGGAGGGATCAACAGTGTCAAAGGCATCAGAGAAGGCTGTTAATACCTGACCAATGAAGGTTCATTGTGTTCAGAATTACAAAGCCGTTGCTGAAAAGAGAGGCATTTCTGCAAAAACACCTGGGAAAGAAGCCACATTGCCATGGATAGAGTAGCAGGCGTGGAGACACTGCTTACATAGTACTCTAGTGAGAAGTTTGAAGGTGAATGGAACAGAAAAAAAATATGTAATAAAAGAGTCCTACGGAGTCAAGGGAAGGTTCTTTTATTGTGAGAGTTTGTTTTGTTTCCATTTTTGTTCACAAGTAGACTAACATTTTCTACAGTACATTGGGGAAGGGAATAAAACTGGTGAAGTAAGGTCTTAACGTCAAAGAGAGAGGATGTTTTCTCATAGCAAAATATACTCCTCTACATCGCAAGGTATCTTTAGTCTCAATTGGAATTCCTGCTATACATTCAGATTCTGAGTGGGCTCTGATTCAAGGGAGGGGAACATAGATCCCACGTCCTGATACAAGGAATGTATATTCTACTCTTAGACCAGTAGAAAATGGCAAAAGAGAAATCGTGCTATTTTCTGGGTCCAGGTCTTAAGAAATAGGCAGCTTCCATTTCCCATCTCTTGAAACGGTCAGTCTGGGAGCTTTTTGCTGCCATGTGAGATGTCTAAATGCTCTGACAGGATCATGCTGAGATGGTCAGGTGTAAATACTGTGGTCAACAGTCCCAGCTGAGCCCTGCCTTCCAGCCATCTCAGCCAAGGCATTAAGTTTGTGAGTAAAGCTGCTTCAACCTTCTGTATTATTTCTTGAGGCTGCTGAACAACAATTGCTGGCCTTGGTCAATGACATATAGAGTAAAAAAAATCACCCAGCTGAATCCTTACCCACAAAATCATGAACTATGATAAATAGTTTTTGTTTTAAGCTGCTAAGTTTTGGGGTAATTTGTTGGGCAGCAGTAAGTAATGGAACATATATTATAAAAAATACTGACTATTCTATTTCACATATTCACTCATGACTCAGATTAACTAATTAAATATACATGTTGTAAACAGGTACAGAAAGCATTTCCTATTCACCCCTCAACTATTTTATTGGTAATTATACACCTTACCTTTTTATTGATATGACACCTAAGGAAAAAAAATGATAGAATTTTTCAGTATTTGATTTTGTTTCATTCAATAGTAATATATGACTATTTTATTTTAAACATTAAAAATGCAATATTTACCATATTTAGGTTTGACACCAAAGAAAATGAATAATGATTAGAACATTAATGTTTTTTAAGGCACGTCTATACTTTTAAGTAATGTTTCTTTATAAATATAAATAATAATAAATATATATCACTGTGTATTGATAAATATTTCCTTGTTGATAACACATACTTCAAAAAGACTTGTGGAAATGAATTAATAATCTCATATTGCACAAAATTATCACGAAACCTGGTTACATCTTCTAAATAATGCTGCTGCTTCTCACAGTACTCATTTTGAAAAAGAAAATATCTGGGTAAGAGGCTTTATTTTCAAAGTAGATTATTTAGGCATTTTTTTTCTCATGGAAATTGGGGCCACTTGAACAATGTAAATGGTATAAAAAGCTCCACATGGTCCATTTTCCTTCATTTTTGTGTAGTTTCCTGCAGACTATAATAACAAATTGTTTTATGACTTAAATAACATTGAGTGTGAGCATTTCACTGTGGTAAATTTGGGCACAAACCACAGGAAGTTGTGATGCAGTAAATGGAATTTTTCCCATCGAGTCAGGGTTATCTCTAGTATCCCGCAATGTGCTAGGACTCATCCTGCTGCTGACATGAATTCTTTTAGGGAAAAGCCATTAAGAAAAAAAAATAGAGTCTGTATCTTCATTTTCAAGTTTTCCTCATCTCCTTATTACACTGAGGATGAAAATTTGTGTATATAACTACAGGCATGAGTTTTGTAAACATCTCTCAATAGAGAGGGGGACAAATGGGTAAATGAGAAAGTCTCTTTCTACAATTGTTCAGAATGTTAGATCAGATGATATTAGGAATTTTAACTAGTGGCAGGTAAATTGATTATTCCACATGATATAATAAATTTAAAGCAAATAATCTCTGTGCAATCATCTTCTAAGATAAAAGGCAGTTATTTTGACATTAAAAGGAACAAGTTTAGGAAATTAAAAGTTTCTTAAAAATGAAATTCATATAAAATTGCTTATGACATTATTTCTGCTTACATTCTATATTGAGTGCACACTAATTTGGCTAACAGTATTATGGGCAATGCTATTATTTTATTCTATTATAGTTTAAAACAAAATATGCTTTTGGTTATAATTTTTATTGCTTGGAATGCAATGAAAAAATGCTGAAAAATAATGCTATATAAAGCAATCTTGGGCTGAATTGCCCTTTTATTAATTATTATTTCTCTGCTTAATAAAAACTAATTAATGATAACTACATTTGAAGAGATATTTTTGTGTAAGTGATCATACATAGAATAATCTTTTTGGTGTATGGTTTACTATAAATATCTGAGAAAACAGAAACTTTTCATAATATGTGCTTTCTACACAGTAAAGAAATATCTTGAATTTCAAAGGATTACATACTATAAAGATTTTTAAAATTTAATCTTATGTAAGCAATTTTAACAATAGCATTACTAGAAGAGGAAGGCTAGTCTCTACTAATTTATATAAGAATTCTTACTCTGTTCTTTTTCAGTAGTGAATTCACAATTAACTGATTTAGTTAGATGAAGCCCAAAAGCAAAGGCTCATAAATCCTTTATTCAGTGGACAGATACTTGTTAAATGCCTAATATGTATCAGAGACAGAGTCATAAAAAAAATCTGAAGTATTTAACCTTGGGAAACTTATCCTTTAATGGTGAAAATATAGAGTAGAGATAAATAAATGAAATGCAGTGTGCCTGGTTGCAAGTGCTAAGAAGGATATTAGAGCAGGGTAAAGGGTATTGGTATGATGGTTCTAGGAAGAGGAGTATTCCACCTTAAATGGTTTAATCAGGGAAAATCTCTCTGAAAAGGAGACTGTTGGGAAGAGCAGAGTGAAATGAGCGAATTAGCCATGTAGACAGACATTCTCTACTAAGGAAATAGTAAGGAACAATGACATTCTATTTTCTTACTAAGAAAGTAGGATATGCAAAGGGCTGAGAAATGGGGAGGCCTCACAGCACATCCATGAGACCCAGCTACCTCAACAGATGAACCAAGGGAGAGGAAGGTGATGAGGGCAGAGACCTAGAAGGCCATGGTGAGAACTTTGAGACTGATTCTCGGGAATATAAGCCATCACCATGTTTTGAGCAGAAGAGTGACATTTTGTCTTTGGTTTTGAAAAGAACACTTTGGCTCTTCTGAATAATTAGATACATAATGTGGATTTATGTTGGTCGTTAATAACAAAGAAAAGTAAATTCCAATTTCTCATGTTGTGAATCATTATAAGAAAATGAGACAAATCCAGCTCAAAGATTCAATTTAATAGATAGTTTTCAAGATATTTGCAATACATTTTATGGATCTAATTGTACTCAATCTTGAGGTCTTGTCATTATCATAAGCCCTAATGTCAAATATGAAAATCAGCATTTCTCAATAGGGAATTCTGAAAAGTTCTTGGGTGATCTTCCATTAGCATCACTTTTATTTCCATTTATAGTCTTGCATGTCTTTCAAGGTCTAAATTGCTATTCATCTAGCTCTCACCCGGCTATGAGTAATTTCTAATAGACAGATCCCCAGTTAGCCTCTGCATAGCGAAAAGCATGTGATGTGGTAATTGAATCTCAATTAGCTTACATCATATCTCTTACAGAATTTCAAAACATGATTGTTACCATATTAAAGGCTCAGAGGAAAGAGGACAAGTATTTTTCTTTACAGTTTACTATGAACAGGGATCATCTACCTGTACAGGAATCGTATTTTTTATCAGATCAAAATAAAATGAAGCCCATAAAGAATAAGGTATCCTCTTCTATGGGCTGTCAGAAAATACCATTGGGCACAAGACACATTTACTTTGGAGTACAGATACAGGTGATACTACCATTCACAAGAAGCCACACCACAGGCTCTCTCTCTTCTCACTTTAGACTCTGTGATTTGCTTCAACTCTGAAAAAATTAGAATAAAGTGTGGCTTCTTATTAGAAAATCACTCAGCTGGCCTTACTTTAATCTCTCTTAGACTTGAGTTCACAAAGAAAACAGAGTGGCATTCAGGTAGACAACAGAACACCAGATAAGTTGGGGGCAAAGATAAATCCAAGCGAATTTATAGGAAAACAGGTAGAGAGTCTTTAGAATCAGATGAGATGCAAACTAATGGCAGTTTACACCGTAGGTTGCCCTCCCTAGTAGAATTTCTAACATACTATTTCTTTAAAAAAGATATTGTAAAAGAAGAAAAGTATTATTAAGATCAGCAGCCTACATGAAGTTTTGAAATTCTCAAGGAAAAGAGTTACTGTGCAGGTCTCAGAATAGTCACTATTGTTCCTTCATTTCTTCCAAAGTTTTCAGTGAAATGAACAAAAGGTTTTATGTGAAAAATCAGATATTTCCTAGGAATAAAACTTCTCACTATAACAAGAATAATAAAACAAATAATACTAGTCCAGGTATATTTTTTTTAATCTCATGAATTACAGCCAAGTTAAGTCAAAAATGTGAGATGAAGAAAGGATTCTACATAACCTGTACTTTTCAGTTTAACTAGTATATATTGAGTACCTATTATTTGACAGGCGTTATTCTAGGTTTTAGGAATACAGCTTTGAACAAGAAGTGCTTGCTTTCATGAAGCTCACATCTAATGACAGACACATCATAAAGAACTCAAAAAATCAACAAAAAAGAATAAAGAATATTTCAGATTGCAACAAATGCTGAAAAAAGAGTAGAAATAGAGAAAAACTGTGAGAGTTACTAGTTGAATTGGGTCATATTTTGGATTCAGGAGTCAGGGAAGGTATTCCTGGAGTGTCAGTTAAATTGAAATAGAAAAGACAAGAGGGAGTCTCTGAGAGGTGTTCTTGGCAGAGGACACGGAAAATGCAAAGCCCCTAGGAGAGACAAGTCTTCAGGCATGAAGAAAGCTGGCATAGCTGGAACATATAATGTGACGGAGGCAGTGGTAAGAATTGACTCAGTAAATGTAAGCAGGGATGAAAATTTGAATTTTATTTTAGTCTGTGGAAAAGCTTTGGAGAGTTTTAATCTGACAACAGGCCTGCTTTGATTGATGTTATATAAAAGTTACTGCCTGAGCTTTCTGTGACCAAGGTTTAAGTGGAGGCTTGGTTAGGACCATAGTTTAAGTAAAAGTCAAGGATGTCCCAGATTAAGAAATTTAAAGAGAGTGTTGGATAAAATATTTTAAATAAAATAAGAAATAAAACATTTAAAAAAAAAACTCTTAAGCACTTTCAAAACATCCACTAATACATGTACAATTAAAGTGCTAATTACAGATCATTCTGAGCCTTTGATTAATATTGGCTCCCTAAGGAGTCTTATTAAGCAAATATTTGTACAGTTAAGATTAATTGATTTTTTTTGACAAACAGGCTTTTTACAAGCATATGCACCAAGCATAAGAGAAGGATCATGTGCAGAACATTATCTCAGTTACCTAGATGCCTTCAGAGTCCTGGAAACTAGGAGCAGAATCCATTCAAAACACGATGCAAAATTAGAACTACCTGTTCTTGTTGTCATCTTTAATAATGCTTAAAAACTTTATGAAGATTCTGTTACGATATCCTTTAGATAAGAGAATAAACGTGGTGGTTTAAAGTGTGTTAAACATCTTAATGTTTGAATTGTTTTCTTTTGGTAGTGATATATGAGGCCAATTCATTCATTAATTTCTTATAGTTTCTCTTCTGATGAATTGCAAAAAGCCACTGTGCTAGAGGTTCAAGATGAGGCCAAGGAGTAAGACCATAAATTCAATGTGATACTGATTCCCTCTGTGTGTGCATGTGTGTGTGTGTGCCTGTGTGTGTGTGTATACTTTGTTAGCTGGCAGGTGAGACAAAAGGGGAAGAAGCTATATAAATTTTATCGAGTGCTACCTGCTGTATTATTTCCTCATCTACTTAGATCATTTGATCAAAATGAAGCAATTCACAAATTCCAAACACATTTACCAGACAAGGTCAAGGATATCATTTAGTGTAATTTCTATTCAGATGGCAGGCTGTAAAAAAGAAACATCGAAATAAAGGAAATGAAGGTACCCAGTGTATGTCGCCTGACCTGCCCCAAGACTAGCTCCCAGAAGGACAAGCAAGAATCAGCATACACAAGTGAGTGACTGGCGTAACAGTTTCTGTTGAACGACCTCAGAAGCAGCCCTCTTGCAAAAGATGAGGAAGTTTGGCGGTGGTTGGAAGGACGCTTCCTCACTCTGGCTACATACTAAATCTCAGGAACAGCAGCCACTCAAAGACAAGAAACAATAAGAACTAGGACATACTATTTCAAGGACTAGGATCAGATCCTAAAAACTGTGTTTCTAAAAGTTTCTTTGCCCTGTGCCTCTTGGGTAACATCTGCAAATTTTCGATGTAGAATATGCTCAAAGCAACATATTACACACATGTATTCATGAATTAATAGAGATTGAAGAATACTTCATATTTTTCCCCTTATAAATAAGACAATTCAAATCTAGAGAGGTTATTCACCTTACCTAAGCTAACACGGCTGATTAGTGATTACTAGGCCTTAGGACTTTAAGTTAATAAAATACTGTTTACAGTAAACTAAGCAACCAATTACCATCATGATCCCTATGATCAATAAAATCAGGTGTCTATAATATTCACTTTTTTTTAAGAGAAGGTCTTAACCCAGGTCTGTAACCCAGGCTGGAGTGCAGAAATGGAATCACAGCTCACAGCAGCCTCAACATCCCAGACCCAAGTGATCCTCCCACCTCAGCTTCCCGAGGAGCTGGGACTACGCAGGAGCCTCAACCCATCCAGCTAATTTTAGTATTATTTGTAGAGATGGGTTTCACCATGTTGACCAGGCTGGTCTCAAACTCCTGGATCCAACTGATCCTCCCACCTTGGCCTCCCAAAGTGTTAAGATTACAAGCGTGAGTCACTGCACCTGGCCAATATTCACTTTCTTAAGTTTATATATAGTGTGTTTATCATGGCATAAAACTTATTTTTTATACATTTACTCATTTAAATCACTCCAAGACTTTAAAAGATAATGTTTATTTTTAGCAAGGAACAAAGAATGATTTCAAACATCTATGCACAAGGAGTAATAAATCTAACACTTCAGGTTTTTAAAAGTAGCAGGCTTTCACTTTGTACACCTTACTCTTTCTTAAATATCAGAAAGAATGTCAGCCTTTTCATATAAAGACAGTTTACTTTTTGATATTTCCTGTATAATATTAGCAAATATACTTCACGGTGTGTTTCTTTTCAATTTCAGGATATAATGGTGAATTTCTTATGAAGATACTAGTTTAGGAGTTGGGCTCCTAATAAAAAGACCAGGTACATAAAGATTATGCATTTCTCTTACTATATTATCTGGTGTAAAATCAGAGTTTGAACTACAATGTTTACTTCATTATATGGTTCTTGAGTAATTATTAATTTTTGTTGTTTTCCCTAAAATTATGGTCATGGGCAATTTGAAAAGTTTTTGCTCTCAAAAAATACATTCTGCTTTCTTTTGTTTTACTCTTATTTTATTTCCATCTTTGAAGTATAAGCATAATGAAAATTTCAACATCTATAGGGTAATTTAAATCACAGTGCATATAGAATGCATAGGCACAGAAATAAATTTGGATAAATAGTACTTTCTGTTATTTTCTCAGCAATATCCCACTGAAATTGTGCTAAATATCATGAAATCATTTAAGTTGGAAAAGCACACATGGCATCTAAGAGTCCTCCACAAATCTTCCACAAGAAGTGTTGCTCAAGCCAGAGGCTTGAGTAGACCAAGCTACCCTTGCTTGCTGGTTTGATAAAACACTCAAGTGCACTGTCAGGGCCCACTTTAGACTGTTCTATTTTTACTTTGAGTTTCCTTTATCAAGAGTAATTCTAACTTGCAGCGCTTATGAAAACAATACAATGTTTTCAACATGTCATTACATGAAAAAAATTACTAATAGAAGCTGGTTGTATCAATTGAGATTTTGTCAGCTGCACAGTAACGACTTAACTAAACAGGATTTTTTTTTTCTCCTAATAAAAAGAGACAGAGGAAATAGGTAAGACCTGATATGGGAGCTTCACTATATCCTCACAAAGTCTTTTTACTTTCAATTCCACCCTCTGTGGAGTTTGGCTTTAATCCTCATGTTCACAATGTGGCCGTTCTGTCTCCAGCCATTGCATCCACACAGGAGAAAGGGGAGAGGCCAAGGGCAAAAAGCAAAAAGCAGATTCCAGCCAATTCTTTCTCCTTTTAAAAGCTTTGTAAGAACACCCACCGAATGACATCTAACGATATCCCGTTGACCAGAACTAGATCATATGACTATACCTGGCTTTAAAAATGTTAACAAGGTGAGCGTTTTAATTGAGTACAATGCTAAACTGGAAAAAAAAGTCTTCGTTAAGGAAACAGGAGCAGATGATATTGTTAGATGACTATAATTTGCCTCTCCTTCCCTTACTAAGCGAAAGTTTATTTTGTTTAAAAGTTCATTAACTTCTTTGTTATAGGAATCTTTGCTATTCCTACACATGTAATGCTTAGTAAGCCTTTCTTTTTTGTATCCAAAGTCAAATACTTTACATAAATTTTTTTAAAATATTCTTTTCTTCCTCAATTTCTGCACGCTTGGCCACCCCATATCTAAAATAACATTGTTCAACAATACTCTTTATTTCATGACAGGGGGTACAAACACTTTTCTGAAAGTGAAATGAATAAAGGGAAACTTATTGTTTTCTTTACTTGGGCCAGAATATTAAAGCTGGAAAACCGAAAAGAGATCTAAACTTTAGTTTAGTGACATGGATTTAGATAGTCACACAGATGGGTCAACTTCTAAACCATCATAAATTGGCTTCTCATCAGGGAGCAAAGTAGTTAGTTTCTCTGTGAGTTGCAGAACAGCCACATCTCTGTCCCAATTATATACATGCAACTTCATAGAGAACTACGCTGGTCATGGGTGAAGATTAATTATGGTAAACTTCTCAATCAATTCAGGGTCAAAGATGATAGCCATAAATTCATAAGCTGCATGCTTTGTTCTTGCTTGAAACTGGCAGCTGGGTTTACTCTATGTGTCATGTTTCTGTGTCATATTTAGACTGCATATAATGTTATAACTTTAGACTGGGAGAGTTCTCTCTATAATATACTGGCTTCCTGTACATTTCTTTAAAGAGTACAATCACTCAAGAAAAAGCTAAAAGTAGTCTTAGGAAGTAAAGGAAAGAGATAGCTACCAAAGAAATGACATATAATATATGAATACTATATGAATCAAATGACATATAATATATGAATACCAAGACAAAAAAATCCAGTAACAATACCAAAGAGTAGTGAATTACAGGAAAGATATTTTCCTTATGATAGAAATGATGTTGAGAAAAAAATCCAAGCCTGAGAAATATGTATAAAACCTGTATGGATCATCTTACCATTGTGCGTAACAGGAGGTAAAGGATCACATGTCCAGCGAGAAGCTTCACTAGTGCACTTAGGTTTTTAATGTTTCATTTTAAACTAAAAAGCCTTAATATGCTCTTAGCATTTACTTGTATTTGCTATTATAGGTCTAGGATAACATGAAATATCTAAGACAGAACAACATAATAGTTTCCTGTAATTCATATCAAGAATCATACTTGCACAAATAAAACTCATTCTTTATTACCTTTCAGATGAACGTCTCTTTCAATTTTAAAGCATCCTTTCTAGCTAAAAGGGCTCATTCAATATTTAAACAGCATCCAAGACACATGCACACGTATGTTTATTGCGGCACTATTCACAATAGCAAAGACTTGGAACCAACTCAAATGTCCAACAATGATAGACTGGATTAAGAAAATGTGGCACACACACACCATGGAATACTATGCAGCCATAAAAACTGATGAGCTCATGTCCTTTGTAGGGACATGGATGAAATTGGAAATAATCATTCTCAGTAAACTATCGCAAGGACAAAAAACCAAACACCGCGTGTTCTCACTCATAGGCGGGAATTGAACAATGAGAACACATGGACTCAGGAAGGGGAACATCACACACCGGGGACTGTTGTGGGGTGGGGGGAGGGGGGAGGGATAGCATTAGGAGATATACCTAATGCTAAATGACGAGTTAATGGGTGCAGCACACCAGCATGGCACATGTATACATATGTAACTAACCTTCACATTGTGCACATGTACCCTAAAACTTAAAGTATAATAATAATAAAATAAAAAAAATTTAAACAGCATCAACTTTCATCTTAAACTTCAAATTCTAATGCCTATTGTCTGAACCTAGACAGTTTCATGTTTAGAAACATATATATTGAGCAAATGTACATGTAATTACTCGTTGTCAATTCCTCTCCTTTCTCTTTCCAGCTATCATTTGAATCTAAAGAAAAGCTATGTAACTTACTCTTTAAATTGGAATTAGTGAATATCCTAACATGCTTTATTTGTAATACAACTAGGCATAGAAATATGTATTTATTGACTACTTTCTATGGACAAAGATGAATAAAAAATTTTCTCTGCCACCTAGCAAGTGAGTCTGAATAACAAGTTAGTACTCTAGTAAAAGGGTAAAACCAACACTATTAGAATGAAAGCAACAAAAAAGTCTCAACTCACTAGATGAGACAGGGAAAAGAGAGAAAATAGATTCCCAGTACTGTACACTTTAATATGTGGGAGAATGGAAGACCAGGTAAGAAACAAGTCTCAAGGACAGCTGGTGTCCTTTTTGGAGTGGGGAAAAATGAAGCAAATCTCTAGGATATGCAAAACCCCAAGTAAGGGGACTCTTACACAGTCATGGCAGACATCTATGAAGAGAGAAAGCTTGCTTATAAACGTAGTTTATTTCTAGGGAAGATGGGCTATTAGACTATATCCACCTCGGGGGGCTTTGACATAAGACTTAGAGTATTGTATCTTAATTACAGACAAATAACTTTTTATGTCCCCCAAAATAACTGATTGCTAGGAAAATTAAGCAAATAAACTATAAAGTATTATTTTGTAAAATAATACTCCAAAACATTTGGAGTGACATGACTGTTTTCTTTATGGGTAAGCATATTTAAAATTTATATATATATATATATTTTAAAGTTTAGATATAATTTTCATACTATTTGATTTGGTTTGATGTTTCTAATCTATTCAAAATTGTATTTAAATCATTTTAATTCTTAGTTATATATTGCCAAATTTTACAAATAAAATTAATTGTGGTTGTTTATCCTGCAACTTACTAATGTAGCTGGCTTTTGGGTAGATCCCAATGAGATATCTTCGTTCATAATCCTGTTATCTCTGAATAAAGGCAGTTTTGCTTTTGTTATTAAACGTTCAAGTCAATTAATCTTGATTGGATATATGTATCCATCATGTGAGATAAAATAGAAAACACTTTCATCACCATAGTGGGTTTTATTTTGTAACCTTCTAGCCAACCCCAACCCACAAAGGAATTCATTGTTGAGATTTGTATCACTAGATTTGTTTGACCTGCTTTTATAATTCATCTAGGTGAAATGATACAGTATTTACTTTTTTGAATCTGTTGTCTTTTCTTTACATTTTTGAGGTTCATCGATATTGTTGCATGTTCCAGTAACTCACTTCTTTTGTATTGCTGAGTAGTATTTGATTGTATGAGGACAGCAGTTTGTTCATTTATCCTGCCTTTGTGTTCATGTGTGCTCAGTGTTTTACTCCTGCTTATAGGTGAGAACATGCAGTATTTGGTTTTCTGTTCCTGCATTAATTCACTCAGGATAATGGCCTCCAGCTGCATCCATGTTGCTGCAAAGGACATGATTTCATTTTTTTTAAACAGCTGTGTAGTATTCCATGGTATTTTAACAATATTGTCTCTTCAAACACATGACTATTTATTTAGGTCTCTTTTTGTTTCAGAATTCTTTCATTTCTCTGCCTTTTTTTAAATAGTTCTCAGTGTACAAGTCTTAGATATCATGTTGAAATTTATTCTTAGGAATTTGAGGTTGTAAATACTATTTTAAACTAAAAATAAAAATATAACAAGGAAGCCATGTGACTTTTAATTTAATACTCACATTTAGATAGATTCTGTATGTTTCAATTTCTTGAAATTTATCAACACATTTTATGAGTAGGAATATCATCTATCTTGGTCAACGTTTTCTACGATCTTGAAAAAATATACTTTCTGCAGTTGCATAGTGGGGTATTAAATAAAAGTCAATAAAGTCTAGACCATTTGCTTTTTTTGTCTATTTGTTCTATAAAATACAAAAACGGTATGTGAAACTCTCCAATTATGACGGTAGATATGTCCATTTTTTCCTTTTTTTCTGTCAATTTTTGGCTTTGTGAAGTTGAAGTTCTGTTATCAGGTAAAAATATGCTTAGCATCGTTATATTTTTTTGGTAACCTGACCCTTATATAATTGTTAAGTCTCAATCTGGTAATAGATATTCTGCTTGAAGTATTCATATACCTGCAACAGCTTTCTTATACTTTTGTATGATATAGCTTTCTCTACCCTTACTTTCTCCTCTGTATATATTTATAGTTGAATTCATTACCTATACATACTACATACCTGGATCTTGCTTTTTATTCAACCTGGCTTTTTTTTCTTAATTCTATCCCTGTTTAGCATAATTATTGATATAATTGTATTTAGCTGTATTACTTTATTTTATTCTATTGATTCCATCTGTTTTTTGCTCACTTGTTTCTCTTTTCCTGTTATCTTTTGCATGACTCAAGTGCTTTGTAGTATTCCATTAGACCTCTTCCATTTCTATTTTAGCTATAATCTCTTGTGTCATGTTTATGTATTGTTCTCAAAAGCAATATATAACCAAATTAAATATTCAGATGAAACATGTATATTTATAAATTGAAAAGTAAATATTTCTTTAAATATCATTATTATACATTATAAACAATAGTTTATTTCAAGTATTCTGTTTCATTTCTCTGTTTTCTTGAGGCCTTCTATTCTACTTCTCCATATGCTATAAACCACCCAACACATTGTATCTCCCCATCACTTCCATCAGGCTGCTGCTGTAAGGGGTGAATCAATCTAAAGTATAGTTGTACTCCAAGTGTGCTTTGTTGTAGCTTTAATAGATTCAATTCAATAATTCCAAAAGCCAAAGTAAACCTCTGAATAATGTTTTCTGCACGGGATATCCTTAAAATCACCAAAAAAATCGTAGCTCCCAAATTCATCTAAATATTACCTAATGACTGGGGAAAGTGCCAATGCTAGATACTTTCTTTATATGGATGTATCTGTCATCTATTTTAAGAATTTTTTATTTATCCAGTCATCTCAGATTGCTATGCAGGTGTTGTCAGTGAAGTAACATGATTCCAATTTCAGTGTTAGATATACTTATTATCCGTGAATTTTAAGGAATAAGTGAATATATAGGTTAGAATATTTGCAGAATGTAACAGTTAAGAACCATGAGCTCATAGCTCAACCAGTTGCCATCCAATTCTCATCCTGATATTCACAATTTGATTTCAGAATACTTCCTTCACACCTTCCAAGTCTCAGCTTCCTCAGCCAAAACTGAAGATTATTGTTACCTTTTTCACAGCATTAGTTTTCTAAATAAATGATATGTAGATGAAATAATAATAATAGAATTATTGCTAAACTCTTAGCTATTGTCAGGCACTGTTAACCTACATACAATTTCCTAATGTTAACTAATTTAATTCTCACTATTACCTATTGATAACAAACAGAAGATACATTATCTGCCACATGGTCAAAACCAAAAAATTGTAATCAATTATCATTTTAATACTGATTAAAATGTGTGGCGGTTTGCTTAAAATAAGACAGAAACTAAGTCGCTTCTTACCTAAGGAGTGAATATAATAGCATCACTTGCAAACACAAACACCCCCATGCATACATACACACACACACACACATACACATACACATACACATAAACATACACATACACACATATCCAGATATATGCATGGAACTTTCAAATGCTTAACAAAATATTTCACTGGGTCCTAACAGTTCTGTGAAATAGGAAAATTGGATTTATAAAACTTATTTTTAAAATGAATAAATGGAGAAACATCTTAGTTTAGTAATTTACAAAAAATCTCATAAAAAGTCCATGGCAGGTATGATACATGTAAACAGACATCTGTGCTGAGGCTTCTCTTTTCCTCTACTTATACCCAGCAGTTTTTCCTATATGAAAGAAGTGACTTTTCCTTCATAATTTTTTCATTACGTTTCCCAAAACCTCTCTAAAAATATCACTTGCCTAGAATGTGTGACAGTGATTTGTGACACCGAAAATTCATCACCTTCAGATGATTTTTTTCACTTGATATTAGAATGGAAATTAGGGTTTAATATATTACTGGTTTTATATATAACTTCCCACAAACAAAGCAGTAATAAATTATTGTACAGGCATAATAAGCAAGTGAGGGCTCTAAGTAATCATAAATAGTAATGACTATCTTCACTATTAGCATTTTAATAATAATTTATAAAAACATAATGAAGTCCTAATCAATCAAAAGCACACCATCAAAAGAGATTTATTTTGTTAAGGACTTACTCTATCTAAAGTAGAAGTTATTCTTTCAAACCTTGTGAAAGTGTTCCCCAAATGTTCTCCTTAATTTAGGAAAAGGTTATACGAATGTATGTATTGAAATCCAGAGTTGTGGCACTTTCTTCTTACTAAGAACAGAAAAAGAAACAGCTGGAATTCAAAACATTTAAAAGCATATTTTAACATATATGAACTGCTCAGTTTTTGTCAAGTATTTTAATAGTTGTGTATTTGAAAATTAGTTATCTTGTAAAATGAAGCTACTGAATTTTTGAATGCCTTGAATTGGGAGTATGCTTTGCATTACGATTTAAAATGCTTCGTCTATGTTGAGTTTTAAAACAACTAGGGAAACAGATGTCAGACATCTAATGTTGCTATTCTCAATCAGAGATCATTTTTAGTTAACTGTTCTTCGTCTCCGACTGTAATAAATTTGCTTTCACATGCATTTCTGGTCACAAGAATTGCAGCCCCTAAAAACGTGAAGCAAGCTGAGATTTGCAAATGCCCCAGACGTTGTTATGCAAAGAAAGTCTCTGTCTCGCCTAAAAGAAAGAATTTAGGTGTTAATTAGAAGTGCGTTTAGAGAGTTCTCTAAGTTCTAAGAAAATATATTTTCTTAAAAGAACTCCTCCTGAACCCATCCAATAAACACAATGTGATGTTCTCAAAGAACAGGTTGCGAAGGTTGTAGTGTCTCAAAGACTATGGTCTTTGCCTTGTATTTCCATGTTTGAGAAAAACATTTCTGAACAAAAAGGAAGGTATAGACTTCTTCATTTTCTGCTAACACCTATTGATGTCTGCCTAAATTTTAACTTAGGTGAACCAAACAGGCCCAATGAGTATGAGAAATGTTAGGCAACAAAGCAGATGTGGCTGAATGTGCAATGTAGTTCATTAAATTCTGCACATGAACTCAATAAGACTTTTATATAGATGAAGCACAACTACCTCTACCCCACAGACTAGAGAAATGGGATATTAATTTTTAAGTATTATTTCTTGAATTCTCTCAAGTTTCTCCTTCGTTATTAAAGTTATATTTGCCAACTTATGATTAGCACTTAAAATACTGTTCTTATGCCTACACAAAACCATATTGTACCATAAAGCATGACATAAAACTCTCTCGCTCATTCTCTTCATGAGAATTTAGTTATTGAAATGGCTAAAAAGATCATATCAGGACAGACCTGCCTCTGTCATCTGCGTGAAACAGGGATCCAAAGCAGTATTTCATCTTTCCATTGCATTTTCCATTTTAACCTTGTTTGCATTTATGTGCATTTGCATTAATCCATGTGTACAATGCAAAGTCCGACGAATCATCACTATGCTGACGGTGACTGCTAAGTTAGAATTGTATTTTGGGAGAGGAAACGCCAGGCTGTTCTTGAATTAAAATCTTGATTAATATTTAACAAGTTGTTCTACACCTTCTTCCTGCAACCTCTTGTCAAAAGCCACGTGTGCCTTGCTATTTTCAGAGTGAATTTGTAACAATGGGGTAATCTAATTGTTAGTTATTTTGTTATAGCCATCTGTGGTAGGCCAATTAGTGAGCAGCCTGGAATTCAGTTGAAGCACTTTCCAGACACAGTTTATTTATAACTTGATATTTATGGGGAACTCTAATAAAACTCTGTCTCATAAAGGACCAAAGTTGCTGGTTCTGCAATCCACAGGAGACTGCACATAAAGGCCGCTTCATCAATCATTCATGAACACAAGAGTAACACCCAAGTTTTCGGGACCATTTTTTTGTCCTTAGTCATTTTAGTGAGGTAATAGTCACAAATACTATACTAAAGAAACCAGTTCAACTCATTTTCATTCAAATCTGCCTAGGGAATTAAACATCAGGCTGGAGTATTTTATAAGTAGCTCCACATAATTATTCTAGCTATAAAAATGTTTTCAAATCATTTGAACAAAATTTTGATCTAATCTGAAGCTGGGACTTTACTCCACAATGAAACAAAAGAATGAAACAAATTGAGAGCAAGCAAGAAGAGGAAGCAGGGTTGTGGAGGAAAACCAGTAGGAACGAGGGGATGTGCCTGACTTGCCTCACTCCAACTAGTCATAGCCACTTTGTCAACTTGAGGAAGTAGTTTTTTCCCAGTGTGGGTGCTCAGCCATTTCTTTAATTCTGCAGACACTGGCCAGGCTATAAATAGAGATCATGAGATTAGTACACATTTGTAAGACTACCTCTTCTCAACTTGGGGAGGGAATTAGTCTACAGGGAATGAAGTACTTCTGCTTACTAGGTTGACAACACTTCATCCACATAAGTTCTGTATAACCATTACCATTGAGCTATTGTGTAATTTAAAAAGACACTCATAAGAATGTGTTAGAACTAACTTATATCTGATTATTAATATGATATTTTGATGAAATATGATAGTTATGACATTGTAAAGTTATTAACATTAATTGAACAGCGGCTATGTCCCAAACACTTTGATTACATTTTCTGATTTTACCTTCACAACAATACTATAGGGTTGCTAGCATATCCCTCTTTTATAAATGAAGAAACTGAGAGCATTGTAGGTTAAGTAATTTACTCAAAGTCACATAGTTAATAGTAGGTAGATGTGGAAATTAAACCCAGGTCATCTCTTCCTAAAATGTAAATTAAAGAAAAACTCATATATTTACATGTATGTGAGGTTATACATACATACATTTATAAGAACAAGGCAAACAATAAAGACATAATATGGAAACATAAGCCTCATGAAATATTGATGTTCTCAGTTGAAACACTCATTAACCAAAATATTATACTGTAGAGGCAGGAAATGGGGAAAATTCTATCAGAATCCCTGTGGAGTTGAAAAAATATATATTCAGATTAGGATTCAGGACCCCTATTCTAAGTGTGGTAAATCACAATATCCAATGGACAAACCCAATACTTTTATTTTTAGAGTTTCTCTAGTGATTCTGATGTTCTGTTAGGTTTGACAGCTGTTTGCCCCAAAAGTCTCAAAGGTCTACTAGTTTCCATAACTCTTACATTACTTTTAACATAGACAATTATTATTTACCAGCACCATAAAAAAAGTAAGAATTCAGGGCTGTTGCTATTAGTATTGTGCTTTTTAATATTACTCTCCTTTTTCTTTTCATATGACTTAGGGATGTATTACATGATTACTATTCAGCCACATGTGATGTTGGCATAATGATAAACTTTCTGTGGTTCAATTTTTTTACCTATAAAAGAGAGATCATACTACATATATCATTATTTTATTGAGAGGGTTGAGGAAAATTCACTTGAACATGATGTTTAGTAAAAATTAACTTAAAAACATATCTAGTAAAACATAAAGGCTAATGCAATTATAAGCAGTTATGACTACCAATTCATAATAAAATACTGAAATTAAAATATATACCAATTTCACTCATTTTTCCAAGACAGATGCTTATGTGTCCCGATTGTCTTTTTCCAGGATCCTTTTATGAGCAGACTAGGAATGTTAACTTCTTCTGATAACAGATAATCAGTGTTTGTCTTCATGAAAAAATGTCTATAAAAACTAAACAGAAAAAGGAGATGGCAAATTCTATTTAGTGTTTCTACTTGTTTCATGTAAGTCTTTACTGATTTCTCTTTGGCTGTAGACAGTAAGTCTTTTAAAAATTTTTCAATACTTTAAGAAAATTTTATATATAAGATTAAAAATAAGCTCCCATTAAAGTAATTAATGCTTTCAGACTTCTGTGGTATCTCTCAGTCTCCAAGTCATTAATGATTATATTAAATATCATATTTTTAACATTGGTATTTATATTGAACATTATTGAATAGCAAGAGAAAGTCACTTCAAATTCATAAAGCTAGTTAAAACTCAGCACATTTGGTATAAGTCTTGTTATAAAATATCATGTAGGTTATAATGGAAATAAACTTTCTCAACCAGAGAAAATGGCAATTACAACTGAAGATATATTTCAAAGTGCTAAGCCTGGATCTGCACTAAGGAGAATGTGATATTCTCTCTGGGTTGAAAAGATGAAGAAAAGCAAGTGGAGACATATCAGTTATGGAAAACAGATGTAAATGTTCTAACATGTTTATGACACAAAGCAAAGCAATTATCTCCTATTGCATAAGTGTACTGTGAGTAGAAAAAACAAAAAATGAAAAATCCCAAGAAGAAAAGTTTAAATCCTAAATTCATTCCCAAGTGTGTCACTAATTCTAACATTTTCATGACTTTGCCATTGATAATGGGGTGTACAAAGCTTTATTGGGAGACAGTCCTTAATACTCTCTCATTTCTGCTTGTTTGTGAGCAAAGGTACTGATGGTATTTGTTTCAAACTATCTTTTGAAGAAGTTTGTATAGTGAACAGCCTTGGAAAACAGAAATAGTCTCTCCCTCTGGAGCAAAGGGCAGGTTTGCTCATAGCCTTTGAAGCTAAAGATACTGTCTCCCTCTGGAGCAATGGGCGGGCATGCTTATTGTCCAGTGTAAGCATGGAATTCCTCTTCTGTAGCGCAATCCACCATATATGCAGGTGTCATCTGAATCTTTCCATGTGTTCCTGCGGAAATTGGGGCCCAAAAACACTGACACAAGAAAAATGATGATGGCCCTGCTACTACTATTGCTGTGAGTAATAACTGTCCTTTGTTTCTGACTTAAGAGTCTCATGCCTTCTGCCAGCATCCGTTACACTGTGGCAGGCTAACTTGTTAGCTTGCAAGTAACGTGAAATCTCAGACCCTTTCCAGTTCTTGGCACATTTTCCAGGTAAATGCAACTTGATATCTTAAGCACACACAAAAATAAATCTGAAGCTCACACTTCTGAAATCAGATTTTCTAAGTGTAAATTCAGACTTTGTCAACAAATAACTGTGTGGCCTTGAAAATGTCTCTCCAGGACTCAGTTTCATAGTCAGTAAGATGGGGGTAATGGTGTTCTTCTTGTGTCTTAGGATTGCTGTGATAAGCTAAATGAGTATATGTAAAGTACTTCAAATAGTCTCTCAGATTTCATAGATGTTTAATTAATGCCTGCTATTAGTATTATTTATTACAAAATTGGGAGATAGGAGTATATAAAACAAACTATAATTTGCCATCAATTATATATGCTATCATTTTAGTGCTTTTTTGTTTTGATATTTATTTTCACAATTATAAACAAATCAGGAAGTACTTTTAAAAAAATCTTTTAAAAATATGTTACATAGGCTTTCTTTAGGCTCAATTGATCAAAAGGAATAGACACTTATGCAGAGTTTAAATCCTTGCTCTGCCCCTTACAAATGGAACAGAGATCTTAAACAGTAAGATTACCAGAAGGCCCCTAGGAACTAGAAATTTGATTAAAGTTGCCATGTATAACTGGTTTATTGAAGAAAATCAATTCCTTGGGGTATAAATACACAACCGTGACTTAAGCTGCTTTAAATATGGTATAATAAATTCCCCTTTCCACTCCTTGATGGCATTTCACCAGCCTCCATAACTTTTTGAACATGTTCAATAATAACACTGTCCAATGATATAGCTAATTCAGTCTTCACTGTCCATCCTTCAGGGCAATTTAGATTTGTGGTTAGACGGCCTTGGCTGAAAAGAACAGTTGAGCTTTGCCAAACCTTCTCTGTGGATAAATTCCTCCAGTGCTGAAAGGAGGAAGGGGAGATGGAGAAGCAGATATAGCACATAATTGGTTGTACCTCGATGTGGGATGTGACCTTAGTCTCTAATTTAGTATAATTTTTCATGGCACTAATGGGCTACCCACAGGTTGTGCCATGATGTTCTTGGGGGTAATTTTAACTTTTACCCTTGCTTTTGCTGATGCCAAGGGCTGCCTTCAGGAGAAGTAGCCTAATTCTTCTTAAATGTTTCCATTAGTAGAGGTCTTCACTTGTTTCTGTGTGGCGACGCTGAGGTCATGCCAATTTCTGCACTTTAACCTATATCTTTGGAATGGTAATTCATAGGTCAGTGTTTCCCTATTTAAGGCAAATGAAGAGCAATTTTCCAAAAACAGTATTTGCCCCACCTCCACTTTACCAGAGCATCTCCAGTCAGGAAGATTGCCTCTCCCAACAATTACTTGCCTCCCCAGAAGATGCAACCCAATCTTTGTTCTTCCCCAGACTTCTTATGAAGACTGATACTGACTGTGGGAGACTGTGGAATGATGGCGGACAGTGCTTGGGCGGATGATGCTGAAGACTGATACTGACTGTGTGTGAGACAGTGGAATGATGGCGGACAGTGCTTGGGCGGACGATGCTGAAGACTGATACTGACTGTGTGAGACTGTGGAATGATGGCGGATAGTGCTTGGGCAGACGATGCAAGTGTTTGAAGCCTCAAAGGTAGCAGTTTTCAGCATATGGGTAACTGACGGATTTTTAGCTTTAGACTTCATCCGTCATTCTTGAATAGTTGAAAGTCCAATCCAACATCCTCATTCAATTGTATCACATTAACAATATAATAAATACTATTTTAAACATTAGATTGCTTAATATATAGTATGATGTTTGGGGCC
The DNA here is from genome assembly GCF_000001405.40 of Homo sapiens. Lineage (NCBI taxonomy): Eukaryota > Metazoa > Chordata > Mammalia > Primates > Hominidae > Homo > Homo sapiens. The sequence goes on along the minus strand of NC_000003.12, from coordinate 76,347,834 downwards.
ACTTGTGGAAAAATACAAATTCACAACAGACACTGCAAAGTAATTTACTAATGTTATTTTCCAGGTATTTCTCACAATCAAAGACCCATTTCTCTGTTGCCTTTTTGTGCTTGGTTGTAATTACACAGAATCAGGGGAGAGTGAAATATGACCACCCCTTTTGTCTTTCTGGGTTGCTGAATCATCTTTGTTTCAAAAGCACAACTCTAAAAAGTATAAGATTATAAATAAGTTAAACAGAACAAAATCACACTTAGTGCCTCAGATTAGAGCAGCAGCTTTGACCAGAACAGGCAAATTTCAAGCAAATAATTCATCTCCTCTGAATTATTACATCATATTTATAAAGCTATTTTGAATTTGCAACACTTAAATATATACCTTCTGTTATTAGAAAGTGAGAATTCACACCTAAAAATGCACACACACTAACATCATCACACACAATTTTGACAGAAATTTTCTAAACTGTTTAAACTCAATATAAATAAAATCAATAATTCTGTTCCTTAAAGTAAAAATGTTCTCATTACAGTTTTTTGGCTGTTTGTTCTTTTGTACCTAAGGCATTAACTAATAAATCCTCAGGTCAAAGCAGGAGAATCTATGCCTTGGGGTTTAGGACAGAGTAGGTGATATGAAGGTGGATACAGTAAAAAGTGTTTATCAGAATATAAATTGATACTCTGCTAGTGTGTCTTCCAGTAATTTTACTCAAAACAAATCTAATTCCCAGCAAGGACTGCTAAACGTAAAGAGACATAATCCATTTTTTTTTTATTTTGTCTGAATGGTATTTCTCCTTAGGTGTTCAGCCACAAAAGCTATGAACCTTTGGCTCCAATGTAGGCATAACCTTCTTCAAGCTGTGCTTATATCTATCAGACTGCATCATCTTCACATTAGGGAGTATATCATTATGCTTTTATTCTCAATTGATGCAAAGTGGCCCTGTTATAACAGGAGGCCACACAGGGAGCATACAGAGTAATTTATTTTGCTTTCATGTTGTCACTCAGTGAGTATATCAGGCAAAGTTTTGCTGAAGAGATGGGAGAAAGCTCATATTTTTTAGATCCCTTAGAAGGATGTAAAATGTAGGCTAAATTCTCATAATATGATTGACTGGAAAACGTTATCGACAAATCTCAATGGAGAAAACATGAATGAATGAATGTGTGTCTGTGAAACATGAAATGGTTGCTAAGTCATCTAGTGGCTCTGGACAATAAAATATGTATTTTTAATAGACATTGCCCACATTTCTAACTGCTATATTATGCAACTGTAGACTACATGCCATCAGACATGATTTTGAAGGCCAAAAGAGTAATATTTAATGGAACCAAAACCAGAAAGTAATTTAAAAGTCAAAAACTCCCACCCTGAAAATAGTCTTGACCTCAGTTTTCAAAAGTGAATACAGGGAATATGTTAGACTTACCGTCAATGCTTTCTAAGGAAGAGGTGTAGCCTACATTTGTTGTTGTTGTTGCCAGGCGGAGCTTGCAGTAAGCCAAGATCACGCCACTGCACTCCAGCCTGGGCAACAGAGCGAGACTCTGTCTCAAAAAAAAAAAAAAAATTCTCTTAATGGACTATAAAAAACTGTTAGTACTAGTAACTTGGAGAGCTAACATTCCTTTCCTCAGAGATTATTAAATTCTTAAAGAAAAATAAAGAAACAAAGACAGCCTTCTTTAGTGGTCCCAAGAGGGAAGCTTCCAGAAGGACAAGGCTGATCTTTAGTGCTTTCCCTTTTGTGTGATCAAAGCCGGAGCTAACTGGCCTGTAAGGACAAAGCCTGATCCATTTTAGAACCCCCATAGAGCCTGCCTTCTGGAGCAGGGTGAGTAGATTAAAGAGAAACCGAGATCAGTTGGGAATAAAAAATGACTGTCTAAAGGAGCACTTTTACATTTAAAATAATAAAATACCTGACAATACAAACTTGGAGTTTGGTACGCTTTAGGTAATAACAAATAAAACTGAATCACAAAGAGTTACAGAAAATTAAATATATGAAAGGAAATTTCATAAATAAAACTTTCAGCAATTCAATAATTTATATTAAACAGGAGGACTGAAAACCTCATCTTTATGTTCTGTGATGGTCTCTTAGGCTCAAGAAATTATTTTGGGGTTTTAATATCAGGACAATTTTTCAGTACCTGAAAATTCATTTCTCCTACAAAACTAGGAAGGCTCAAATTTATTTTACTCTTTAGATATATTTTATGGTTAAAAAAATCAGGGAAAACATTTCATCAGATCACAGCTAGGGAACCCAAGGAAAATTTCAGTGCCAAAAATAGTTTTGTTATAATTCAACCAGGAATAATAGTTTTCTTGTTGAAAATATTTCCCCTGTGCTTAAAAAAAAAAAAAAAAAAGAAAGAAAAGAAAAAAGATATCCTGCCTACTCTTGAAACACACCTGCACATGTTTATACACATTCTCACACATCTCACATTCATACTCACCTATTTTGAAAAGTCTAGTTACAAAGAGCGACAGAAAAAAAAGTGTGCAAATAAAAGACCTGCTTTCCCTGGACCTCACAGAGGCCTTTCCCATGACTTGGGTCTCCAGAGATTCACCCAGGAGTTTTGTTCCTGCTGCAGTTTCTGTCTTGGCCTTATATTCATATGGACACCTCCTCCCCGACACACCTCCTTGTATCCTAAGTTCTTTTCTTTTTTCTCTCCAAAACCTTGCTTATTATCTCTCTGACTTCTGTCATATTCAAAATTTAAACCATCATCACAAAAGGCAGTGGCGCTCAGGAGTTAAGAGCATGCCATCTTCACAGTTATACAGATCTGAACTGAAATCCAGGTCTAGAAATAACTGAATAGTACTTCTCAAGTTATTTAACTTCATAAAAGAGCAATTTCTTATACAGATAAATACTTACTGCTTTAGGGTTAATGAGGATTAAGTATAATAAGGTGTATTAAACACCCTGGATGGAAACTAAAATATACATTTTGTCCACAGTCACTGTTATTATCACATCTAGATATTTCCCAAATTCTTGACTTTACTCTGGTTTTTCTCTCAGCACATATTTAACTGTATAATGGGCATTTTAACCCAGATCGACCTATTCAAAACAGAACATATAATTTCCTAAACCAAATCCACTAGATTAATTTCTGTCTTTAGGCTTAAACCTGTAAGACATTTGTTCCTCTTCTTTTTATCCATCATTTCTGCTATTTCATTAGTGACCAAGTAATAGAGCCTTTTCTGAAATAGGTCCACGTTTCACATAGACTACTACAAATAACTCCTATCCCGACTTCTGAGTTTTGGAGTTCCTTGACTTTTAATCTTTGAAAATATAGCTTAAAGAACATTCCCTTGATCAAAGAGTTCTGATGACCAAAATAACTAGTAGATTTGAAAAAAGTAGAATTTCACCAATACCTTTAAAGTCTTCATGAAATTTTTTCTCATACTTTAAGCAGACAGAATCATGTCATCAGTTATCTGAAGATATGCATATCACACTTTTGTATAGTTGTGTTAATAAATATTTGCAAAATTAGGTTGCATTGTAAAAACCTGAAGTGTAAATACCCTTGAATAGCAAAACGTAATCCAGGCTATCAGTCTATCAATTTTTAACAGACTCTTTTCTTACATTCAATTGTTTTAACTCAAACAAATAAATTATCTTCCAACATGATTATTATAAAAGATTAAGTAGAAATTATTTTTTTAAAGTTTAAGAATTTACTGTCATAATAGCTTAAACTTAATAGAATTCATTGACATACTTTTATACAAAGAGAAAAGAAGAGCTGGAAAGGAATGGGGAAAAACAGCCCCACTTTAAAGATAGATTCAAGGTATATCAAAATGCTTTTAGTACAAACCAAATTTACTCAGGTTTATAAAATCTTTGGACACATCAAGATCAAAATAGAAGTAATGAATCAGATTTTGCATTCTGATTTACTAGAATAAGTGGCACCAAATTAAATCCTCACCAAATATCTTTGGAGGCTACAAGGGCTGTCTCATTTGTGCTCAAAAAATAAATTCATTTCTGCAGATTTTCTACTATACTGCTGGGCACAGCAGTTTCCTCATGGTTGCATTCGACTTCTAAGGCCAAAATCTCACCACACCAATACTGCATGATACCATTTCCTGATTTATGTCTTGCTTTGTCACTTAAACACCTCTCTAACAATAAACATGCCAATATTTATATTAGGTTGGTGCAAACGTAATTGCGGTTTTTACCATTAGTTTCAATGGCAAAAACCGCAGTTACGTTTGCACTAACCTGAGAGCATTTCTCTCTTTCCCTCTGATTTATAGGTTATATTCGATAAGTTCTCATGTGCAAAACTTCATTCTAGAAGGACTTCATTCCTCAGATAAATCACCTTATGCAGATAGACACCTGTGTGTTACCAGTCATTCATTTATTAGACATATATTGAATTCCACACTAAACTCAGCTAGGAAAATCATGCTACAGATGAAGACATCAGGAATTTTTATCACTTAGGGCAAACAAAAATGGAAGAATTATGCTTACAACACAGTATATAGGTTGTTTTCACTTTGGTTCTTCTTGGATAGAGAGTACTAATAGAGATTATTTGGTCTGTGAGAGTTTTATTCAATAAATATACCACACCATACGTAGAGGTTTGTAATATTAGCTGAATTCCACCTTGAACAATTCACAAGTTAGATTTCTGAACTAGAGAAGAGTTTCTGGTAATTGAATAGAAATTATATTTACCGAGAAAGACCTATGTGTTCTTGTCTTTGGAACATTTGATTACCATTCAATAAAATTTGAATCACAACTATCAACATTTATAATGCAAACAAGCTACTTACATGTTATAACTATATAATAATCAATTTTAATGAAATTGCATCATTCTGTAGTTACATAAAATTGGCCATTCAAACAACTGTGTCACTAATAGAAATGATGATTTCATTCAGTTTTTTTCCCTATAAACAGTGGGTATAGATTTTAATTAATCTATCTATACCTACTATTAAGTGGGCCTCTAATATAAATCTGTACATGTACCAGATATATTTTGAAAATACAGTAGTCCAATGACAATAATTCTGTAAAAAATTCCCTACCATACTCTAGTGATTTTTTTCTCTGTCTTGCTAGCATGGCTAGCATATAATTGCCCTTTGTTATAGGATATATTTGTAAGGATATATACAGGTTGAACAGCCTTGGAAGATAGAGATAGTGTATCCATCCAGAGCAAAAGGTAGATTTGCTTATAGCCGATTTCCTCCCAGAGCTAAGAGCAGGCATGCTTACTACCATTCATAAAAAAGTTGGGTTCCCTACACTCATAGTTCTCCTGAAGTGGCACCCACTCTGTGCAGTCATTCATCTGGGCTCATCTGTGTTGCTTCTATAAGACTTGGGTTCAAGGGGGATTGAAACACTCAGGCATGTGTATGTTGATGATGTTTGCTGTGCTGGGAGTAACAAAGATCTATGTCTCTCACCTGAGAGTCACGTGTCTTCTCTGAGGATCCATGAAATCATGACAGGCTTACTTGTTAGTTTGCAAGATGGGTAAAATCTAAGACTCTTCATAGTTCATGAAAGTTTTGGAGATGAGTTGGGATGGTAACAGAGACAGAGCCTGTTAAAGGAATTGTGAGGATCTCACAGGCAGAATCACAAGATTTGAGGGAAGTTCATGGGGACCAACAGTCAACATGTTGACCTAATTAGATTGTCTACCAGGAAAGAAACAATCCTCTACTTTATTGTCTGTAAACACTGTTTCATAACATTGTGGAATATTTTCAAAGACAGCTTTCCAAATTTTATACCAAAGTATTGTTTTATGTTATACGCCCCTAACTATAAGTGGATAGGAAATTGTTATTCACCTGGATAATTGGAAAAAGAGGAAACATATGCTAGAAGTCTCCACCATAGTGAAAGATTCATTCAGAAAATACTCTTACAAAATATAGTGCTACATCATCTGTTGCAAGTGTTCACTTTTTTTACGTCCCATTTTAAACATGGCAGCTAATAGTTATTTTTTAAGCCATTTTCCTTTTGCTCTTAAGCATCCAACACAACTATGTTTCCCAGCTTCCTTTTTGGTTAGGTATGTCAAAGTGACTGATTCTGACCAACAGAATATTGGAAAAAGTACAGACACAATCTGCAGGGCTATGGAAATTTCCAGTGAATTTCCCAAGCATTTTCTCTCTTCTCAAATCAGTTGGCCTAATGTAAATGATCCAGTTGAACAGTCCACAGCACAAGGGAAAATATCAACACATCTTTTTTTTTTTTTTGTAAAGAGATAGTAAATATTATACATTTGCAAGACACGTAATTCTTCAAACACATATTTTTCCTTTTTTTTTTTTTTTTTTTTTTACGCTTTAAAAAAGCGAAAAGCATTCTTAGTTCTGGGGCCATACGAAACAAGCTGTGGGCTGGATTGGACCCGTAGTAGGGGACAGCAGAGGCATTAGAGAAAAGGAACCTGTATCACTGCAGGAAAGAGACCAAGGAACCTGTATCGCTGCAGGAAAGAGACCTTTAGAAGGTGATGTGAGCAGGTAAGTCTCTGAGATTTGAAGTTTTGTGTTTATTCTTTTTTTCCTTACAGTAGTTAGTCTAATATTGTTATGGTAGCATTTCTGACAAGTTAAATCTGATAACAAATTTCCTCATATATCACAAATAATTTGTTTAATTGAAGGGGAAAATGAACTAATATTACACTGATTCTGACCTTTAGAAAATATAGCTGTACCAGCTGAAGAACAGGTAATGATCTTTAAGGAGACAGAACACTCCTACAAGATTCACAAAACAAATGAGATAAATTCATTACATTTTTGCCTTTATTTTACTGTCAGTTCCCAAATGGCAGACTTATCCTGAAGAATTTTTATTAAGATATTTCCGCATGCTAATTACTAACATATTATAATTCTTGTGGCAGAATATAAGAACTCTGATGGTTACTTTCTTAGTGCTTGGAACATGAGCAATGCATTTTTTTAGAACTAAAAAAAGTTCATTTTATTTGCAGCATTGACATCTTATTTATCCATCAGCTAAAGGTAAGAATCATTTTCAATGAATGACAACTTGCCGGGCTCTCCCAACCATTAAACAAATGCCCTTCCAAAAATGGGAAGCTATATAATATTTTAAAATCATAATATGCTTTGTGACCTAGAATGTGATTTCTGCAAAAGTTAAATGCTTATAAAATGTTGAGATACACCATTAGCTTTAAATCACATATGCTGTAAAGCAGTATAAATCCATTCAGGGCTTCAGTACTGTAGACTTCACATTACTTATATTTTTATACTCATATTATTCTGGTTAGAAATATATCAGTTAGAGTGATAGACTGGCATCCAGGATTGGCTAAAATATTATGCCCAAGACAAACAAGCTTTCTTGAACATGGTCAAGGAGGTGAAATGTTGGATACTGTTCTATCCCACAAGGTTAAGGTAACTTGGAAGATAAATGAAATTGACTGAAGGCTGAGGGAGACCAAAAGGACAGCTTGCCAGCATGAATTTTTTTGTTAGAATAATATGCAATTGCTTTTAACTCATCTTTGTATTTTTCAAGTGTTCCTGCTCTACTAGTAAAATCACAGTCAGTGTTGTGCAATTAACTAGCTTCTTATTACGTAATTATATTTTGATATATAATCTTAATTTTCTAAGTTTTTTTTTTTTGCAATTGGTTCATTTTTGTTAGGATTTGTAGCTAGTAGTTTATGCAATAGACTTTGGTGGTACCAGGGGAATTTTGGTGGTATTAAATAGTCGATGATTATAGTAAAGATGAATTAATAGCTCTATGCTAAACTTTGAAAAATTCCCCCAGATTATATGTAGTAAGACAGGCACTTATGGAAGAATTACACATATATATGTTAATATTTGTGTTACAGACACAAACATTACAAGATTTTAATTTCCTACAAATTAATAAACTTGGAGATATAAACATATGAATTATTGTAACGATTAATAACAATATACACCCAAATAAGGAAATGTGATAAGCCCCAAATCAAACTCATATTCAAAGTGGTGCTGCACACAGCATGCGTTTACTATACTCTTGGTGTCTGTGAGTGATCTGGAATTGCTGTTCAAATAAAAATGACGCAGATTCCAATTTGCTAAGGAGAATAATCATGATGAGTAAACTTAACATGCATACCATATGGAAGAGGAAATTAACACATAGAGGGCAGGTGTCTCGCCCATGTTCAGAGTTCTTGAAAGAGAAAGATAAACTCCCAGGTCAATCTTTTGTCCTCATAACATAATCTCATATGCCACTGTCCAAAACAGGTGACATATCTAGAAACAGTATATGGTTTCCAATATATCTTATTGCTATATATACCTTATTGCTTTATATTATTTATATTCCACTAAAGCATGCGTTTCAAAATCTGAATGCATTTTGTGGGTAAAATGAAACCTTGCAGCAAATATTTGAGACACAACATCTAAATCTAATCTATTGCCTAGGAAGCTGTATTTACAAGTACACACAATCAGGTGCATCAGTGTTTACTCTTCACTTTTTTATCAAATACAATATTTTGAAAATATGCCATTCAGATCATAAAAATCCAGAAAAGCTCTAAAAAGGCAAACTGAAGTGAAATATTTAGATAAGTTTAAAGGACATATAAAATGTCATAAATAGAAGTGTTTTACATTTAAAAATATCATTGATGGACTAAGAAATATCAAGTAGTAATAACACATTGAAATGCAAAATTTGCTTTTAGACATTTATTTGCACAGTTAGATTTTACAAAACTTCAACAGTTTTTCAGATTTAAGTCATGAAGGCATCCTTAAGACATTCAAAAGCTCTAACATCAAAAGCTCTGTTTTGATCAGTTTGTCTTGGAATCTTTCTAAAATATTTTCTTAAATTTGATTTCATTCATCCAGATTTTAGAAAGACACAGTGGTTCAACTTCATTGTCAATTTCATTATGTTTATTAATCAAATATATAACAAAATAAATTTGATTAATAAAAATAATTATACATAATTTCTATATAATATTAATTTATAATTAATAAGCATTATATATATAATTTTTAAAAAAGAAGCATGATCTTGCTCTGTCACTCTCCCAGGCTGGGGCATACTGGGGCAATCATAGCTCAATGTAACCTCAAACTCCTGGGCTCAAATGATCCTTCCTGCTGACCAGCCTCCCAAGTAGATAGTACTACAGGCATGCACCACTATGTCTGGCTAATTTTTTTTTTTAAGAGTCAGTGTATTCTTATGACGCCCAGGCTGGTCTTGAATTTGTGACCTTAAGCAAACCTCTCACCTTGACCTCCCTAAATGCTGGGATATCAGGTATGAGCCTGAAAATCTATTTTTAGTCATCAAATTGCTATATGACTAACCAAAGTAAGTGTGATCACTTAAGTGAGCAAGTAAAAGAAGGAACTTGGAGATAAAGTTAAAACTTCAACGTACCTTATTGCAGGGGTATAGAAAGATATTCAGGTCAGCTTGGTAGAAACATGTGAGAAGGGGAAAGAGACAAGAACTCACACTCCATTTGATCCAGTGGGTATGTAAAGTTGGGTATGTAAAGTTTACTAATAGGCTGAGAAGGAAACTAAATTCCTTATAGCTATGTACTTAAAGTCTCAAATACATGTACTAGAAGCTATTAGGCACTTTTTCCCCCTATGTCAAATATTTCTCTTGAGGTACCATGAAATGAATTGTAACCATCATCACAGTGTGGGAGGGAAAGCCAGAGTATGTAATCACAGAACAACAAGTTCAGTCTTCTGCTAATATTAAAGTTCTATTTCTAGTTTTACCACGGGGGTTTCAATAATAAATCAAAAATAAATCTCCTATGGTGGAGCCCAAAACCTCATCAATTTTATTACTTTTGAACGTTGGGTTTTATTAACAATAGAATTATACATAATGACAATAGACAACTATTGAGGTGAATAAGGCAAGTTCAAATCCCAATTTCATTCTTGCTGTATACGTAATAAACAATTGAATTGAAACTACTCAGAATATCATTGCGCATAAAGAAATAAGTATCAGATTTTCTTTCACACCTCTATTCTTCAGTTCCTTTATTGCTAGTTCTCTTTTTCATTTTGTTCCCTGACTCCTTTCTCTTCTTCCATGTCATAATTATGATGGCTATGACTTACTAGGTAAGTGATATGTGTTGAGGCTTTTCCTAGTTCTGGGGAAATTTTACAAAATAGATACAATCCTGTAATGGCCAAGCAAGCCGTAACCAAATAAGAGAAAATAAAATGGTTTTGTTAGCAAAGGTAAATTTTCTGTCAGCACTGAAAGGAAATATTAATTCCTATCTATTAACTCTTTTCACTTTAATCTTCAACCCATGTATTTTACCTAAGTGGACCTAACAATTGAGTTAAAGATAATACCAATAGTGTTTACGTATTATTACAGCAGGGGAGAGTTTTTAGTATTTTCTAGTGTATACAGAGCTGTTATTTTCTATGTCACTTGAGTTTCTGCTGCTCATCTCACTGATAATTTGCAGTGGGCCAAGGGAGCTTTGATTAGGGAAGATGAACAATTTTGGCCATGAAAATGACAAATGTTTAATAATGAAAGATCAACTTTTACAGCTTGAAAATCAGACAGGATCCCACTAGAAGGAAAAATGTGTCTCTGTTGCTCAGTTTTTAAATGGATAACTGTAATCAAACTTGCTGGACACAATTTTATCTTTTTTTCTCTACAAAGCCCCAGAAAATAGAGATTGTGGGTTTTTTTTAAATACCCAATAACATTTTTCAGAATCTATTTTAAAAATTCATAACTGCAAACATTAATTTTGGGAATTAGAATCATATTTTACCTAATTGACAATTAAATATATACTTAAAGTAGTTCATAAAACAAAATCTTATTAGATATCCAGCTTCCTGTTAAATGCTCTTACGAAAAAATCTTTCGAATGTATTTATATGATATATTTATAGATGGATAATGTATTTATGTTTTTATATGATGATTATTTTAAAATAAATTAGCCATTAACTCTCAAAATGGCCTAAAATAAACAATGCCACAGACCAGAGGATGACTTAAATGTTACGTCATTCTTTGAGCTTTTCACAAATCAAGTAATTAATGAAGTATTTAGTGAATATTTGAAAGCATATAATTTAAAGAAAGTAGCAGAAACATTGTGAATTAGGCCACTGCAGTATTCTTCAAAAGGAAATTTAATCATGCCTCAAATTTAGTGGTTTCCCAAGATAATCTCCATAAAAGGGACATTGTTGGAATGAGAAACTTGACTAGGCATAGCAGAGACTGCCATTTATCCACCACTACCCATTTTCTTATTCCTTTATAGTGATAACATTTAGCTGGGCACAGAATCACCTCAAAAAGAAGCTGTGTTTCCCTACTTCCCTTACTAGAGTAGCATGACTAAGTCTTATAGAAAATGAATGAAACCGTTATGCATAATTTCTGCAGTAAGCCATTGGCAAAGTGATTTTCTTTTCCTTTTTTTCTTCTTGCTACGTACATACAGTGATCTCAAGTTATCATGGACCATTTTGGAACCAGGTCAATGAGAACAAGATTTTAGGTCACTGTATATCAATAACACAGAAAGAGCCTATGACAGCTTCAAGAATACAGGCAAATGCTAGTTCAATCTTTTTCATGAGAGAAATACGTATCTATTTATTTAAGCCACTACTTTTGGTGTCTTGCTTACACACAAGTAGTCTTCTAGCTAACAATCTGAATATAACCTATGTTTACATGGTAAGCTATCTGAGTATTCAAGAGAAAAATATTTAAGTAAATTGTAATGTCCCCATAAAATGGAGCAGAATGCAGTCATTAAAAGTTATGGCTTTAGGCCGGGCGCGGTGGCTCACACCTGTAATCCCAACACTTTGGGAGGACGAGGCGGGCGGATCACAAGGTCAGGAGATCGAGACCATCCTGGCTAACACGGTGAAACCCTGTCTCTACTAAAAATACAAAAAATTAGCTGGGCGTGGTGGCGGCGCCTGTAGTCCCAGCTGCTCGGGAGGCTGAGGCAGGAGAATGGCGTGAACCCGGGAGGTGGAGCTTGCAGTGAGCCGAGATCGCGCCCCTGCACTCCAGCCTGGGCGACAGAGCGAGACTCCGTCTCAAAAAAAAAAAAAGTTATGGCTTTGATGATGATGGGAATATATTTTTTATAATTAAAATGAAAACCAGCATGTAAATTAATTTTATATCATTTCAAATATAAAAATACACAGAAGGCTGGGTGTGGTGGCTCACTCCTGTAATCCCAGCACTTTGGGAGGCCAAGGTGGGCAGATCACTTGAGGTCAGGAGTTCAAGACCAGCCTGGCCAACATGGTAAAACCCCGTCTCTAACCAAAAATACAAAAATTAACCAGGCGTGGTGGCACACACCTGTAATCCCAGCTACTTGGGAGGCTGAGGCAGGAGAATTGCTTGGACCCAGGAGTGGAGGTTGCCGTGAGCAGAGATCGCGCCACTGCACTCCAGCCTGGGCACCAGAGAGACTCTGTCTCAAAAAAAAAAAAAAAAAAAAAAACAAAACAGAAAAGTTTGGATGTGGTGGCTCATGCCTGCAATCCCAGAACTTTTGGAGGTAGAGTTGAGAGTACTTGAGTCCAGGAGTTTGAGACTAGCTTGGGCAACATTTCAAGACCCTGTCTCTACAAAAACAAAAAAAATTTTTTTTTAAAGCAAAGTCACAGAAAAAAAATAGATGAAAAAAAGCATTTGAAGTATCAACAGTATTTTTTATGTTCTTGTTTAAGATTAAATGTTCAAAATAAATCCCAAGGAGTAATAATCAAATTATTTTCAGAATTAGAAATATTAGCCTTTTAAAATTATAGTGTGCCTCTTCCTCAGGTAACTCCTTTCTTTACTAAATCATTAATTTTTCTAATAGTCCCAAAGGATTACCAGGTCTGCTTCTCTACCTTGAGAATCAGTGAGCTGTCTAAATGCTATACTTAACACATTCTGTTTAGTTCAATGATCCTATAGTTAGGAGAAACACCGACACTTAGATGTCCACTGATAGTTCTCCTTTACTGGGTAAAATTCTTGTGTTGATCTCCATTGGGCACGGATTGATACATTCTTCCTGTTATGCCTATGTGACTCTTGCTCCCGCTTCCCTTTCAATCTCTTAAAAAAAGAAAAGCCAAGCTGCTTGTAGATCACTAGAAAAATGGCATTCTACTGTCCTCTCAATGCCCTAACATTTAGTGTTTTCTTCAACTTGAGATGTCTTTCTCTCACTGGGTGCTCAGTTTAAATGCTTCCTCCCCTGTAAAATCCAAGCAGATTTCTCTAAGTACACTCATATTCATTAATTTGTTCAACAAATATACATTCACCAACTTCTACATCCCAAGCATTTCTGGAGGTGGGGGATGCTGTGATAAATACGCAAGACCAGCTCCTTTCTCTCTAACACATAAATACTAGTGAAAAAAACAATAAAAAATGATTAAACAAGATAACTGATGTAAAATAGTTTTCAGGCAATGATAATAATGATGATATGGGTGGTGAAGCTAGGCTTCTTTTATATGTATATATATATATTTTTTTATTATACTTTAAGTTCTAGGGTACATGTGCACAACGTGCAGGTTTGTTACATACGTATACATGTGCCATGCTGGTGTGCTGCACCAATTAACTCATCATTTACATTAGGTATATCTCCTAATGCTATCCCTTCCTGCTCCCCTCACCCCACAAGAGGCCCCAGTGTGTGATGTTCCCCATCCCGTGTCCAAGGGTTCCCATTGTTCAATTCCCACCTATGAGTAAGAACATGCGGTGCTTGGTTTTTTGTCCTTGCGATAGTTTGCTGAGAATGATGGTTTCCAGCTTCATCCATGTCCCTACAAAGGACATGAACCATCATTTTTAGTATGTTTATTGCGGCACTACTCACAATAGCAAAGACTTGGAACCAACCCAAATGTCCAACAATGACAGACTGGATTAAGAAAATGTGGCACATATACACCATGGAATACTATGAAGCTAGGCTTCTTTTGCTTGCGTGGTTAGTGGAGAAGAATTCCTTTTTGAGGGAGAAACTTTTGACTAAAACCTGAAGAACAAAAGTGCCATTCTGGTTGAATGCTTTTTATAAACAACTCTTTATAGCAATCATTGAGGCTCCTTAAGATCAGCAACCACATCTTTTTATTAAGAAATTTCCATCAAGTAGAGCAATTATCTGATGAGTATTAGATTATCAAGGATTATCTGGAATATGTCATACATAACTATGTATTTTTTCTTAATTTACTGAGAGCTAGACAAATGGAAATGCAAGACATATTGCTCAGCTCATCTATTCAGTGAGAATCATGACTTTACGCTGCGTACACTTGCAGAAGGGAAAGAGAGTCAAGAATCACTGCACAGCTAATATGTACTGGACACTGTCTTAGGCATTTTAGATACATTATCTCAATGATCACAACAACCTTCTCGGGCAGGTAGCATGATTTTTCCAATTTACGAACTTCAAGACACAGCTTTTAGAGAGGTTATGTAAGCTATCCAAGGTCACAGGGCTGTTATGTGGTAACGCCATGATTTTAAATGACACTCTTCTGACACTGAAGACCAGTTTACATATACTAGGCGTTCTCAAGGTGTGGCTCCAGGGCCTGCAGCAACAGCATTACCTGCAAACTTGTTACAGAAGCAAATTCTTGGGTGTCACCCCAGACCTACTGAATCAAAACCGCTAGGAAGGGGGGTTCATCAATTTGTTTTAACAAGTCCTCTAAGTAATTTGAATGTGCACTGAAGGTGAAAAATTGTTGTGTTATATAACAAAAAACACACACAATTCCCTACATGGCTCATAACTTTATTCTATTACATAACTTACTTTGATATCCAGTGTAAAGTTTTATTGTGTTAATTATGGATGAATCATCTGGAATGCACTAAATATATTTTGAAGGAAAAAAAAATTATTTTTATGTGGCCACAGAGGTGGAAAGTATTAAATTACTCTCTTTGGCTAGAGGGTAAAGATTTTCCTGTCAATTTCCATTTGAAGTTCAAATTAATGTGAAATGGTTTCAGAAATGTGTAAACAGCTTTCACCTATCAAGATTATATTGTCTATGAAGAAAGAAAATTAAGAATATATTTCTTAGGTTTTATGCAGAGATAAATCCCAGAGGGACTAAATGGAAAATATGATTAACTTGAATCTACGAGTTTGAAACTGTAAGATGGAAAACACATTTAAAATTTTTAATAATGTTCCCTCAAACTTTTGCATCATTAGTCAAATAACAAAAATTTTTGACGAAATTATATTGACATTTTAAATGTTACTTTGCTGAAAATACATGAACATATGTGAAAGGGTACTAAATTTGGCCCTAAAACACCTTGCTTCACATACACAACTTGAAGAAAACATAAAGCAAATTGGTGTTATACAATATTATTCACAGGCTCTTTTTCTAACTGAAACCATGATCCCTCTTCCCATAACTTTTGATACAGGACAAAGGAAACATTTGTCTCAAAATGTCTCCAATCATGGAAACACAAAAGTGACTTCTAGCCTTGCCATTCACAATGGAAATGTATTCAAAATATACAATCTATGATTCCTATTTTTTATTTTTGTAGTCATTAATATAATCTCAAATGTTTTCCTGGTTCAGGTAATACACACATGACAACAAATCTTCTATTAGTTTAAATAATCCATATATTAGGGCGGGCGCAGTGGCTCACTCCTGTAATCCCAGCATTTTGGGAGGTCGAGCTGGGCGGATCACCTGAGGTCAGGAGTTCGAGAACAGCCTGACCGATATAGTGAAACTCCGTCTCTACTAAAAATACAAAAACTAGCCAGGCGTAGTGGTGGGCGCCTGTAGTCCCAGCTACTTGGGAGGCTGAGACAGGAGAATTGCTTGAACCTGGGTGGCAGAAGTTGCAGTGAGTTGAGATCGTGAACTCCAGGCCTGGGCGACAGAGTGAGATTACGTCTCGAAAAAAAAAAAAAAATTCAAATATTACTTAAAATAGAACAATAACAAATATTAATGTTTCCCTAAATTTGGGATTTCAGAAGGAGCTGTGATGTAGACTGCAAAGATGCCCGGATATTACTGAGCATTGGCCATGGGTTGAGAATGTCAAATTATGTCGTTAAAACCAAACAGAGGAATCTAGAGGCATAAAGGAAATAAGAGCCAAATAGAGTGAAAGACACTGAGAAAGAAAATGAAACGAATGAAGATTAGATTTAATGGGAATGAGAACAGGTTACATATAAAAAAAGAAGCTTGTAATTAAAAGGCAGTTTCAGACGATAAACTGGAATTGTTATATATAAAAAATAAGTTATTCCTAATTGCTGGAAGCAAGGTGTGCCTCATGTGATATTTATGAATGCTAAATATCTTAAAATTGCCCTTTATTTTAATGATTTTGCCAACACCCCATACTATAAAAATATACAATTGTTTGTATTTAGAAACAGAAAAAAAGTTACAAAACTACATTCTAACTTTAATCTTAGAAAACTTGCTTAATATTTACTTTGTTATTGAATTCTTGGTACATTACCGCCATGGGCTCAAAACACTTATTAAAAAATCTATATCTTAGTTATTCCATTCGAAGTGGTAGAAAAGCTTCAAAATGATAAATCCTGTTGAAGGCAACTATAAACAACATTTGATTCATATATATACTAAAACTTGTTATAAGTAATGAATGATTTAGATAGAGCACATTTAGCACTGTCTAGCAATGAACATTTCTTATGGGAATACCACAGCAGATGAGGCTGTGCTAGGTAGTAAACCATCAATCAGACGTGACCCCACAACAAATGTTCCTCATCAACTGCTTTAATATGTCATGAAGCTTCCAAATAGACATCACTGGACCATTTATTAAGCCCAAACTACTTTTTCACTGACAAAGCAAAAGACATTTGGTATTTTCATTTATATGTAATATCACAACAAATCGATGAGACCTAGGAATCCAAAATAGAATTTATATGAGGATGGGCCATTGAAATTCAAACCTTAGTTTCTTGCACAAATTGCTCTTAATGATGATCTTTTATTTTATTTTTTAACCAATGTTATAAGAATGAGGATTGCATTTAGATTCTAAAACTTTAAAATGTCCATATAAAACATGTTTCTGTTGAAGCAGAATGGGGGAAAAATTCCTTACCACTTACATTTCTGTTATAAAACTAAGTATTATGTCATTCTCATATAACACTGCAAGAAGAGCAAAAATAAAAATAGTGTATTTGAAAGCTCTAATACTCATGCAGGCATGATAATTACACTATCAAAAATGCTATTTAATGGTGCAAAAAAGACTTATTTCCAAAAATATCATAATGTAGACTAGGCTTCTGAAATCAAAGAATACCATTTAATCCTTCTGCCACTTTGATTAGTTATGAGTTTAGTTTATCCCTGCAATTAATTGGGTGTATCTCTATCTCCCCTGCTAATCTGCATAATTTTGTTTTACTTTATGTTCCTTTTTAGACTGCAAGGTGCTTGAGTATATAGAAAACCTACTTTATTTGGTTTCTGCCTCATGGTGCCTCATGTATAATACTTATGTGCTATTTTATAATCACCTTTCAAATATGGCCTTTGAAAACCCACATAGATACAGTAAAATGTTCACACAAATATTTAAGTACTATGTTTTCACACTCCTGTATTCAGATATATTACACATTTTGCATTATGAATCAAATTCCTGAAAACCAGCTTCTCTTGCCTTTGAAAACGCTCCTGAAGTTCAAAGACGACTAAGTATCAAGGCTTCTTTAAGAAATGCATCACTGCTCCCGGAAAAAGCAAATAAAAGGGCCTTTGAAGAGAATTCTGAAAGAATGTCTCCAAAGTGGGTCTTTCCTCCGACTCTGGAATACATGTTTAACTTGAAGAAATTTACTTCAAAATTTGTGTTAAAAATGTCTATTATTTTTTAGAAAACAGTCTACCATGAATCTGATTCCTTGCATATTCTTGCTGAGCGTGCCAAAACGCAAAGCAGAAGTATCCTTTGACTCTGAACTGTTACTGCACCAGGTCAGACAGTCAAGTGGACAGGTGAAGATAACTAACTTACAGCTACTCATTCCCCAGCGGAAGGAAATTCTAAGTATCCCGTTTGCTGTACAAGATTCTGAGGACGGATGCCGTGGCTCAGGCCTGTTATCCCAGCACTTTGAGAGGCCCAGGCGGGCGGATCACTTGAGGTCAGGAGTTGGAGACCAGCCCGGCCAACACGGGGAAACCCCATCTCTACTAAAAGTACAAAAATTAGCCGGGTGTGGTGGTCCACACCTGCAATCCCAGCTACTCAGGGGGCTGAGGCATGAACACTGCTTGACCCAGCAGGTGGAGGTTGCAGTGAACTAAGATCGCGCCGCTGCACTGCAGCCTGGACCACAGAGCGAAACTCCATCTCAAAAAACAAAACAACAAAAAAAAGTCCCGGGCTCCTTCACTGCGGCAGGAGTAGCGCCGCCTGACCTTGTCGTGTCTCTCCGTGGGGGACTTGGGGTAGGTGAAGTGGAGCGTCACATCCACGAGCTGCTTCCTGCGCTGAGTGTGCAGCTTGTCCACCGACTCCCTCTGATCCGTTGAGCTGTTGCCTCCTTTGGGGACCCTGGAGTTCTGACAACCAGTCTGCTTGTTTGAATAGTCATCTGTTTGGAAATCTTTACTAGCTGTCATTCTTTATGAAGTTGGAGACATATGACAACTAATAACATATATATATATATATATATATAATAACATAAATATATATATATATATTTGTTTTTGTTTGTTTGTTTGTTTTGAGACGGAGTCTCGCTCTGTCGCCCAGGCTGGAGTGCGGTGGCGCGATCTCGGCTCACTGCAAGGTCCGCCTCCCGGGTTCACGCCAGTCTCCTGCTTCAGCCTCCCGAGTAGCTGAGACTACAGGCGCCGCCACCACGCCCAGCTAATTTTTTGTATTTTTAGTAGTGACGGGGTTTCACCGTGTTAGCCAGGATGGTCTCGATCCCCTGACCTCGTGACTCACCCGCCTCGGCCTCCCAAAGTGCTGGGATTACAGGCGTGAGCCACCGCGCCTGGATAATTTTTTGTATGTTTAGTAGAGATGGGGTTTCACCGTGTTAGCCAGGATGGTCTCGATCTCCTGATCTTGTCATCTGCCCGCCTCGGCCTCCAAACTAATAACATATTTTATAAAAATGCAATGATATATGTTATACTAGGAAATTAATGGACAAATTTTGAGAGAAATTCTTAAAAGAAATGCTTGAAAAACCTTTGCTAGTACCTAACGTTGAATTGTTATCAAATTACCTAGTTACCACAATGAATACTTTTGGGAATATCTTCCAATTGGTTAATGGGATATTCAGCAGCACTCTATTCTCATTTTAAATATGTATATAATCTGAGAGTTGGACGGGAATATGTAGATAATCTCTCATCATAATGAAGATTGTGCTCTGCTCAAACTTCTAGTGACAATAAATATTAATGGTCCCAAGATAGATATATCACTTTTGGATGATTTGTAGTCATCAAGGAACTATTGTATATGTTGATCTGAAATCTGGGACTTCTTAAAGAATCAATTAATTTAGTGAAGGCTTCTTTCTCTTCTTTCTGGTTTCTTCTTTTTTTTTCCCCTTTGAAACACACATTTAACCCATCTAGGGCAACCTTTCCCTGTCTCATTGATGCCTCAGACTACCTCTTTTCCTATTTCCACATGATTCTGAAGAAAGTGATCTTCCCCATTATCCAGACTTAACACTTTTTTTTTTCACATTCTTCTGAAGAAAAGTCTAACACTCTATTCACCGTTGTCTATATGTTCTTTAATCCAATATTTCAAAAAGCATGACATCCAGACTGTTTCCTCACAAAATCTGCACATCATATGAATGGAGCCAAAATGTGAATTTGCCTACTTTTTCTTAACATTCACATCATGTTGCCTGCTTAAATAGGAATTCTTAAAATGTGAAATGATGCCAATGATATTTAAGCCATTCAAAATTAGTGTTTATATTTATGCAGGCTAGATTTAATCATATTAGTGTCCAAGGATCATCTTCTGCTTCTAATATACGAAAGATTCTTATTAAATACTGGTTAATAGAATCAAGAATTGTTTAATGAATTTTTACTTTTTATGATATTGAATTGTGACACTGCTGGCCAAAATTCTAGCTAGCTTTTAATAATCTGTCATTATCAAATTTGAAAGCACTTCTTCACATATTTGAAATTATAACAAAAATTTACTTTAAAATGTATATCAAGTATTAAATTGAAAGGAAATTCATAACATATAAGCCATGCATAGCTAATGAACAAATATATAAATATTACCAATTTAGGTATATTATTAATAAATTTAAATTAAAATCAGGTTATATCAGGTTATACTATATTTTATATCAAATTGAGAAAATAGATACTTTTCTAAACTATTGAAAGCACATTAGTCATTTAAACTCAAATCAGTTTGGCATGTAAATTGGTGCTCTTTTATAAAATGCTCCTTGGGCATTATGAATCAAGAGCCTTAAAATGATTATATCTTTTGAGACAATAATTCTTCTTCTAGAAACTTTGCCAAAGGAATAATCAGATTTATACTCAAAGATATTCATAACATTGGACATAATCTAAAGGTGAGTAAAAGAAAATAAGATACAAAATTATGTATGTAAGATAATAATTCTATGGTGTATATGTGCCACATTTTTGGATGAAATTGGAAACCATCATTCTCAGTAAACTATCGCAAGAACAAAAAACCAAACACCGCATATTCTCACTCATAGGTGGGAATTGAACAACGAGATCACATGGACACAGGAAGGGGAACATCACGCTCTGGGGACTGCTGTGGGGTGGGGGGAGGGGGGAGGGATAGCATTGGGAGATATACCTAATGCTAGATGACGAGTTAGTGGGTGCAGCACACCAGCATGGCACATGTATACGTATGTAACTAACCTGCACAATGTGCACATGTACCCTAAAACTTAAAGTATAGTAATAAAAATAAATAAATAAATAAATAAAAGATAATAATTCTGCATATGAATAAATTTTTCATTCGGTATATGCATTATGCAATATAATATATGCATTATGCAATGTAATATACATATATGTATGTAATATATGCATTATGCAACATAATACACATATATTTACTAGTATGTACATGGTATGTATACACATATTTACTAGTATGTGTGTATATATATGCACAAACACACTCATCCATTTATCTGCCTATCTACATGCATGTGAACATCAAAAAAAATACTGGACAGGGTTAAAGTGAACATTCTTAGAGTGTAGAACTAAAGTGACTATTCTTACAAAGAGGAGTTATAGTCATTTTTATTCCCTTTAAATTTTTCTCTTATTTCCAGTGTGTCTACATTGATCATGTGCCATTTTTTAAGTGGAAGATAAATTAAACCTTAAGCTTACTTAGTGTCTAACCTCTGCCAACACGCTATGATAATTACTCAAACTGGTAAACAGCTATTTTCTAAGACCAAAAGTCTCCAAAACATGCAGAATAAAATATTTAGCATCATCAAAAATTAATCACCAAAATAACA
Source organism: Homo sapiens (assembly GCF_000001405.40). Lineage (NCBI taxonomy): Eukaryota > Metazoa > Chordata > Mammalia > Primates > Hominidae > Homo > Homo sapiens. The sequence continues at coordinate 76,326,049 of NC_000003.12, read as the reverse complement.
TATTCATGATTTTCAACATGTTTTTCTTGGTTGCCTAATGTTCCTGATATCATTTTTAAAGACACAAGGTTCATTTCTCAAGTGAGAAATGTATTTTCTACAATACTGTTAGGCTCAGAATAATGGAATCTTGAATAATTCTCTGATCAATGATAACTTCAATCCACCTAACTTTTGTTATTATAGTTATTCAAGCTTATGTCGTTCCTTTTTGTACAAGGAACAGGTATGTTTTATTCCCAATGCCTTTCCACGTGTTTTTACTGTCAAATTAGCTCACAGGGAATACTTGACTATTAACAATATCAAAACAGGGTTGTTGTTTTTTTTTTTAATTTGGCCTTTTATTCTTATTTTTTGCACTGTCTCTGTATCTCGAGTAGCATTAATAAAAAATCAAGGGAGAAACTTATTCAACATCACCTGCTTTGGCTTATAAACTGATTAAAATGCAAACAAATTATTCATAATCCAGGCTACAACCAACTGTTTACAAGTATGGTCTGATACCTGACATTTTACAAGTATGTTTACAAGTATGGTCTGATACCTGACATCCCCAAACATTGGGAAGGTAATTTTTAAATTATTTATAAAACGAAACTAAGGAAGTATTGAGGAATAATGCTATAATCAGACTTCCTTTTATCAACTTATTTATGCTCTATTAACTTAATTATTGCCATATATAGAAATGCATCCTATAGTAAACTTAGTTTAATCTACTGTACAATAATTGTGAACTTCTGCTAACTGGCTCTTTTTGCTTTGATACCATAAAAGTTGACATTCATAATGAAGGCTCTGAGCCATTGTGATATTATAAAATATGGAAATACAGCAGAGCGTTTACATTGTAGTGTTAAATAAAATGTTGCATTTAAAAATATTTTAAGTTAGGCTTTTATTTGAGTCTGATCTGTTTTGTTTGTTTGTTTTTGTTTTGAGACGGAGTCTCGCTCTGTCACGCAGGCTGGAGTGCAGTGGTGCGATCTCTGCTCACTGCAAGCTCCGCCTCCCGGGTTCATGCCATTCTCCTGCCTCAGCCTCCCGAGTAGCTGGGGCTACAGGCGCTGCCACCACGCCCGGCTAATTTTTTGTATTTTTATTAGAGACGGGGTTTCACCGTGTTAGCCAGGATGGTCTCGATCTCCTGACTTCGTGATCTGCCTGCCTTGGCCTCCCAAAGGAGACTGATCTGTTTTTAATATTCCTATTAATAGTCAACTTCATTTATCAGAAAATCACATTCTCAGATTATATTAGGTAACAGAGAAATTGCATGTAGTAAAGTGCTTTTTTTTCCAGAGAAGTTTTTTGATATTTAATTCCAGAATTATTGAGGAAGAAAGGACTCATGATTTCAAGAAAAAATTCTTTTACTCATTCAAAGATTTCTGTTTTCATGTACTTTTGAAAATTAGACTCACGTGGATCTTAAACATGTTTTGAATCTACACACAACACAGATTACTTAAAGCTCTCCAACCCATAGCAAACATGCTATCAGGTAATTTAACGGATTGAAGAAATTGCTAACTTGTTAAATGAGAGAAAAAATCTCCGTCCTGCATTCTGCCTTATCAACTGTTCCAAACATATTCATTTACAGTGACCTTTAGAAACCACCCTAAATCAGTAGCTGTACATTTTTTTAACAATGAATTTTATTATCTACCTAAGGTATACACAAGCAACCACATTGACTGGGATTGAAAGAACACACAGCTTCAGTTCTAGAAGAGCATCACATATTACGTCTCAAAGCATTTGATTCATCCCTTGTGGTTTTTGAAGCTAGAAAAGTGACCTTTTTTCTTTTTCAGTGTTTTACTTTTGGCACGTCAAAGTACTCCCATGAGTAACCCCGTTTCATCCTACAATTTCTTCCTTTAAATAGTGTTATGATAAGGAGAGGAAAGAAAAAAGACAGCAATATTGAACATTTAGTGTAGTATGGTGTGAGGCTTACTAGAATACCAAAACTGTGATAATGATAGATCATTGTATTGAAGTTATGTCTTGATCCTCAGTAGAACTTCTACCATTTCTCAATGTTTATGTATTATTCAGAATAATAGTGACCTGAAACAGAAAAAGCTTCTTATCTCTTAAAACTTTTATTGAGAGGAGTTCAAAATGCTCACTGTTAAGTGCTATTCTGTGTGTATTTAATGTAGAGTGAAAAGCACTTTGGTATCCATTTTAGATTGACTGGCAACAAGACAGACAAGGAGGCATGTGCTGGAGTCATGAAGATACATATGAAAAATTAAAAGTTTAAAATTAATTTGAACTTGTAATGCACCACGTGGAAATCCAAAAACCAATTTCCAAATGAAACAGCTTGAAACTTTTTCTTGCCATCTGGTTTTGGACCTGGCTCATTCAATTCCAAGTTTGCCCTTGTGAATACTCCAATTTTATATATGTGATCTGGAAACGATACTCTCCATGCCACCTAAGCCTGTCTTGTTGGATTTCTTAAAATAGAGGGTTTGCTTTTTCTACACCATCAATATTCTCCAAATACCTCTTAATCATAGACTCATTTGTCTTTATTTTAAACCAGATGTGATATTAGTACTTAATTTGTTGAGGTAATGAACAGTGATTGCATTTTATTTGACTAAAAATAAAAAAATAATAGTATGCATCTAACATTTTCACATCTATAATGAGCCTAAAATACAGATTGATGAATTCGAATGAGGAGAAAAAAAATCCAGATTTGGCTATTTGAGTTTTAAGAAAGAGAAAAGTAGTGCTTAATATAGAGACACAGGATTAAATAAGATTATACTTGGAAAGCATTTAACACAATGCTGGCACACAAGAAATGCTCCATGAATCCCAGCAATTAGCCTTTAGGGGTGTGTGTGTGTGTGTGTGTGTGTGTGTGTGTGTGTGTAATACTAACAATAAGTAAAAGATTTGAGTATAGTTTTTCCTGAAGAAAATATTTATTGAAAGACCACTGCTACACTGCTAGTTACTTTGCATATATGACCTTGTTTGTTCCACATGAAATAGCACTGTGAGAATGTGAGAATCACAGAAGTCAGATAATTTGCCTCAGAGTATACAACTAATAAATGGCAGAGATGTCAGCAGAAATTCAGTGTCTCTGTTATTTCTTGGCGATATTTCAAATAAATTTAGCAAACGTGAGCTGCTACCCCATAAAGTTATTTTAATTGCCTTTAAATGTATCTGCAAGATATGGATAAGAAGGTTGCTGTAATCAAAATTGTAAGAATTTAAACTATAAATAGGATATATAAGAATGCATCTTCTTGGTGTACTTTGTGCTCATTTAGTTCCTAAGAGTCTGTTCAAATCTAACTGAAAGTGAATTAAAGTTACAAGAAAAACTGACTTCCGGTAACTTCGCCGCTTCTTTTTAAAATTAATTATTATAAGTCAAAATTTGTGCTTGGGAAAAACATGCTATCACTTTCAAATTATTTAACTAGTGTACCCACCCACTTGCCTAGGATTCTTCAAACAGATGAATAAAATCATACTTTTATGTATACATAAGGCATTTAAAATTATAACAGTAAATCTTAAAGATCATCCAATAATGTGATTATGATATGAAGAACTCTTTTTAGAACATATATTTGAGGCTCCAAGTTACACATTTATATCTCTATGAAATGTCTGTAAAAATGATAACTGATAACATATAACTGATAAATGAAGCAAACGTTATAATTTTTACACACAGTGAAATGTAGTAATTATAAAAGATGAACTATTTGTATACAGGATAGATTTATATACTAATTTAGTTAAATGTACACTATATAATGTCTGTGTGTATATATGTGTGTGTATATTATATATATATATATATATATATATATATATATATATATACGGAAGAAGTAGAAATCATTTCAAATAAACCACTTCAGAAGATGATTTGCACAAGATATTTTATATAAGGCAAGTAAATAGTTTCAGGAAAAGTTTTCAGTAACAGTGACATCATAGATGAAACTCTTCACACTAAGAGAATAGGACCAGCCCTACAACTTTATTCTAGCACATGATTCTGTGTGCTAGACCTTTATTCTAGCACATGATTCTGTGTGATTGCTTTTGTTTTTAAGATATCAAAAAGTAAATCTTGCAAATGTAATGAGGGAAAAGTACTCCAGGGTGACCGGTAAGAAAGTTTGTCACCCAGGTAACGCACACAGAATTGTTCCCTAAACACTGCAGTCATCATATGACGTGTCCTGCCAAGTCTTACAACGGCCTTTTATTTTCAGTTCTATAAATTCTAGATTCATCTTCCTGCTTCTTACAGCTATACTTAACTGACTCTGTTGTTATTTTCCACTAATTCTCAACACACTGTCCATTAGAATGGGGGTAGGTTACTTGACTGTCCCCTAAATGTAGCACAGTTTACCTGGGTTGAATGCCTGGCTGGTTGGAAGTGGACTACCATGTAACATTAGTCAAGTTGTTACTTTCATAAAACCAATGGGGTTGATACACGTAGCATATAGTTGTTGTTGTTGTTGTTGTTGTTTTTTGAGATGGAGCCTCGCTCTGTTGCCAGGCTGGAGTGCAGTGGCATGATCTTACTGCAACTTCCGCCTCCTGGGTTCAAGAGATTCTCCTGCCTCAGCCTCCTGAGCAGTGGCGCGCCACCACGCCCAGCTAATTTTTGTATTTTTAGGAGATACAGGGTTTCACCATGTTGACCAGGATGGTCTCGATCTCTTGACCTCGTGATCCGCCCACCTCGGCCTCCCAAAGTCTGGGATTACAGGTGTGAGCCACCACGCCTGGCCTAGCATATAGTTCTATACCTCCCTGTGCTCATTTGCAGTTATCATTGTTTGAAATATATTTTCCTTTTATATTGCTCTATTTAGAGCCTAGGAACTGGAGATGCATAATTTACAGGTCATGCATTGTACAATATATTTTTCTAAATGTATCTTCATTCTTGTCTTCTCTGATGACTTGTATTATGTTTCTCTTAGGAGCATTCAGTAAATATTTATTGAATGAATGCATGTATATCTTTTAGATTTTCTACTAGGCTACATAAGTCCATGGCTATAGTAGATAGACTACAAATATTTTGTTAATAGTACAGTATATCTACGTTGTTCCATATGAAGTGTACAAATTACCTTCATAACATCTTTAGGAGCCTCCAATGGAAATAGGCAATCAGTAAAGATCTTCATCTAACAGTGCATTAAGTCCTACTCATTACACTTCGCAATCAACAACCTCAACCCTAAATCCCTGTATGTTTCTCCACACTGGTCCATGAAATCCCTCAACAGGAATGGGACATTATGTTAGATAAATGAAAATCTGTACTTGTTAGCCAGGAGCAATTCTTAGGCCTCTATGGATTGTAGAAGGTACTTCTGTGACATTTCTGATTGACCTAAAATAAATTCTTTATTAGCTGCCAACTATTACATTAGAGATTTCACAAAATGCCGCTGTCTCCAGAACATAATGTTGGACTTTGCCCAGCTTGATAACTACTTTTTTCATGACAGAGTTTTTGACATTGATATGAAGGGATTCTACAGAGCATATGTAGGGTCTGTCCTAATAGCTGATGTGGTGAACTCTTCATAAATTGACAGAAGGAATGAATTTCTGTACCTCATCCTGGCAAAATACAAAGAGCTGTAAATTGACAATACTGAATGAACTCATTACATCTTTTTAATTTTTCTGAATAATAATATCAGGAAAATATTTTCTCTACATAAGAATATAGTCATATTAATTTAGCATTTTGTACAGAAATGAAATTCAAAATGTAGTCATTCAAATAAATATTATTGCTAAAGGTACATAAAGTTTTATTGTTGTTTTTGCATAATAGTGAATTGGATAATATCCTACTTAATTCTATAAAAGAATTTCATTACAAAATGAAATCTGAAGCAAATATGATAGGCTTAATTTGATGTGTAGTTTGTTTTAAATAGCAAATTGGACTATATTTCAAACTAAATCTGTTAGGTATAAACCATATCCTGCCTAAAAAGAAATGGGTTCACAACAACTTCCCCTCCGTTTATCAAATACAGATGCCTTCCCCCCTCTAATCCTGGGATACAGAGTATTTCCTAGACCATATCACCATGCCACACACCAAAATTCCTACATAGATTACTTGAATTTCTACGTTAAGCTAAATTATAACCTATATTCAATAGCTAAAGATACTTATAGATATCACAAAAACAAGAACAGGAATAACTTTGTATTTTGAAAGCCATTCTCTCATTAAAAAAAAAAGCACAAATGGGAAAAAAATATAAATAAACAAACAAAAATCAGCATGAATCATCCAGAAGTTAACAAGTAATTTGAAGAACAGGTTCAATGCTGGAGCTTACTCAACATTACCCTAAATTGAGAAATTGAGATTTTGGTTTGAAATCAACCATAGGATAACCTCAAAATATTATTTGGATACTTTTTTTCCCCAAAAATAGAACCAAGTGCAACTTTAGTATAATTTTGTTTTCAACATCATAATCATTTAACTTAGTTGAAGACACCAGCTAAAGGGAAAGGAATATTCCTTCCCAAGAAAGAAAAAAAAGGCTTAAGAATTATAAATTATAAGTTTATGGAGGGTAGAATCCATATATAGAATAGTTTTTCAAGTGTCTTCGATAGAGCAAGCTTTGAACACTTACTTAATATACGGATTTCAAAAACCCAGTGTGGAGTAAGTCAAGAAATCTCTTTTGTGTGTGAAGCTGCATATCATTTTTAAGACATCAATAAAAGACTTTGGAACTTTGATTTTATTTTTGTAAGTCTGGGATTGTGATCCTTTGTTTTCATTTCTTAAATTCTACTTTTGGACAAAGGTGATCCTCAGGACTGATGAGACTGAATGGCTGAAAGATAACTTTTCATGGGGCCATAAGCCCTGATGAATTCCCTGGTCTCTGAAAATGTAATGGCCTTTCGATGTAATATGTTTATTTTCTTTCCTTTTTAGAAGAATTATCTCTTGTTTGGGTGACCTTGGTTTCTTAATGAAACTAAAATCCTTAACAGCTAAAATATCCCCAGTCTTGATTGACCAAGGTCATTATCTGATTCACATAATCTTCAGTTGACTTGGGCAAACACCTTATTACCAACTCTCATCACTTTTGGAATTTCTTTTTTTTGAAATTTTAATTCCTTTTCAAGTAACAAAACCTGTGAAAATAACTAAACTTTATATTTTTTCCCCATTTTTTAACATTCAACTAACTTTGAAGGTTGAATTTGAAAACTAAAAAAAATGAAATTGCTCTGGGACTAAGACCTAATATTAGCCATGGTCCACCCTGAAGCAAAAATTTTATAGCTAAGTTGTAAACCCTTTGAAAATGTAGCTTATAATGGAAGCGCTGACACAATCTTAACTATGCATTCATGAACCCCAACACTAATATATCCAAGGTGTTTTATTACTGTCAATTTATCTCAGTTTTTAAAATTAAATAACCCCTCCAAGCATCTTTATTTCCCTTTTAAGTTTTTAAACAAATGTGTGTGTATATGTTTGTAAATATGTGTATATGCATGTGTGTAATTTGGAAACGGGAGGAGAGGGTGGGGGCTGATAGATATATACACACAATTTGTACACATGCTTGATAAGGGTGTAATGCATTAATATGTTTTTCAACCCACACTTTTCCCTGGCATAATCTGACATTATAAAGAACATACGCTTCCCAACATCGTTTTCTTCAAAGTGGTGCAACCGTCTGCTACCTAGGCAGTAGTTTTCCCCACTTTTGATAAGAGTGCTTAGTCTATTTGTAAGTAAAATTCAAAGAGCTTTTTTAATATACCTACTTTAATATACCTACTTTTCTAATATGAAGAATACATCAAAACTCTTTCCAATTTTTTCCCTATTTGTCATTAAATTAAAAATTATATTTCAGGTAAATAACATGAAATCTCAGGGTATTTTAATCACAAGGGAACAAGCATACATTAATGACAAATATATAATTAAAATGAAATTTTGATGTCAAAATTTAAAAAAGTGAATTTGAATAGAAGTTTAACAAAAATGACAATGGATAAAAAATACTCAGGACATATTTTCTATAGCTAAGACAAATCTATTATTCTCAAGCACCATTTTTTTCATTATCAAAATCTTATATATATGGAATTTTCCTGAATTTATTAAATGCTATTTCCCAAATAACATGAAACAATATGAGTAAGTTTTACAACAGATCTTAGTATAGTTGCTAAGCATATTCTTCAATTACTATATATAAAAAATACTCTAATAATCTTTTGAACATATAGAAAAAACATGTTTTTCAGACCTGGTTTTGGAATTTACTTTTCAGTTGTAAGAAAGATAAGGTATTAAATCTATTTATTGCATACAGATGGAGATTAAATTATTTAAACAAATGAAACTCAGACGTAATGATTATACACAGTACAAAGAACACTCTGCATTTTGCATGAATATTCATACAGTTCAGTTTCCAGATTCCCAATCTCACATTATAAATTACTTTTGAACAACAGTGTTGCTTTCTTTTTTTCTACTGCACTACTTCCTACATGAGTCTGACAGAGTTTTCCAAATTTCTTGACTACTATAAAATACCTTCAAATTTTTCTACAACTAAAACTGACATTTAAATGATATAGTAAAAGCCTTGTAATAAAAATGATTTCCCAGCGTTACAAAGGTGAGATCCATCACATTGGCTAAAAGTAAGAAATGTGTAATTAACACTTAAAGTCAGAATATTGTATTACCAGTCTATTTTTCCATGTACTTTGTCCATTCATCAAATATTTATTAAGCATCTATTAAGTACAAGACTGCATGTTAACAAAGATTAATCAAAGACAAAATTTCTCTTGAAATTACTTACAAAGTGGTTAAAAAGACACAGACGCACATAACAATTAAGCACTATAAAAACTGACAGATGTCTTCTTATCTATGTAAAGTGTCATAATCCTTTAGAAGATGAAATATAATTTTAAGCATGCAGGTTAGAAGCATTTTATCTGGAAGTTAGAACTAGTGTAGTGGTTGGGGTTATTTCAAGAACAACATAAAGTGATCTACATTTGTTTCCTCAAACCAGAAAGTCTTAAGTTGTTGCAGGAAGTCAGGGACCCTGAACGGAGGGACTGGCTGGAGCCGCGGCCGAGGAACATAAATTGTGAAGATTTCATTTTAATATGGACATTTATCAGTTCCCAAAATTAATACTTTTATAATTTCTTACACCTGTCTTCACTTCAGTCTCTGAACATAAATTGTGAAGATTTCATAGACATTTATCAGTTCCCAAATAATACTCTTATAATTTCTTATGCCTGTCTTTACTTTAATCTCCTAATCCTGTTAACTTCATGAGCTGCGAATGTATGTCACCTCAGGACCTCTACTGTACAAATTGATTGTAAAACATGTGTGTTTCAACAATATGATATCAGTGCACCTTGAAAAAGAACAGAATAACAGCGATTTTCAGGGAACAAGGGAAGACGACCATAAGGTCTGACTGCCTGCAGGGTTGGGCAGAATACAGCCATATTTTTCTTCTTGCAGACAGCCTATAAATGGACATGGAAGTAGGAGCGATATCACTAAATTCTTCTCCTAGCAAGGATTATTAAATATTAAGACCCTAGGAAAAGAATTGCATTCCTTGGGGGAGGTCTATAAATCGTCGCTCTTGCAGTGTCTGTCTTATGCGGTTGAGATAAGGACTGAGATACGCCCTGGTCTCCTGCAGTACCCTCAGGCTTACTAGGATTGGGAAACACCAGCCCTGGTAAATTTCAGGTCAGACCAGTTCTCTGCTCTCGAACCCTGTTTCCTGTTAAGATGTTTATCAAGACAATACGTGCACCGCTGAACATAGACCCTTATCAGGAGTTTCTGATTTTGTCCTGGTCCTGTTTCCTCAGAAGCATGTGATCTACTCCCTGTTCGTACACTCCCTCCCCTTTTAAAATCCCTAATAAAAACTTGCTGGTTTTCCAGCTCAGGGGGCATCATGGACCTACCAATGTGTGATGTCACCCCCAGAGGGCCAGCTGTAAAATTCCTCTCTTTGTATTCTTTCTCTTTATTTCTCAGACCGGCCGACACTTAGGGAAAATAGAAAGAACCTATGTTGAAATACTGGGGGCTGGTTCCCCCAATATTAAGTTATTTCATTGTTTCTGAAAGAGTAAATCATTGTGTTCAAATCTGATTAATGAAAATATTGATTTCTTACCCAATAGCAAGGAATGTGAGATACTGGTTTTATGAGGCAGTAAATTTTTTATTAGTTCATATAACTAGGGGAAACATCAGAAGAAATATAATAATGGGCTTCTATGCAGTAGACACCATCAAATACTTAATAATTTTTTCTTAACTTTTAAGGTTAAAAAACTTCTACAAGCTCCAACAAATTCTGAAATAATTGTCAATGTATTAGATGGGACCATGCAGATAAGAGATTAAAATTGAAATTGCCACTCTAAATATTCCTAGGTCAGCGCTTCAATGCACCATGAATTAAAATGTTGCAATACCGTAGTATGTGCTCATAATACAATTTAATCCTTCCTAAAGAGGGAGAAGATAACTGCCAGAGAGGCTTTCTTTGCTTAGCAAAGATATATATTAGATAACTGGCTGCTGTAATTTATTACAGAAAAAAAGTATGGCTGTTGTGTGAAATAATTTTCTGAGTTATTAAAAGTTTTGATCACTTCATACTTCGTTGCCAATAGTTTAACTCTCATGTCATAAGTGAGATGATTGAGTGAACTCAACAGACTCTTCCAGGAGGTTGAAATGGAGTCAAGGTCAAGTGCCAGAATGGGTGGGACATGGACAACAGTCAGGTCTAATTCCCCCTCTTAGTTTGATCAGTGGTTGCTCAGACTAGCCAATGTTTGTGTTGAACCAAGGGGTCAACGTTTTGACTATTTCATGCCAGCCTTACCCACTTACATCTTCTAGACCTATTTTTCTATTTATACCTATTTACCTCCCATTTGTACCTTTAATAGTAGCTATAAATATTAAAATTTGGCTTAAATTATAATTTCCAATAGCAGAAATAGATATGATTGACCCTTGAACAACACAGGGGTTAGAGCCACTGACCCCTGTGCCAGTCAAAAATCTGCATATAACTTTTGACTTCCCCAAAACTTAACCACTAATAACCCACTGTTGACTGGAAGCATTACCAGTAACATAAACTGTTGATTAACACATGTTTTATATGTTATATGTATTATATACTGTATTCTTACAGTAAAGTAAGCTAGGGAAAAGAAAATGTTATTAAGAAAATCGTAAGGAAGAGAAAATACATCTACTATTCCTTAAGTGAAAGTGGAGCATCATAAAATCTTCATCCTCATGTCTTCACATTAAGTAGGTTAAAGAAGAAGAGGAGAGGTTGGTCCTGCTGTCTCAGGGGTGGCAGAGACAGAAGAAAGTTCTCATATGAGTGAATCTGCACAGTTCAAACCTGTGTCATTCAAGGGTGAACTCAATACATATGTATATTATATGTAAATATGATATTATCTATTTATATATAACTTCCTTTTTGTTGTATATATTGAACATCTGCATTGTAAACTTTTCTGTAGAGTTATGCTCATGTGAATGGAGCTGTTTACATCTTTTAGACTTTTTCATGGTGAAGGTAATCGAACATAAAATAATTAGCTTCTGTAATTCTAATGAAGAAAATGTCAGCAATGTAGTTAAGATTTCTGGTGAGTTTATCATAAATGCAAACTCTTATGATCACTTATGTCATGCTCTAAATTAATCAGATGGGACACCTGCCTTCCCTTAAGGTGTTCATATATTGTGATTAAATAGAAAAGTGTATGCCTGAGGGAAAACTTGCTGGCCTACTAACCTATATTTGGGAGTCATGTTCATTGATGAGCTTAAAAATCCCTTGAGAGCCAACAATAATCTGCCTTTTTTCCAAATGTTCTGACAAGTCAGTTTCCCGTCATCCGTTTGGTGCTGTCTGGCTACGTGCTGCTCGTATCACTCCTCACAGGCCACACGTATACACTGGTCTTTGAAGCTGCCACTCCCCAAGCCTGCCCCAATAACCATTTCTGTCTCAATGGTAGTTCCTGTTAATACTACAAAAATGGAAATTGTCAAGGTGAGCAGGTTGCCATATGGAGGTTGACAGCTGCTCAGTCAGATTAAGACAAATGCACATAGGCAGTGTGAGTGCAAGAAAAAAAAAATAACTCGGAAGAAAACTTTGTTGTTTGCTATTGGTATCTTTTCCAGGATTTTTAGAAATAGAGTATCTGTTTTAAAGATTGTTTTGTACGCAGGTAAGCTTGAGCTGGTATTGATATGAAGCAAACCAAAAAAGAGTAAAGTAACCTTTAAAATGTTGTATTTCCATGTTGATCCTCTTTGCCTCTGGCCACAGTGTTTAATTTAACATGACTCATTCTCCCCCATCCCACCTCATGTGTAGAACACCTCTGCAAGGTATCTTTCAAAATAATAAATGAAGATCCTTACATTGTGAAAAGGGAAATAATGTTGAACAAATTGTAAAAATGTGTTTTAAAAGACTGCATAGCATGCCAAGAAAAAAACGAACAGAATTTTACAACCCACTGAAAGATAACACACCACCATCAATAGCCAAGCTCATGAATAAATAAATATTTACAACATACACATATGCATATCAAGGCGAGGCTACATCGCAGGAACTCAGAATCTGTGGAAAATATTTATGCAATGCCTATACAGTAACAAACAGAGGCACTAAAAAGGAAATAATTTTAAAGCACAGTCAACACGTTTAAAGTTTTTCAGTAACTTGACTGACCTTTAAAAAATACACAGAATTCTTTTAACAATATGAAATATGTTGCTATGATTGCCTATTCCTGAACTTAACTGAGTTGTATCATCATCACACAGCAGAGCTAGCAAATTTCTAGCTGAGCTAGTTAGAGTACATTGGAAAAAGTGGTCATATGTTCAAAGAGGAAACATTTCAGACTTGATTTACAAATGAAATCTAATGCATCTGTATTCAAAGCTGTGTGAAATGAATACATGCTTAGGAACACACACAAGCATTTTAAATAAACCTTTCTGAATAGGTTAACAACTTTGCTAAAATCTTGCAGCAATCTTTCTCACGGGTAGCTAGAGCTCCAAAGTTTACTGCTTAAGTTTAACGCAGGAAATTAAACTTTGACATGCTATAGGTACTGACCATATGTAAGAAATACAAGTTAACACTCCTGACATCAATAACACCATACATCGCTAAATCCTAAGCTACTAAAGGCCAGCATGCAGGCTAACATAAATAACTGCTTGCAGTTTGCAAGAAAAAGAAATCCATTGATAACACTAGGAAATATAGTAATGTGATGGTATAATTTACAAGGCCTGAAGATAATTTGCAGCACCATTCCTCTGGGTGGATCTGCACCAACCATCTAAGCTAAGTGCCTGTTGGAACTTTTCCCTCAAAGGTACAGTAGGCAGAAGATTTGTAATATATTTAATGCAACAAAAGGAGAAGCAGAAAGATCAGACTGATGGGGCTTGGGTATTTAGAAAATCCTGCTGAGATATTGTGGTACATTTTTAAAACTTCTTGTTCATAATATACATGCTTCTCTTGAACCTCAGATGATAAACACTGACAGGAAAGAAATGGTAGGGGAGACTCAGAAACATTTTTACAGCCAAGATAAAAACGTTAGGTAAAAAGAATGCTTCTGCAAAGCAAAATCCTCAGATATATCTCCCATCAAGATTTTTCTCCAAACATACAAACAGTGTCCAGAAAGTCTCTCGTGGGATATGTCTGCACCATCATTTTGGCTTACAGCATTCACAAAACACATATCTTGGTAACTTGTGTTTATATAAACAAATGGCATTCGGGGAAGCAGAACCCACTGAACTTTATAGAAAGGTTGATTCAAAGTCTCAAAAATTCTCTCCCATCTCACGATAATTTTTCAACAGCAGAAGAAAATGTATTACAACACTTCAAAGTACTGAAAGGCTTTTTCTCATTCAGCAGATTTTTTTCCAATAAAGTTAATGCAATTTATCTTTATTAACACATCAACACTGATAGAGTCAGCCAGAAAATTAGTGTTGGTGGCACTGCATTTCATAACATGCCCTTTCTCAGACATCCCTCTGATCAGTTCACAAAATCTGCCAACAATTCAGGGATCTAGCATATTCAGAACCCATTTCTTTTAAAAATAATGCGGCTTCCGAAGGAAAACACATATATTCTTGCACTAGAGAAGCATGCATCTGCTCTTACAGTCTCCCTGCTGGAAACGATCATTGTAATGCTTTGAAAGCCCAGAAAACCAAACATTGCAAAAATATATTGATATCAATAACAGAAAATTCTTCTTTCTAGCTATCTGCAACGCAGACCCCCTTTCCTGAAATAAAAACCTGATTTCAGACAGAAGCAGCTCCTTCACCCTCAGCTGTCCTTAAGTTAGCAGTAACTGGCCTTGCTAACTCCATTTAGATCTTTAACACGAAACTTTCATCACTTACCCCCCTTCCAAGGTTTTCCTTTCCAGGGGGTCCGGGTCAGCTTGCTCAGAGTTGGTCCAGAGAGGAAGAGCATCAAAACGAAGAGAAGTTCAAGCCTAGTAATTTTCTCCACTTTCTCTGATGATAACATTTCCACAAGTTAATTTCACAAAATTTCTCACATCCTCTTCCCTCCTGGTTATGAAAATAGCATTAATCATTGAAAAACCTGAGGTAGGTGTTGTTTTGCCATCTTTAACAGCTGAAGTAGCAGCTTCCTGATGTAGCCCTGAGCCAAGCTACATTTCTCACGGATCCGGCTCCTTCTCCTCAGTACGCAGTCAGCCCTGCTTCTACTCCAGAAGCTATAAAATAATTTCTGTTCTCCACTTTGCTTTCAGTGGGAATATATTCCTCAGTGTTCTGGGTGAGCTTGATTGAAAATGATAAAAACAGTAATGTCTGTGTCCAGCAGAAAAGGGAAAAGATGTCAGGATTATGTGAAAAAGATGAGAAGCAGTTGTACTGACAGCTTTCAGGCTGCCTGTGTGATCCTAATAGCCGTGCAACCAACCAAATTGCTCTTTTAAGAGTAATAAGGCTTCAGTGAAAGCCGGTGTCACCGCCACTTGGGTGGGTAGTGCTGGGCTTGAAAACCACCCAGGAACCGCCACGGATAACGCCTGCTTCAGTTCAGCTTCAGAATATTAAGGGCTGAGCAAAATATAGTATGCACAGAGGGTAGTTAATCTATTGTGTGGATAGACGAGGATTCAGGCAATGTAGCAGAGGAAGACTCAGAACTTAAAATGTATCTTATTTTTCCTTTACTTCACCTCGTGACATTCAAAGGGGATTGCATCGGCACTAATGATTCATAAATGGGTCTGAAATATTTATTAGATGAACAACAATAAGTATATAATTTTTCTCCCCAGCAATAAAACAGGAAGGGCAAGTTCTCAATACGTAGTTGCAGCTCTCCTCTGTGTTCAATGAAGTCAGTTTATTTCGGCGTTCCTGTGTCACCCTAATGAACCCACCATGAATATCATAAGCAAACTTTTGGAAATACCAACATAGACGGCCAAGGCTTTCTGGAACGTGTTAATCACACATTCAAGAAAGCATATTTTTATTTGTTTGTGTACATCACCATGGAAATACAACAAGCTCCTCAAGCCTTTCTGTCTTTTGCGACTATGTTTATGCAGACATTGCTGGTCACAAGGTATGGTTATAATTAACACATGACAGTGCCCCTGGATGAAGATGACGTGGGTGAAGGCATACATATAAAATGAACTAATTTGGGATTGTCTGACGTGGTGGCTCACATCTGTAATTCCAGCACTTTGGGAGGCCAAGGCAGGAGTATAACTTGAACCCAGGAGTTTCATACCAGACTGGGCAACATGGTGAGACCCCCACCTCTACAAAAAAAAAAAAATTAGCCATGCATGGTGGTACGCCTGTAGTTCCAGCTACTCAGGAGGCTGAGGCAAGAGGATCACTTAAGTCTGGGAGGTTGAGGCTGCAGTAAGTCATGATGGTGCCACTATACTCCAGCCTGGGCGATAGAGCAAGACACTGTCTCAATAATAGTAACAATAATAATTAATAAAAATGATAGAATCTTTGCCACCTGAAGTGAATTGGCGTGATCAAAACATTCTGGCTACTATTTTAAATCTGTCTACATGTTAGTATATGTATGGTCACTAATTTCCTTAATCAGTGAGACACAATACATGAATTATGCACTTATGTATTTTAAAGTAATCAATTTCTATATTATGATAACCACCAGTTTTATGATGTTATCACTTTCAAAAGGGAACAAATTACCGCTTTCAAATCATATTCTTGGAAGAGGTACCTTTAGAAGAGCAAGTTATCTTGTTAAGATAAGCCACATATTAAATTTGAAAATACAGTTATTACAATTTGTTTTTATAAAAAGGAAACTATGTTTGTCAAAAAAAATTAATGGAATACACAAAATAAACTCTCACATTGTGCCTTAGTTTAGAAACAATAATCACCCTGTATTCAACTTTCAATTTGAAAACTTCTGTGTGAGGAAGGAAAAACTTATGCCCATTTTATAAATAGTGAATTTAAAATTCCATGTCTTTGCATACTTAAAAATGGGGAGCTATATTTAACTCAGAATTTGATTTTCTTTTTCCAGTCACTATCCTGTTTACCTGACAATTTCCTCTCTCTTTAAATGCAAGTAAACAGAAATTGGTAGAATAAATTGACCAACTCCCTCACCACCAACTTCTGAGGAGGACTCTACAACTAAACCCATTTACTTTCCGCTGGCTCCATCCCTCTTCAAAGAAAAAGCACAGATTTCATGATTAGCAATTAAAAAAAAAATGTCTTGGCCCTTTGGCAGAACAGAAAAAATGTCAAATAGGTTTGAATATAATAAAAGTGTGTGGATAGAATTGTTGAATTTTTCTGAAAGGTCTGGCCGGAACAAGGTTACTAAGAAAATCATTCTTTCCTGAAATGGGGTAAAGCTGGTTAGATTCACTCCAAAAATATTTCATGTTTAGATTTCCAAGGTTTCTTTCCTTTTCAATAATCCCTAGTAGACACCAGGTCACAGCTCTCTCTGATGGGGAAATTGAAATGGAATTGGAAGAACAAAATCACTGTTGCTCAACAAGGGAAGTCACTCTCTTCCAGAATTCATCTGGCAGAAGTTTGAAGTTCTGCTGGAGCTTTCTGCATACCAGAAGAGAGAAGAGAAAGCCTCCTCATATGGAAATAGTGAGGGTAGCAAATGGAATAAACAAGAGTACAATCTGAAGGAAAAGTGAAAGACTAAGAGGAGAGGCAGTCCAATGAGACATGTATCTGTGAAAGTATGAGTTTAGAAATGCCTTCCCATCTACGTTAATATTAGTAACAAATTAGCTAACTTATTACAAGTTCAAAGCACTTTGCATTCATCAACTCATTTAATCCTTACTAAAACACAATGAAGTAGGAATAATTCTTTTTTCTTTGCTTTTCTTTCTTTCTTTTTTTTTTTTTTTTTTTTTGAGACAGAGTCTCACGCTGTCACCCAGGCTGGAGGGCAGTGGTGCGATCTCGCCTTATTGCAACCTCCGCTTCCTGGGGTCAAGCGATTCTTCTGCCTCAGCCTCTCGAGTAGCTGGGATTACAGGCGCCCACCACCACGCCCAGCTAATGTCTGTATTTTTAGTAGTGACGAGGTTTCACCATATTGGCCAGGCTGGTTTCAAACTCCTGACCTTGTGATCCACTCACCTTGGCCTCCCAAAGTGCTGGGATTACAAGCGTGAGCCACCATGCCCAGCCAAAGTAGGGATAATTCTTTCCTGCATTTAGTACAGTATAAACTGAGGCACAGAGAGTTTAAGTCACCTATCCAACGTCATAGTGCTGTTTTGAATTCAAACCCCTCAGTTCCAAGCCTTTGCTCATCCCTGTGCTAGGCCCTCCATGAAACTGTTGTCTCTGCACTCTCAATCCTTCTGAGCTACCTTGCTCATAAGTAACATCTTAATGTAAAAGAATAGCAAATAGTGATAACATGCTCAATATATGTGAGGTTTTAAGTGCTTTAGAGGTTTTCTTTATTTTCATGAACTTGTGAGATGAGTCATTTATTATTCATACTCTACATATTGCTACTTAGCCAATGTCACATCGTGATTACCCAGCAGAGCTAGAATTTGAATCCTGCACAGCCCCAGTTTTTGTTATTCTTCTCTTTTACTGAGTCGGGCGCATGGATCTTGGGAAACTGGAAAGGGCTTAAGCAAAGCTTGAAAGGTAAGGGAATTAGAGGGATTTTGGGGTAGTTGTGGCTTGGAATCTTCTTTAGTTTACTGGCAGCAGCACAGAGGTCTATAAATGGGAAGGTCCACCGAGAGAGGCAATCAGAATAAAATTCCTCACCACCTACTCGTGCTCAAAGGAAAACATGAAGAAAAAGAAGGC
This sequence comes from Homo sapiens, assembly GCF_000001405.40. Taxonomy (NCBI): domain Eukaryota; kingdom Metazoa; phylum Chordata; class Mammalia; order Primates; family Hominidae; genus Homo; species Homo sapiens. The sequence continues at coordinate 76,307,451 of NC_000003.12, read as the reverse complement.
CCCAGCAAGACCTGACTTACAGACAGTTACAATACACATAATAAATGCTTTAATGCAGGCCATAAAGAATGGTTAGGAAGACTGCAGAGAAGGAGTACTATAAAGGAGGTATATATTAAAGTGAAGTTCAGTGAGAGAGAAGAGAAAGAGCTGGTTCAGCTAGGACATTCAGGGCAGAGAAGGTGGCTTTTCCACTAAGTATCAAATAATGAGAATATATTTTAAGACTAGGTCAAGTCAGGCAAGAGGCAGAGGATAATCCAGGCTGAGGAAATAGCATGAGCATGGTTACAGCCAGGAAAGAAAGCCTGTCCCCTTCCAGGAACTGCCAGGAAGGCAGTGTGGCTGGGTGTGGAACCTATAGATGAGTAGCAGCGGTAGGCAGGGGCTAGATTAAAATGTTCGAGTGCATTAACCACCAAAGCTTTAGGCTTTATCTTCAATGGTAGGGGGTCAACAAAGGGTTTAAATTAGGGAAATTACATGATCCAAAATGAGTTTAAAAAAATGGGCTGCATTATGATGGGGAGTGAAATTAGAAGCAGGAAAAACCGCTTAAATATACAATAGTCCAAGCAAGAAAACTTTGGAAACTGAACTGAAAACAGTGGGAATAAATAGAAAGAGACTAATTTGAAATAAACTTTAAGGTTTCTTATCTACATTCCTTCATTGAACAAACATTTAAAACCTATACATTAAGCCAGGAAAAATGCTAGGTATTTTAAGAATAATCAGACAAAGTCCCTGTTATCAAAATGCTTATATCCTTAAGAATTTAGTTACAAATTAAATACAAAGAATAATGGGAAATTATTCCAGCGTTTAAGCTCTCTTCTTTAAATATGTCATTTGAAGTTTGATTTTGTCTGTCCTGCTAGCATTTGCTTCAACTTTGACACCATTAAGCAAGATTTAGGAATCTCCATAATTATATATATTCATTTTTATCCAATACCATGATTTATTCTAATTATACCCCCTGAATTTTACTATTTATGCACAATAAATACCATCTTGCCTTTTATTTATTTTCTTAATAAGGATATAATTTTTACTAATCTCTGATACTAGGTAGTAATGGCATAATGTGAGTTATGTTACTAGACTTTTAATGATTGAATGTGTATGAGATAAAACCTTCCCTAATGAGTTTACAAACAAAAATTGTCACCAAGCTTTTGAAAAAAAATACATCAAATTTTATATTTTATATCAATATGTTGTTGTTTTTAATCTCACTGATTATACTCACTTCATTAGATGAGGCTGAAGACTGAACCAATCCATTTTCTGAAAATTCTGTGAGTTTGGTCACTAGGTACCTAGCAGGCTCTCAATCAGGATCAATTTTAACCTCAAAAAGACATTTGACAGTGTCTGAAGACATTTTGTGGCTGTCACAGCAAGGTTGAAAGAGTGCAACTCACATGTCTTGTGGGTAGAGCCCAGGGATTCTGCTACACACCCTGCGATGCACAGGACAGGCCTCCCCTCCCAACAAAGAATTATCAGAAGAAAATCTCCATAGTGTTGAAGCTGAGAAACTCTGAGCAATCCTCAGCTTGTCTGATCACAAGGTGATGTTTTTTTGTTTTTTTTTTTGAGATGGAGTCTTGCTCTGTCACCCCCAGAGCACAACCTACACTATGCATTTCAGACCAACTAATAGAAGTGGACAATTTTTTTTTTTTATATGGAGTCCCACTCTGTTACCCAGGCTAGAGTGCAGTGGTGCAGTCTCAGCTCATTGCAACCTCCGCCTCCTGGGTTCAAGCAATTCTCCTGCCTCTGCCTCCTGAGTAGCTGGGATTACAAGCACCCACCACCACACCCAGCTAATTTTTGTATTTTTAGCAGAGATGGGGTTTTACCATGGTGGCTAGGCTGGTCTTGAACTCCTGACCTCGTGATCCGCCTGCCTCAGCCACCCAATGTGCTGGGATTACAGGCATAAATCACCACACCCTGCCGATGATTCTTGTAGCCATCATTTTATGTAAGTATAGTCAGAACAAATGCTGTTCTTTTTTTTTTTTTTTTTTTTTTTTTTTTTTTTTTTTTGACAGATCTTGCTCTGTCACCCAGGCTGAAGTGCAGTGGTGAGATCATGACTCACTGTAGCCCCGAACTCTTGGGCTCAAGCAATCTTCCTGCCTCAGCCTCCAGAGTAGCTGGGACTACAGGAACTCACAACTGCACCTGGCTAATTTTTCTAGCTTTTTGTAGAGACAGGAATCTGGCTATGTTGCCTAAGCTGATATTAAACTCCTGGATTCAGGTGATCCTCTGTCCTCAGCCTCCCAAAATGCTTCAATTAAAGGCATGATCTAAAATGCTTTTCTTGACTGAAGCTCCCAAGATGACCACAGAACAGTTATTACCAACACACTCTGCAACAACAGCAATGTAAAATATCCTATTTATATTCTTATGCTTCCAAGGAAGTCTCCTATTTCTGCTATGATAATTCACCCACAGAGAGTAACTCATCTCCCTGAACACCTTACATCAGACCAAAGAAATGGTGGATTTACCCCGCTTGAGTGCTGGAAAGGGCCCAGTGGTGCATATATACATCGAGAAAAATCTTTCTAGTCCAGAAAATTCTCACTGTTTCTTCATTACACACACAGACAAAAAAAAAGAAAGAGAAAGAAAGAAAGAAAGAAAGAAAGAAAGAAAGAAAGAAAGAAAGAAAGAAGGAAAGAAAAGAAAAGAAAGAAAGAAAGAAAGAGAAAGAAAATAAAACAACAACAAAATAAAACGAGAAAATCATCAGGGCAAACTTAGCTGTGTGACTCTCTAACTACTTTCCTTCTCATTAACTTGGCAAAGATTATTCTCTACTAACTACAGGCTGCACTATTGTTAAAATGTTGTATTATATACTCCATCAACAAGCCATCAGAATAAAATTTTAGCTGGGATTTAATCAAAGAGACAGTAGTAAATTAGCATTAGCATTAGCTTCATAACTCTTGAAAGACCAAAGATCAATTCACTATTACATATATAGATACATATGTAGTTTCATTAATTACGTCGTTATTTCTCCCTAATTCTTTAACGTTCTATTTTGACTATGCAAGCCAAAATACAGATCTGAATGTTTTAATGCCATATTAAAAACACACTTTAATTCTTTGTTTTTAACCATGTTTTCCATAAACAGAAACAAGGTATCGTATACATCCTTTCTAGCTCAGCCTGCTGCAAAGGCAAATCATTCCACAACAAGAGAAACATTGCTTGTTTTTTGCACAATGTATGGTAACATATAATATATATCAGTTTTGTTTCCAAGGTAAAATATATGTACAGTTACATAAGTACCAGGTCAAATGCATAATGTATAAATACTTCAATTACAATGTGGCTGAAGAATTAACTCTGGTTAATTGAAATATCTACCTAAATACAAAAAAATCACTTATTTTCACTGTTATCGAGAAATAGTTTAAATATTTTTATTCCTTTTTCCTTTGCCAGTGATTTCTACAGAGTGAACATCTCTGAATTCCTCTGATAATTTAAGACCCTGCAGCACCTGAGTATCACCGGGTTGCACATCAGTTCTCATCCAATTAGCTTGCAGTTATAGGAGACAAAAAGGTAAGGCTGAATCTGCAAAGAGATCAGGGCAAGCTGCATTAGTTGAACCTTCAAATGAGCTCCTAATATTACACTGCATTTTGCTAATGTTTCCTTTCCATTAAAAAATTAAGCAGAGGCTTATATATCTTATTGGAGGGTCCTAGTTGATTGTGTTTTACTTCATAATATGCTTTTAAACATTTAACTGAGACAGGCAGTTTAATATTTTGCTCCCTCTTTTTTTTTGAAGAGTAGTTCAAAATATTGGTGGTTTCATTGGAATAATCTGGGCAAATTTGTTAGTACACCACTCTGTGGTTTTGATTCAACAAGTTGTGTGTAGGACCTGGGTGCGTGCATTTTGAAAAAAGAATCTGTTCTGTGTACCTCTGAAATGCACTGCACTGCTACTCCAGTGTTAACTATTTTGGAAGGAAAAGTTTATGCGTTCTGGGTTTGCTATATAGCACCTAGTTCATTATTTTTATATATATACACACACACACACACACAATTAAAGTTTAAACCTTTTAAAATGAATATATTTTTAGAATTCATACGAAAAATTAGTTTCTGACATTTGTTAACACATAGTTAACCTAAGTTGCAAGTGATTACATGACTTCACTGTAAAGAAGGCAGAATGTGGGTCCTGGGGAGGCGCCCTAGTGATTTGATAGAGAATAAGCCTTGAAATCTCATCAAACATGCTTGAACCTGTAAAATATTCTTTTTTTCATCTGAGATATTTTCTTGGGCTTATGTAAAGTTCATTTAAAGGACAGTGCTAGAAAGGTTGACATGGTTTATTGGCTATGCTACATCAATTACATAAAATATTTCTTATCTATAAGAGATACCAACAGGATGTTTATTTTTAAAATTTTTTATAATAAATTTATCCAAACATGGGATATTCCTGTCTATAAATACATAAAATCTACATAGTCTAAATAGCACAGTCACTAAATTATAGTGTTACAGAGTCCCATGAGGATGTTTGCAGAATATATACAGTCATGCATTGCTTAGATATTTTCTGAGACATGCATCACCGGGTGATCCCATCATTGTGTGAATATCATAGAAACTCATACAAACCTAGATGGTATAGTTTGCTACGCACCTAGGTTATATGACACAGCCTATTGCTCCTAGGTTACAAATCTGTACACCAGTTAGTGGACTAGATACTCTAGGCAATTGTAATACAATGGAAAGTATTTCTGCATGTAAATATAAAGAGTAGAGGAAAAATATGGTATTAAGATTTTATGGGACCACTGTCATATATGGGATCTATCACTGACCAAAACGTCATTGTGCAGTGCATGACTGTATTAATATATAGTTGAATCAGCTAGCGGTTCTCCCCTGAGTGCTCTTGAGCCTTCTAGGGTACTATAATATTGGTTCTGTTTCTAGTTAAATGATAGGTATCCCAAGGAATGGTGTCCTATATTATGAATGTTGAAGACAACAGATGCAACTGTTGCACAGTTAACTTTACTATTTAGAAATAAACAAAGAAATAAGAGTTCTCAGATCATTGATAAGCTGGAAAATAGTGTAAATTTTGAACAAATTTAAGTAGTATTTAATAAATGTAAAACTGCGTATTTTTGCAATGTCTTTAACCATCTTCTATGACTAATTCCTATTATCAATTAGGAATTGCTGTACAAATAGCTGTAGGCTTATCATATAGCCATATATCAGTATATAGTTAAGGCATGAGTATCACAGACAAAAAGTGGACACTACAATATAAATAATAATTTATTTTTCTCTCATGAAAAAGTCTGGATACAAGCAGTCAAGCTTTGCTCCATTAAGTTTCAAGAGATATGGGCTCTTTCTATTTTGTTTCTTCATCAGGGATGGCCTCCATTTACAAGAAAAGCATCTAAAAGGTTCTCTGCATCCACAGACATCATCATGTCAACAGGATGGAGGACAAGATAAAGAAAGTGACAGAGGTGCAAGCTGCTATCTCTCAGAAGGGTTTAGAAAAATTGTCACTTACTACTCCCACTTACAACCCTTCGGCTATATTTTTGTTACATGGTCAAAGCTAGCTACAACAGAAGCAATGACCAGCTAAAATTCTGGGTTTGTGTTCATTTGAGAGAAAACGAGAATACATTTTGGGGGGAAACTAGCAGTCTCTGACATAGAATATCGTGACAGATAGATGGATAACAGGTCTTTAAAAGCAACTTTAGTAACTTTCACCTCATAACACCACAACACTTACTACATTAGAGACTTGAAGTGTCAGGTGTAATGAGATCAAGTACATGACCTTAAAATGATCTTATTTCATAAGTTATTAGAATCTCAGATCCAGATCAGGCTAAAAGATCACTTAGTATAAAAAACACAAAGAACAAACATTCTTCACCAATGTGTATCCCAGGTTTTGTTTAAATACTTCAAGTTATATAATTCTCAGTTTTTTTTGAAAGCCTATTCTTCATCTCAACTGCTTTAGATAATATTAATTTTCAACCATTTATTCTAATCCTGTCTTTTAAAATGATGCTAAACAAATATTTTCTTTCTTCATCGAAATGATTCTTTAAAAACTAGGAAATAGCTGCTTTTACCCCTTTAGTGTCATCCCTAAAATCACCTTCAGGCTAAATAATCTGAATTTCTTGAACACAAGTTTTAGGTTCATTATCACCTGAGTAATGTCCTTCCTTTAGATTTCTGGATGCTCTTGCTTTTGTTAAGGTCAATCTTAACATCTGATACAACAATATTTATTCATCATTAAACACAAGACTTTCTTCCTTTCTTCTTTCTTCCTAATTCAAGCTGAACTAAACATAACAGAAATCATCTGGCAGCTGTTCACAGTACCCTCTCCCTCTTATCGCCACCCATCTCCTTCCCATTGCTTAGATAAAGAGTATGTCATGTGACAAAACCATGACTCACAATTACTTCTATAGTTCATTTGTCCTGTGTCCTGTAGCATTAAACCTAATGATTTGGACAAGAAAAGACTCACCTGGCTTCATTTCCTTTTCTGCTGAATGTCAATTTCACATGACCATGGGGACGATTCATTAGCCTCTGAAACTTCCAGGAAGAGGGAATTTCTTTGCTTTTAATTTAAATCATTTAAACTATTTTAAAATAGTCTGAAAATAATATTTTAAATAATTATGCTTAATAGTACAATTTATACACACACATTGCTATATTTATATATATATATGCATATGTGCATATATAAGCACTAATTTCTAAGTAGAAGAATTTGTTAATTAATCACCCTTAATGGCAAAATAGCTTCCCATTAGTCAAGCCTCAGGTTAATTAATTCACCAGACGATGAGTGATATAAGTCCTAGTGCTTTCTTCCTAACTACTTACTATTCCATCCAGAAGACATGCTCAATATATCTCTCACTGAACAGCCTGGTTTCTGCTTCTGCGGAGGCTGAATTTTAGCACTATATCTGATAAACATTTTCTTGGAATAAAAAAAAGAATGTAATTTTTTTTTTGACACAGACCTATTTAATGTTGGTGAGAATAGTGGGCACCATTTAGGATTCAAAAAAAAAGAACTATTCAGGGAGCAGCCACAGCTTGCCATTGAAGTTGAAGTAGATTTCTTATCAACACACAGAACTCAATTTTGCCAAGAACCTGAATCAACCTGCAAATGAATTCTTTCCCACAGCCCATGAATAAGAACACAGTTTGGATGAGGCCTTGATTTTGGCATTGTGTAATCCTAAACTAAGAATCCACTCAAACCCACCTGGACTTTTGACCTAGAAAGCTAATTATTGGATGTTATTTTTAGCTGTGAAGTTTGTGATAATTTGTAATGCAACAACAGACAATGTCTAAAAATGTCAAATAAATACCTCCAACTCAACTCGTCAAAAAATATTGCTCCTCTCAGTTATGTTTTGCAACCTTTCCCTTTTATTTCATAACAATTTCATTGTTTTTGTTGTTGCAGCCAAAAAACTTAGTCATTCTTACATCCTCACTTTTTCTCCCATCTTTGTAGGTGTAGAATCCACCTCAAAATCCTATGGACTCTACTTCTATAAAATATGTAGAATTTAACCAGTTTTCACTCCTTCACTGTTCTCACCCTGGTCTGAGCCACTAACATCTCTCACCTTTTATTGCAACAGTCAACTAACAGGTAGTCACACTTCAACCTTATCTCACTAGCCTCCTGTGTATTTTGTGGACACAATAGTCTTTTCAAAACCTAAGTCATACCATATCTTTTCTCAAAATCTTGCATCATCTCCCCATTTGAACTCACAATAAAAGTCTCCAGGCAATGAGCTGGTAGGTCTTTATGATCTGTTCCTCCCACATCCAATGTATCTTTTCCTGTTCTCCCCTTTATTTTCTCTGTGCCAGCCATACTGGCTTCCTTAACATTCTAAAAACCCAGACAGTGTTACCTTATTGTGTTTGTTCTAATAACCACTTTAACTCTGACTTGAGCTTCATCAAATCCCTCGCTTGCTTCAGGGTTTGCTCAGATTTTTATTCTCCATGAAACCTGCCCTAGCTACTGAAGCCCCACGCTTCCTATCCTCTCTCTTGGCCTTCCAGGTCCCTCCCAACTGCTCTGATGTCTTTGGTTATTTTTTCCATGGAATTTATAAATTTTTAACATGCTATATACTTTGCTTTCTTATTGTGTTTTTTACTTATTTCCCATCTCTCTCCGAATACAATGTGAGCTCCTTGCAAACAGGAATTTGTGTTCGTTGTATTCACAGATGTGTATGTGTAAGGCACCTGAATATTGGCCTAACACGCTGAAAGAGCTCAGTAAATATTTGTTAAACAAATGGGTGAAATGCAGACACTTATAGACACTATTTAGAAGAGAATAACATCTACAGATTTGAACTACTAGGTTGCCCCTGGCAGAGGCATGGTCAGAGGCACACAGCACAATAATAGTGAAACCAGATTTACCTTGGACACATTAACCATTGATCTTGATTGAAAACAAGGACAGCAACAATAAAATTTGATACTAAATCTTTCTTTGAGAATTTGCATGATAGACATACAGAGAATATGGAATCCTGGCTCTATGACTAACCAATGGCGGAATCTTGGTTAAGTTATTTAATTATTTTCTGTCTCAGTGTCCCATTTTAAACATGGAGATAAAATATATCCCATGAGGTTGTTTTGAGGGTTAAACAAGATAACAGATTTAAAGTGTCTAGAAGAGAGCCTGCACTCGGAGAATATTAGCCTTCCTCACCTCTGTGCATTCTTTGACTTCAAATTGTTGAACAAGTGCCAAGATGTAGAATCTATCACAGTGATACCCCTTGATGTAGGGCATGTCTGTCATATATTTAAAGAAATTTTCAAACAACCTCCCTCATCCTGAATTCAAAATGGGGCTTAGAATGAGGTTCTTAGAAACATAATTTAGAGACGCCACCTCTAAAGCAACTCTTAGTTTGGAACCTCGAATTTCTTGGTCTATATTGGATCCAAACTCGTACAACACACCTCACATCGTTCCCCAGAGACCCCTATCCCTCTCCATTTTCCTTTCCTCTTTCTTCCTCCCTCACCCTTGTACAATCCATTATAACTCATCTTTCTACCTTCTACAGAACCTGGAACATGTATTTGCACAGAATAGTCACTACATTTTGCTAAACAATTAAATCACTTAGGAAATGACCCAGCTTTTTGTTCCTCTATGATGGCATGTTTCGAAAAAGGCTGTACTATTTTATTATTTCAGAGTTCTTATTCCCGTGTTTCAGGGCTGGGACTAATGAATATTTTCCTAGGGATCTCTAAGTCCAGCTCCCGATGGCATCCACCTGGGCTCAGCACTTTAGATGCATCTTTCACAATGTTGTCTCTGTGTGAATAAAGTCAGCCAATCCATGTGGCCACCCCTGGCCCTTGTACCTGCTCTTGTTTTATAGCTGTTATCCTTTTGAAAATGCATGTTACAGCATTCACAGAGAAACTAGAGCACTAGATTGAAACACAGTTTCTCTTCTAAACACACTTCTTCATTTGCTTATGTTTTTCTCAGAAGTTTCCTTTGGGAATTAAATATATTTTTAATGTTTGTTTCAAGTGGGCTTTTTTTTTTTTTTTTTTTTTTAAGGAAAGCAGCTTTCTTCTTCTCCAAGTACTTTGATCTTTTTTTTTTCTTGAAATACAATTCCTGAAGCTGAAGCTATAAACATTATTTTCTTCCTTGGAAATAATTAGGCGCCATTTTAAAAAGAGATTTTTAAAGGAGATACTTAAGCTCAAGTATGTAAAGAATGACACACTGTGAAACATGGGTATGGTTTTAGGCATGAGAAACTCTGCTAAAACATAATTATACAATGAGGAATTTCTACATGATAACAATTAACATTTAAGTGGCCAAATAATGCCTCACTCTCGTTTTACTCAGAGATGACCAGGGAAATGGAGTCTTCTAGTATAAGTGTGACATGGCAATGGGAGGCATTTTTCAAAAGATAATGTAAGATTGGCAGCTTCTCCAAGTAGGTGTGTTAACTCTTCTTTAGACTGATGAGGAAATCCAGTTTCAGAGAGGCAAAGTGACTTGAAAGTATGTGGTTGTTTGCAGCTTTAATTTCCTTATCTGTAAAAGGAGAGCTGTCTGCATTTTCTCCATAACATTAGAAAACATGGATTCTTGTAGTTGAGATCAGCCCATATAAAATCCCACATAACCAGTATGTCAGACAATTGCCTCTGAACTAACTGAAGAGTAGGAAGAAATACACCCCATTCATTCTGATGGCTCACATTCTGCTACAGAAGATGTGTGCCTTCATGCCTCATATCTCCTCAGCCTTCCCTTTTCATAAACCAGGTAATGTAAACAAAAATAATGTGGCTATTGTGTTTTAAGAGATGTGTAGTTAATTAATGAGCTATTAATGTAACTTTAGTATATAAAGTTCCTTTTGAACCTCCTCTTTTTCCTGTCACTCTGATTCCATCAAGCTACCCGCTCACCTAGTTTTAAGACATTGAATCTATAAAGTCACTTCCATATAAGTACACAAATATTCGGCAAGTTAGTTAGACACTGGCACCATATGCAGTTCCCCGAAGAGTGACCCTATTTCAGCATTAATACGTCACACTCCCATAGTTGCACAAGAAATACTGACATAATGCTGATTCTATTTCAGTGATTAGTTTAGGCCCTGAGGCAAGGTATATAGGTAAATTATGGAACATTAGAAGTGTTTTAACAGATACATAAATAAATGCCATAGGGAGAAAGGGGAAGGTGAGATTAATCCTTTTTGCTGGGTCTGGGGAGAGGCACAGGTCTTTAACCAAGGAGGTGATACTGAAACAGGTGCTCTGGTGATAGGTAGGATTCTCATCTGTACTCATGGAGAAAGGACAGAGGAAATTATCTGAGCACAAGCCAGAGAGATGGTATATTAGTTTCCTGTGGCTGCTGTAACAAACAACCACACATTTTGTGTCCTGAAACATCAAAAATGTATTCTTTCACAGTTCTGGAGGCCAGAGGTCTGAAATCCAGGTGCCTGCAGGGGCAGGGCCAAGCTTTCTCTGGGGCTTTAGGAGGGAATCCTTTCTACTTCCAGTGGTTGTTGGCGTTGCTTGGCTTCCTTGGCTTGTGGCCACATTACTCCACTTTCTCCCTCTGTCATCACATCGTATTCTCCATATGTCACTTACAGGGACACTTGTCTTTGGATTTAGTGCCCAACCAGATATCCACGATGATTCAACATAACTATCCTTCTTCCAAATAAGGTAGTATTCACAGGTTCTATGGACTTGAAATGGATTTTTTGTGGAGAGGTCATTTTTCAGCCTACGCAGATGAAAATGTATCTTATAAATAACTTATTGACTATGTGTACGTGGGGAGGGTGGAGTTGGTTTGCAGTATTATACTAGCTTCTCCTATCTCAATCCGGTGATGAAAACTATAAGTTTTTAAGCTAAAGAATGTGACTACTATATAAACTCAACACCTGATTTTTTAAATGAGGTAATAGGCTCAGGGACGTTAGATAATTTACGTAAAGTCACATCATGAATTAGGGACACCACTTAAGTGGTAAATTTAGAATCCAAATAGAAGTCATCCATTTTAATGTTTTCTTGATAAAGGCTTTTAAACTGCATCCCCCCCTTTTCTATCAAGTTATTAAAGACTCAGATCACACACACAGACACAAAATTCTAACATAATAGTGTGTACAGTAACTTCATCAATGAGTCGTTATAGGTCGAGCCATAAAGAACAGTTTTTTTGTAAATCCACTGTACAGAAGAAGATTTTCAGATGTGGAAAACAGGAGTGTTCATATACCCTAGTATCCATGACAACATACTGCAATTCTTTGTTTGCATACCTGCTTCCGAGAATTGCAAACATCTTGAGGGCAGGGATTACGTAACAGTGATGACAAATTTTGCCTCTACATTCATACTTTTTTTTAAGTGACTCTCTATGGGCATAGTCCTGGTGGCTCTTTTAGAACAGTGATTCTTACCCCATCCCTCCAGTAACAACTGCTTGAATCAGGGGAGGACAAAAAGAATCCACCCACAGGTTGAAATACACTTTTTTTTCAATAAATAATTTATTAAAATTAGAGTCTAAGTTAGTATGTCTGAGTCATGTTATTGGTGGAGTACAGGAGTCAAAGTCAATGAATTCTTGTTTTGATTCAATGGGCTGCCCAAGTATCCTTCCTAAAAGCCTCTTTACCTGAGCTGGCACACTTAAAATTGACCTTATTGACAGAACATCTCCCCATGTGCTAAATGAGAATGTCCCATCTGGATTAGTGGCCTCCTCTTCACCACTTCTGACCCTCAGCCAGAGAGGGCTGGAACATCTTACCTGCCTGTAAACAAGAGACACCAAGGGCACAATCACTCATTTGGAGACTATTAAAGAAACCACTATCTATCAAGACAGTTTTCCACTTCTATGTTATCCCTCATTGAAGTTATCAAATTTATAATCAGGGAGCAAATGCTTTCACCCAGATCCACTGACCACTGGCTATTGCCTGCAAAGCTAATGGCCAGGTGAAAAATTCATGAAATATATTTGAATCTATATATATTTTATAGACAAATATTCCACTTGTCATAATACACCATTTTCGAAAAAGTAATTGACAGTTCCTGTCTCTACTATTGCTGTGCAATATGGAGAAGCATTCTACCGTCACATTTCAGAGTCAGCACTTGGAATATATTGGCTCTAGGATACAAAAGAAAAGCACAAACGTCACAGAAAGGCATCAAAGGGAATGAGCTCAATGGAAAATAGCATCTGGCTAAAAAGTGGACAATGGATATTTGGGGCCAATTAAGGTACGTAAAGCTCAGTGACAACTCTCTTTAAGCTGCTCTATTAAACAGGTTCACCCCATCACACAGTGATGGCAGCAGTGATGGCAGTCGGGGAGGCGTGGCCAGGACTATCCACTCCACTGAGCCGGAGCTGAGAATAGGCCGGAGCTCTTTCCCTTCTGAGTTGGAAGGGTGGGAGCCCTGCCCTTCCAGGGGCAGCTGCAGCTGCCCAGCCACAGCTGCAGATCCAGGCATCTCTGCACTCTGGGAGGCCCAGGAAACCCCCTTTGCCCTGCAGGCTCGGAATAACTGCTCCCACTGCCTGGTCTCCCCGACTCCCGGCACCCACTCTGATTTTGGAGCAAAGTTGTGGCTAAGCTTGGGTGCTGTCACAACCCAGCTGGGTGTGCACATGCATGGGGTAGTGCTGACACACCAGTCCCACGCTGCCTCGGCCCCCTCTGGACTTTGGGTGCCGATGAACATCGGAGACAGGCTGAGTGGGGACCGAGGGTGGTGGCTCAGCATGGGCCTGCAGGCACCCCCTCAGCACAAACAGCCTGGGTGCCGTGAATGGTGGCAGGAGGCCCTTTGAGGCCTTTTCTTCTAAATGGTCTGAGTTGAATATGTTAAATTAAAGCCAAGTCATAATAGAACAAAAACTTGGGACAATAGAACGGTTATAGTCTCAAAAGAAAAGATGTGTGTTTTTAACTTTGCAAATCCAAGGAAGTTCTAATCCTATCAAATCCTGGAAAGGTGATCTTGAGGCTTTAGAAGGGTTGATTCTATTGCTGGCCCTTTCAGCAGGGCCACTCCATCCAATGTCCATGTCCTACAGCCCATGAAAGCAATATCTGCTAGCTAACGGTCTTCCACATAATCAATCAGTCTTACCCTTCTACTCCCTGTCTGATTATACCATGCTGTTCTGCTCATTCTTATTTTTATTACTTTTTTTTGGATTCAAGGCTGTATTTCTGCACATCAGCTTGAACTGTTGTCTCTACTCCCTCTTGTGTGTAACACCTTTTCTGACTCACCTCCCGGCATATGGGCCTGCAGACATTCCGGTTCAGTCTGGCCCCTTTGGCCTCTGGTGTCATTGCTGCCTAGCAAGGGAAAGGCCCCCTGCCTGTGCCTCTCCATCAGTTAAGAGATTAGATTCAGTTCCTTGATGAAAATGTTTGATTTTTCCGAACATTTATTTTGCCCTTTAGAAGGGCATTCTTTCTAATTCCCAAAATAACACATGCTAGCGGACAAGAAGCCTGCTTGACTACTGAGACCTTTCGGGTCTCAGTGTATTCTAGTTCGAATGTTATTGCTATTCCTGATTGCCTGCAGTTTGATACCTCTGTGCAAATTCCTTTTCTCTGATGACCGAACTATAATACTTCAGAATTTTTCCTTGTATTTATAAAATATAAAAGCAAAAACTTTTATATATCCTAACAATGCCACTTAAAATTTTTATGTTATAACAAACCCAAAATAAGCACTATATTTAAAAAAAAAAAAACCCTAGTACTTTCTGACATTTGACATTCAGAAATATCTTCTAAAAATAATTACAATCGGCATGGTCACTTGTAACAAGGTAGGTCAGTACAATAAGATCACTACAATGAGATAAATTACACTGCACTCAGATAACTACAATGATATGAATTGAAATGAAAACATGGTGTTAAGCTTTGTTTAAAAAGACACAATAGAACAATATGCCCTATTATAAATTAAAATGATTAAAAATTATCTTTCTTTATTCAGTTAATTTTTTTTTCAAGTTGCATGAAGGGATTTTTCTTTCTAGTTTAGAAAATGTGATTGATGAGTTACTTCTTATGATTTGAGTTTAAACACCACACTTATATTGTTCAATTGGATGAAGCACATTTTCCCCATTGTCCAAGGCCACTGACAAACATCACAGGTCCTTCTTAAACCACACATGGAAGTAAAAGGATAGAATGGGTGGAATAGAGAGTCTACATTCTTTAAGAGTAAATGTTACATCTTATATGTTGTCAAGTTTGACAGAAGACTCACTCATCGTAGACGCCAATGAACACTTACTTGGACTGTTTCTTTAGTAGTGAAGGATAATGAAATGTAGATATGTTCCTGATGCTTGACACCAGGATTTGAGTAGGTGGTTGGAGGTAGCACCTTCCTGAGTTAATTCGTGTGGTGCTAACAACATCATCTGCCTACTAATGTTGTCTTTTTAAATTTAGCACAGCAGACTTTGATAACCTGCCTAGACCAGAATACAGGCCTTCTTAGGAATAAGCAGCTTTGCAGAGAGCTGTGGACAGCCAACAAGAAATGGTAGAAACTTAGATAGCCACACAATCATAGCAGGAGACTTCAATAATCTACCGACGACATTAGACAGATCATCGAGGCAGAAAACTAATAAGATATTTGGGACCTGAATAGACACTTGACCAAATAGCCCTAACAGATATCTATAAAACACTCCACCCAACAAGAGAATATACATACTTCTCATCTGCACATAGTACATACCTTAAAATTGACTACATGCTCAGCCATAAAGCAATTCTCAACAAATTGAAAAAAAAAATCATATCAACTACACCCTTGGACAACAGCACAATAAAAATATAAATTAATACCAAGAAGATCCATCAAGATCATACAATTACATGGAAATTAAACCTGCTTCTGAATAACTTTTGGGTAAATAATGAAATTAAGGCATAAATCAAGAAATTCTTTATAACTAATGAAAATGAAGGTATTATCAAAATCTCTGGGACACAGCTAAAGCAGTGTTAATAGGAAAGTAAAGCACTAAACACTTACACCGAAAATAAGAAAGATCTCAAACTAACAACCAACCTAACATCGCCTCTAGAAGAACTAGAAAAACAAGAGCAAACCAACCCAAAACTAGCAGAAGAAAATAACCCAAACCCGAGCTGAATGTAATGAAATGAAGAGGCAGGAAATCATATAAAATATCAATAAAGCAACAGGTTGGTTCCTTGAAAGAATACATATGATTGATAAACTGCTAGCTAGACTAATAATGAAAAAAAGAGAAGATCCAAATAAAAAGGGGACATTGCCGGTGACTCCACAGAAATATAAAGTCCCCCAGAGACTCTTATGAACACCTCTATGCACATAAACTAGAAAATCTAGAAGAAATGGATAAATTCCTGGAAACATGCAAGCTCCCAAAATTCAATGAAAAAGACACTGAAGCCCTGTCCTGAAGATCAATAACAAATTCCAAAGTTGAATCAGCAATAAAAAGCCTACAAACCAGAAAAAGCCCTGGACTACATGAATTCACAGCCAGATTCTACCCATTGTATAAAGAAGAGCTGGTACCAATCCTACTGAAACTATTTCAAGAAAATTGAGAAGGGGGGTCTCTTCCCTAACTCATGCAGTGAGGCAAGCATCATTCTGATAGCAAAACCCTGCAGAGACACAATAACAAAGAAAACTTCAGGCTAATATCCCTAATATTGATGCAAAAACAGGTATTAATGCAAACATAGATGCAAAAATCCTCAACTAAATACTAGCAAACTGAATCCAGCTGCACATGAAAAAGCTAAAGCCACAATCGAGTAGGCTTTCTTGGAAGGCAAAGTTGATTCAACATACACAAATCAACAGATGTGATGCATCACATAACCAAAACCAAAAATAAAAACTACATGATCATCTCAATAAACGCAGAAAAGTCTTTCAATAAAATTCAGCATCCCTTCATTTTAAAAACCCTCAACAAACTAGGCATCAAAGGAACACACCTCAAAATAGTAAGAGCAATCTATGACAGACCCACAACTGACATGATGCTGAACAGATGACACCTGGAAGCATACGCCTTGAGAACTGGAAAAAGAAAAGAATGTCCATTCTTCCCACTCCTATTCCACTTAGTCCTAGAAGTCATAGCCAGAGCTACCAGACCACAGAAATAAATAAAAAGCATCCAGATAAGAAGAGATGAAGTCAAACTATATCTCCCTTTGCAGACAATATGATTCTATACCTAGAAAATCCCATAGTCTCTGCCCAAAAGCTCATAGATCTGATAAACAACTTCAGCAGCATTTCAGGATACAAAATCAATGTACAAAAAGCATCCAATATCTAATCTGAGAGCCAAATAAACAACCAAATTCCATTCATATTAGCCACAAAAAGAATAAAATACCCAGGAATACAGCTATTCAGGGAGGTAAAACATCTCTACAATGAGAATTACAAAACACTGGTGAAAGAAATCAGTGAAAAGATCCCTACAGTGAGGATTTCAAAACACTGCTGAAAGAAATCATTTCATGAAATGGAAAACAGTCCATGCTCATGGATTAGAAGAATCAATATCACTAAAATGGCCACATTGCCCAAAGCCATGTCCAAATTCAGTGCTATTCCTATCAAACCATGAATGACAGTTTTTATAGAATTAGGGAAAAAAAACTATTCTAAAACTCATATGGAACCAAAAAGAGCCTGACTAATCAAATAAATCCTAAGCAAAACGAACAATGCCAGATGCATTACACTACCTGACTTCAAACTACATTCTAAGACTACAGTAACCAAAACAGCATAGTACTGATACAAAAATAGACACATTGACTAATGGAACAAGTTAGAGAACCCAGACATAAAGCCACACACCTACAACCATCTGATCTCCAACAAAATCAGTAATAACAACCAATGGGGAAAGGAGTCCTTAGTCAATAAATTATGCTGGGATAACTGGCTAGCCATATGCAGAAGAATGAAATTGTACCACTTCTTTTTACCATATACAAAAATCAACTCAAGATGGATTAAAGACATAAATGTAAAACCTAAAACTATAAAAACGCTAGAAGAAAACCTAGGAAATATGATTGTGTACCTAGGCTCCAGCAAAGATTTCATGATGAAGACTCCAAAAGCAATTGCAAAGAAAACCATAATTGAAAAGTAGGACCTAATCAAACTCAAAAGCTTCTGCAGAGCAAACAAAGCTATCAGCAGAATAAAAAAAACAACCTACAGAATGGGAGAAAATATTTGCACACTGCATCCAACAAAGGTCTAATATCAGCATCTATAAGGAACTTAAATTAGCAGGCAAAAAACAATCAAGCCCATTAAAAAGTGAGTAAAAGATGTAAACAGACACGTCTCAAAGGAAGACATACATGTCGTCAACAAGCATATGAAAAAATGCCCAACATTGGTAATCACCAGGGAAATGCAAATCAAAACCACAATGAGATACCATCTCATGCCAGTCAGAATGGCTATAATTAAAGGGTCAAAAAGTAACAGATGCTGGTGAGGTTGTGGACAAAAGGGAACCCTTATACGCTACTGGTGGGAATGTAAATTAATCCAGCCAGTGTGGGAAGCAGTTTGGAGATTTCTTAAAGATCTTAAAACACAACTACCATTTTACCCAGCAATTCTGTTACAGGGTATGTACCCCCCAAAATATAAATTTTTCTACCATAAAGTCACATGCATGCATATGTTCATAGTAGCACTATTCACAATAGCAAAGACATGGATGAACCTAGATGCCCATCAAGAGTGGACTGGATTAAAAAAATATTATATGGTACAGATATACAATAGAATACTAGGCAGCCATAGAAAAGAATGAGAACATGTCCTTTGCAGCAACACGGATAGAGCTGGGAGGCCCCTATCCTAAGTGAATTAATGTATGAACAGAAAATCAAATTTTACGTATTCTCACTTATGAGTGAGAGCTAAACATTGAGTACACATGGACACAAACACGGGAACAATAGACACTGGGGCCTATCTGAGGGTGGAGAATGGGATGAGAGCGAAGATTGAAAACTCTCAGGTGCTGTGCTCATTACCTGTGTGATGAAATAAACTTTAAACCAAACACCTGAGACATACAATTTATCTATGTAACATGCCTGCACATGTATCCCCTGAACCTAAAAGTTGGAAATGAAAAAAAAAAAAGATCTAGTCTGATCAACACCAACCTTTGTTAATGGGGAAGGGCCTTCATTAATGGGAATGATTAAAAAAATGGGTATTTTAGGTGATTTAAGTTTTCTCATTATCTGAGGTTTGAACAGAAACCCATATTTTAATTAAAAAATTCTGTTGTTGAAAAGAAATAGACTACTGGGCTCTCAAATAGGAGGAAGGAATCCAAGAATAACCTAAGAATAATTTTCCTTATTATTGAGAGCATGCTATAGGAGGTTATTTCCTATTTTAATTAGTCTACTGACATTTGTATGTTTCTTTGATCAACTTCATTTTCAAAGACTAGTTTAGTTTTTAAATAATTTTTTCATATCTTATAAAGACTAGGTGTGTATATTACAAGGGCTGATTAGCAAATCAAATTTTAAGACACTTTTTTATACTTAGAAAAAAATAATCTCACATTAAATAATAAAAATTATTTTCAGTAGAACAGATTTCTTCAAAAGATAAGCCTGGAAATTGTTTTTACTCATTATTTTTTTCTTCTAGCCTAAATGGAAAATGGAATGTCATACAAACATACCTACCTGCATATTTCACTTGCTTTAGAAAGTATATAATTATGAATACAAAAATAGTAGCAGTAACATTACATAGCACTTAATATGAGTCAGACAGTTTTCTAAGTGCAGATATGTATCTTACTTTATTTCTCACAGCAACCCTATGAGGCAGATTGATCATCTTTATTTTACAGATGAGGAAACCAAAGCATCAAAACTTTGAGATTAAACAGTTGCAATTCTAACATAGACAGTGTGGCTTTAGAGAATGTACCTTTAACCATTATGCAGTACTGCCTTCCAATACGCAAAACACCAAAAATAGAATAATCACTTAAGAAAAGGGCCGGGCACGGCGGCTCATGCCTGTAATCCAGGCACTTTGGGAGACTGAGGTGGGTGGATCACCTGAGGTCAGGAGTTCGAGACCAGTCTGGCCAACATGATGAAACCCTGTCTCTACTAAAAATATTTTTAAAAATTATTCGGGCATGGTGGTGGGTGCCTGTAATTCCAGCTACTTGGGAGGCTGAGGCAGGAGAATTGCTTGAACCCAGGAGATGGAGGTTGCAGTGATCCGAGATTGTGCCACTGCATTTCAGCCTTGGTGACAGAGCGAGACTCTGTCTCAAAAAAAAAAAAAGAAAAGAAAAAAAAGAAAGAAAGGAAGCACTGAAGTGAAAATGTGTCTTATGAGTTCTCTAATGCTATTAAATACAAGTGCCTCCTCAAGGCCTAGTCTCAACCTGTCCAAAGCTGAATTAATCACCTCTCCAAAGCTTGCCTTTTAGTGGTACATTCCTCTTATCAGTCAGGATAGATTAGTTGATGGCACAGTTAACAAATGACCCTGGTATTTAACTGTCATAGAGGAATAAATTTATATTTTTGCTTAGCTAGGACTTTGTTTCATGTCCTCTTGATCCTGGGATCCAGGTGGTACAGTAATGTCCATTTGGAACACTGAAGGTCTTACGGTAGAAAGAAAAGAAAACATGTGAATTAAATGCCTTTTCTTACAGCTTTATTTCCGCTTGTAGAGAAACACAAGATTCCTGGTCATGTTTTATTACCTAAAGGAAGTCACAAGGCCAAGTATCCAATAGGTCGGAGATTTTAAACTTATGCACAAAAAAATTAATGAGCAATCATGTATGCAACTACCGCCTCATCTTATTTGCATTACCACCCACACAAAGCAGAAACCTGGAATTTATTCCTAAATTATATTTTTACAGCACCTTTCCAAAACAAAACAACACCCAAGACATACATAGTCCTCACTGTAAATACTTCTCTCGACCATTCACTCTCCTCCACTCCCAGTGCTGATCTCAAAATCTTCCTCCCAGACTTGTCTCCTCTAATGGATTTCTCAACCTCTGTCCAGCCTCATCCCCTTTTGGTCATCATTCACCCTGACAACAAAGTGATGCTGAAAAATGAAAATTAATATTGTCCCTCTTTTTTTATCATTCTTCAATGATTATGCATCTTCTACACAATTGATAGGAAAAGCATCTCTGCCAACACTATTCTTACACCACTGTATCAGTTTCCCACAAGAGTTTTGCACTAGACCCCCACTAACTCTATGCAGTTCATTGACCACACCATTCTACTTCATGTTTTCAATCCTTGAATGATGCTGTTTCATCTATATAGTTTTCTACATCCTGTCTCTGCCAAGCAAAAACATCTACTTTGACAAATATCATTGCTTTTATGGAAGCTTGTTCCTCCTTTTCCAATGGTTGTTTCTAACTCTGCACTACAGCACACTCTGAATGGGAAGTGGCAATTCCATCTGTTCATTAATTCACATATCTTTTTACATAATAAGTATTGCTTTACCTGCTTATGGCTTCTATGAACTGTGAACTACTTAGGAGAAGTGTTTACATATTATCCATTTTTGTACCTGCAGTGCCTACCTAAGTGTCCAGAATATAATAGCTACTCAGCAAATCTTGAATAATTTTTGAGTCCTCATTAAACAGTAAAGGAAGAGAATAAAGAGTATGGGTGCGGATTACATTTTAAATCAAACAGGACTGTATACAAGAACACGGAAAACATGACAAGAAGTGGGATTAATGAGGCAAGAAATAAGAAAATAGAGAAGATGCTGCTTAAGATATACAAACATGAAAACATGAAAGGAAAGAAAATTTTGGAGAAAGGTTAAATTCGATGTTTGAATAGATTAAATATTAAATTGTGACAGTCAACAAGTTTACATTCTCACTTTAATTTTCTTATATAATATTACAATTAGTTTCTATGTCTTTTAGAACAAGGTAGTCTCTTATTTTCATGCCTTTTCTCTTAAAATTAAGTTGCTGTAATGTAAAAGAACATTCGATTTTAAAAATATGAACATGGCCTGCTTCTCTGGAATTTTATTTTCTTCAAGCTCTTGAGGTCTTTAACATCAAAATATTTTAATAGTAAAATATATTAAATTTTTGACTTTTAGATTTTATATTCTGTAGCTTCTATTCTGCTGGCAATCAAGAGTTTTGATATGCTCTTATTCCTAGACATACATAAAAGTAAAATTTTCACTACTGTTAATCTAAAATTTTACCAGAGTACCATCATTGTTACTGAGTTGATGCACTTAAGCTTATAACTAGTTGTTTGCAATAAAATAACTTTTATGAAGAAACTGAATAATCAAATGAAGGTGAGAAGAATTATAGCTTAGAAAACCTTCTGACATATTACATCTGTCTAGCATTTATCCAGTAAATGACTACTTGAACTTTTTAATAGAATTCACATACAGGAAATAATAAAAAAATAAATTATGGTGAACAAGAAAAGTTCTTCTCGTCCCACAGCAGTCAAAATAATTTCTCATTAAACTTGGTTGTTCCTTTCAGACTTGCCTCCGAACTCAAATACTTCTCCCAGCATAAGTGGGCAGAAAGCATGATGGAATGGATAGGGTTGCAGCACAGAAAAGGTTTGCTAAAAGCCTTTGAAAAGAGCAGTGGGAAAACAAAAAGGTCAGTTTCACCAATGAGATTGGATTGTGATCTGATGTGGCTTGAAAGAGTTTAAGACCCTCACAAAAATTTAGTTCTACCACCACAACACCATCGCAGCAGGTGGAAAAATCTGCCAGTTTGAACGTGGGGAAAATGTCAATGCATATGATGACTTGGAATCAGGTGAAGAATCAAATGAAGAATCAAACATCCAAAGGTCAGGCCTCTGGATAAAATTAAACTTGGTAGCCAAATTTAAAATGATCAAGAGTTTTCAGGATTGTTTTACTCACAGAAGCTGATGATCAAATAATATTTTTGAGAAAGCAATTGAAAAATAGTATGAAATCAGACCTGAATGTTATTGCACACTGAGAGAAGCTGCAAATCAATGAGTCAAGAAGTTGGAAAATGAATGGATAATCCTTTTCATTACTTCATAAAATGAATGGATTGTATCTATTAAATATACACTGAAATAAGACAATGGGAGATGCCCTTGGAAGGTTAAGATGATTAAGTTTATCTCAGATTTTTTTTATAGGAGTCACACTCCCTGGAGTGCTCTGTACTCTAAAGGAACGATCAAAAATACCATAAACATCAGGGAAAGACCAGAATCTCCTTAGGATAATTAAAGGTGAAAGAGGCAAGCTTCTCAACAGAATAGAATCTCTGACCCCAGAAGTAGGAATAGCATTAAGGATTGGTTTTATTGCCAAGGTAAAAAATCCTAAATGATTTTCCTATATGTGTACGCTAGCTTATTCTGAATATAATTGAAAGTATCTAAATAAAATACCCAAAGAGACCTATACATCTATATTTTTTAAAGGTGAAAACATACAGTAATGGAAAAATAAGGATAAGGATATGAAATTGGAACCAAATGAAGCCACTGCAATTAGAATGGTAGGGTCATTTATTTGGTTCTAGGCTTTTTAATTGTCAGTGCAAAAAGTGAGAAGTAGTTATTACGAATTTCAGGGTCCATAAGATTAAAGTAAAGCAGTTGCTCAGAAGAACGATCCTAAGACAAGAAAGGAACCTCTTCATAAGATTTTCATAGAGAAGACCCCATGTAATAAAATGAAAAATTTTCTCAACATTCTCAAAACAAACATAATCAACTTTCATAGAGCTGTTTCTTATTTAAAAATAACCCCAAACACGGGCTCGATGGCCTTGTAAAAAACTGTTTCAGGGATACAGAAGCCAAGAGTACATCTCAGCATTCTTCATTTTAGCATTTCTTGACGAAAAAGTGAACTGCATATCCTTCAGAAACTCTGTCATAATGCTGCCTCTCCTTATTAATGCTAAATGGGAATTGGGTGACAAGAAATTTAGAAATTCACTCTTTTAAAAGCTTCTCAAGGATAGCTATTCTATATTGCTAGATAAGTAAAGATTCCTACAGGATAAGTAAATACACATGTTTTAAGATTGAGGTTGTTTACGAAAACTGCTTGATTTTTATTGAGGTTGAGACATCAAAAGGCTGCCAGGGCCTAAGAAATGACTAGAGAAAGCAAGAATATTTATCTTAACCTAAAGTTTGGAGAACAGGAAAAGGTGGTTCCTATTGCATATGAGACTGTTAGGATAAATAATTGTTTCCTGAGATAAACTTTAAATAGGTGGGTAAGAAACTTCATCGGTTCCTTAATACACTTCTAATCCAACCTACTAATAAGACAGCGTAAATATGTCTGACTGAATTATTACAGATTATTACTACCTCTTAACAAGGGTGCAATGCTGCATGGCAGGGGTCACTATATATATGTAGTTTTATATATATATATATACAGTTTTATATATATACATATATAACTATTATATTTATTTATGTTTTATTTAAAAGTCTGAACATTTTAGACTTGTAATGAAACAACTTGGCTCAGATTTTTTTTTCTTAAAATAAAGAAAAAATAAAAAATTTTCTTAAAATAAAGAAAAAATAAAATAAAATAAAGAAAAAATATCTCAATCTGTAATCCCTTCAATAAAATAAATGCTATAAAAACTAGACATGTACTTATTATCTTCTTGTGCTAAGGCTGACAAAAGGTGGTTTTATATGCATAAGTATGTGTGTTTTCTTACTGAGATTTTTGCAAAGCACAGCATGCACTTCAGTTAGAAACGTGAAATAATCTGCAGTGTGATTGCTCAGTGCTGTTGCTGGGAGGCTTGGAAACTAAACATGGGATTTGATACCCAGCAAGAACGATCACTCATTGAGGCAGACCCACAATCTGGTATTTATGAAAATGTTGAAGACTTCCCAGGTCGCTTTAAATATTGTTTAAATGAGAAAGCTAAAAATGATTTTGTCAGCACAAAGTTTTAAAATGCCAATAGGCAAGAAAATATGCATAGTAATAATCATAAAATGCAAAGCAACTATGAAGCAATTACATTTATAAACATTATGCATTCATAATGACTAGCTATTTTTTAGAAAAAAATAAACAATTTTAGTATTATTGGATTTCAAATTTCATTAAATTCATTCAGCAGAATTGTGACAAGGTTAGTATGATTCTTAAGTGAACCAGCCAACTCAACTATGTACTTTGAGACTAACAGTCTAACAATGTAAAATTTATTATTTCTCATTTGTATCTCCATGATTGACACTTTATACAGCAAGTGCATTTTCTAAAGAGTAAAAGTACAGGTCCATAGCTACCTATTATTACAAAATACAGAAAAGGTAGGGCTGTACTCTTGAGAACAAACCCCCAACTAAACAGTTGGAAATCCAACTATAGTTCTTATGCAGGTAAAGAGTTTCCAGTCAATGTGTCATAATTACTTTTGAGACACTTGTGAAGATTTTATAATACTCATCTTACTATAAATTCAATACCACCAAAATGAAGATATAAAGATGTCAGGCTATGTCTATGAATGTTCACTACATAATGTAACTTTAAAGTCTTATCTTGAAGAGCTTTCAAACAGTCCATTCAATTAAATATTTATTGAGCACCCTCTAGGTGCTTGGCATTGGGTAAGCTCCAGAGGGGTGTAGACCAGAGAACACTTTATCTTTGGATCTTTGGGTCAGCCTAAGAAACAATTCCTTGTGCTAACAATCTCATAGGCACCAGGAAAAATCTTTTCATACCCTCTTTATTGTATGTGAACAATGTTTGGTGCTAAGATAAAGTGACTCTCTAAAATGTGTTAAAAAGGGTAATTATACTTCTTCAGGAAAATTTTGCAGAGAATATTGCTTGCATCTGAAATTTGGATAATAGGAGGAATTTTGTCCGGTATCTAAGAATTTTTTTTTTTATTTCCCAGCAAAGGGAAGTGATGTAAGAAAAGTCACACACAGGATAAGTTAGAACTTAACACGACCTTAAGCATACTAAGTACCTTACCCTGGCTATAGTGGTAGGAAAACAAACCCAACAGTATATAGAAGTACTATGATGTCTCCTGTCCAAACATTTTAAAAACCGAATATTGATGTTTTCCAACTCTATAAGTAAAATTTGTTATTGCAAATTGATGGAAAAGAGATAAACGCTTAAAATCAAAATCAAAATCACAGCTGTTAAAATTTCACTCAAAAACATGCATATACCCATATAGTTGCAGAATAATAATTATGGAATCATTATGTGCATTGTTGCTTTATTATGTCATCAAAATTTCCCCAGATCGTTAAGAACCATTGAAAATATGCTCTCTTGGTGTTTCCCACATGTGGGAATTGGTAGTTTTCCCACATGTGGGAATTGGTAGTATTCCCACATGTGGATTGGCATAGCTCTGTTGGCATTTCTCTACAGATGGGCATGCAGTTGGATTTATTATTTTTGATATGATAAATGTTCTTGTCTAGAAAATCCTCTTGGCATCTCTGATCACTGATTTTGGACAGATTCCTAGAAGTGAAACTATGGCATCAAAAGATATAAGTGACTTTCAAGCTTTCAGCACAAACGGTGAGACTTCCTTCCAGAAGGGTGGCTCCAGTACATATTCCCACCAACAAGTATAAGAACACTGCTGCACCACACTGAACTATGCTATTAAAGAACCTTCACTAGATTCATACAGGGAAATGGCATTTGTTTAAATGTGCACTTACTTGATGGAATTTTGAACCAGACACTGAGGGAAAGAAAGGCTCTTTGGGGAAGAACTCAAAGTAAATACAAGAGCCCACTGTTTCAGGTGAAAGATGTGAAGATCTTTTAGATCTTCTGAAAGAAATAAAGAAAATGAAAGAAAAATTTCTAAAAAGCAATAAAAGTGGCCATTTAAAACAGAACTTTAAGGAGAGATTAGAGAAGGCTCTGAATCCAGAGTTGAAATATACTGGGAAAGGAAGTGGATTCGTCTATTAAGGCATAGACTGCATGTGGCTTCAACAACAGAAATTTATTTCTTGCACTCTAGAGACTAAAAAGTCTAGGAGCAAGGTTTAGGCTCATTTGGTTTCTGGTAAGGGCTCTCTTTCTGGCTTGCAGATTGCTGCCTTCTCATGGTGTCCTCATGTGGTGGGGAAAGAGAGACACACCTCCATGTTTTTCCTCTTCTGAGAAGGCCACAGTTTAATGCTTTGCCCTTATGAATTCATTTAACCTTAATTACTTCCTGAAGACCCTATCTCCAGATACAGTCACACTGGGGGTTATGGTTTAACATATGAATGGCAGGGGGCACAATTCAGTCCCTAAAAGCAAGATACTTTCCACTAAATATTATGAAGAAAAAATTCATGACTGCTTAGGTAAGCATGTTCATACATATCAAGACTATTCGCTTTAACAGAAATTGCCGACTTTTCAGGAATTCATGCTTATTTTGTAATGTTCTATTGTACACCAAGCAAGAAGCTTTGGTACATAGCAAAAGGAATGGGGATATAATAGGAAGTGTTCTTAAAACTGGGATAGTGAAGTTATTTTAAATCCCAAGTTTAGATTTAAATCCCAAGTTTAGTACCG
Organism: Homo sapiens; assembly: GCF_000001405.40. Lineage (NCBI taxonomy): Eukaryota > Metazoa > Chordata > Mammalia > Primates > Hominidae > Homo > Homo sapiens. The sequence continues at coordinate 76,279,971 of NC_000003.12, read as the reverse complement.
AAAGCAGTAGCAAGAATGAGAAGTCAAGGTCTGGGACTAGGCCCTGGGGAGCTGTCACAGTAAGGCAATAACCAAATCTTACCAAATCAATCCCAAAACAGTGGTCAGAAGAGAGAAGTAAGGATGCTATATTAGGGATCATAGTCAAGATTAAATTGCCAAATTTACAGACTTTTGTTTTCATCTTATTTCTTTTATGTTATGTGTTACGTTATGTTTTTATCTTATGTTATGTGGATCCTGATGCAATGATAATTGTTTCCCCTTATCTAATATTCGCTAATTAAAGCAAAATATGGAATGTTAAAGGACATTAGGGTTTAATACAAATGAATATATTCTCATATTTAAATTAAATATAGGTGGGTCATAAAGAACACATTAAAGTGTGAACAGTAATTCTCAGGCATCTCCTAATCTCTATAAATTGGCCTTTACTCAATTGATAACTATATAAGATTATTTCTAAGACCTATTATAACTAATATGACCAAAATGTAACTTTTCGCTTGCCATAGTGGTAGAATATTCAATGCCAAAGACAAACTGGAGACATGTTTCAGTAAGAAAGTTTGAGTAAAGATGTTGGTATGTAGAATCACTTGGAGTTATATTTTCAGAACATGGTGCAATAAATTAAATTAAAGCCTAAAATAAACATGAAAGTTATATCTGAGTAAGAGACCTACACAAGCTCTTTTTAAAAAAAATCTTACCTAAAGTTTATCTATCTAATTACATAGGGACTTTCAGGAAATTTCCCCAAAAAAAGTGAGCTTGCAATGGTCATCCTATTCTCTCTCTCTCGTACACACACCACATGCATATATAAGATATATATATATAATATATCCATATATTTATCTGATGTATGTGTATATATGCATAATTAAAATATGTGTTTGTATTTTCTATACATAAATGTTTGCTGCAATAACACTATTAATATTTAAGTATAAGAAAGTAAGGAGGAACTTTTCTGCATCCCATTTTTAGCAAGCCCATAGTCTATGAGTATCAAATAGAATCACCTTTATCTCTCAGGCATTGGGTAGGAGTGGGAGAGCAGCTTACAGTGAGGAAGAGGTTATAAGGGTAGCAGCTCAATCAGTGAACCTATAGAGGAGGACTAGTGGCGTTCACATTCTCTCCAAAATAAATCAGTGGATTTCTCTCCCAATTTTCAAACCCCATACCTCTTTCTCTATTCCCCCTAAAGATATGTGTTGACAGCCTGATCATGAACACAGAACTATTTCTGTTTCTGACACGTACATGTGTCTTCTTGTTCAGATCCATCATCACAAAATGACAGGTTCCAGATGCTTTCTAACTTTTACTTGGGGAAATATCTTTTAAAAATAAATGCCGGGACAAACTTGTATGTTTCTCTTAGTGTTCTGTTATTTTTATTGACTCCTCAAAAGCTTCCGTTCCTTTGTCAACCAACTTGATGAGATGAAACTCAGTATAAGAGAAACTAAGGATATTTATTAGGGAGCAAATATATTGAAATTTTGTTTCAGAAACAATGGTTTATACAAATATAAGTGCTACCATGAACAATATCCTATTCAACAATCTAGACCGAAATGTACCTGGGCTTTTCCAGTTTATTAGAATGCAAAACTCTGCAATTATTCAAGGTATTGATAAGGTTATAAGTATTGCTACAGGAATACTAGGATCTACTCTTTATTATTAGTGACAAACTTTTGGAACTTGATCTTTAGATATATCTCAAGGCAATCATAATGTTTTTCTTCATTTCTGAAGCTTGATTCTACTCGATTTCAGTCTCTGTTTTCATCACCCAATTAGTCTTGCTCTGTGGCAGATTTTATTAAACCATACAAGTTTAACTTTATCATTAATTAGAATGAAGAGCCTGACAATATTGCATTTCACCGTTTACCTCTTAATGACAATTAAGGTGAGCTATTATTTACTTCACTATTTCCTATACAGTGCCAAGAAAGGACTGCACAAAACCAGGCTACTGTGTGTCAATCACTGAGAAGAGTTTCCTGTTAAAAAAAAAAAACAAAAAACTGTAACTTTCAATCTAAAAACAAAAATGTCTTGGACTTATTATTTATTTACCTATTGCTGGGAGTGAAGGGCTCACAATATTCAACCCAATAAAGTTGGTATTAACTTTTACTTATTTAATTTTTAATATATATGAGAATAAAAACCATCTTTAAGAATCAAATCGCTTTACTCAGGCATTCATTATTTGATTATTTGTTTCCAGGCAAGGAGCATCTTTCTATATACCAAGAACACTGCTAATTTTTAATGACTGTATTATTGATGAAAATACATTGGCTTTTGGTACTGAGCATCCAAAGTCAATTGCTGAAGGCTTTTGTAGTCCCTCTAATATTTTCTAGTGTTAACAATGATTTTGCCCCCTCCTTGCTTCTTTCATTTTATACCAAAAGCTGAGCATCCCTAATCCAAGAATTAGATGCCTTCTCTGGAGAAACTACTTTAAAAAGCCATCCAGCAGAATGCCTTCCTATCCCTAGAGGACCTACTTCTTAGTCCGTCAACTATTTCTGATGTTTCTTCTTATCTAAAACAATAAAACACAGTATACTGTAACCTTGTAATCAAAGCACAGCATTGTAGGTAGAGTCTAAAACCTGTTGTTTGTTGTTGCTGTTGTTTAACAGCTGATACATGTATTCTGATGATGCTACTGGGTTCCTTAGTTACCATGAACATTTTTCTTTTTCACCCTATTGATGTTATATCATATATTTTACTATTACGTGCTTATGTATGAATAAGAGTAAAAAAAAGAATTGCTTATTGGTAGGCTATACATCCACTGGAATGCTTATGATGGCAAACAACCACAGATTGTCCACATGGGTGGTTGAGATAGTGACTGCTTTGCTTTCTGACTGTTCAAAGTACACAAACTTTGTTTCATGCATAAAATTATTAAAAAATATTGTATAAAGTTAAATTCAGGACATGTGTATAATGTATATATAAAATATAAATGAATTTCATGTTTAGAATTGGGTCCCATCCCCGAGATAAGATATATCATTATGTATATGCAAATATTCCAAAATCCAAAAATATCCGAAATATTTCTGGAAATCATGGCTCTGGTTATATTTCTGTTGGACAGTACTAATGTAAATCACACAGACTTCAGATACAAGGACATCATCACCCCATTATTATAGACTTCTTGTTGTTCAATGTTAATTAAGGCATTGCCCTATTGTCAGTGAAATTAAAAACCAATCACATTTTAAATCTCATTGGTAAGCCTTTCTTCATTTAAGCAACGTGATTGTTCAATAATCTATTGCCTTTAATTACAAAAAATAGATTATAGAAATGATATGAACAATTTATAAAAAGTAGTTTTAAACAAATGAATTAAAATTCCAATTCCAATATGGAAACGTTTAGAATATGGTTTCATGTTATAATTTGTGCAAAAGAAAAAAATGACTGTAAACCAGCTCAGTTTGATAGAAGTTCTATATTAATGAAAATATTCTATAACTGTGTTGTTCAGTAAAGTAGCGAAGTGGCTAGTTGAGCTTTTGAAATATGGCTAGTGTGATTGATACAATGAATTCTCAATTTTCATTAGTTTAAATTTAAATAGCCATATGTGGCTAATATCTATCATATTGGACATTGATAGATATTAGAACAGAAACATAATTTCTGCTCTATAGCTAGCAGTATTGAATTTCACATATTGAATTTCACATACCTTGGAAAGTCCACGTTGGGAATATTTCTATCTCACCTAAATTATGAGTGATTAAAATATACATTTTAACAAACTTCAAATTGCTTTAAGTACTTTAGGAAGACCTTGACTGTTGGATTTTTGAGTTTTTTCTTTATTTCTTAATAAAAACATGCATATTTAAGTTGTCAGCAAGATGTACTTATATGTTAATTATCTGATATCAGCATCCCTTTATGTATTTAAATTGTATATTTGATTTTTAATTAAAATGAAAACATCCATTAAAAAACAATTTTTAAAAGTGCTCCCCCCCTCCGAGTTCTTTTTTGTCTTTACATTTTATAAGCACATTGCTTTTGACATTATGTGAGTGATTAATTCAGGATAACATAAACTTCTGGAAGTCATTTACAGGTGGGAATTATTAGGTAAAAACCATTTCTAATTTAGGAATATGCATAACAAAGTATGTATTGAAAATGTTAAACTTCATTCTTCCGATTTGTCTCCTGCAGAATGCCCAGAAAGTAGGTTTTTAAAGAACAAGATGTAATTAACATTCAATTGTATGTACTTAATTATGAACTAATATCTGATTAAATAGAAAATATTTCTGCCTGGGGTTTTCATCTAGGGAAATATGAGAATCATAGAACCTTCGAGCTGCTAAGATTCCTGTCCAAATTTCTCATTCTGTGTATTAGAAATAGTCACAGAGTGAAATGACTGTGAAAGTCATAGTTACTTCATAGTAAAGACCGAGGTCTTTGTCACAGTACAAAGAAGAGAAAAATAAACCTTTGCAAAGTGCCTGCTCTGGACTAGGCATCCTGCTTGCTATTTCTATGCAAGTTTTACTTACTTTTGGGGCAGGTGAGGAAACAGGTGCTCTCATTAGTTAAGGGAATTTCCTCCATGTACCCTAAAACTTAAAGTATTAAAAAAAATTGTAGACTGATCTGATATTAAATTCTGCTTCCACTACTTAAATTGTAACTGGGGATTTGCTAAACTCAAACTACTCATCCTTAAGGTGATAGATGTATTTGAATTCACCTGATATTATTGAATATAAGTACAGCACTTCGCATTGACACTCTCACATAGCACTTGCACGGCGCAATTATTGTTGTTGTGTCTACTGTTGTCAATCACTTTTTCCATCTAAAATGTGGTGAGTTGGGGCAGTTATTTATTATATTAAGTAACTTACTCAAATAGTATATTTCAGAAAAGAGTATATGTTAGAATTTCTTTACAAGTTACAATGGCACAAATCTCTGCATAAAATATTATATTCACTGAATTCTTGTAAACTGACTAGACTGTATATTACCTTTTTGGGTATATGATTAAATAATGTTGCTATATTTCCTTTCATTCTTTTTTTTTTTTTTTTGAAAAGGAGTCTCACTCTGTTGCCCAGGCTGGAGTGCAGTGGCACAATCTCAGCTCACTGCAACCTCTGCCTCTGGGTTCAAGCCATTCTCTTGCCTCAGCCTCCTGAGTAGCTGGGACTACAGGTGCGTGCCACCATGCCCGGCTAATTTTTTGTATTTTTAGTAGAGACGGGGTTTCACCATTCTGGCCAGACTGGTCTCAAACTCCTGACCTTGTGATCCACCCACCTCGGCCTCCCAAAGTGCTGGAATTACAGGTGTGATCCACCGTGCCCGGCCCTGCTATATTTCTTGAAACTAGGGTTTTTGTTCTAGAACAGATTGAATAACAATCTGTATTTCATAGCAAATCATATATCAGATTCATAAAATAGTTTATAAACTACACAGCATATAGCCAAACTCCTTCAAAAAGTATTAATTTAAAACAAACACTAAAATAATTCTTAGTTTAAGATATCATGCTGAAAATTCTTTTTTTTTTTAATTATACTTTAAGTTTTAGGGTACATGTGCACAACGTGCAGGTTAGTTACATATGTATACATGTGCCATGTTGGTGAAAATTCTTTTTTGTTGTTGCTCCACAAAAGTTCAAGAAAAAATACTGATTTGGTTGTATGTATGTAGTATCATGAATAAAATTAATAGTTAATCTATGTTAATGTTAGCTATGGTTTGAATGTTTATCCCATCCAAAACTCACGATAACATTTAATTGCCATTGTAACATATGTAACACCTCACATATTAAGAGTTGGTACCTTTAAGAAGTGATTAGATCCTTTCATGGATGGGATTGGTACCTCTACATGGGAGTGCGTTCTGTCCCCTCTTGCTCTCTTTCTCTCCCTTTCACCCTCTCTTTGCCCTTCTGCTATGTGATAACTTAGCAAGAAGACCCTTGACAAATGCAGGCACCTTCATCTTGGATGTTCCAGCCTCCAGAGCTATGAGAAATTAATTGGATCATTATAAATTACCCAGTGATATGGTTTTGTGGTGTCCCCACCCAAATACTACCTTGAATTGTAGTTCCCATAATCCCCACATGTCATGGGAGGGATCTGGTGGGAGATCATTGAATCACAGGGGCGGTTACCTCCATGCTGCTCTGCTCATGATCGTGAGTGAGTTCTCATGATGGTGAGTGAGTTCTCATGATGATGAGTGAGTTCTCATGATCGTGAGTGAGTTCTCATGAGATCTGATGGTTTTAAGAGGGGCTTTCCCCACTTTTGCTCGGCACTTCTCTGCCTGCCATCATGTGAAGAATGACGTATTTGCTTCTCTTTCCACCATGACTGTAAGTTTCCTGAGGCCTCCCCAGCCATGAAGAACTGTGAGTCAATTAAACCTCTTTTCTTTATAAATTACCCAGTCTCGGGCAGTTCTTTATAGCAGTGTGAGAGCAGACTAATACACCCACTCCGTGTTATTCTGTTACAGTAGCACAAAACAGATGAAGAAATCAGTAAAAACTGAAATAAAATGACCTACTCCTGAGAGTCAAAATCTTATTATTCTAAGCATAATTGCCTCGAAAAACTGTATTTCATCATTGCTACATCTGTGGAATGTCAGACTGTATTGAATGAGTCTCACTGTAGAAGTCATACTTAGATAAGTGGAGAACTCTAACACTTATCCATGTAAATAAAAAAGATGAGTTTCCAAATAGAAATGTGTATATATATATATATATATATATATATTTATATGTGTGTGTGTATATGTGTGTGTATTTTATATATATTATATTTATATATATTTTTTATATATTTATATAATATATATTTTATAAATATATATTATATATAATATATTTTTATATATAAATTATATATTATATATTATATATATTTTATATATAAATATATATTATATATTTTATATATTTATATATAAATATATATATTTTATATATAAATATATATTATATTTTTATATATAAATATATATTATATATTTTATATATTTTATATATAATATATAATATATATATTTTATATATAAATACATATTATATATTTTATATATATATATTTTATATATTTTATATATAAATATATATTATATATTTATATATAGAGAATATATATATTTATATGTGTATATAATATATATTTTATATATATAGAATATATATATATATTTATATGTGTATGTATTTTAGACAGGGTCTCGCTCTTTCGCCCAGGCTGGAGTGCACTGGCATGATCTCAGCTCACTGCAACTTCCGCCTCCCAGATTCCAGTGATTTTCCTGCCTTAGCCTCCCAAGTAGCTGGGATTACAGGCACGCGCCACCACGCCCAGCTAATTTTTGTATTTTTAGTAGAAACGGGGTTTCACCATGTTAGCCAGGCTGGTCTCGACCTCTTGACCTCATGATCCACCCACCTCGGCCTCCCAAAGTGCTGGAATTACAGGCATGAGCCACCACATCCAGCCCAGAAATATATTTTTAAGTTAGTTTTAATAACCTCTGGTGGTTCATATTTTTAACTCATAATTTTAACTCTTCTTTCCTCACCTATATTTATTATATAAGCTATGAATTTCGTAAAGAGATGGCCCTACCAAGGCATAAAATTATAAAGGATTTATGCCTGGGTCATAATGCTTGACAAGCGCTACTTTACATAACTTCAAGGACACAAAACATTTAATTTGAAAATCACTGTCCTTGAGAGTCAACTTTCTCCTCAGGCAATAATAACTTTGCAATAATAACTTACTTTTATATGTTTATGTTGGAAACACTTATATTTATAGAGCATATTTAGATGTGTCTAAAGCTAAACATATTAAGAATATGGATGTATGAAGCACATTCTAATTTTAAATGATACATATCAGAAAAAGAGACAACTAGAATGGGAACTAGAATATTTAGAAAAGAAATATTCTGATGGGTTTTGTACACAGAGTTGTCTCTGGAGACAAGCAAGTTTGTCACTTCAGAAATATTTTAAGAACTAGTATTTATCGAGTCTGATTTTATCATGAAATACAAAGATGAGTTAGTTCATCTTCATGGAATAAAGGCTATGTGTGTTTATGTTTGTGAGGAGAGGAGAGAAGGATGAAAAGGGAGAGAAACAAAGAGAAAAAGAGCCAGAGAAGCAGGAGGGTGAAAGTGTGCTATACAGTTGATAATTCTAACAGATGCATATATTCATGAATACATATTCTTACTGGACATATTACAAAGAGAAGATTGGGAGATTCTGCCATATCAGTTAATATAAATTAGTTTATTCATTGATCTCATTGAAAAGATTGCAGAGTGACAGGTATTATTTATTAACTTAAACATACTAGATGCTTTAATATTAAACATATGTGAATCTGTAATGGAGTCTAGGTCACTACCAGAAAGGGCAATGGGACTTTCTGGGATCACATACTTTCCCTGGTTCTGAAAGTATCTCCATCTTTTTTCATTCATTTTGTACCTAAGTCTTACTACAATGTGGAGAGGTAGCACTCAAACAAGGAACAGTTGTTAAAATTAAACATGTTGTAAACTAATAATGCCACTACTTGTTTTATGTAACAAGTTTTGCAGTCAAAGAAGAAGAAAATTTAAATATACTTTTTGCAGTCACCTAATCAGTCATTCTCAGGTTTTATTTCTTTTTGTTTTTCCCTACTTTTTGTTTGTATTCAAATGATTGGTTAATTTTCATATAAATGTAAAGATAAGTAGGCTTATTTTAAATAATCTATAAAAACATCTTTCCGATTGATGGACCACCTACTAGTAGCAGTGGCTATTCAAGATGCTAGTATTAAAAGAAATATTTGTAACACTTTGTATAGGTATAAAGTTTACCAAGTGTTTCAAAGTACATCCTTGATTCAGCATGGAAAAAACCTGTGTAAGCAGGAAGAGGACTTGCTATTATTTCCAGTTCACTCTTTATGAAACTGAAGCTTCCAGCTATAAAGAAATCGGCTTGTCCAGCGTCTTCAAGCCTTCAGGTAACATATCTAGGACTAGAATCCAAGTTGCTATACTCTACATTTAGTATTCTCTAAACTATTTCACATTACTTATAGAGACAAGTAATAAAATTAATGCAATTGTTCTCCCTCCCTTCCTTCTTTCTTTTTGTATTTTTAAAGGATATATTTAGTATCATTGGTTTGTCATTTGTTTTACTCATTTATCCAACATTGCTTTTGTATCAGGTAGCACAAAAGGTGCTCAATAAAATAAAATGTTGAATCAAACACGAATCTAAGCTGCATCCAGAACAATGAGTAGTAATTCTTAAAAATAAAGTGGGGGATGGGGAAGAAGGAGTTATCATCTACGATAATGGTCTCATTTATAGTGTAATGCAATCTTGCTACATCGTAGTCTATTATGAGTTCATAATCTCTCAACTAGAATATGGGGAATTATACAAAATTGGAAGACATAATTTATCTTTGCTGCAATATATAAACTAGGGTTGTCCATGGAAATGTGTCATGTTTCTGAGGAATGTCTATTATATCTATGGTAATAAAAAAAAGAAATGAAGAGAACCCACAGTTCTAGGCAGGGGAGAAATGTGTATTTAAAGTGTTGGATTGTCTTAAATATTCCTTTTGGCAGCCAACAGAGGTAAAACATTGATGTGCCATTGTGGTTCCCTTGAACCACTACTTCAGTGTTTATGCCAGTAAAGTGGAAATGATCTTTGAGAAATTACCTAAGACATATTCTTATTTCAATAAGCACTATCCTTAAACTCCTCCATCAATATGACAGTCAATTCCAATTTTAACCACATCTAAAAAAAGAGATTGTATAAAATCCAGTAGTAGCCTTTTCCAATTGTACTATAAACAATTCCTTGCAATTTCCTTATTACTATCTTTAATCATTTAACTTCACCCAGAGTCAAATTTCTTTCCTTTTAATCTCAGTGTAAATAGAAAAGCAAAGATCCATCCTTTTCTATAGAACCTACAATCATATATATGTTAATGTTCCATGTCAATTTTCAAATATAAGAAGGACTTGCAGGTAAGTATTGATTTTTATATTTTGCATATAGACAAAGTATGAAATAGACACGAGAGATACGAAATAGGTCTTACTATTTCATAAAAATCTGAAAGCCCTGGCCTTTACAAAAATGTAAGGGAGGTTATAATTATGCATTGGTTTTTAGTTATATAAAAGATAAATGTGCTTGTTGAAATAATGGATTTACTCATTCCTTTCATTTACTCTGTTTTTTTTTTTTCATTTAACCATAACTTATTGAATGTGTGTATGTGCTATAAAAGGTATGTGTAACTGAGACAAAAAGTAGGTAAACCTTGATGTGATCATCCATTCAGAAGTTCATCATCTAGTGGGGGATTTTGGTTTACATATATTTGTATTAGATCTGAACATTCAGAAGGAAAAAGTAACCCTTGAAGGAGACGTCAAGAAGCAATGGAAGAGAAGAAAGAGCTTCAAGAAGAGAGAGGTCAACATTGTAAAGCTTCATGTGTTTATTTATTTATTTTTAAGTTGTATGAGTACCTAGTAGTTGTACATATTTGTGAGGTACATGAGACGTTTTGATCCAGGCATACAATGTGTAATAACCACATTAGAGTAAATGGGGTATCCATCACTACAAGCAATTACCATTACCTTGTGTCACAAACATTTCAATTACACTCTTTTAGTTGTTTTTAAAAGTATAATAAAATATTGTTGACTGCAATCATCCTGCTGTGCTATCAAATACTAGATCTTATTAATTCTATCTAACTATATTTTTGTGCCCATTAACCATCCCCACCTCCTCCCCAATAAGATAACAGTCATTTCAATGTTTTTATGAAACAAATAATATTAAACAAATCTCTGATTTGAATTACTGCCAACAAATGGCTACTAGGTTAACAAAATAGTGTGTGGGAGTAAGAGTCTAAGTATAGGTGTGTGAACATTTTATATGTGTCTATACTCAATACATGATTTCAGTTTTCTGATTTACCTTGGAGACTCAGGGCTACATGTTGCCTTACTACTAAAGAGGCAGTCAACTTCCAATTTATGCTTTAAAAAACTATTAAATTGAAGAGAGGAGGAAATGATGATAAATAATATTATCTTTTATTATGGACTGAATTGTGTACCTTAAAATTCCTATCTTGAACCCTAATTCAAACGTGACTTTATTTGAAGGTAATTAAGGTTAAAGGAGGTCTTAACGGTGGGAGCCTAATCCAGTGAGATTAATTCTTAAAAGAAGAGGAAAAGACACTGAAGATCTTTCTTTTTCTGTGCATGAATGGAGGAAAGACCATGTGAGGACACAACAAGAGGGTGGCCATCTGCAAGTGAGAAGGAGAGGCCTCACAAGAAACTACACGACTGGCATATTGACACTGAATTTCCATTCTCCAGAAATGCGAGAAAATACAGTTATGTAGTTAAACTACCCAGCCTATCATATTTTGTTATGACAGCCCAGGTTAACTAATATACTTTGTTGAAAGAAATTCCAACAGGCAGCTAGCTTATAGCATCCCCTCTCCTCTCCTCCCCTCCCCTCCCCTCCCCTTCGCTTTCTTTGCTCTGCTGCCCAGGATGGGGTGCAATGGCACAATTATGGCTCACTGCAGCCTTGAATTCCTGGAATCAAGTGATCCTCCCACCTCCGTCTCCTGAGTAACTGAGACTACAGGCACACACCACCTTCCTTGGATAATTTATGTGTATATGTGTACATTTAGAGATCAGGTCTCACCATGTTGCCCAGGGTGGTCACTTACAGCTTTTTCTTAATGGTAACTGGTAACATGTATTAGGCCCTTGCCACATCTCTGGTCATGCATTTCGAGTTTTTATGAGTATAATCTTATTGAATTCTCAGAACGGTCTGAGGACATAGCTACTTCTGTGAAGCATAGTACAGCTGTGAGGTACAGAAAGATGTAGTAATGTGGATGTGAGGTACAAAGGTTAGCTAGTTAGTGAGTAAGTAATTGCTTTTAGGGTGAAGATTATAGAGAGGCCATCATTAATATAGCTTTAATTTTGATTATTAAACACATATTTGCTTAACCATTAAGAATCATTAAAGTATTCTAACATTATATTGTAATCCCATATTTATCATATATAAGCAAACAAAAATACTAGTCTAATAGAATTTAAAATAACTATTGATAAAAGTTAATTTACAAAGCTTATCACTTGCTATAATTTCATATTGTAAGAAACATTAAACATATTAGAAGAGAAATATGACACAGGTGATTAAAAATATAGGTATTAAATTCAGTGTTTGATAGCATAATTAAATTGCAAAAGGCTTAGTGTCTATTTAAAGGACCAATTAGATGAACACAACACTAAAATTTAAAACCTGCAACATCCCAAAATAGACTTGCTAGTGATTAAAAAGGAAATATCCACGAATGTGAAGGCTTGAAATGTAATAAGGGCCCAAATGAGTTAGTGATGGCTATCATAAAAGTCTAGCAGGGCATTCTATTTATAATTTGTAATGAAAGTGTCACACATTGAATTTATAAAAGCATTTATCTTAAAAAAATAAATCTATTTGCCAAAGGCAAGTTAATAACCTCTACAGTTCATTTGAATATATGGACAAAGAGATGGTTTGACTAATAGGGCATTGTAAGACATGTGTTGAGATACGTATAGGATGCTGTGAAAATGGAAACATCACTCAAAATGGTTTTATGCTGTGAATGAACAGCAGGGATACTTTCTACATCATCTGAAATACAAATCAATATTGTTAACCATCAACCTAAGGAACATGCACACAGAGAAAATTGTATTCAAGTGTTCCATTTTCAGAAACAATTAAAAATATTTCAATTTAAGTACCGAAAGAACATGTGGATTTTTAAAATATCTAATTGAATGCACAGCTATTTCCTAAGGATTAGAGTCACTTACTTATTTGAGAGATCTAAGGGAAGAAAATGTTACTTAATACATGGGGTTTTACAGATACTCAGAAATGTAAACATACACAATTTTAAATAAACTATTCTTTGAAATATCACAAAAGTTTGGTAGAAAAACAGAAATCAACAGTCATTCACTGTTTAAGATAACTCAGATGGCAGCATCATAGACTTGCCCAAGCCCCACTGTCATAATGAGACTGGACAAATCACTTAGCCTTTTTGTGCTTCGTTTCTTTCAGAACATTCATAATAAATCCCCAATGTTACTCTGTATGACCCCTGAAAATACAAACATAATCTTGGATGTAGACTCTCAGGAACATTTACTTACATATTTTTTCTAAATGTATTTAATGTTGCATACAGAGAGAGAACACGTAAGTTACAAAACTTCTCTGATTTAGAACAGAGGCAGCAAACTTTTTATGAAAGGGCAGATACTTTACTATGCCCTGTGTGATGTGAGAGTAGTTATAGATAATATGTAAATTAGTGGAAGTGGCTTTGTGCTAAAATAACCTTACAGTAACAGGCAAGGGGCATAATTTGGTCAATGGATAATAATTTGTCAACCCTTGATTTTAAAAAGTTTTCTATATTCTCTTTCTCTATTTTCTGTAAAATAATCCTTTAAAAATTGCATTTACATTAAAAGGATCATGCACCATGATGAAGTGGGATTTATCGCTGGGATGCAGGAATAGTTCAGCATATGCAAATCAATAAATGTGATATATCACATTGAGAAAATGAAGGACAAAAAATGTAAATGTCTCAATAAAAGCAGAAAAGGCAATTTGACAAAATTCAACATCCTTCTGTATTTCCTTCACATTTTATCCTTTTAGTTGAAAACCTTCAATTTCCAGCATCTTATATTTAGTTTTCTCATTGAAAAGGTAAAATTATATTCTTGAAGAGTTTCCTATTGAAGAGCTTACTTACCCTGAGTTTGATCATTTCATAAACTCACCTACCCTTTCTAAGGCTCTTTCCTTGTTACTTTTAAAGTGATGAAACAGAAAATCATATAAGTTAAAGAACTTGAACAGACAAATCTGTTCACTGTTTCTGTTAAAGATGTATTAAATTCTTTTATGCAAATAGCATTTCTTTTGGCACTGCTTTGTTCAACCTCTGGTTCTGACCCTTCTTTCCTGTGTAACTGTGAGCTCAGAGTCTTCATTTTCCTTTCTGTATAATGGGAATCATAATAGTATCCATCTCACGAACTTACTGTAATGCTTACAGGAGCTAATATAACACTTTGCAGGTGCTCAAAATATGAAAGGTTTACAATACAAAAACATTTTCAGTTTTCACCTCTGAAGGTGAAGAAATTGAGTTGAGTGATTTTTCTGACACCGTCTACTGCTATGAATTTATAACTATTTCATGTAGTGGTGACAAGAGAAGGAAGCTCTTATTACTATCATAGTTGTTTAAATTAATAAATGTCTCAAGCCTGTGAATAACTTAAGTCTAGTTGAAGATACTTTTATAAAATATACTACAGTTCAACAGAAACAAATATATTATCACAAGTTAATATTAAAACAGATCAACATGAAGTAGATCGATTAGGAAAGGCTGAGGACACCTAGACGAAGATGAGTGTTTTGTATTAGATCCTAAAGGAGAATATAGTCTTTCGCAGGCAGAATGTTGGTGAAGAGGACTGACTGAGGGACATGGATCAAGCAAAGGCTCTGAAGCAGAAAAAGGACCCAGGGACTCACGTGCCTCCAGGCTTCAGCCTGCGTGGGAGATGAGGATGCCTCTTAACAGCAGGAGGGCTCAGATGTAAGGCCATAACAACTGGCTAGAAAATACAATTTTGAAAATCGTTTATTTTCTTTAGATAGCAAATGTGCCTAGTGTTTCAACACAAGGTGGTATTTTCTCCCCTGGAGTAATGAAGTTTATGGAAAAAAACTGCATGGGGAGGAAAGTATATAGAGAAGACATTAAGTATCATTTTGTAAGGCAAGTGAGGTGGCAACAAATGTGGCCAGCTTTCTGGATTTTAAATGGAGAGATCAGAGTTCTCATGTAAAGTAAAAGCCACTTTAATCATTCCTGAGGCCCTGAGAAGAGTAGTATGGGCTACTACTACACAGGGACAAGAGCATTAAAATCTATTCCAGAGCTGATCTTATGTCACCCTAAAACCTCAAACCAGTAAAATATCATCTTTAGGTTTCAGTTTGAACCTCTGAAAGTGAAAAAATTGAATCAAGTGATTTTTCTGGTACTTTTGACCACTATGAATCTGTAACTATTTCATCAAGTTGTGACAATGAAAGAAACCAGAAGAGGGCTTAGACAAAAAGTCTAACTGCATCCATTTCATCGGAAAGGAACCTTATATATCATAATTTTAATTATTTAAGAAAGCGAGAGACATACATTTTAATGGATTCATGTTATGTTTTCCAGGCAAGAAAATGTACTATAAAGTAGGAGCTATAATAACGAGGAAAGGTGCATGGATGTTAAGTTTTATTGTGTTATGGAAGTCTAGAAGGCCACCAAGGGGGAAAAAAAAAAAACTAGAGACAATACCCAAATATTGAAAAGTCACTGTTGGGTAATATTACTTTGTAATTATGGCGTAACTAATATTTTAGTTCTTTATTTTTTTTTAATTTCACTTTCAGTTCTGAGATACAAGTGCAGAACGTGAAGGTTTGTTACATAGGTACACATGTGCCATGGTGGTTTGCTGCACCCATCAACCTGTCATCTAGGTTTTAAGTCCCACATGCATTAGATATTTTTCCTAATGCTCTCCCTCCTCTGGCTCCTCACTCCCTGAAAGGCCCAGGAGTGTGATATTCCTCTCCCTGTGTCCATGTGTTCTCATTGTTCAGCTGCCACTTATGAGTGAGAACATGTGGAGTTTGGTTTTCTGTTCCTATGTTAGTTTGCTGACAATGATGGTTTCCAGCTTCATCCATGTCCTTTCAAAGGACATGAACTCATTCTTTTTTATGGCTGCATAGTATTCCATGGTGTGTATGTGCCACATTTTCTTTATCCAGTTTATCACTGATGGTCATTTGGGTTGGTTCCAAGTCTTTGCTGTTGTAAATAGTGCTGCAATAAACATACACGTGCATGTATCTTTACAGTAGAATGATTTATAATCCTTTGGGTATATACCCACTAATGGGATGGCTGGGTCAGTGCTTTATCATGAATTGTCCCATTTTGTCATTGCAATAAACCTGTAAAGTGGAACTTATTTCATTAAAGTTTTCATTACTTGTTCAAAATCATGAAACCTAGATCTTTTGAATTCCAATTCAGTAGGCCTCCTCAAATTGGTTATCACTGTAGGCTAAGAAATATTGTGCTGGGCCAAGCAGGGTGGCTCACACCTGTAATCCCAGCACTTTGGGAGGTCAAGGCAGGAGGATTCCTTGAGTCCAGAAGTTTGAGATCAGCCTAGGCGACACAGCAAGACTCTGTACCTACATTTTTTTAATTAGCTAGGTATGGTAGTGCATGCCTGTAGTCACAGCTATTTGCGAGGCAAAGGTGCATCGCCTGAGCCCAGGAGTTCCAAGCTGCAGTGACCCAGGATCATGCCACTGCACCATTCCAGCCTGAGTGACAGAGCAAGACCCTTCCCCAAAAAAAAGGACTATTGTACCATGATTCAACGGTGCTTGTTGGTGATTTTTGCAACTGTGTGAAATTTATTTAGAAAGAGGAGAAGCAAGCACTTTAGTATTACAGTTAAGTAGTAACCAGGAGAACAATGCTTACTGAGGGCTAGGAATGTGGCTACATGGATGATTGAAATACAATATTCGGGAGATTTCTTGGGTCTATCAATCCTATCTGGTACTGATGGCATGTTGAGTTTGGCAAGCAGAGATAGCTTGTGTGATGTGGTTGCTGCTGCTCTAAAGTAGTTGCCAATATTTAACAGCCAAGAGATTTTATATAAAAACTTGAATTTCCAACTTTTTAAATTTTTAGAAGATTTGGAACCAATTTGGTAGAAGTATGCAGTAGCTGTGCCCTACCAAGCATAATTGCTCTGTAGTTAGCCCAAAGTCCTGATTATTCTCTATTGTTTCTTAAACTTGATCTGGTTACATTTCTGTTACCTTTTATGACCCCTGGAAACATCTGAGTTTGTAATACGTTTTTAGAGCCTGAGATTCTTGAAGACTATCAGGGAATATACTTTTTCCCAATTTGTCTGCAATAAGTTTAACTTTTTCAAATATTACATGTGGGAGATTAGAAAAGCTGACATCCAGCTTTAGGGACAACCCCAAGTATATAAGTAGGGGGACCAAAGGTAACAAAATGGAGAGTAAAGGAGCAGTCCAGAAAAATAAGACCCAAGGTTCTACCAAAGCCAGAAACTCAGCTGTGTCAAAGTCAATGAAAACAACCTTTTCCATTTTATGTACTTTTGCTGTGTTCTTGGTCCAGAAAAACTTTACCTCTGTCCTTTGAAAAAGCAGACAGTGCATGGAAATTCAAATTTTGTAATGTGTCATCTACCTTTTGGCATTATCTCAGAGTAAAATCACCTAGTAAATGAATTGATGGGGAAAAAAAAAAGCAAAGCTCGTTAAATTTTATGTAAGTCACCAAATACTCATATTCTTTCATACTAACTACATTATAATATTTAATAAGTATTAAATGTTCTGGATTTAGCTTTTAAATACAATTGTCTAGTTTACTGAAGTATAAAATATAAGGCAACGTAGGAGACGTATATGCAAAGGTAAGAGAGACTGAAGTAGAAAATGTATTGGCATAGCTCTGTTGATTAGAACAATGTGACAATTCACCTTCCACCACGTGACAGGCTTCTAAATGTGACAACAAGCATGCTCTGCATAAAGACAATTAAATAAAAATAATTTCTAAAAGTATCTTTGTATTTCAATGAGCCATGCTATACATCTCCTCCAAAAATCGTATATAATGTGGATCTAAAAGAAAGCTACCTGTTCTATAAAATACTTTCATATCATTTTCTTCACCAATTATATGATGGTCTTTCTCAAGTACTACCTACTATGAAATATAAATAGTATACCAGGAATTGCTATTTCAAATAGAATATATCAAGTATATCATGCATGAAAAATACATTCTAATACATACAATCTACTAAAAAAATGCACACAGTATTTTTTCTACGATGAGGAGAGGGCTTATTTAATATAGCACCAAATAGTACAATTAAAATAATTTTAGACTTATTTATATTCTTTTATGCTAAATTTTTTCATTAATTTAATTTACATATGATTAAATAGATTTTAAATTGTATTTCATCCCTTAGAGTCAACTTGGGCATGTTGGAGATGGGGTGTTGGTTATACAACAAAATAACATAATTGTATATTAAATCCAAATTGTGAACATAACTTTAAACTCTGAGAGCAAGTATAGTTCCCCCCCAAAAAAATGGCACATAGTATTATCTGAAGGAGAAAAATTTGTGCCACCCTTAAAATCATATAAGAAATTAAAATTTTGGTTCTGAAAACTGACACAAGACTCTCCAGGTAAAGAGTCTCCAGGTAAAGACTCTCCAGGTAAAGAAGGAAGGGTACCCTAGGTTCTCTTCCACCACTTCAAACAGAAGAGCTCTCTTTATATTAGAATTCATAGGAAGCTGTCATTTATATATATATATACACACACACACACACACACACACACACACACACATAATTTAGTTTAAAAGAAAAATTTGAGCACAACTAAGGTTCTGTTGAAACTCCCCTTGTAGTTAAGAAATTCAGACTGAAAGTTGAATTAAATCTCAAAATCATACAATTATCTAGTTGTTCCTTCCCCAACTCCCATTTCAGTATCTTTCTTACTACAGTACGTTGCAAAAATTAGTCTTGAAGCCCTACATTTTTTCTACCCTCACTTTCAATATTTCCTTATATCCTATTTTATGAAAATTGTGGGAAAAAATTGGAAACAGGAAAAAAATAGTATGAGATTCTTTCTAGTGGACCATTCAGGTTTATTGCTATCTTTCACTGTTTTTGAGCTACTTCATAATTCTGTAAGATGTAGAACACTAACAAAAATGCAAATTGTGTGTGATGGTAAATTCATTTCAGCATTATTGTGCGATCCTTTGAAATTGTTTTTGAACTAACTGTGCTCTCTTACTGGTTCATTCATTAATTAATGAATTAAATAAAAACTTTGATATAGGTCTGTTTTATATTTGTATAAATCCTGATTTTATCTTTAAGAAACATATATTTGACACTATCGGTTTTTTAATCCATTCTATTTGGATTCATACCCTCACCAATGAGGGTATGAATGATCTTGAAATATGATCAAATGAAATGATCTTGAAATGAAAATGAAAATGATCTTGAAATATTTCCAATTTCCACATATTAATCAAAGCAAAGATGTATTTTTAGTCTTCCTCAAATTTGACCTCTGTAGATGTTGGTAATATCACCGATCATTGTAGAGAACTTTTTTTCTCCTTTGACTTCTAGAATATGAGTTTTTATTATTTTCTTTTCTACTTCCATGGTCATTACCTCCCATACTAAACAACATCAGCCCTATGGGATTTATATAAATTAGAGTAAATGTTCACCTTTTGCATTTACTAAAGTGACTGCATCTCTCTAGAACCATCCACAAGTTCATGTGGCTCTCGCATATCAGCACTGGGATTCCGCATACACTTATCCTTGCTCCTCACCTGGACCAGCATTGCACTTTTCTGCAGGGTGATACTTTCTATGGTTTCAGCTTTACATAAAAACTGACAAATGTGTTGTCTAGGTCTGGACTTTTTTAGGAATCCAGAATAACCTTGTCATTTATTTTTATCAATAAAGATCTCTATTGT